>NC_000002.12:124364618-124989618 GCF_000001405.40 Homo sapiens | reverse complement strand
CTATATCTACTATCAGAAATGTTAGAAATTTCTCCTGGATATATTATGTGATGATTTTGAGACAGGTTCCTAGAAGTGGAATTGTAGGTATTCATAGTATTCATATTTTAAAAGTTGGTAGTTATTGTCAAATTGCCTTTTATACCAGCAGTATTTGAAAGTGCTTATTTCTCCACATCGTAACCAACAATGAATATTAGCAATTTATTAGATTTTTGCCAGTTTAATGAGGAGAAAAACCTCATTTTAAGTTTGTTTCGCTCTAATTACCAGTGAGAACAGGCATGTTTCTAAAAAATATAGAATGCTTCATGAATTTGCATGTCATCTTTTCACAGGGGCCATGCTAATTTTCTCTGTATCATTCTAATTTTAATATATGTGCTACCAAAGTGAGCACAACCAATCATCTTTAAAAATGTCTTTATGTCCCACAGCTTACTAGTCATGTGAACTAAAAGGCATTACAGTTTGTATTTTTCCCACAAATTATTTGCTTTAAGTTCCCACTATTTTTAAGCCAATTAATCAAAGCTCTTTCATATCACACACACAACACCTATAAATCATAGTCAGAAGAGGATCTAGTACTTGTATGATTTTTCATTTGCCAGTTTCAAGTTTCTCTTTAAAGCATGCAGTTTCTATGACTTAATAAGCAGGCACAACTGAAAGGCAAAACAAATCCCCCCAAATTAAGGATCCCTTTTATGTATGTATGTATTTTTGAGATGGAGTCTCACTGCTTTGTCGCCCAGGCTGGTGTGCAGTGGCACAATCTTGGCTCACTGCAACTTCCACCTCCCGGGTTCAGGCGATTCTTATGCCTCAGCCTCCCGAGTAGCTGGGACTACAGGCACCCACCAACATGCTCAGCTATTTTTTTTTTTTTTTTTTTTTTTGTATTTTTAGTAGAGACAGGGTTTCACCACATTGGCCAGGCTGGTCTTGAACTCTTGACCTTGTGATCTGCCTGCCTTAGCCTCTCAAAGTCCTGGGATTACAGGTGTGAGCTTCCTCAACCTGCCAGGATCGCATTTTTATACCAGATCCTGGATTCCCCCCAAAGAAAATCAGCCCATCTCCCGTAGGAATCTTATCTCTCAGAGGGGGGTGGACATATTTCCATACTTTCTGGGAGGCCAAGGGCATGGCTTCTCTGATCCAAACAGGCAAAGAGCAGAGTATCCTCCCACAACTGCCATTAGACATCCCTAAAAGTACATTTTCTATCTAGTTATTACACACCAAAGCCCTTTCATAATTCAAAGTAATTTCTGATATGCCCTCAATAGTCAAAAATGTCAGATGACGTAATGCAAAATGGAACACAGCCTTAAATTTTGAGAGAGATTTACCCACTTTTAGTTCCTGGGGTTTCATGAGGAAAACAGAGTTTTTTTGTTTTTTCCCAAAACAGGGTTGGTGTCGCCTCCTCTGTTTTCCTCAGGAGTCCCAGGCTGCTAGAAATTCTTTTAGATCATCTGATGTGTGCATCAAGAGTAGCAGACAAAATGGAGAAAAACAATTCAGTCAACTGAGAAGAAAAATAAAAAAAAATTTTTCTTCACAAAAATAAGATTCAAGAAGAGAAAAAATAACATGAAGGCCTTTTAAATATATGTATAGTTTGGATATCTATTTTTTAATTAAGCTGACTTACAACCATAGTGAGAGGTGACAGCCTGCTGGCAGTCCTCACAGCCCTCGCTCGCTCTGGGCGCCTCCTCTGCCTGGGCTCCCACTTTGGCGGCACTTGAGGAGCGCTTCAGCCCACCGCTGCACTGTGGGAGCCCCCTCCCTCAGCTTGCGGGGAGGTGTGGAGGGAGAGGCGCGAGCCGGAACCAGGGCTGCCTGTGGCGCTTGCGGGCCAGCTGGAGTTCCGGGTGGGCGTGGGCTTGGCGGGCCCCAGCACTCGGAGCAGCCAGCTGGCCCTGCCGGCCCCGGGCAATGAGGGACTTAGCACCCGAGCCAGTGGCTGCGGAGGGTGTACTGGGTCCCCCAGCAGTGCCAGCCCACCGGCGCTGCGCTCGATTTCTCACCGGGCCTTAGCTGCTTTCCCCCGGGGCAGGCCTCTGGACTGCAGCCCGCCATGCCTGAGCCTTCCCCCGCCTCCGTGGGTTCCTGTGCAGCCCAAGCCTCCCCGACGAGCGCCGCCCTCTGCTCCAGGGCGCCCAGTCCCATCGACCACCCAAGGGCCGAGGAGTGGGAGCGCATGGCACGGGACTGGCAGGCAGCTCCACCTGCATCCCCGGTGCAGGATCCACTGGGTGAAGCCAGCTGGGCTCCTGAGTCTGGTGGCGACGTGGAGAATCTTTATGTCTAGCTCAAGGTTTATAAAAACACTAATCAGCACCCTGTGTCTAGCTCAGGGTTTGTGAGTGCACCGATCGACACTGTATCTAGCTGCTCTGGTGGGGCCTTGGAGAACCTGTGTGTGGATACTCTCTATCTAACTAATCTGGTGGGGACGTGGAGAACCTTTGTGTCTAGCTCAATTGTAAACGCACCAATCAGCGCCCTGTCAAAACAGGCCACTCGGCTCTACCAATCAGCAGGATGTGGGTGGGGCCAGATAAGAGAAGAAAAGCAGGCTGCCCCAGCCAGCAGTGGCAACCTGCTGGGGTCCCCTTCCGCACTGTGGAAGTTTTGTTCTTTCGCTCTTTGCAATCAATCTTGCTACTGCTCACTCTTTGGGTCCACGCTGCTTTTATGAGCTGTAACACTCACGGCGAAGGTCTGCAGCTTCACTCCTGAAGCCAGCGAGACCACGAGCCCACCGGGAGGAATGAACAACTCCAGACGTGCTGCCTTAAGAGCTGTAACACTCACCGCGAAGGTCTGCAGCTTCACTCCTGAGCCAGCGAGACCACGAACCTACCAGAAGGAAGAAACTCTGAACACATCCGAACATCAGAAGGAACAAACTCCAGACGCGCCACCTTAAGACCTGTAACACTCACCGCGAGGGTCCGCGGCTTCATTCTTGAAGTCAGTGAGACCAAGAACCCACCAATTCCGGACACAATAGCACTTCTAAAAATAATCTTTTAAATTCTTTTATTACCTAACTTTAGCCAGGGAAAACAGCCAATATGTCTGGCTTTTGTTGTTTACCAAAGGTAACCTCCCAGGTCCCCAGAGAAAGGAAAATTCAAGAAGGGAAGTCAGAAGTTGTTCATGGAAATGAAGATAATCAATACAGGGCAAAAGTCACGCGGATATCAAACCGGAAAGGACTCATTTCCTAAGTTAGGAATTGAACCCTGAACCCAGGCCATCCTTAGGAAAAGACAAAGCCTTAGCCACTAAGCTACAGCACTGGGCAATTTCCGCTGCTCTTCCCAGAAGTCTAAAGCAGCCAAGTTTGAGCTTGCAAAGGCTCAAGATAACTTTTAGAGCTAATTATGACATGAACCCCCAAATTCCTCTTCCCTGGCTGTCAGAGACCAAGAGAAAGTACTGCCACATTGTTACAAGGTCAAACTCTCAAGGACATAAAACAAGATGAGAGGAAATCTTCATCCATCTTTTTTTTTTTTCTTTTTTCAGGGACCTGCAGCAAACTTTGCAACTGACCAGCTTGCCAGGCTGGTTTGAACAGTGGGCTTATGGGGTCCCAAGACGATGTTCTATACTAAAACAAACACTCCTCTTTATGACAGAGCAATACAGAGAGACACACTTTTAGCACAAAGTACACCAGATTCTCTACAGCTTAAGAGTAGCCTCACAAATCCTTTTTCCCATTAACCAAAACTTTACAGAGAAAATAAACAGTGATTTTTAACCATTCATTTCAACCAGTTTGCACAGAGAGAGAGAGGTCAGAAGCCTGACTGGTAAAAAATTCTTACCCTTTGGCCAGCATGTGAGGTTTCTAGTTTCCCTTGTCCTGAGCAGCCCTAGTGACCCTGCTTGCTGCACATACCTCTGGGGGCCAAGCCACATTACAAAGGAAAATTGCCTTTTTCCATTTTATAAAGCCATAGGCAAAAGCCTCTTAGTTTTGCAAGACACCATGCAAGAGGTTGCACAGGGTAACCAAATTAACATTTTCCATTATGAGCAGAGAAAAATACATGTGATTTGACAAAACATAGACATTAATCACTTCACTTAGCAGCCAATACCAAACTAGCAAGTACCAAACTTGCCCCAGGATGGGCCGTGTCATCTTTAATCCATTCAAAGTGGGTTAGAATGACCTCTGACCAGGAGTTTCAACATGTGGACTCTGGGCAAGCTGTTAGCCCTGAGGAACAGAAAAGATAGAAAAGGGAAATGAGAGAAAGAGACAGAAAAGCATTGCTTGCCGCAGGGTGGGGAAGGCAAAGAGCTCAGGGAGGCAAGAGAAAGACCCACCTATTGCAGCAAAACTGAATCATAAGTTCAGGCAGCCATTAGTCAGTTGCAAAGGGAACTTTTCCAGCAGTCCCATCAGCTCTCAAGTCTCCCGCTTTAGAAAGGAAAAAAGCTCCCCATGTCCCATGATTATGTACATGCCTAATCCTGTCCCTCACAGCCATCAGCAAAGAGTGCAAGGCAGATTAATCCAAAGAGAATAGTGGTTAACATCCCATATTGCAAAATCCATTTTTAACCAAAAGAGACTTTACTAAGAGGGGGCTCTCACCCTCTAAATCTTAGGAGGGACACTAACCTTCTTAAGTTGGGCCTTTAATCCAAGTTTGGTCAAGCGTTCTTGCCTTTTATTAAGAGGTGTCTTGGCCAGGTGCGGTGGCTCACGCCTATAATCCCCACACTTTGGGAGGCTGAGGCGGACAGATCACAAAGTCAGGAGGTCGAGACCAGCCTGGCCAACATGGTGAAACCCCATCTCTATGAAAAATACAAAAATTAGCCAGGTGTGGTGGCACATGCCTGTAGTCCCAGCTACTCGAGAGGCTGAGGCAGGAGAATCACTTGTTGCATGAACCCGGGAGGAGGAGGTTGCAGTGAGCCAAGATTGCGCCATTGCACCCCAGCCTGGGTGACAGAGTGAGACTCCGTCTCAAAAAAAAAGAGGTGCTTTTAACTCTGTGTGTTTTAGGTGAGACTGTAATCCTCTTAAATTGGGCCTCTAACCCAATCTCACCCTTTACCTGGGTAAAAAGTACCTCGCCACTTACCCAAAGTCGGCTAATTGGTGCTGCATTCTATTTCCTTTGAGTCAGGTTTCCTCAGTGTAGTCCCTTCATGGTTGCCAGGAAGATGTTACTGGAAAGCGGTGCCAATCCAGACCCAGGAGAGGGTTCTTGGACCTCAGGCAAGAAAGAATTCAGGGCTAGTCTACAGACTAAAGTGAAAGCAAGTTTATTAAAAAAGTAAAGAAACAAAAGAATACTCCACAGCAGGGCAGTGGCATGGACTGCTCAACTAAGTATACTTATAGTTATTTCTTGATTATATGCTAAACAAGTTGTGGATTATTCCAGAGTTTTTTGGGTAAGGGGTGGGCAATTCCCAGAACTAAGCGTTCCTCCCCGTTTTAGGCTGTATAGGATAACTTCTTAACATTGCTAAGGCATTTGTAAACTGTCATGGTGCTGGTGGGCGTGTCTTTTAGCATGCAAATGCATTATAATTAGTGTATAATGAGCAGTGAGCACCACCAGAGGTCATTTTCATCACCATCTTGGTTTTGGTCAGTTTTGGCTGACTTCTTTACCACAATCTGTTTGATCAGCAAGATTTTTATGATCTGTATCTTGTGCCAACCTCCTTAGTCATCCTGTGACTAAGAATGCCTAACTTACTGGGAATGCAGCCTCTGACACTAGGACAAAGAGAATAGTCTTCTATAAAGGATTTCAAGTCTAGAAAACACTGAGAATTGAAGCTACAGCCCCCTTTTTTATAGATGAGAGAAGTGCAAGCCAGAGATGGCAAAGACTTGTCCAAATCCTGCCAGCTGGGTCACAGAAAGGCCAGGCTCAGAGGCTAGGTTCCTGAGAGGACCTCCTCATCATGCCCCCTCCCATCAGCAGCTGACACCATGACTGTGGATGGAAGGCTGTCCCCTTCCTATGGCATCTGAAAGGAAAAAATTACTACTTAATTCTGCAGTGGTTGTCCTGATAAGTACAACATGCAGGGTAGCAGCCTTCTCTCATCTCTTTCATTTCATTCTGTATCCCATTTGCAAGTTTGGTCAAGCATTCTTTCCTTTTATTAAGAGGGGCCTTTAACCCTGTCTGTCTTAGGAGACACTATAATCCCTTAACCCAATCCCATCTTTTACCCAGGTAAAATGTACCCTACCACTTACCCAAAGTAAGTTGGGTAATTCTCTTTTCTCTGTTAATGCTCAACTGTGCAACATGAATAATCACCTCCTCACTTTACTTGCATTTTATACATTTTGGGTTGTAGCTTGAAGGTTTTTTGTTGTTTATTTTGTTTTGTTTTAATCAACTAATCCCAAATATTCTGTTAAAACAAAATGAACACAACATGAAAAAGAGCTTCTGTTGCTGTTGCAAATCTATCCTGTCCCTTTGAATGCAGGATCTACAGTGTTTGGGTTTCCATCGTATTACTTTTGTCTTTGGCTGGATGCTAGCTATGCATTACCTTTATAGAAAAATTAGCAGTCGGCAAATCAGCAAACAGTTACTGAGATCATGCTAGATGTCAGACAAAAAAAAGAATTTAAATTTTGACTGTGAACATACCATCTATAAATGCTTTAATTACTCAGAATTTTATTTCCTCAATATTAAATTAATATTATTGATCCTCCATCTGAACTACTATATATATAATATATATAATGTTATAATGTTATTGATCCTCCACTAGAACTACTAGATATATTTTTGAATATATATTAAATATATATTCTCTAACAGTAGTTCAAGTAAAGGATTAATAACCATATATATGTGTGTGTGTGTGTGTGTGTATACATATATATCTGTGTATGTATACATATATATAGAGAGAGAGACTGACACATTGCATATGCCAAATAAGTGGATAAATGATCATTGCTATATTTATTTATTTACAAATTTCACAAAGTTACTTTCTGCTGAAGTAAAATACATTTGTTTTCATTTTCCGTCAGTTAATGTATTTGGTTCTTATTTCTAACACTTGTATTATTTTACAAATTATTTCTTCACCATTGGATTTGTGAGGTTGCTTAATGCAGTTTCATGGAAAGCCTGCGTGTTGCAGGGCATTGGAAGACAGAATGCTTACCTTACTCTTCCACTGTCTCTGGGACCATGGAGACAGGTCTTTAAACTTCTGTGACTTCCCTTGCTCGGAAGAAAGGCCTCTTCTTGTGTGAACCTTAAGCTGTGTCTTCCAGTGACATGCTTCCAGAATGGCCATGGCCCAGCTCCAGAGGCTCCCATCACAGGGAGCCTTGTGAATATTTGTTCTGAGTGAGGATAACACAGCTCCTGGTCATCATTCAGCAGCTAAATTTGGTGCATCCTCTATGTAGTACGATGAAAGGTTACGGATCCAATTCAGCCAGAACAAGAGATAGCTAGGGCAGTGTCTGGGCCAGGTGCTCTGACTGTGACCAATGGATATAAGTCAGCATTAATTCTCTTACTTGAACACTCACATGAGACACATTCCCTAAAATTATTTCAAGGCTCAAAACAACTTGAATATGCTGTCTCCAAACTCAAGTTCCTTCTGCAGACAAAAGAGAGTGTTTAGGAAAATAGACATTTCAGAAAGAGGAGATGAATACAGTGAAAGGCGGGAGCCCTGAGAGGCTCATGGGAAGGCACAATCTCAACAACACTGGGGTTTGTGCTGTCCTTAAGAATGAAAAAAGAGATGGAGAAGTTGTGGCTGATCAGAGGAATTCCAGGGGCACAATGACAAGCACTGAATTCTTGGTCAAGTGGCTAAGTCCTTCTGTTAGTGCCACACATTCTTTCTATTTCATTATTTTCTTCTGTGTTTCTTTTCTTCTTTTCCTTTCCTCCAACAATTATTTAGGAATACCATAGGCCTAATCTAGTGTGAAAAGTTAGACCTTCAAAAGTGAATAGAATGTGATCTTTGCACTCAATAACATCACAATCTTTCATGATGAGAGACTTCAAAAGATGAGTACATCCTAACTATACAATATAATGAAAGCAAAACTACAAATTACCCCATGTGAACACAGATGTGGGGGAAACTAACCCAGTTAAATGGGGAAAGGACAAGAAGGCTTTGAATAGGAAGTGGCCCTTCATAAATTATTAGAATTAGAGAAAAAAAGGCTGAAAAAGAAACAAAAATTCGGATAAAGCAGATCTTATGCCTAAACACACACGTGTGCACACACAAACATGGGTACACACAGATACACAAACACACACAGAGACTCACATACACAGTCATAAACAGGCACACACACAAAAGAAACACAAACAGACACACATGCAATCACAAACACACACACTGACACACACACGCAGAGAAGAACAATAAAACTTACAGAACTTAGCTTTTTACTTACAGTAAAAAACAATCACAGATAACAGCTAACGTTTATTGAATATATAATTACATGTCGGGTAAGCATATCATATTTATTAGCTTAGTGTTTCTCACACTATCAGTCATAAAGAACAATGTTTTTCTTACTTTTAATATGTTGCAGTTAGATAATAATCCAATTGCATGACTAATGCAAAGCTGGTGCCCCATGCAACTTAATACATCAGTTTGACAACATCCAAACCAATCTGAAACCTATTCAACTAGACCCATCCACTGATCGCACACTTAGATGTCATGATAATGTCAAATTACTATAAGATATTCAAATGCTTTCTCTCAGTGTCTGCACTGTTTTTGGACTAGTAACCAACAATGCTCCAAAGGCAGAGGAGCTCATGGACACGTGACCTGTGAGGCTGCCCAGGACGCCATGCTCCTACGGGACCTAGGCTTGGTTACCTGCTCAGCTGTCATCATTTTGAAATTCCTGATGATCTCTGAGCAAGGATCCCTTCATTTCCCTTTTTGCACTAGGCCCTGCCAACTATGTAGCTGGTCCTATCCACAGATCACCCTCTGAGTAGCATGGTATTAATGCATTTAATTCTCACAAATGTTATTTGAGGTAGGTACAGTCTTTAGCTTCATTTTCAGAAGAGGAATGTGGGGCACAAAGTGGTTGAGGCTAACACAGCTGACGAGGGACAAGCAGTTCTGAAGCCAGGTAGTTGGTCTTTAAAGCCCAGACTCTTCACCACATGCAAAGTAAGGCAAACTCTGGGAGATTATTACACACCTAGTGTTGCCAAAGCAGAAGAAGAGAATAGAAATTCCTCATAGGCAGAAAGAATTTGTCCTTTCCAACCTGAAGTGGAGCTGATTTCAAAGATACTGCAGTATAG
Source organism: Homo sapiens (assembly GCF_000001405.40). Lineage (NCBI taxonomy): Eukaryota > Metazoa > Chordata > Mammalia > Primates > Hominidae > Homo > Homo sapiens. The sequence goes on along the minus strand of NC_000002.12, from coordinate 124,980,250 downwards.
GCAATAAGGCTGTGCTATTCTACAACTTGGTGAAGATGCCACGGGAAGGAACTGTCCTGGGATTTCTAAATTTTTGGGTTATCAACAGATGAAATTGTTGTCAATCTGGGATGCAATCCTGATGGTCTGAATGGTCCACAAACATTTCTTTCAGCCTCCCTTTCCTCAGGACATGGCCAGGTGACTGAGGCTCGGTGAGACAGATATGTGCATCAGGCCAGGAGCTCATGATATATCAGAACAATTATAGTTGAGGATTCTCTCCAGTGGCTAAAGAGGTGGCGGCGCATCTGGTCCCCAAGGTTCGCAGCTGCCTCATGCCAAGTGCAGAGCCTTGGTTGTACCTTCTGTGGTGACCTGCATCTGGTGATAAGGGACATGGTATGGTGGTGATCTGTCCTGTGTCTGCTCTTGGCTCCTTTCCATTTACAACCTACATCTTCCATGCTTCACTATTCCTTCACTCCCTGACATCCTTTCAATAATTTTCACTTTTTCTCATACCAGCCCCAGTCTGTATGTTTTAATTGCTAACAAGAGCCTTTACTGAGAAAAAGACTGAATGCAAACATGACATAACTCTCGACATTTCAAAGGAAAAGAAAGCCTCAGTTTTAAAAGTGAAGCACTGTGGGTTGTACATGAAAGAAAGAGTTCTAGAAAGACCACAAAAAGGTGGAATTAGAAGGGGGTTAATTATTCACTTTAAAATTAAATATTAATTATCGATTAATAACAATCTTACATTTATGGAAGGCATTTTCTACCTGAATAACCTCTAGGAGCCCATTTGAATTTATAAGCCAAGGTAATATATAGAACATAAAATCATTAATTAAAACATGAAATTCATAAAAGATATACATCCTTAACCAGCAAGAAAAAAAGATTTGCAGAAGCCTGTTATTAACTTCCATTATTAACAGAGTTTCAGGGAGACACTAGTGGTTGGGTCGTTCATTTCTTTCCACTGATGACTTTGTATTGTGCAGTCTTTTTTCCATTTGTGCCTGGTCCCCAGAATCCTCTGCCAAATTGCTTTCCCTCCTCTATCATTTGTTCACAGCCCATTATGACCCTGCCAGCTACCTTCTCTCTAATCTGGAGGTATGGGGGTATAGAGTGCAGGAAGGGAGTATGCCTGTGTTCTACAATGATGACACACAAACTCCAAAGTCCGGAAGCTAGACTGAGGGAAAACCCAAAGGAGAATGCAAATGCTGTCATGCACTCGTTTTCTTGAGGAAGGCTGTGGGCAGGGAATAGCCATATGTAGTTCCCAATCTGTAGAAGTGATGTGATTACATTAACACACATAACTTCTAACACATGTGCTTCCCAAGATAGTCTGATAATGACTTGAGATATCAGAGAAAGATTGACTTGGTATTTTTCTAGTGATAAGTGGGTAGGAGACAGGTCCTTAAACTTCCGCTTGGAAGAAAGGCATCTTCTAGTGTGAACGTTGGGTTGTATCTTCTAGTGGCATGCTGCCAGCATGGCCACAGCCCAGCTCCAGAAGCACCATCACAGGAAGTCTTGTTAATGTTTATCCCAAGTGATGATAACACAGCTCCCGGTCATTCTTCAGCAGCTGCATCTGTTGCATCTTCTACATGGTACAGTGAAAGGGTACTACACAGGGAAACACCCTGACCCCACCCTCTCTGTTCAATTCTGGGTAAGTGTACATTCTTACATACTTGGTCACCTGCTTTTAAGGGCAGGTTAGGCAGCAGCAAAGGTGGCCTGGATGGAGAGATGCAGGGTGAAGGAAAGCCACAATGGCCAACGTGAAAAACAAAACAGAACAGGGCTGGGCTCCCAGAGGGGAGCAAGGGCTATGGGGACTGGTCCTCTCCTAGGGCCGGTGCTGAGGCTTATGAATGTGTCTATTCTGGTCCCGTGGGAGGAATGCCACACAGCAGCAGCCTGGGCAGGACACAGCGGTCTGAGTCTGAAGTGTCCTGGGTGGGAGCGGGGGAACCTCAGAAATGCAAAGCATCCTCTTCTCCCACCTGCCATCATTTGTTAGAAATATGTTATGCATTTGCATTTTAATAGGTGTTTTCTATGTTTTTATTTTCTTGGTTTTCATTAATGAAAGTTTAAAACATTTTCTCCATGTATAGGGAGCACACTGAAGCTCAGAGAGGTAAAGAAGTAGCCCACTCAAGGTCACACCGTTTAAAAATGGAGGACTTTGACCTCCAACCCACACTCGCTTATACTAGCCCTGCTCTGCCTGGATTCAGAGTCAGAGGCATCTGGTACCTGACCATGGTGGCAAAGGGCCACATGGCCTTCCTAGGATTGGTGATAGAAATTTATATTGGTTAGAGGACTGAGCTTCAACATCAAAAGGAAAACAGTGCCCAGCAACAGCTGACGAAGGCTCCCGGTTCCCATCTTACATTACTATATGACCAATGACCATGCCATGCTGTGTTTCAGCTCAGGGGCCTTAATCACACAGACGGGCTCATGCCCAATCTTTATCACAAACTTGCTAAATGATCTTTGCTGACATACTCAGCTTTTCTAAGCTTCTTTTGCTTCATCTGTAGGAAGGAATGAGTAGTTGTCTACTCCACAGGATAGTTGTGGGGATTCAGTGAAATCAGCATGGAAAACATTTCGTCTAGCACCTGGAACTGGGTTCCTGGACTCTAATGCTTTGAAGCATTCTTCACACTTGTTCAGTTGCCATCATGAAGTACTGCTTGTAGTCTAAGTCTGTATAATTAAAAGAGTCAATAAAAGTTCCTTGTATTTAAAGAAAGCAAAGAAACAATTCAGGGTTAGAAGGAAAAAGGAATCCCTAAGTTAAAATAGGTAGAGGCATTTTGTGGAGGACGGGAAATCTGGCCAAATCTCTGGGTCTTGAGGCAAAAAAGGCAAAAACAAGGCACCCAGGAGCTGAGCAGCACACGGTGTGGGGCTCGTCAGCCACTTACAGCCTTCTGGTTCCCAGGTGCTTGTTGTGGCTGCACACTGGAATCACATGAGAATGTTGAGGATGGCCCAGGACATTCTGGTTTAATTGGTTGGGTGCAGCTGGAGCCCCAGGAGTGGTTGAAGTTGCCAGTGATTCTACCGTGTAGCAGTGTCTGTTTAGGTATCCAGTCAGCACTCCTCTCTCCTCCTCAGCCACTGCAAGCCCAGTTCTGAAATTCCACTGGACATGTTCTTTTGCCTTCCAGCCTTGCCTCTTCCATCCCATTCACATTTTCTAGGATCTCATCAGTATTGGAAGCTTCTCCTTCCCATCCCTCTAAGCATCCTTTGGAGTTTGTAACAATGTGAGACTCAACATAGACACATGCAGCAGAGGTCATGGTTGCTTTGACTCCTGCTCCACGTGCAGCTCAGTGACCATCAAGAAGAAGCCACATATAAGAAGTCCCATATAACCTCTGGGCTTGTCCTGCTTGTTCATTGAGATCATGAGTCTTTGAAGGCAGAAACAGAGTCCTGGTTGTCTATGCAGTCTGAGCCCTAAACTAGGGCAGTGAGAGAAGAGCTCAAGCACGAATGAAAGAGAATTTATGGAATGCAACTGGAAAATATTTAATTGATTGTGTACAACTAAAATGTTAAATATGTGATATTTTCATGGCAAAGATGATGAGTATGCTCATTGAACAATTATTTGTGATCCCCCTCCCTGGCATTGACTGAAATCAGCATTGTCTTGGAAGAGCTCTTCTTTGGAATAAACCTATTGAGATGTTAGCTTCACTCTTTTATATCCCTGTATTGCCTCAGACCCTAGCAGGCCACAACATTAGAGTAAAAGTGAACACTCCTTCAAGAAGCATAATATTTTTTTATACTTCAAGAAGCATAGTATTATTTTTTATCGTGAGTGCTCAAAAAATAATTGTCACTTTCCATGAGACACCCCAGTCCTCTTCCAAGAGTGAATTCTGCCCCTGGGTGGCTGGCTGGCAGGGTTTTCCTAATATTACTTTGTAAGCCATATATAAGCATGACCTTCTGAACAGGAAAAAGCATATAGAAAATAAAAACAAAAACAAAGTACCACTGTCAACCGCAACAGTATAAACCCTCCCTTAGGACTCCATCAGCTTTTTCAGACCTGAAAAAGTATGACTCCCTCAGGGGTAAACTTTACGTGAACTACACTGGGGTTTGTTTCCCTGAATATCATCCTATATTTTTTAATCATTACCTTCCTAAAAAGGCGGAGATAGTAGAGATTCAGGGAGATGGGAAAAGCAGATTTTCTCGTTGGAATTAGGGGACTTCCTCTTTGCTTTCCATTTAATGTGATTTACCAGGTTCTGAGCTCTATCAGGGGGCAAGGCTTCAGATGGCTTTCCATTCCTCTCCCTTACTGTCATCAACTGCACTGACTTGGCTTGCACAACTGCAGAGAATGTGATCCTTTTCCTGTGATAAACTCACAGCCATTAGCAGCTATCCAAATGCAAAGAGAGTTGTGAATGTGACCTTATGGGAAATGAAGAAAAGTCAGCTTATTAAAGTCCAATGAAATGCCTTGTTTTTTTCTTTCAGCCTTTTGTTTATTTCTTCTTCCCTTTGGAACTTTCTGCAAGGCATTGTGGTAATTCTCTGAACAATTTCATGACTTTTGTGTACAGTCTATGCAATGAAAGACCACTTGTGTAAATTAAAAAAACAAAACAGAACAAAATTGCTTTGTGGGTTATTGAGATGCCCTAGGGAGAGGGGGCCTGAGCTGGTCTGGGAATGCAGGACAGCCCTTTGCGCAACAGAGAGCAAGCAGCCACTCTGGAGGAGTGATCAATACTACAGTAGCTCCCACATGGAATGTTTCCTCTGCTGGTCCAGGGCGATGGCTCCCCTTCTGGCCTAAGCTACGATAGCTCTCATTAAAGACACATGGACAAGAGGGAAATGCTCACTGCTCTCAAGAAACCTACCTTCTCACTGTACTTTGAACATGCAAATTCACTCTTGCATTAGGGCCTCCACAGGACACAGCTTAGCATGTGCTGTTTTCTTGATTTCTTCTAGACAATATAGACACCAACCAACAGCTAAAGAAGAGCTGCTATTTTTGTATTGTGTGGAAATGAGGTAGAAGGTAGAGGAAATTCAGGTAGAAAAGGTAGAGAATACATGTAACTGCTATGCAGAGCAGCAGAAAAACAGTGGACAGGGAAAGAAACTGAAGGACATGCTGTATCCAGGTGGTTCATGTTCACAGAGAAGACAGTGATAATAAAAATAGGCTGTGCTCATTGCAATCTTTCACCAGGCATGTACTGTCAGTCCTCTGAGCCCAAGCTAAGCCATCATATCCCCTGTTACCTTCACGTACACATCCAGATGGCCAGTTCCTGCCTTAACTGATGACATTCCACCACAAAAGAAGTGAAAATGGCTGGTCCTTGCCTTCACTGATGACATTACCTTGTGAAATTCCTTTTCCTGGCTCATCCTGGCTCAAAAAGCTCCCCCACTGAGCACCTTGTGACCCCCACTCCTGCCCACTAGAGAACAACCCCCCTTTTTCCTTTACCTACCCAAATCTGATAAAACAGCCCCACCCCTATCTCCCTTCACTGACTCTCTTTTCGGACTCAGCCAGCCTGCACCCAGGTGATTAAAAAGCTTTATTGCTCACACAAAGCCTGTTTGGTGGTCTCTTCACACGGACACAAGTGAAATGTACCAAAAGTCAACCCTCTTTGCTCTACCACCTAACATGCAAGAGTATAATAAATGTTGTGACTAGAAAGGGCCTCAGGAGGTCACCTAACCTAGCCTCTGTAAAGAAGCATTGCAAACTAATGGAGAATAAGTTTTAGAGTCCAGACCTATGTTCAAATCCTTGATGCATAGTAACTGCCTCGTTCACTTTAAATAAGCTGCTCAACTTACATAAATTCCAGTTTTATCATCTTTAATATGTTAACAATAACATCAAACCTAATGATTACTTTGAGGATTAAGTGAAATGTTTTCGGTAAATATGCCTAGTGCAACGACTGCCTATTTATTATACATTGATATCAGGTAGCTATTACCAGTTTTTAGTAGATAAGTTACTGTATTTTATCATATTTCATTAAACTCTATTGTGGTACATGTTACCAAAAAAAGCAACTGAATCAAGACTTTAATTGATTTGCTGTAAGTCACATGGTCCAGTAGAAAGGAGATTGGAATCCATATCCTGTCCTATTTATTCAGTATTGTTTTTGGCACCTTATAGAGCAAGGATTTGTGGAAATTTGAAGAACTTGATTAAGTTCCCATGCTTAGTGACCTATAAGTCTTCCTCCTTCTGTCTGTCAATCAGCAAGTCAATGAATGTTTAATGAGACCTCAGGGTTTGACAAGATATGGAAAGGCATTTAAATGACAAATGATCTAATTGCATATATGAGAAAAGATCACTGTTACAGAAGAATATATTATCACCAAATTATAACCCAAATACCAATATAGCTTAATGGTATGGGTGTTATACAAGGTAATGGGCACAAAAAGTAAATTTAGTTCTGCCTAGATTTCCTTATAGCTGTCTGTATGATTCTTCAGATTTAGGTAGACGGAGAATTGGCTGGTCATCCACACAGAAACAGCTAGAGGCTGCCAACAATGGAATACATCACCTTGCTTGTGACAGCAAGAATGTCTTGTGTAAACACTGAGAGTAGAAATTTGCCCCTTGCCCTCTGTGGCCAAGAAGGTCTATGAACAGTGACACATCCAAGTGAAGAATTTGAATATCAGGAGAAACAGACAGTGAGATGAAGGTGTTCCTACACAGTACACCACTATCTGATTAAATTATATTCTATTGAATAAAATATATGGCAGTTGCTAGATGCTTTCATACTGTAGTTTCACCTATTTGCAATCTCTGAAAAGGTCTTACAAAATTTATCGTATTTTTGTGATCATTAATTATCCAGGATCTAGTAGTTCTATGTTATGCTCTTGGGCACAAGTAGAAACTAACCACTATTTCGTCTTCATCCTCAAATGCCTTTCTCTTTAGCTTACTAGAGTGGTGTAAATGAACATGTCTTGGAATCATGTCATTTTTCAGTATAGACACCCTGTGAGAAGGCCTCTTGGAACAGAATGTTGCTTGGGTTCAAGAAAGAACAATTATATAGATTGTGTCATTACAGTGAGCTGAAGAGTGTCCCTCAAAAGTCATGTCCACCCTAAACCTCAGAATGTAACATTATTTAGAAACAGAGTTGTTACAGATATAACTAGTTAAGATGGGGTCATGCCAGATAAAGGTGGGCCCTAATCCAATGGCTGGTGTCTTTATAAGAAGAGAAAAAAGACATACACACACACACTCATACACACACACACACACAAACACAAAATCGTTAGGGAGAGCACCAAGTGAAGATGGAGACAGAGAATAGAGTAATGCATCTACTAGTCAAGTAAGGCCAAGGATTATTGGCAACCACCAGAAGCTAGACAGGGCAAAGAAAGATTCCTCTCTAGAGTCTTCATGGGGGCATGGCTCTGTTGAAAACATGGTTTTGGATGTCTAGACTCCAAAACTATGAGAATAGCCTTCTGTTGTTGTAAGCCACAAAGTTCATGGCACTTTGTTATAGTAGCCCTTGGAAATTAACATACTCATCTGCAGGAGGAGAGGAAGCAGTATATCGAAAAGTATGCATTGAGGGATGATGTTTTTTATCAATACCTTTTAGTTGCAGGACAGAATGCCACAAAAACATGGTCAGCATGTAAGGGAGATGGCTGATAAGCCCCAATACATAATCTTATGGATGGCCATAAAATAAATGAAAAGTTCCAGATCTGATGCAATCTGCATCATTCACTGGGGTGTACTGCATCTTGCATCTACTTTTCCCTCCATAGCAACTTTACTCTCTTACTTTTCTGTGAAGATCAGCGTTTTCTGCTTATATATGCTTTCCCCATTCTCAATGCACTTCTCTAAACTTCAGTGGGTTTTGCATTTTGATTTTTATGGTCACTGACTCTAACAAAAAATGAATATTTTGGTCATTGTCATGTCACTGATTATACATTGCTCACTTGCCCAGTTTCTGATTCCCAGGAAAGGCAGCCTGATTGTTTTCTCTTGGGTCAGCTCACCAAGTACATAAAGCTGTCATAATGGGTCCTTTCGGGGCAATTATGTGAGGAAGAGTCCCTAAGATGTTATATGAGCAAGAACACAATAATTGATATGCCTTCCACAGGCAAAACTGGAAGTATCTACCCCAACATTCCTAGGAAAAAGATAAGTCAGGCAGTCGCAAGAAACTTCGACCTTAGAGAACATTTTCTTCTAGAGAGGAGAGCAGGGAACTATTAAGCCTTGCCATTCCTTGGACAAGAGTTTATGGAAGAGTATTTTTCCTCTATGGGATAATTTCATACTTGACAAGTCTAGCATAGGGGACATAAGCATACTTTCCAATAGAAATGTTCATTGACACACTAATCATATATTAGTAAGCTATTATATTAGTCCTACTAGTACTCAGTATTTACGAAGTCCAGTTTCCAGCCAAGCAAGGACAAGGGCAAGATTCTAAAAATGTGGATAATTTAATAAGGTGTTAGTTCCTATCAAAGCAAAGATATTGACATACTACTAAATGGAGTAGACACTTGCTGAAATATTGTGAGTTCTCCTTGGGCAACTTTTCTGTCTCCTCTCACAATACACCCACATGTAACCACAAATGCTTGAAATTTCTTAACACTATATTTCTCAAATTGACTGGGCATTGTTCACATCTATAATCCCTACACGTCGGGAGGCAGAGGCTGGGAGATACCTTGGGGCCAGGAGTTCAAGACCAGTCTGGGCAACATAGCAAGACCCCTCCTCTGCAAAAAATCTAAAAATTAGCTAGGCATGATGGGGCAAGCCTGTAGTTCCAGCTACTCAGGAGGTTGAGGCAGGAGAATTGTGTGAGCCCAGGCCTGAGTTCAAGGTTGCAAGGAGATATGATTGCGCCACTGCACTCCAGCCTGGGTGACAGAGCAAGATCCTGTCTCTAAATATTTTATATATGAAGTATATATACATATATATGTAATATATATATATATATATAAAGATGAATAAATATATAAAAGGTAAAAATACAAAGTTTAATATATTTATATATCTAAATACATATGCAATATATAGTATATATCTAAATATATACAAAGTATAAATATATTTAGATATATACTATATATGCAATATTGCATATATAACATATATAAAGATATATACTATATATCTAAATATATTTATACTTTATCATATATGCATATGTTATATTATAGATATATGTAGAGACAGTATATATTATATATATTAAATATATTAAATAAATTATATATATATGTATATATTGCACATTGGAATCACATAGGGAGCATTAAAAATACTTATGCCTGGGTTTCATCCTCAGAGCCTCTGATGTAATTGCTGGGCATTGGGAGTTTTAAAAGCATTGATGTGTAGGGTGGGCAGAGAAAAAGGAGATCTTTCAAATTATTATGACTTATGAATTTTATCAAAAGTAGGCCCTTCATGTGCCCATGAAGAAACATTACTTAAATTACAATGTAAATTTCTGCAGCAGATAAATTCCTACACATGATCTTAGCCAAAAGGCCAAGAAGCAGTTGATAAATTCCTGAACAAGAGATTGCTTACCTTTAAGACAAGTTTGTTATCAGCAGTGGAGACTTAGCCTGTCTCAAAATCCAGTGATGAGTTTATATGTAATCTCAAACTTTCTCCTCCACACTCTACCCCAGATATTTCTACTGAATATTCCTATGGATGTAGATAGAATGGAGCTGACAGAAAGAATTTTAAATGGTACAAGGAGTCTCACACGCATGATTCATATGAGAGGAGCCTCTACAAGGAGAGAAGAAGAGAGCAAATAAATACCTCATTTCACCCAAAAGCTGAGCTGCAGCTGGCAAGCTGAGAATAGACTGGCTTTGTTCATGTCCAATCTTGTTCAATAGAGACAGTCTCACATGGCTGAAATCAGAAGGTAATGCCAGCATTTATCCTCTCCTTCTGGGTTTCTGGAATTTTGTAATCCACTAAAGCTTGCCTTATGTAGTGCGCAGAAAACAAGACTCATTCCACTCCCTAGGACCAGCTTAACTGCTGCATTCATTACCTGTGGATCACCTTTTAGAATAACAGGGGACAATTTCCCAAACACCCAACACTAAAAAGAAATGAAGCATTTTATCTTCTGTGTAAGCTAAGTGTAGATAGGAAGACAGAGTGTTTTGTGGGGAGCCCAGCATACAGATTGGTTTGGCTAGTCATTTCCTAAAGCACATTATTTAGGATCTCTCTCTATGGAATGACAGATTAGGGATAATTCAAGTCTGGGGAGAACTGACATTTCTAAAGATTTCTGTAGAATAAAATGAATATTTCTTAAGATAAAGGACAGAAAAACAGAAGCACAGCAATCTCACTGTTCCTGCATGATCTTAATTAAGCCTTTGCACCATTTTGCCCTTACCTGATTTAGCTCTTCTTTCCCCAAGGAGCCTGAGAATGGTAGCTCCCGCTCTCCTCGTTCAGAAGAGTTAACAGCTGCTGCAGTTTTGCAATCATGAAAGAAGATATGTTAGTTTCCTATGATTGAAGACTTTTTTCCATATCTTTAGATATCCAATGTGATTGGTTGAATAGGGGTATCTTTGGGGCTTGGAGGGGAGAGCAAAAGAGGCGGGTAGCATATCTCACTGGTTATTTGCAAATCACTCAATACATTTTTTTTTTTGTGGGGAGGGAGAAATAACAGAAAAAGGAAGAAGGAAAATAAGGCAGGGTCAGGGGATACTGAAGGAAAACAAGGAAGGAAGAATGCCAGCAAAAAGCTTGAGCAGCTGACATTATAAGTGGGAAATTCAGAGTTGGAGCCCATCCAAAACAAAGGACAGACAATTAGGGGTGGGTGTGAGTCACTGGAAGGGCAACTACCTGCCTCTTTTTGCTCTCCCCTCCAAGCCCCAAAGATACCCCTATTCAGCCAATCACATTGGATATCCAAAGATATGGAACAAAGTCTTCAATCATAGGAAACTAACACATCTTCTTTCATGATTGCAAAACTGCAGCAGCTGTTAACTCTTCTGAGCGAGGAGAGCTGGAGCTACCATTCTCATCCTAAGAGACTCCATTCACCCCCTCTCCATGCTCTCCCTCTTTAGGGTGAAGCTAGTTCTCAAGCATGTTTAGTCTTGGACAAGTAGCTGGAAGCCAGTGAGAAACCCTGTCTGCAATGTGGAGTGAGGAGGAAAGTGTGCCAATCCTAACGGAATGTCCACAATACTTTGTATCAAATAAGGAAAAGGTGAAATTCCAAATGGAAAAATGAAAGCACTAAGTTGACACTCTTTCCTTTCTTCTTTTCCTGTCATTTCTAGTTCTGAATGGACAGATAATTGAACTTCTTCAAGTCAATTTGGAGATATCAATCTACTATCTATCTATCTATCTACACACATATATATTATATACACATATATATGATTGAAATATCATATATTGTAATTCATATGCTCATAATTTGTCATGGCTCAAAAAGACTGTAAAGAATTTGAAATGGCTTATAGAAGTCTATATAAGACTCACATTTTTGGTAATAAAGATATAGGGCATTGTTAAGAGAAAGGAAGATATTTCTATTCATTTTTCTATGTGCGTATAGTTTACTGCACATATATAAATGATTGCATTATATATGATTAAAAATAGACATATAGAGTTTCAATCCTGAAATATGCTAACATTTAATTCTAAGAAACTGTTTTATCAGAAGAAAAAAGCAAAGCCTGAAAAATCTACTTGTTAGTAACATAGACTAAAGCTAGGAAGCCAAGTACCTTAATTGAGTTAGTAACCTGTATCATAGGATTCTATTTCATTATAAAAGAAAATAAGAACTGTAAGCAGATAATTACCTCTAGAGGGATTTGAGAGAAAAAATGAAAATATTTTCAGCTCCCAAGAGAAACCATATATCTATAAATGGGTACATGGGAAGTATATATTTTCCTCAAAATACATCTGTTTTATGCAAAGAAAATTGCTAGCATACTTATGTTTCCATAAATAAAATGTAAACTGCAATATTTTACACTTAGGATGGAACAAGAAACTATCTTAAATCACTCTATGGGTGGGGGATAAATCGTGAGTTTTTTAAAGCTTATTTCTCTTTGATTTCAGAGCAATTATAAGTTTGATTCACTGAGATTACCCTAGAGAGAGGCAGAGTTAAAATACAGTCATATACACTCTATTCCATAACAATCTTGGCTTCATAAGGAGGAATACAATTCTGACATCTTACATTCCTCTACTTGTGGATTGAGAGTCATTACTAAACCATTCTACCCATGAGAGGGACTCTGTTACACACACACAGGGACACATACACACATGATGAGATACCTCCACTTATATGAAGCAGAGGTTCTATTTGGTTTCAGTTTAATAAGGCAACCCTGAGGCTCTTTTCTCTTTCATTCCAGAAAAACTAGGGGTAAAGCCTTTATACACTGCTGCTGAATGTTTTTTAGCCCCATTTAATCACTTTGTGTATTGGAATTCAAGTTATAAAATTTGGGTGACTGATGTTCTTTAGTTGCACCTGCAGTTTAGACTGTCCATTAGACTTATCTTGAAATAGGAGTGTGACTCACAGAGTTGCTATTAAAAGGGAGAGGCTGCAGGAGTACGTGCTGCTAATACACAAGAAGAAAGGAAATATTCTTTCTCCATATATCTTCCCACATGGAATTTGTTTTCAGAATTGACCTGAGTAGGAAGCCCCTGAACCAAAAAGAGTATAGAGAATTCCCCTTTTTCTATGGCAGCAAGAAAAGACATCACTGAGGATAAATAGTCACATTAAGCTAAACCAAATCTACAGGGAATCTTACTGAGAGAAACAACTTTCCTTAGAAGTTCACACAGAATCCAAGAAGGTTCAACCAGTCATAATAAGAGACTTAATAGAAGAGAATAAAACAATTTTATTGGCAACTATTATGAGACCAAAGTGAAGCAAAATGAATAACAGAAGAAAAGGGCTTGGAAAAGACCAGAACATAGATATTTAAGTGGAATTGCTTGTTCATATCTGTTTCTTAGACAAAAGTCGCTAAAAGTTTGTATCATTAACTATGTTTCTGACAGTTTATTGATGACATTAGTGCTTAATTTATTCTGAAGTGTGAGTACAAACACTACCAATAAAACTGTTATCTTTCTGTAGTATTGAATTTTCTGACATTATTAGAAATGTGTGCTTGAACTTAGTGGGTCACCTCTGACTACCAGAGTAAATAGCCTGCTTCCCAGAGTGGGAAAAGGAGTAATCAGTCTTGTTTACACAATTTTGCTATGGCAAAATATATTTCTAGCAGAGTATGTGACGTGTTTCCGTGCCTTCCTGAAACACATTTTCTAGTCCCTAGATAATCCTTTTTTTTTTTTTCAGAAGTTTTCAGAAAAAAAAAAAAAAAAAAAAAAACATTTCCTAAATGTTTAACGTTCTTACATTGATGTAGGTAATTGGCCAATGTCTTCCAAAAGTGTAGTGATAGATTTAAATTCACTTCTCATTTGTGATCTAAGGCAAATTGTTTAATCTGTGAGCCTCTGTTTTTCTCTCAGTATAAGAAAGTATTACTAGTGATTGCATGGAGTTGCCAGGAAGAATAAATAATCTGATTATGTCAGTGTCATTTCTCAAATCCCAATGTCACCTACTTTGCTGTTGGTTTTGCCTTCTTACTACTCTCAGCGAATGATAGTATCTCTGAAACGGAAAAGAAACTGAAATGTTAGAAAGGCTAGGGCCTTAGGTTGAAAGTTTTATTTCTATTTGTGATTTTGTAAAAACTCTTACCAAATTGTCTGGAAATCCGATTTGCCACACAAAATTATTTGCCTGTTGATGTTGGTTTTTCCTTCAGTGATGCTGTTGAAAGCCTAACTCCTGCACACACATCATTCTTGCAACACTCTGGACAGTACGGTTTTCATCAGCCCTACCTCTGTAGGCTCTTGAAGTCTTCATGTCTTTTCTGGCAGCTATTTCCTCACATGGAATGCAAAGAGATTTTAGAGTCTGCGCCTCTTTTTAAAAATTAAATATAAAGCATTATAAAATAGCTTGCAGGTTTAAGGGAAAATGTTCTATTAAGATTAATGTAATTCATCGGAAGTGTAATATAGTGACTCCCTTTTTATCCAACGTAAAAGGAGAAAATACCCTCTTATTTCAAAGCTGCCAGTAAGTTCTATTTTTTTTACACAGGCAATGGCTATTGGCTATTGTCAACTAATTATTATATTATAATTCTCTGCTGATACATGCATACATAATTTTAATTAATAAACTAGAAAGAGGCAATGGCTATGTAATAGTATCTGTACAGTTTTCTACCTACACGATCACCTATTTCATAGTTGTTGAAATAATCCTCAAAAGCTTGATGCCGTGACCTTGATGTCAAAATTTATTCCATTTATTTCTAAATTATGCAAACTGATGGTTGGTTAAAAAATAAGACAGCAGGCACCACCTTAAAAATATGAGAAGAACAAGTAGAAATCAAAACAGGAGATTTTCCCAAATCCAGTATGTTTCTTTTACTTTTAAAGAGGAGACAACTGGAAATGAGTCATAATTGAGGCTAGGCTGAAAATACAAACACAACAAAAAAGTTCCAAGGAAATGAGAAAGAATATCGGTGGAACACTGGATGCATATAATTTAAAAATAAATGCTAAGCAGCAAATGTGAATCTCCAAAATGACTAGGCATAATCCAGTCTCAATCAGCAAAAAATATCTTAGAAATTTTGCAACGGATATTTTCTATCACATTATGTTATAGGAAATATATATGATGGGGCCAAAAAAGAAAACCTCATTCACAGGTGAGAATACATGATTCAGAAGTCTTCCACATTTTATTAAGTAATCTTCTTGGGTGTAAGTCAAAGATGAACAATTTTTTATTGCTTTTCATACCAATTGCAAATTGAAGGCTTTCAATTCTTTGGAAGTGCCTCTCTTTGCTGTTACAATATGCTGATGATGCTGTAGTCAGGGGTAATATCCCACCAGAACATGGGCTTTAGTAGTCAGGGGCTGGGCTTTCATGTCATCCATGGGCAAGAGACATGGCCTTGGGTCCATATCGAGTTGGAACTAAGGACTCTGAATAAAGAAAACTCATGAAATCAGTATCTTTTTGCTAAAAGAGACACTGAAAACACATCATCCAAAGGCCTGAGGAAATGTCAAGTAAAGAATAATATCTATTGTGAGATGGAGAGCCCTAAACCTATAACACCTGTGAATGCACAGGCAGCATTTACACATCACATAGTGGCTATGCATCTCCAAGCTAAAAATGTAACACGAAAGTGGGCAGGGAAAACCCTGGGGCAACTCACTCACTGAAGACATGTCCAGAAACCCAAGGTAAATTAATATCTGTAGGAAAAAGTCATTCCCAAGTTTACTAAGCCCATGAAGAAAACTTTCAAACTATACATGTCATGAGGGAAAACCGAACAGAAGAAAATTGATAACCACAAGATTAAGAGTCCCAGGAGCCTCAGCTAATCAGACAATTTGAAAGACACACTATGTTCAAAAGTATTAAAGGTATAAAAGTAGGAGTAGAAATCAAAATATAAGAAAAAGATGTTATAAAATTAGAATAATCAGGACAGCTCTTAAAATGTTCTAACTAGTAATCTAATAAAAGGAAATATAATAGCTTCATTTAAAAATTTAATTGGTAAGTTTAACGGCAAATTAGACATAGCTAAATTACAAAAAGATGTGAGAAAACTCTTTGAAATGCAGTAATAACAGACAGAGATTTAAAACAATAAACAAGCAGTAAGCAAACACAGATAACAAAATGACATGATCCAACAAATACTCAGAAGGAGACTTAGAAATGAATTGAGGGTCAGGTACAGTGGCTCACGTTTGTAATTCCAGAAATTCAGGGGGCCAAGGCGGGAGGATCACTTGGGTCCAGGAGTTCAAGACTAGCCTGGGAAACATTGTGAGTCCTCTTCTTTACAAAAAATTGTAAAAACCAGCTGGGCCTGGTGGTGCACACAGGTGGTCCCATTTAGGATGCTGGGGTGGGAGAATCACTGAGGCCCAGGACGTAAAGGCTGCAGTGAGTCGTGACTGTGCCACTGCACTCCAGCCTGGGTGACAGAGCAAGACTCTGTCTCAAAAAAAAAAAAAAAAAAAAAAAAGGAAGCAAACTGAGAGAATGTTTCAGGTTGAACGAAAGATGTGAATCCTTGTATTGTAGAAGCATGCCAAGTCCTTAGTGATATAAATAAAATTCGTGCATACTTGAAAATTCCTAGATAAACAATAGAATATAAAATGATGGGATAAGAGCAAAATATTTAAAAATTTAAAATATTTTAAAAATGAAATAAAATCATTCTAGTGCTAATGAAAAATCGCCATTGATCTAGGATTCTGTGCACATCAAACTGTCATTCAGGTGTGAGGGTGCCATGGAACAAAAGAGAGAACCTTGAAATAACATATGAATTTGTCAGCGAACTAGTTTTTGACAGGGACACCAAAAGGACATAATGAGGAAACAACAGTTATTTCCACAAACTGTGCTAGAAAAACTGGATTTTCACATGCAGAGAATAAAAGTGGGCCTTTTCCTTATACTATACACAAAAATCAACTCAAAATGGATAAAATACCTAAATGCAAGCTAGAAAGTATCTTAGAAGAGAACATAGGGGAAATGCTGCTAAACATTGTCCTTCCAATGAATTTTTGGATACCACACCAAAGGCTCAGGCCACAAAAGCAAAAATCCATACATGGGATCAAATAAATGGGATCAAGTGGGATAAATAAATGGGATCAAATCAGACTATAAAGCTTCTTCACAGTAAAGAAAACAATCAACAAAATGAATCCACAGCTTTATACCTTTATTACAACTTCTTCAGTTTTGAGATGCTCATTTTGATGCATTTATTTTTTCTCTTTATGATCAGTGTTTTATCATGAAGTATTTCTAAATATGGTACTCTTTCATTTCCGTTTAAGCTTTTTTTTTTCAGATAATCGAAGAATCACATGGAGTTACAAGAAATAACACAAAGACCCTATGCACCGTTTACCCAGTTTCTCCCAATAGTAACATCAAAACTAGGGTACATCATAACTAGGATGTCGGCATTGATCCAGACTCTTGACAGTTCTTTCACCACAAGGATGCCTTACATTGCTTTTTTGCAACAAACTTCCCTATCACCTCCATCCCTTCCCCAGACTCTGGCCTCCACTAATCTCTCCATTTCTACAATTTTGTCAGTTTTTAAATGTTATATTAATGAATTCATATGGTATGTAACCTTATAAGATTGGCTTTTTTCACTTGCCATAATTCTCTGGAGAGCCATCCGAGTTGTTACTTACATAAAAAATCTGTTTCACTTTGGGAGGCCGAGGTGGGCGAATCACGAGGTCAGGAGATCGAGACCATCCTGGCTAACACAGTGAAATCCTGTCTCTACTAAACACACACACACACACACACACACACACACACACACACACACACACACACACACACAATTAGCTGGGTATGGTGGCGGGCGCCTATAGTCCCAGCTACTCCGGAGGCTGAGGCAGGAGAATGGTGTGAACCTGGGGGGCGGAGCTTGCAGTGAACGGACATTGCGCCACTGCACTCCAGCCTGGGCGACAGAGCGAGACTCCGTCTCAAAAACAACAACAACAAAAAAAATCTGTTTCTTTTTACTGCTAAGTAGCATTCATGGTGTGGATATACCACAGTTTAACAATTTACTCACTGAAAGACATCTGGATTTTGCAGTTTGGAGACATTACAAATAAAGCTACTATAAGTATTTGTGTACAGGTTTTTGTGCGAACATGAATCTATTTCTCTGCGATCCACGCCCAGTAGCGGTATTGCTTAGTCAGATGGTAGTTGCAGGTTTAGCTTTGTTTGTTAGTTTTGATTTTAACAAACTTCCATTCTGTTTTCCAAAGTGGCTAGAGCATTTTACATTCCCACCAGCAATGTGTGACAGATCCAGTTTCTTCTCATATTGGACCTAATAGTTCTACCAATTTTTCATTTCAGCCATTGTCACAGGTGTGCAGGGATATCTCACTTTGGCTTTAATTTGCAATTCCTTAATGCCTAATGATGTGGAATATCATATCATGTGCTTATTGACCATTTGTATATATCCTCAACTTATTTTGCCCATTTTCTAATGGAATTGTTTGGTATTTTACTCTTGAATTTTGAGACTTGTGCATTCTAGTCCCTTGTCAGATATATGGTTTGAAGTATTTTCTCCCACTCAGAAGCAGACCATTTCAATCTTTTAACAAGTTCTTCCAAAGCACAAAAGCTTTTCATTTTTATGAAGCTGGTTTATCAATTCTTCATTTTATAGTTTGTGCTTACACTGTTATCTAAGAACTGTTTGACTAGCCCTGAATTCTAAAGATTTCCTCCTATATTTTTTTTAAGTTTTCTACTTTTACCTTTTACATTTATGTGTGTCATTCATTTTGAGTCAGTTTTTTTATGAAATGTGAGACTTAGGTCAACATTAATTTCTTTTGCTTGTGGATGTCCAGTTGCTCCAGCAGCATTGGTTAAAAATTTCCTCCATTTTATTGAATTTATACCTTTGTTAAAAATCATTTTGAAATAGGAAAATTTCCTGATCCCCCTCGCAGGACCTGAACCAGGGGTGTGGCTTGCCTGTTTGGTCACTGCTGCTGCTCAATCCCCTGAGGGGCGGGGTAGCACCCAGATGGACAGGTGCAAGAGCCCAAGTGGGAGTGTGTTACAGTGTGCCCATTTAGCCCTGCTGTCCAGGGACGGCTTGAGTGTTAACCAGCTCAATGGATCCTCTGCCTTTCTGCAAGGCCAGAAGGCCAGCGTGACAGCCTTCTGTATTCTGAGCCAGAAGAACTGGGTCTCATACAGGCTTGAAGGATGAATGCAGTGTTTTATTGAGTGGTGGAGGTGGTTCTCAGCAAGACGGATGGGGAGCCAGAAGGGAGGGATGGAATGGGAAGATGATCTTCCCCTGGAGTTTGGCTGTCCAAGAGTTGAACCCTTCTCCAAACGCGACCAGCCAAATTCCTCTTGGCATTCACACGTTCCTCCTCTTCTCTCTTTCTCTGCCCGTGTCGTCCTTCCAAAGTCCATCTGCTTGTCTCTGCATTTGCTCGTCTGCTTATCTGCTTCTGGAGCCTGGGGTTTTGGGGTTTATATGGGAACAGGATAAGGGGCATGGCGGGCCAAAAGGCAACATTTTGGGCCTGTCCCTAACACAAGACAAGAATGCCTGTCCCTATTTAGGGGCACGGGTCTCCCAGGTTTGAGGATGGGGCCTTTGCCGGGAAACCGCTCTCTTCTACCCAGCATTTCCCTATCTCCTGTCCATATCAATTTGGGCATTTCTATCAGCATCTGTAAGAAGTTCTTCCTCTGGTCCATGGATTGATGTATCTGTCCCTTTGCAAATAGCAAATAATCTTGACCACTGTACCTATACAAATCTTGAAACCAGGTAGACCATTTTCCTCCAATATATAATATTTTCAAAATTGTTTAAGCTGTTCTAGTTTTCACTTTGGATATATATTTTATAGTAATCTGGTTGATATCTACAAAAAGATATTGCTAGGATTTTTATAAGCTTTGTGTTAAACTCATATATGAAATTATAATGGGAGAATTAATAACTTTACTATGTGAAGTCTTCCAATCCATTGATGCAATATGTATCTCTACTCATTTAGCTCATCTTGGATATTCTTTCATCAGTGTTGTATAGTTTTGAACATACAATCTTGTGCATGTTTTGTTACATTTACACCTAAATATTTCATTTTTTAGTAATTGTAAATGGAATTCTATCTTTAAATTTCAATCCATGTATTCAGTGCTAAGATTTAGAAGTGCAATTGACTTGTGTATTTTGATCTTGTATTTGCAATCTTTGTAAAATTACATATTAGTTCCTGGATGTTTTTATAGATTCTTTAGGATTTTCTCCATTTTTAATTATGTTGTGTTTGTATGTTGATCTTTTATTTCCAACCTTGCTGAACATACCTGTTGGTTCTAGGAGGTTTTTTATAGATTTCTTTGGATTTTCTCCATACATAATTGTGTCATCTGAAAAAAAAATTATCTCTTTCTTTTCAATATGTATGTCTTTTATTTTTTTTTCTTTCCTTAGCACACTGGTATAAATTTCAGCACTAAGTTGAATAAAATAGCGAGAGCAGGCTTTCTTGTATTTTCCCCAATCATAGAGTGAAAACATTTAGTTCTGTTTGGCTTTTGGGCAACTGCCAAAGTGTCTTCCACAGTGGTTGCATCATTTTGCATTCCCAGTGGCAATGTAGGAGGGTTACAGTTTTTCCACATCCTTGTCAACATCTATTATTTTTCATTGTTATTATTACCATACAGGTAGATATGAAGTGATATCTCATTATGGTTTGATTTGCATTTCCTGAATGACTAATGATGTTGAGCATCTTTTCATGTGTTTATTGTCATTTGTATATCTTCTCTGGAGAAGTTTCTATTCAAGGCTTATGACCACTTTTAAAATGGTTTACTGGCGTTATTGTTGTAGAGTTGCAGAAGTTTTATTATTATTATTCTAGATATTAAACCCTTAGGTGATATATAATTTGCAAATATTGTATTCCATTGTATAGGTTGTCTTTTAGCTTTCTTGAGAACATACTTTGGTACACAAAATATTTTAATTTGAATATCATCCAATTTATCTAAATTTGTGTTACTGATTGCTTTTAGTGTCATATCTAATAATGAATTGCAGATTCCAAGATTATGAATATTTTCTCCTATGCTACCTTCTATAAATTTTATAATTTTAGCTTATATTTAGTTTGTTGATTAATGTCAAATAAATTTTTGTATATGGTATTAAGTAGGTGTTCAATTTTATTTCATTGCGTATGAAAACCCAGTTTTCCCAACACCATTTGTTGAAGAGACTCTTACCCCTCCTCTCCCATAGTACGTACTTGTCACTCTTGTCAAAAATCAGTAGGCCAAAATAACAAGTTAGGATGCGCAGTAATTGGAAAGTGCATGCACTGTTGCTAGGAATGTAATATGGTATAACCACTATAAAAAACAGTCTGGAGGTTTCTCAAAAAATTAAAAATAGAGTTGTCATATAATCCAGCAATTTCTTTTCTGGTTATATACCCAAAATAATTGAAAGCATTTTTTTTTTTTTGAGATGGAGTCTCGCTCTGTCACCCAGGCTGGAGTGCAATGGCATGATCTCTGCTCACTGCAACCTCTGCCTCCCAGGTTCAAGTGATTCTCCTGCCTCAGCCTCCTGAGTAGCTGGGATTACAGGCACACGCTACCACACCCAGGTAAGTTTTGTATTTTTAGTAGAGACAGGGTTTCACCATTTTGGTCAGGCTGGTCTCGAACTCCTGACCTTGTGATCCACCCACCTCCACCTCCCAAAGTGCTGGGATTACAGGCGTGAGCCACTGCGCCCAGCCTGAAAGCAAAATTTGAACTGACACTTAAACATCATGTTCATAGAAACAATATTCACAATAGCCAAAGGGCAGAAGCTACTTAAGTGTCCATCAAAGGATGAATGAACAAACAAAATGTGATATATACATACAATAGAATATTACTGAATATTAGAAAGGAAGGAAATGTTGACACATTGCAGTATGAATGAACCTTAAAGACATAATGCTAAATTAAACAAGCCAGTCACAAAAGGAAAAATACTTTACGATTCCACTTACATGAGCCACCTAGAGTAGTCTACTATGCAGATGTAACATGGTTAATTTATCCATTAATCTCCCAAAGGATATCATGGCTGCTTCTAAGTTTTGACAATTATGAATAAGCTGCTATAAATATGAATGTGAAAGTTTTTTTGTGAACACAATGTGAGTAAGCATCAGGGAATGTGATTTCTGGATTATATGATAAGAATATATTTTGTAAGAAACTGCCAAACTTTCCTGCAAGTGGCTGTACCACTTTACATTTTTACATTAATGAATGAGGTTTCCTTTTGCTCCACATTCTCAACATTTGGTGTCTTCAGTGTTTTGAGTTTTTGTCATTCCAACAGTGATATCTCATCTTTGTTTTAATTTGAAATTTCTTAATGAGTATGATGTGGAGTATCTGTCTACCTTCTTTTGCAGAGTTATCATCTTCTTTTTTTTTTTTTTTCAGATAGACAGGGTTTAACTCTGTTGCCCAGACTGGAGTGCAGTGGTGTGATCACAGCTTACTGCAGCCTTGAATTCTTTGGCTCAAGTGATTCTCCCACCTCATCCTCTGGAGTAGCTGGGACTATGGATGCACACCACCATGCCTGGCTAATTTTTCAATTTTTTTTTTTTCAGAAATGGTCTTACTCTTTTGCCTGAACTGGTCTAGAACTCCTGGCCTCAAGTAATTCTCCTGCCCTGGCTTCCCAAATTATTGAGATTACAGGTGTGATCCACCATGCCTGACCTCTTTTCATATCTTTTCCTCAATGTTTTATCTGGTTGTTTCTTTTCTCATTCTTGAATTATGTGTTATTATTGCATTTTAGATTCAAGTCTTTTTTCAGATATATCTTTTGCAAATATTTTTCCCCAAGTATGCTGTGTTTCTTTGCATTCTCTTAAAAGTGGCCTTTTCAGAGCAAGACATTTTTTTTAGTGAAGTCCATACTATTAATTACTTCTTTCATGGGTCATGCCGTTGATGTTGTATCTAAAATGTCATTATCAAACCAAAGGTCATATATATTTTCTCTTATGTTATCTTTTACAAGTTTTATCATTTTGTGTTTTACATATAGGTCTAGGAACCATTTTGAGGTAATATTTATGAAAAGTGTAATGTCTGTGTCTATATTAACCTTTTTGCTTGTGGATACTCAGTTGTTCCAGCACAATTTGTTAAAAAGATGCTAATTTTCCCATTATATAATCTTTCCTCTATTGTCAAAGATCAGTTGACTATATTTGTGTGAGTATACTTCTGAGCTGTCTCTTCTGTTGTCTTGATCTATTTGTCTGTTCTGTCTCTAATACTGCACTGTCTTTGTTACTGTAGCTTTATAGTAAGTCCTAAAGTTGAGTAGTGCCAGTCCTCAGAATTTATTTTTCTCTTTCAATATTGTATTGACAATTCTGATATTTTGCCTCTCAATACAAAATATGGAACTATTTTGTCTACATCTGCAAAATAACTTCCTGGGATTTTGATTGGGATTACATTAAAATCTGGATCAAGCTGTGAAGAACTGACCTTTAGGGAATATTGCATCTTCCTATCATAATATGAGCTATGTTTCTGGTTCTTTAATTCTTTAATTTTGATAATCAGAGTTCTATAGTTCTTCTCATATAGATCTTGTACATATATTTTGTTAGATTTGTATCTAAGCATCTCACTTTTGAGGGTTCTAATACAAATGTTAATAATTTTTACATTTCAAATTTCAATTGTTTATTGTTGTATATATACAATTTTCTTCCCTGAAATTCTGGTATAATCACTAATTCCAAGAGTATTGTTATTGTCATGTTTTATTCTTTCAAATTATTTACATGGACAATCATGTCATATACAAACATAGATAATACTATTTATTCTTTTACAATCTGTATAACTTTTATTTCCATTTCTTATCTTATCCCTTTAGCTAGAAATTCCAGTACAATGTTGAAAAGGAGTGATGAGAGAGGATATTCCTGCTTTGTCCTGACATTAGCAGGGAAATTTCTAGTTTCTCACTATTAAGTATATTGCTAGCTGTAGGTTTTCTGCAGATTTTTTTTATTTTAAAAATTTAATTGACATCTTGAATTATATATATTCAAGGTGTACGATGTGATGATTTGATAGATGTATACATTGTATAATGATTATCACAGTCAAATTAATGCCTCTATCACCACCCATGCTGTACATTAGATTCCCAGAACTTATTAATTATATAATTGAATGTTTGTATTCTTCGACTAACAACTCGTTATTTGCGCCACCTCCCCATCCCTGGAAACCACCATTCTATTCACTTTCTATGAGCTCAACTTTTTTCATTTCCACATATAAATGAGATCATACAGTATTTGTCTTTCTGTGTCTGGCTTATTTTACTTAGCATACTGTTTTCCAGTTCATCCATTGTAGATGTTCTTAATCACATTGAGGAAGTTCCTCTCTATTCCTAGTTTGGTGAGGGTTTTTTTGTTTGTTTGTTTGTTTGTTTGTTTATCACACATAGGTGTTCAATGTTGTCAAATACTGGTTCTGTATGGATGGCTGTGATTTTTCTTCTTTAGCCCCTTGATATAGATTACGTTAATTGGCTTTTCAATGTAACTGGCCTTACATACCTAGATTAAATCTCATTGAATATGGTGTATAATACTTTTTGTATATTGTTGGATTCAATGTGCTAATTTTGTTGAGATTATTTTCAGCTCTAGTTTTCTTTTCCTTAAATGTTTTGGTCTGGCTTCGGTATGAGGGTAACTCTGACCTCATAGAATCCCTTAAGCATCGTTTCCTCCTTTTCTATACTTTGGAAGAGTTTGATAAGTACAGTTGCTAATTCTTTTTAAATGCTTGATAGAATTCAGTAGTGAAACAATCTGACTTGAGCTTTTCTCTTTATGAAATTTTGATTGCTGTTTCAAAATATTTATTTACTATTGATCTGCTGAGATTTTCTATTTTGCCTTGAACAGTTTAGGCAATTTTCGTGTTATGATCACTTTTTCTATTTCATCTAGGTTACCTAATTTGTTGGGGTACAAATGTTTATAATATTATCTTCTTCTTATTATTATCATTTCTGTAAGGTCAGTAATAATGTCCTCACTTTCTTTTCTGATTTCAGTTATTTGTGTTATTTGTGTCTTCTCTCTGTTTATCGGTGTCAGTCTAGCTAAAGGTTTTACCAATTGTGATATTTTTAGAGAACAAATTCTTGTTAATTTTATTTTGTTTTTCTATTTTCTATGTTGTTTATCTCTGCTCTAAATCCTTATTATTTTCTTTCTTCTACTACTGTTTGGTTTAGTTTCCTCTTGTTTTTCTATTTTCTCAATGTGTAAAGTTTGGCTAATAATTTAAGATTGCTCTCTTTTTTAATGTATTTACAGCTATAAATTTCCCTTTTAGTTTCCCTCCATTGCATGTCATAAGTTTTGGAATATTTTATTTTTGTCATCTGTTATATCTATATATTTTTAACTTTCCTTGTCATTTCTTCTTTAACTCTTTTGTTACTTGAGTATGCTTTGCTTCATTTTCACATATTTATGAGTTTTCTTTTTGTTTTTCTTTTATTATAAATTTCTAGCTTCATTCTATTGTGGTTGGAAAAGATGGTTTGTGCAATTTCAGTCTTTTTAAAATTAGAGACTGGTTTTGTGGCCTAAGATAGTCTGTCCTGGGGAATGTTCACCGTTGCTTGAGAAGATTGTGCATTTTGCCATTATTGGGTGGAGTGTGCTATAGGTGTCTGTTAGGGCTAGGTGTTTTTTAAATTTTTTTTTATAGTGTTGATGAAGCTCTTTATGTTCTTACTGATCTTCTCCCTAGATGGTGTTGATGTACTAGTAATAAATTATTTTGGATATAAATGTGAAATAACATTTACTTCTTTCTCTTTGATTTTTGGCTTATTATAATTGGAGTGTTTGGGCTCTCAGATGCCATAATTCTCTTCCTTTTTAATGTTAATTTTAGTTTTTTTTTTTAATTTGCCATCTGTTATGATTTCCTTTTCTTTCTTCTTACTCATATTTACTACGACAGTTTTGTTCTGACTCTATTTACTCTGAGATATTTAGAGAGAATTCTTTTAGACTTTCTCTTTTTTTTTTTTTTCTTATTTCAGGCTTGTCTGTTTTCCACTGAAAAACAGTTGAGGTCACACTCTGTTTGATGCATTGTTGTAGCTGAAGAAAGAAAAGGCACATTCAGGCGTGACTGTGTTTAGAAGTTGTTGGAACAACCAGGCTCTGTTCTTCATGTATTTTACTAGTAAGGAGGGTGTCCTATTTAATTGAAAAGATACTCAGAGGATACTCTTATATTTTCTAGTTTAGAGCTCTAGCTTCTAAGAGAGAAAACAAAATTAGTTTTCATGTTTTACTTCCTCCATTGTTCCTAAGTCTCTATGGATCTATTTTTCATCTTGAACCCATTCCCACTCCTGTCAAAGAGGGCAAACATCCCTTCATCTACTTCTTTCTAAAAATAGAAATAGAGTGAGAATTCTGGGAATTTTGAACTTGCCAGTATCTGTCCTGTAGTTAATTGGGCCTGGGAAAAATCTTCTTCAGCCAAACTATCCTCTGAAGTCATGTCTATTTTGCCTTTTTACTATCTCAGGACGTAAGAAACTTGTGAAATAACACATACATCTAGTAAAACTCATGTTCCACATAAAAAATATGACCAGACCCACAAACCCATGCCTTTGTCTCTTGTGCTATGCTCATGTTTTAATATAGTGTCTTGCCCGTCACATTTGCTTTTTGGTGTTTATGAATAAATGCTTCATTAACGTTGGACTGCAGGTGCACTGGAGCTCTGTCAGGTGTAGCATGTAATTCAGTATGGTTAGAGGACAGAGAATGTGAGAGGGTGTAGAAATACATGAGGCTGAAATGTAGAAGGAAATCAGAAAATAAAGGACAGGCTGATTAAACGACTCAGATTTTATTCTGAGGACAATGGGTAGACACTAAGGGAAGTGTTTAGAACACTAAGGAGTAAAATAGTCATATTAGTGTTTCAGAATTCTCTCTTTGGTGACAATGTGGAAGCTGCATTTAATGCCAGAAAAATCGGCTGGATGTGGTGGCTCTATGCCTGAAATTCCAGAACTTTAGAAGGCTGAAATATATATATAAATACGTATGTGTGTGTGTGTGCACGTGTGCGTGTATGTGTGTGTGAAAAATTGGAGGCAAAGCAACTGGTTAGGAGATTACTATTGGCTCTAATCAAGAGATGATGTGGATTCTATTGTGCTTCAGCCACAAGACCAGGAGAAGATACCTAGTACCGCAGGAAGGGGAAAGGGTGTCTAGCATCAGTGATGATAACAAAACTAGTATTTACATCCTAGGAAAAGTAGTAAGCTCAAATCTATCCATCAGAACCTCAGAACCTCAGGTCAGAGAACTAAATAGTGCTACTAACCTCTCAAGTTTACGGAAGAAAAGTGGGTGTCTTATCAGGTTCTAATAGGATTTCTTTGACATTGATTATTTGTGTTTCTGATCACGTTCATGGTTCTGCAGCAACATCTTTCTTTCCTACAGGGCTTTAGTGCTGTGAGGAAAAAGGAACTGGCAATTCAAATGAGTAAGATAAGTGGTGTTTTATGAGATAGAGAAATTAAAATGGAAGTAAATTAGGGGAGGAGGGAGAAAAGCAAAAGGAAGGAGTTCATATGAGAAATCAAAACTAACCAAAGTGCCAAAATGCCAGCATCCTTCTGGTAAGTGTACTAAATCTAAACAATTATCAGATAACCATGGTGTTGTAGCAACCGAACTCTTCAAACCATTTGTAGGTTTTGAGAGTTTTCGAAAAGTAGACTGGCACCAGTCAATTTGTATTTATTTAAGTTTGTATTTTAACGAATATTTTAATTCCATCAGGATTCATAGTTAATCTCCACAATGTGTGGCCCACAAGTGGTATACTGCTGCCTTCCTTTCCCCTTCCTCTCCAGAAGTGCTGGTTTTTTAATAGGACTCTTTTCCTTCTTACCTCATTATCTTCAAATAACATGCTATTATTTTGACTTCTTGATTTTCACCCTTAAGCATTGGTTATTAACCTTCCGTAATAAAAAGTAACTTGTCTTTAACCTTAATACAGATTTAGATTTACCTGCCTCCTCCCCACACCCTTACACCCTTCACAACTTTCCCTCCCACCTCTCCTCACCCTTCCAATAACACAGAATGGTAATCTGGGTTATTTTAGTCATCAATTTTCACACGTTTTGGCAATTTAAGTGCTTTTTCAATATGAGCCATGTAATAAACAGATTACTTTTAATTTTTACCACAACTTTCATATTTCTTGAAATAAATAATTATTATTTGACTGTTGTCTAGTTCTATTTGTTAGTTTTTTTATAGGCTTATTACTCATTTCATCCCAAACTCTCTTAGAACACTAACATATCAGGTCTTATATCAATGGCAACTTCTTGGAAA
This sequence comes from Homo sapiens, assembly GCF_000001405.40. Classification (NCBI taxonomy): domain Eukaryota; kingdom Metazoa; phylum Chordata; class Mammalia; order Primates; family Hominidae; genus Homo; species Homo sapiens. The sequence continues at coordinate 124,951,857 of NC_000002.12, read as the reverse complement.
AATCTGTCCTGAAACCTCTGGCTCTTTTCATTATACTGAATCCCTCTAATTCTGGTACAAATCTGTCATGTGGCTTCTTCCTTCACCAGCACAATGGTGACTTTTTGGGAATCCCCTGATTACTAGACCCTTCTTCTCATTTCTATTAGCATATTTTCTCTTTTTATTGGACCAAATACTCCCATAGCTTCTTGCGAAAACAGAGCATGGTAGGTACTCTTTTGGAGATGCTATATCTTTTAGAGATTTTTCAAATACCTTACCATTTGATGTATAATTTAACTTGCAAAGTAATTTTAGATCGAAATTTTTTTTTTCTTAAAATATTTAAATCTTGTTTCTTTTGTTGGTGTAAGAAAAGTCTCAAGCCATTCTGGTGGACTCCTGATTTTTTTAATGCAATCTCTATATTTTCTATTTGTCTTTCTATGCTTTTGTTTTGTTTTGTTCTAAGCATTCAGATCCTTTTTTATGATACACTTTATCATGGGTTTCTTTTCATCCAATCAACCTAGTGCAGGTACACTGAGCTCTTCCGCTCCGGACACTCATGCCCTGCATGGATAAGAATATTTTTTCAATTTTTTTTTTTTTTTTTGCCAATTCTCTTCTCGATTATTATGAAACATGTCTTAGGCACATATTATAATTTCTGGACTGTTTCTCTAGTTTTTGTATCTTTATTGTTACCCATGTCATTTTTAGAGTTTTATTTTCTGGCAATTTCTGCATTCAGTAGGCATCCAATTATAAAGTTCTTTACACGCATAATTTTAAAATGTTCTCTTGTCCTATGAATATTTATTTTCCTTCTAAGTTCTTTTTCTTCATAATTGCGAAGTCTTTTCATATTCCTCTAAGGGCATTTATTGAAAATTACTTATTTGAAGTCTTGCTCTTCTTGACGAAGCAGTTCTAATTTGTCTTCGTTGGATGTGATCTCAATCTCTTATGTTAGAGGAATTTTGAAGATACCAAATAATCTCAGGTTGTCTATTCATAATTATGTATGGGAAGCTCTAAAATCTATTTGTAAACTCTAAGAATGTGTGCTGTATTCTTGCTTGTTGGGATGTGACTGATTTGTTTGGTAGGGCTGGTTAGAGTTGCCAGAGAAATCCTTTCCTGTCTGCAGAGGAAAAGGCCGAAGGCCTGACTGCCAGGATTCTGGAGACTGAGTAGAGTGCAGGCTCCCCTTCATGCAGTAGGCATGCAGTCACGCAGTGGCTGTGACTTCAGTAGAGTACCCCTGGTCACTGTATTTTGGTCTTCCCTTATTTAGAGACTTTGTTTTTCCCCCTCTTTGAAGAATATTTTCACAGGCTCTCCTGGGATCAGGGAGGGCGTTAGCCCAGGGATGCAGAATGGAGAAGGATCAGGGGAACTAATTCTTAATGATTTCTAACCACTCATCCTTGATCTTACTCACCTGCCCACCCCATCACGTCTATTTCAAGGAATACATTTTGTATCAGCCGCTGAGCTCTTAGAGATGATGCAGTGTAAATCATGTTATTTTTCAGTTCACACCCCTTCCGCCCACCCTTCTGCCCATGGGCTTTTACTAAGTGAGTGAATCCTCACCCCCAGTGTTTTCCATCTTCCAAAATACTGTTGCTGTGTCTCTCCACTATGCTGCCACTCTTTTTATGTTTATAACCAACAAGCAAACAAAAAAAAGTCTTGTATCAACTGTTTAATGGGATTGTAAGATAAAGTGAAATTAAATGTGCATTGTCTATCAGCCTTATATATCCATAAGCCACACCCTAGTTTTCATTTGAGCATGTGCGTTAAATTCTGCTCAGGTTAAGTCACTACTAATAACTCCAATGGGTGACTTGGGCAAGTCCAATTTGTCCATTTCCTGAATAAGCACATAATCAGGTTTTCTCATATATGTAAAAGTCTGAAACACATGCATAGACACACACATACAGTCACACACACATATAAGAATTGTATGCAGTTGGTGCAAATGTTTTGCGATTTTTGCCTTTGAAAGTAATGGCAAAGACCGCAATTACTTTGTAACAACCTAATGGAGTTTGCAACAACCTAATGGAGTTCCTCAGAGAAACACAAGCAATGAGATGTACAGAGAGAGAGAGAGAGACAGAATTATTTTAAGCCATTACAGAGACTGACAAGTTCAGGAACACTTGGACACAGGAAGGGGAACATCACACACCGGGGCCTGTTGTGGGGTGGGGGGAGGGGGGAGGGGTAGCCTTAGGAGATATACCTAATGTAAATGACGAGTTAATGGGTGCAGCACACCAACATGGCAAATGTATACATATGTAACAAACCTGCATGTTTTGCACATGTACCCTAAAACTTAAAGTATAACCAAAAAAAAAAAAAAAAAAAAGCAAAAAGAAAAAAGCTAAGGTTAGCAGGCTGGAAATTTAGGAAAAAGCCAGTGCTGCCATTTAAGTCTGAAGGCCATCTGCTGGCAGAATTTCTTCTTGTTGGAGGCGGGGGACAGGGTAAGTCAGTCTTTGTTCTATTAAGTCCATCAACTGATTAGATGAGATCCACCCACATTATGGAGTGCAATGTGCTTGGCTCAAAATCCACCAATTTCAATGTTAATCTGATCCAAGAAACACCCCTACAGAAATGTGCATATGGCCAGGCTCAGTGGCCCACGCCTATAATCCCAGCACTTTGGGAGGCCGAGGCGTGTGGATCACAAGGTCAGGGGATCGAGACCATGCTGGCTAACATGGTGAAACCTCCTCTGTACTAAAAATACACAAAAAAATTAGAAAAAATTAGCCAGGTGTGGTGGCAGGCGCCTGTAGTCCCAGTACTGGGGAGGCTGAGGCAGGAGAATGGCGTGAACCCAGGAGGCAGAGCTTGCAGTGAGCCGAGATCGCGCCACTGCACTCAGCCTGGGCAACAGAGCAAGACTCCATCTCAAAAAAAAAAAAAAAAAAGAAAAAGAAATGTGAATATGTGTGAGCAAATATCTGGGCATTGTGGCTCAGCCAAGTTAGCACGTAAAATTAACTCTCTTTCCATCCCTTTCTCTCAATCTCTCCCTCTCTCTTTCACACACACACCCCAACACACATACACATTTTTTTTAAATTTTTTTCTTTTTAGAAATAGGTGTCTCCATGAACATAATGGCTACAGACTCAGGTAGACCAAGATTCAACTTATATTTCACCTTTGAAGGTGAAACATTTTCTTTGTCCCCACTTCTTTTATTTTCTTTATTTTCTTACAGTGAGAAGGATCTCAATATTCTACAAGCATAAGAAGAGTGAGTGTCTTCTAACATAGTTGTGAAGAGTGAATTGATTGCACACGTGAAACAGACTGGTCTGTTTGGCTCATAGAAAAGGCTCAAAAAATGTGTCATATCACTTTGGTTACCATTATAGTGTTTGCCTAAATACACATTTATCAGAGAGGCGTTTCCTGCTCATTTTTTCTGACATGGTACTCCCTCCACACATTCATTTCTTTTCCTGAATCATCTGCTCCCTACTGCTGAAGGACAGCAGAGCTCTTTTTGTTTTGTTCACCATTGTATTCTTCGGAAGAACTTGAGAAACAAATGGAACTAAACTGAGAAAAGAATTGAATAAATGGATTATCAATATCACAGAGATTGGATTTCTGTTGAAACCGTTTTAACTCTTTAGGTTTACCTCTGACTTGGTCTCAGAAGTGATTAAAGTCATTTTCAAAACTAAACACAATATAAACTGAGACAAGATAGGAGACAAAAAGTAAATAAATAAACACAATATAAGCATCTATTCCTAATAAAAAGCAGAATAATGGAAAAAATTAAGAATTGAACTTTGACAAAATAAAATTTCCATTCATTAACAAGCCACAGACAGTGAAAATATATTAAAATGTTATACACACACACACACACACACACACACACACACACACACACACAGAGTTCTGGCAAAGGGCTGGTAATCAGGGTTTATGGGAAAACTTACATTTCAATAATAGAAAGACAACCAATACAGTAAAAATATGAGTAAACCATTTTCACAGACACCTCTGAAAAGAAGATATAAAAATGGCCAATAAGAACATGAAAAATCAACATTATTAGACAACAGAGAAACATTCATGAGAACTTCAGTGAGATACATCTACCCCTCACTAGGATGGCCAGAATTAAGGATTGATAACAAATGCTAGTAGGCATAAGAAGCAGTAAATCTGTTACATTGTTAGTAAGAATATAAAATGGTACTAAGCACACACCTCCTCAGCACTTCTAAAGCTATGCATGTACCCAAGAGAGATGAAGATATATGTTCACAAAATACTTACATATATACTCACAGAATATTTATGCATGTTAGCCAAAATATAGAAACACCCTGGTGTCCATCGATAGAACAATGCATAAATAAACTGTGATGTAATCATTCAAATATATTATTCAGCAATAAAAATAAATAACTATATATACCAAGGGTGTATCTTAAAAAGTTATTATGCTGAATAAAGGAAACTTAACATAAAAAATCCCACACAATAGGATTCTATTCATGTTAATTTTTTAAATACAGAAATCTAGTCTATGGTAGAAAAAAAAAAATCAGTAGAAATTTCCTGGAATGGTGGTTTGGCAAGAAATACACGGGAGAAATCAAGAGAAAACTTCCTGGGGTGGTAGTAAAGTTTAGTTATTAATAGGGGTTTGGTTACCCAAGTGTATGCATTTGTCAGCACTTAGCAAAACAAAACAAGATTTATGCAGTTCATCTTTTGTAAATGTTACCTCAAAGGGCATAAAACACTGTAAACAAATCTTGTGCTATAGTTAATGATATGCAGGCTGGAGTATTTATCATGCACATTTATTTAATTTACTGTGAAATGAATCAAAAAGATAAGATGGATTCATAGATGGAAATTCTGATAAAAAGGAGGATGACATCTGATAAAGCAAGTACAATAAAATTTTAATAGTAGGCTCTAGAGCAAACTTCTCCAACTTGTAGCCCACAGGCTGCATGTAGCCCTGGATAGCTTTGAATGTGGCCCAACATAAATTTGTAAACTTTCTTAAAACATTATAAGATTTATTTTGAGATTTTTATTTTTTTTAGCTCATCAGGTATCGTTAGTATATTTTATGTGTGGCCCAAGACAATTTTTCTTCTTCCATTGTGGCCCAGGGAAGCCAAAAGACTGGACATCCCTGCTCCTAGAGGAAGTTCACTGTAAAATTAATCTAATTTTGCTACATGTTCGAAAATGTTCATAATAAAATGTTGGAAAAAATAAAATCAAAATTTAAAAATAACCATCAAAGATATTGTAGGTTTTCAGGAACTGATTGTGTGCTTGTTGCTCTAGTTGTACTTCTAAACTTCAGGTTTTCAAGATGTCAAAGAAAAAGGACAAATCCACTGAGTTATAGAGTCTTTCTTGCCAAGAATTAGATCGTTTCTGGTCATGCAACGATCTGTGATTCTACATAAGCCTAGCTTGCTCTCCAAATATCACTTTGGCTCAGAGATAATCTGAAAAACAAACAAACAAAAACAAACAAACAAACAAAAGCAGGCACATTATTCTTTCCATTGACTTTGAAATATACAAAGAAGTATATGTCTTCCAAGAAGGTTACATTTAAAGGCCAAAGATTTAAACCATATTCCAAAACCATGGCGCACACATTGATAGCCCCCAGTGGGGCTGGCCCAATTCCTGCCTTGTGAAGTTTTACAGCAACAATCATCCTCCCTGTGGTTACATCAATATCTTAAAGTCAATACCTGAAGTTTTGGTGTTTTGTTACCACCAAGCATTTCTAAGCATGCTGTTTCACAGAAAGTTCTTCAAACACTATTGTTCTGGAGAGGACTTGGGAAGAAAAATACAGCTATAAATCTTAAAAACACTCAGTGATGCAAAGATTGCAAAGTAGAAAGTATGGATTCCATAGTGACCATGCTTTAACTCTCATTATAGACAGCATTTCCCACCTTAAGTCTTCCTCATCTTGCAAAACAGATCCAGATGCTCCAGGCCTATGTAACATTTGCCCTTAGCACTTGTTTGCATTATAACATTTATCACTCTGGACTATAACGACTTGCATAGGAAACCTTTCACTGTACTCTGAGTCCTTGAAGCCAGCCCCATAAACTTTCACCTCTATATTTCAGCTTGGTGCTAGATCTTGTTTACAAGGTAGAATTAAAATTACGTGATAAATAAATGATGAATGAAAGAATGAATATTGTTAGTTAATTTGATTTTGTACAGACTTTGACTTTGTATTTTCTGATGCCATATCCTAAGATCTTCTATCACTTAGAAATCTTATAGTTGCAAATAAACAACAAAAACCAATCCAAATTGGATGAAGCAAAAAGAATCATGTAATGAAAAGTCCAGTGATAAGACTAGTTTTAAATGTGCATATGTTTGGACTAATGTGAATCTATTTTCTCTTCATCTCTCAGCTCTCCTCTAACCTGGTATTCTCCACATTTTTAAATCACTGTCACCCTCCCCTGAGGGTGACTGACTGCAACCCCGCGGAACATCCTTCCAGGTTCTGAACAAGTGGAGAAAGAAAGAGAATCTTCTTTCCTGTATTCACATCAATAGTCCTGACAGTTACAGTGATTGTTATAGCTTGGTTGTTTCCCCTACCTGAAAGTTAAATTTTTTGTTTCACACAAACTATCAACTTTCACTTTATACACAATGAATAAATTCACAATTCACAAAGGAGCTTTAAAATATTTTTTTCTGAAGCATTCCTCACATACAATACTAGACCAAGTGTTTTCATGACTTTTTTTCTCCAAGTGATATTTCAGCCAGATGATATGTTACATAGAAAATCACTTCCTAATGGTTTTACTCCATCTTGCCATGAAAACTTAACTTGCTCATGTGGCCAGAGCCTTTCCTTCCCTCCTTTATGGCTTATCTGAATCCTACCTAGTCATTTTTCAAGGGTGCGCTCAAACACTGTCTTTTCTCTAAATATTTTCTAACTACGCCCAAAGTGAAGGCTGTGTTCCCCATCTCTGAATTGAGATGATATTTAACGTCCTTGCCAATCTTTGTGTATTATCTGTAACACACATTTTGGCACTGTATGTGGACCTTAGTTTGGTATAGTGGCTATAAGCACTCTATAAAATTAATTTGCGATGACATCTCTCACCTTTTTCTTAGATGCAAAATAAGTAGAAATTTTGCACGCCATAAATCTAACGAGGAATAAAAAGATACCATAAGCCATGTGTTTAGAACTGTGTTTGGCATACAATAGCATTCCAGAAGTTGTAGCTGCAATTTTCATTATTTTATTATTCCCATTGGTAATTTTTAAGTATATATTGTGGCTTCACAAAATTGTAAACTCTTTGAGGACAAATACTTTGTATCAAAGTTTTTTTGTATCCTTAGGATCCACCACAACACCTTGAAGATCAAAGACAGTCAATAAATTTTGACTGGGGTCCTCAGGGAGCTTACACTCATGGTGGAAAGCAAAGGGGAGCAAGGCGTCTCACATGGCTGGAACAGGAGAAAGACAGAGAGGGAGAAGGTGCTACACACTTTTAAACAACAGATCTCATGATAATTCATTCACTATCACCCAGTGAATGGTGCTAAGCTGTTTATAAGAAATCTCCCCCATGAGCCAATAGCCTCCCACCCTGCCACACCTCCAACATTGGGGATTACAATTGAACATGAGATTTGGGTGGAGACACAGATCCAGACGAACACTTATATGCTTGCTAATTCATTTATGTATTATGGCTATAGCTTATTGTCTCTATCTCCTGACTCCACCAGGTATCAGCTTGATAAGAGCAGACACCTTTCTTCAATGTGTTCACTGAAGAATCCCAGAAGCTGGGAACAGTATCAAGCACAGGACAGGCACTCAAGACAATAAAACAACCTTAATAGTAATTAGGAAGAAAAAGTAAGTTGAAACACCAAGATTCTGTGCCACATCAATCAAGTTACTGGTGTCTGAAGGACCAGAAATTCAACAGAGATTCAGAGAAGTGGGCACATATATGTATTGAAAATGTGTGAATAAATGGTGCCATAATTTTGGAAATTTCCACCATTAGAGGAATAGATAAGATGTGGCATGTACAAAAGAATGTTTATACCATAGCTTTCATTAATAAAATGTATCCAAATGATTAAAACCTGAAAACTTAACAGTGAGTAGAAATAAACAAGTAGTAAAAGTATATGAGCACTGTGATACCATTTGTTTTAATTTAAAAAAACTTAAAAAATTGACAATATATATAAATTTGTTTAACATGTAGACATTTATATAAATTGGTGTGTATTTATATGTAATACATTTTGATGGGTGTATAAATTAATAGCAAATGTATAGAACATTGTTCAGAAGAATCCTGGTTACCTCTACCAATGGATGGAAGGAATGGTAATGAGAAGTGGCACATAGTATAGTCTATGTCCTTAGCAATAATAACATTATTATTAAAATATTAATAATAGTTTAAAGACCTGAGCCAAAAATGGCAAATATCTCTAATTGTTAAATATGATTTCTGGGTGCATGAGAATTGGTTATTTTCTGTACTTATATCTACATTTGAAATATTTCCCATAAAAGAACCTAATTATATAGTCTCAGCATATATTTAAACTATTTCATCCAAAAAAGGAGCTAATCACATAAAAGTCTGTTGAGGAGTATGTGTGGGGCTCAGGTAGAGATGGAACAATATTCCTAGAGCAGTGACAAGAAAGGTTGCATAGAGGAGATAAAACTACTGCTAGTCTTTAATGCCTTGTGAGCGTTTACCAAGGTTATGCACTGAGAAAGGAGACCCCAGATACAAATTGCAAGACCAGAGGAATGGAGGTGAGGGGAGCTGCCATGGGAAGTCCATGCCTAGAAGAAGCTGCAGATAGGGTGTTTGGCAGGATGGAATGCAAGGCTGATTCCCAAAGTGGACAGAGGGCAGGGTCCCCTTATGAGCTCCTCTGCTATGGGGGTCCCCAGGTCCCCATGCTAAGTCAGAGACCATGCTATACTTTCCTCAGTGGCACAGCTAACTTACTTTATTTACAATTGTAGCAAGTCCTTTTTTAGAAAACAATTATCTTCTTTTGTAGGACACAGTTATTTTTGCAGTATTAATAATTTAATTAACTTAATAATATCAATGGCAAACAAAGGAAATATGGACAGTGAAATTTTTCTTTTAATTAACTCTGTCTGTATAATTATGCCAATAAGTAATGAAAATGATAAAACCTAAAATAAAGTGAACAATATAGTGTTAAATAAGCACAACAATCCCAGAAATAACTTTCTATTTTAAAGATGTGCATGTATGAATAACATTTCATGCATGAATTAAATTTTGAAACAAAAATGCTATACCTCACAGTTTCCACTTTTACAAATATTTAATCAAATAAGAATTTCAATCAGTCACATAGAATACCAGATTCAAAGTAACTGAAGTTTTATTTCTTCTTATTTGTATTTATTTATTTATTTATTTATTTATTTTGAGACCTAGTTTCACTCTTATTGTCCAGGCTGGAGTGCAATGGCACGATCTTGGTCCACTGCAACCTCCGCCTCCCGGGTTCAAGTGATTCTCCTGTTCTCCTGTGTCAGCCTACCAAGTAGCATTTCTGCTGTTTTCTTAACTGCGTGACATTGTTTTGTCCACATGCATTTGTGGGGCAGCAAGGGGATTGGAGACAGCACCAAAAGCACGCTTGAACAATTCCATATGAGGACTTACTGACTCTTCAAATGAATATGTGTGGTAAGTCCTGTAACACATGTCAGTCTCCTACCTCCTGCCTTCTCGCAGTCAATCTGGAGCCAGCATCTTGTGAGGGCTTGGGAGCTGGAGGTATCTGGCCTAGAAAAAAAGTACCTCCCCCATCCCCTCACCGTAAGCCACCCTCTAGCCAGCAGTAGCAGCCCCTGGTTTGGGAAGAAGAGTATTAGGTTTAAGCCTGGCAAAGTTTTGATTAGTAACTGGTTCTGGACATGTTAAATTTCTGAAATGAGACTGTGTTGAGATCCCACATCACTTCAGAACTTCAGTTATCTACGAAGCACCAGAAAGCAAAAATGACTGACTAAATTTTACACCAGGAACAGAGAACAGCTCCCTTTTCTTCTAAGCTGATTATTTCTAAAAGTCAGTGGTTGGGTTCATCCCACAGGAACCAGCATAGTGTAGTCACAGAGTAGTTCACAGAAGGTTGATTGTATTATTAGATAACTGAGTTAGCCCTCTATGGCTGCCATAAGAAAACCACACACTGGATGGCTTAAATGACAGAAATTTATTTTCTCACAGTTCTGGACTCTAGTAGTCCAAGGTCAAGGAGCTGACATGGTTGATTTCTGGTGAGGTTTCTCCTTCTCACGGCCTCTTCTCTGTGTGCCCAAAGAGAGAGGGAATTCCTGATTCCTGGTGTCTCTTCTTCTTTTTTGTTTTTTTTTTGAGACAGAGTTTCACTCTCATCGCCCAGGCTGTACTGCAATGATGTGAGCTCAGCTCACTGCAACGACTGCCTCCAGGGTTTGAGTGATTCTCCTGCCTCAGCCTCCTGAGTAGCTGGAATTACAGGTGCCTGCCACCACGCCCAGCTAATTTTTGTATTTTTAGTAGAGATGGGAGTTCACCACGTTGGCCAGGCTGGTCTCGAACTCCTGACCTCAGGTGATCTGCCCGCCTCAGCCTCCCAAAGTGCTTGGATTATAGGCGTAAGCCACTGCACCCGGCACTCTTCCTCTTCTTATAAGGATATCAGTCCTAGATTGGGGCCCCATTTTTATGGCCTCATTTTACCTTAATTATCTTCCCAAAGGCCCTAGCTCCAAATGTGATCACAATGAGAGACAGGGTTTCAACATACAAGTATTGGGAGCAAAATTTAGTCCATCAAGTAACCCTGGTAGAGGAAAGACCAATGGGCAAGCACTTTTGCAAGCTGCATTTATTTAACAGCATATGAGAGCAGTGTGTCAGCTGATAAGCAAGGAGGCAATTATGGTTAACAGGTCTTTGGGGCCAGAAAGGGAAGGAAAGGAGGAGGCCCGCTTTACTCGTACTGTTGTCTGATCAGCATTTCTGATGAGGAGCATTTCCCCACACCTGCAGGACAAATGTATGTTTTACAAATCTACTTTAAAGAGTAGCCTGTCTGAGAGCAAGTTTGCATGCATAAGTTTTTCTTAAACAGATATTAAAAAGTGAATTTGTTCAAAACTGTTAGATTTGCTCCAACTCAATGTAATTTAATTTTGTCCGGGATGAAGGAAGGTAGAAAATAAGAAAAAAGAACAGGGTGTTATAATAAGGAAGGATTAAGATAATAAAGTGAAACTACGATAGTGTAAATTCAAAGTTCAGAATTGGAAATGTTAAAGGTTAGTGCAAAAGGAATTGCAGCCTCAGACCATCAACTTTAAATCATTATAACTAGGCTCAAATACATTTGTATTAATCAAAATAGGAAACATTACAGTCAAGTCATTTTTGCCAATGAGAAATGTTTGTGTATTCCTGTAGCATAAAAATCTGTCTTTGGGATTCGACAAACTCCTGGAAAAACATTTTCTGCATCTTGCTGGTGGTGGAAACGTTTACCCCGCACAAAGTTGTCAAGATGCTTGAAGAAGTGGTTGTTGGTTGGTGAGAGGTCAGGTGATTACGGTGGATGAGGCAAAACTTCATAGCCTAATTTGTTCAACTTTTGAAATGTTCATTGTGTGACTTGCGGTTGAGTGTTGTTGTGGAGAATTGGGCCCTTTCTGCTGATCAATGCCAGCCGCAGGTGTTGCAGTTTTTGGTGTAGCTCATGGATTTGCTGAGCATACTTCTCAGATGTAATGGTTTCACCTGGATTCAGAAAGCTGCAGTGGATCAGACTGGCAGCAGACCACCGAACAGGGACCATGACCTTTCTTTGGTATAATTTTGGTTTGGGGAAGTGCTTTGGAGCTTCTTCTCAGTCCAACCACTGAGCTGGTCATCACTGGTTATAGTATAAAATCTACTTTTCATCGCATGTCACGATCTGATTGAGAAATGGCTTGTTGTTGTTGTGTAGAATAAGATGAAGACAACACTTCAAAATGATGATTTTTTTGATTTTCACTCAGCTCATGAGGCACTCACTTGTCGAGCTTTTTCACCTTTCCAACTTGCTTCACATGCCAAACAACTGTAGAATACTAGACATTGAGTTCTTTGGCAACTCTTGTTGTAGTTGTAAGAGGATCAGCTTTGATGATTGCTCTCAAGTGGCCATTGTCAATTTCCAATGGCCGGCCACTACGTTCCTCATCTTCAAGGCTCTCTTCTCCTTTGCAGAACTTCTTGAACCACCACTGCCATACGCTCATTAGCAGTTCCTGGGCCAAATGCATTGCTGATGTTTTGAGTTGTCTCTGTTGCTTTATGACTCATTTTGAAGTCGAGTAAGAAAATTGCTCAAATTTGCTTTTTGTCTAACATTATTTCCATAGTCTAAAATAAATACAAAATCAGCAGCAAGTAATAAGTTATTAACAAAAAAGCAAGAAATGTGTGTTAAAATGATGTATAACATAACCACATTTAAGAATGTATTCCAATATCAAATGGAAAACTTCAATTATGCAAAAACCACAATTATTTTTGCACCAACCTAATATTAAGGAGAATACTTAGAAAGAAGAGTAAAATGATGGAAAAATAGAGAGAGTGAGAGCAAAAGCAAGGAACAAAACCACAAAATCAGACTCAGATGCTCAAAATCATTTTGTTCCCAAAGACAGAGAAATCAGAAAGGAGGGATTTATGACAGAAATGCTTGAGATTGTCCAGGCTGCATCCTGGAGCAACTTGTTGTTCGCAGAGCACATGAGTGGAAAATCACTCACACCAAGTGACAGCATCATGGAGTTTCAGAACAAAAACCAAAGGAAGATCCCAAAAAGGTTGGAGAAATGGTAAATCAGCAGTCATCCTATAATGAAGGAGTTGATGTAAGGTTCTGCAGTCGCTATCTCAGAAATTAAAACTGCAGTGGAAGAAATGCTTTCAAAATTCCAAGGAAAATGATTTTCAAGCTAAAAGTTTTATACCTCACCCAGCTCACCACTCAAGTATGAGAAAGTAATTCAGACTTTTCAGATAAACAAGACCTAACATTTTTTGGTTTTGTCCTAATTTTTTTTTTTTATTTTCAGGATATAGTCCCCCAAAAGGAGGAAAAGAAGCAAGGAGTAGGAAATCCTGGTATTTGGGCAAAGGGAATGTGATGCTTAATAAAGCACAGTGTGATTCCTGGCTGACGGGGAAGGGAACACTCAGGAGAAAAGCTGAGCTGCTGGCCTGGGAACAACGTCTTGACTGGAGCAGTGAAATCAAAGGCTTCAGGATGCAAGGATGAAATGAACCCGCATGTCTGATGTGTTTGGACTCATTGAAAGGAGAATCACATCTCTGGTAGTTTAAGGATAAACTTGTGATAGACCTATAGTCCATCAAGCATGTGAAAACTTAAGAAAATAGAGATTCATGAGAGAATCAATGTAATACAGTAATTGGCTTAGGTCCACTACTATTTATGTGGTCACAATGACAACAACACTGAATACTGATGTGAACCAAAATGGTGCCTTAATTATTCTGGGTGTGGGGGGAGGATGTGCAAGGAAGTGCAATCCTGATTTTCCACAGTAAGAAACCCATAGTGATACCTGAAATTGACAAGTCAAAAGTTATTAGCATAAACACGTTATTTAGAAAAATAGAGGATGGTACCAGAAGAATTTTTAGGGGATGAGTTAAAATCAAGGGAAAAGATGGGTGGTACATCTTATAAAACATTTTTACTTTTTAAAGTAAGTATACTTTATATGTTGGTTAGGTAATTTTTAAAGATTTAATTATTTAATTAAAATTCAAGTGTGGAATACCTAGGAATTGAAATTGGCAGTGTGGAAGATGTAGGAAATACAGGGGAAATTTCAGTATATGTTTGTTCTACAGAGAACCTGGAAAAGTTAAAAGTCAAAGTCTTGTACATAAATAAATTACTCAAAGATTGATAATTAAGTGGTAAGTTTTCTGGAGCAGGTTGGAGTAACAGGGAACCAAAGAAGGCAGTCCCATGTGGACGAAGCAGTCAAGGGCAGCTTCATGGAGGAGGTGAGACACAACAGGCCCTGGAAGGAGATCTTCATGTAAACTGAGACTTGGCAACATTTTCTGAATGTTTCTGCTGATTTCCTTTCTTTTTTTTTTTTTTTTTTTTAAGATGGAGTCTTACTCTGTCACCTAGGCTGGAGTGTAGTGGTGCGATCTCTGCTCACTGCAACCTCCATCTCCCAGGTTCAAGCAATTCTCTGCCTCAGCCTTCCAAGTAGCTGGGATTATAGGTGCCCGCCACCACGCCTGGCTAATTTTTTTATATTTAGTAGAGATGGGGTTTCACCATGTTGGCCAGGCTGGTCTTGAACTCCTGACCTCACGATCCACCCACCTCGGCCTCCCAAAGTGCTGGGATTACAATCGTGAGCCACCACGCCTGGCTGGTGCTGTTATGATTTCTATTCATTCCTTGATTTAATTCTTGATTTAACTCCATGCAGTAGGTTTTATTGTGATGATCTCTCCTTTTCAGATGAAACCTTGCAAGAGCTATACAAGCTGAGCACCTTGTCTGCACTCACATGAATTTTAAATAGCTAGTTGGGGTTGAATGAGCAACTTACATGATAGTTCAGTGTTCTCATCTGAACAATAAGTATATTAGACTAAGAAAACTCCAAAATCTCTTCCATGCCCCATTCTTTGGTCCTATAATCCTGAAATTGTGACTTCTCTTGGACCTTGGCTAGGGGTGAAGTGGGGGATGAGCGTGCAGCCAGCATGTTCATGTCTTACATTTTTATAATTTAAATATTAGTACCCCTTGCCTCCAAGTTAAAAAAAATAATAATAATAAAAGAAAAGGGGGTGGTGGTTAGGGCTTCAATGTTAAAAAATTCAATAACCCACCAGCTAGTTAGCTCTTGTGACTATAGTTCCTCTTCATCACCAATGCAAGGTGACTAGAGCTTAGCTTCCAAAGTCAGTGAATTCAAGGTTTGGAAAACAGCCCAGTTTATAGTTCAAGCATCTTTAACTTGTATTCTAATTTAGTTGGGTATTTCATTGAGTTACTTGACCCAGAGCAAAGCATTTGATCTCTTCATGAATTCCAGCCTCACGTATAGGCACCTCATACACACTAAGGAGGCTTGAATCTAAGTGTGCTCACTTAGTATTAGGAGTTAAACCTGATAATACTAAATTTCAGCCCAGGCTTTCTTACTGCATTTTCCTACTGGCTGACACAGGGAAGTAGTACATAGTGGTTGAGATCACAGGATTGGGATTCAAGATCTGTCCATAAGTCCTTGCTCTACCCTCGCTGTATGACCTTGATGCTCAACACTCTAGACTCTACTTTCTTACGTGAAAAATAAAGAAAGAAAACAAAGTAGTGCCTACTGAACAAGGCTATTGTATTAAATGAGATATAAACATAAAACTTGTAGCATAGCACTTCAAATTTTATGTTTCAACAAATATCAAGTATGTTTTGTTGTTTTTTTGGTTTGGCATTAATTTGCTTATTTATCTAGATCTATCTATCTATCTATCTATCTATCTATCTATCTATCTATCATCTACCTACCTACCCATCTTTTTCAGGGACTTATTGATAGTATGTATTTTTATCCTTACCCCAATCAAATCGTTGGTTATTTAGGGACCACTTCTGGGTGTTCAGACTTCATAATCAATGACCAGATATACTGTAACCAGCTACTTTGTACTGACTTTCCCACTTCGGTCTCTGGATTTTGTTTTTTCCCAGTCTTATGACACTCTTTTTGAGATGGCTCTAGGAGACTAATATAGTGGTTGTTGGGGCTCAGAACATGCAAAATAACACAAAATATGGCATGCTGTCTTGCCGAGTCCTTAGAACTGAAGGAGATTTGGAAGGACTTCAGCTAGGTCTTCTGGACCTTCTCCCACCCTCCTTTCTTCCTCTCTATTATCTACCAAGTGAGTCACAGAAACTGGAATTTCTATCCTCAAAAACAAGCCATAAAACCCAGGAAGGTCTCTGACCCCCTCCCTTCCCCTTGAAGGTCCTCCGCTGACCAGGGCCCTGTCCCATTCCCCAGGTGATAGGAGGAAGAAATTTCTTACACAGACACAGAAAACAAGCTGAGAAAATAGGCCTTGCTGGGTTCACCCCTCATTTTATTATCTAGATCATAAACTTTTTGTCCAATCATGTTTCTCTATAATCATTCACTTCTCTCATCAGACTTAGAAGTACACAATTTTCCCTGGGTCTTGTAAACTGTGATTAAATAAATTGTTTAAGCCTCTCTCTTGTTATTCTTTTTTTTTTTTTTTTTGAGATGGAGTCTTGCTCTGTTGCCCAGGCTGGAGTGCAGTGGTGTGATCTCGGCTCACTGTAACCTCTGCCTCCCAAGTTCAAGCAATTCTCCTGCCTCAGCTTCCCAAGTAGCTGGAACTACAGGCACTCGCCACCACACTCAGCTAATTTTTGTATTTTTAGTAGAGACGGGGTTTCACTATATTGGCCAGCCTGGTCTTGAACTCCTGACCTTGTGATCTGCCCACTTCGGCCTCCAAAGTGCTGGGATTAGAGGTGTGAGCTACCATGCCCAGCCTTTATTCTGTCTTGTCTTGTAGTAGTGTTGGTCATGACCCCTGCAATAAATGAGGAGAAGATAGTACTTTTTCTCTTCTACATGGTACTAGTTATGCTGAAAAATAAGGTATTCAGAATCAAATTACTCCATGTCCTATGTGTTCCTCTTCTAACAATGACTAGCAGAGCAGCAACTGAGGTAGTTATGTTATCTTTTGGGGACTAAACTTCCTCATCAGCAAATGGGAATGTTGGGACATACTTTGTCCTTAGAAAGTAAGAGTGTGATTGTGAGACTGGGATGGTGAGAATGAGAGATAATGCACAAATGCAGTGCAGAGAACAAAAGCTCAATAAAATATGTTGACATCATTGTTATTACCTGCTCTGGCTAGAAAGAAACTTAACTCATCATTATTCTCACTTCAGAATTTAATCATGGTAAACTCTAAGATTTTATATATTTTATGGAAAAGTGAATCAATTTTTATCTTTTGATTCTCCCTCAAAACTTATGAACATGTTTCTTAAACTGAATGGATTTTTATTTTTTCTCAGAATAGAATCACAAACTGATAAATTGAGTGGAGAGGACCCCAGTATACATCTTATCTGCTCCCCTCCTTTGAAGGGGAAGACACTGAAGTTCCAAGTGGCAAAAACAAAAACAAAAACAAAAACAAACAACAACAACAAAAACACAAAAAAATCTGCCTCAACCCTCCCAGCTCCTTAGGAGAAGAATTCTGCCCTGTTAGAGGAGTCTCACATCTTTATAGAGCAGCATTCTGTGTCTGTTCTCTACTGAGGTTTAATGCATTATTTGACAGCCTCTTTAGCACTTCAGATTATTAAAATTATTAAAACCACTGACAATTAAATCACAACACTATTGTCCTTCTTGCCCCTCATTTCACTCCCAAACTTTAACAAAGCATTTAGCCTCTCTTTTCTGCACAGAAATGCACCCTAATCTTTCCAGTTGACATCTCTAACCTGTTTCAAAACAGGAACAGTGGTGGTATCCGGTAGCCTGTTCCAGTTTCTACAGAGCTATTCAGAAAACTGTTCCTTAAAACTGACAGTCTAGCTCTCATCAGATGGACACTTTCATGTTCAAATCTATGAAAACAGCACTATATCTACTTAACCCTTCTTCATTTTCATCTAAATAATACTAATTCTTCTAATCTCCTTTTGAGTCTGCTTTGTGTGTTGATTATTTCTTGTCTTTTTTCTTTTCTCCAGAGAGAGGTTCCCCAGGTATGGGGGCATTTGTATTTATTTGAATGGACCGAGTGGGATATTCTCCCTGAGAAAAAGACAGGAGCACAGGTTAGGCATTTAGTGTACATTTGTGAGGACGAAAAGAGGCAGAAATTCAAGATGAGAGGCTAACACCATGGTTCTGTACACAGAACAAACGAACACAGACGTTTGTACCCAAGACCACTTCTTGCCTCAAGTTGTGCCCAAGAAGGAAGGCAGGGCTTGAAAGCTCAGTGATGGGCCTGAGCCTTGATTTCAGCTCCAGGTGTTGCTCTTGTATTTTTTTGCTCACCTCTTCTGACCTACCTGGGATCAAATTCTGACCTTTTAACAGTGTGACCTTAGATATTTGACTGCATCTTGCTAATCTTCTCAACTTCTGCATGGTGTAAAATGAAGATGAGAGTTCTTTTCACTAATTCTGGAAGAATCTGAACTGACAGTGTTGAAGTAAGTACCTGGCAAGCAGTTGCTCAACATATGGCTGAGAAAACACTGCTGCTGCTGTTGATGTGGAATCAGGGGAAACAGATAGCATTCATTCCAAATGTTAGGGAGAATAATGTTTTCTTAATCCTTCAGGCTATTAGTTTTAGTAAAACAAACAAAAATCATTTGCTTTGCCAAAGAACCCAAATCTATGAAATTAACCACTTAGACAACTTTCAACAACCAGATAAATTTATGAGTTGGAGGATAGTCTGATCCACAGATAATAGATTCCTAGTTATCAATAGTGATGTGGTAATAAATGGGGTTTCTAGGAGGTGTTTTCACCTTGTGGATAATGTCATGGTAGTTAACTAAATTGTTTTGCACAAAGCATTTCTTGGTGTCTTCTGCCAAAAGTTTATCATCCTGCCATTCAAGAACTAACCAGGCCCAACACTGCTTAGCTTCTGAGATCAGACAGGATCAGCATGGTATGACCATACACAAAAAGGTATCATCCTGAGCTTGAAGGAACATTCATCACATTCAGGGCACAATTTTAAAATTCTTAACATTTTTACCTATGCAATTATTTTTTAAAGAAGTGACTGATGTGATCAGTCTTTGGTCCCATCCTACATGAGCGTTATTATTTTGTGTTCTTTGGCTTGACCTAGCCTCATGGTGGAAAACCGATATTGAAGAAGCAGCGTCTTCTTGCCTAGACCTTTCCTAATGGCATCAAGCTTGAGAGCTGTAAAGCCTGTGCATCTCCCCTGGACCAGCTCTCTCATTTCACATTAGAGGAAATTGCATTGTGGAGAGTTGAAATGTCTAGTCCAAGGTCACACCATGTGTCAGGAATAGATTTGAGGCTAGGATCCAGCCAGGCTTCTGAATATCAGGCCACTGTAATGTCCACTTTCACAGAATAAAAATAAATTAATGGGGGCTGAGAGAAAATGTCACATGCTGAGAAACACTGGTATAAGTGATATAAAATCATCATGTCTCTTCACTGCAGAGGTTCGTTCAGTTTGTTCATATACATTAAAGTGTCAGATTTAGGGAATATACTTTATTTCTCAAATATTTACTCATATGATGCTTTTTATTTGTACAGTATTTTAATTTTTCATGGGAACCCCATGTATAGCTTTTAGGACCTTTTTGCAGACCACAGTTTCAATGGCACTACATTAACTACTTCCTTACATTAACACAAACTAAATCACACCTCAAATTGCAGGACCAGCAACAGCTATTCCTGTATCTCTGAGACCACCAGATACCTGGCCCATAGTGGGAACTATGTGCATTTTGAAGAGTGCTGCATATTTTCATAAGTATAATAACAAATTAGGCCAGTGAGCAGTTAGCCCAATAACTGAACCTAAATGGATTATTTCCATTTAGCCCATCATGCCACTGTTGAGATGCATTTTGATAAATTCTTTCATTAGAAAGGCTTTATTTCTTTTCTTTTCTTTTTTTTTTTCAGAGTTTCACTCTGTTGCCCAGGCTGGAGTACAGTGGCACAATCTCTGCTCACTGCAACCTCCACCTCCCAGGTTCTAGTGATTCTCCTGCCTCAGCCTCCCGAGTAGCTGGGACTACAGGTGCGTGCCACCATGCCCGCCTGGCCAATTTTTTATATTTTTAGTAGAGATGGGGTTTCACTATGTTGGCCAGGATGGTCTCCATCTCCTGACCTCCTGATCCCCCTCCTCGGCCTCCCAAAGTGTTGGGATTACAGGCGTGAGCCATCGCACCTAGCCAGAAAGACCTTATTTCTAAGTGTCCTTCAGTTAGAAAAATAATAATCAGGCTTCTGAAAGAGTTGCCTTAATATAAGGTTAACATTCAAAGAATACATATAAAACTTAACATGGAAATTCAATAAATATTCAACAATAAGAAACTAGGGATAATTGCTAAGTTTTCTAGGATACACAAGTTATTTACTTTCCTTCAAGGTTTTCAGGAATATATTCAACACTTTATTTTTGTCTTTACCAAATTCAAAATATTCTGTCGGATAGAATTTCAAATACCTGATTTTTTGAACTCTCCTCACAGTCCTCTCCTGTTCCACACTTCTCACTGAAGTCTCCATGCAATTTCAGTTTGACCCTTAACTATTGACCCGTTCAACAACATGAACATAGAGGCCCCAAAGCCTTGTATGTGCTCAGCAGCACATAAGGGATAGTGTGGTATAAGGGATAGTGTGTACTCAGTGTTGGCCACTGCCCTCAGGAAGCTCAGAAACTGACGGGTAATCCTAGAAAGAGATAATTGGCAAACACCATCCTAGTAACAGAGGCATACAAAAGTTGCAAGAGGAGGAAAGCTGAGGGGTACACGTCTGTGTCATACAGAAAGAGCACAATGGAGAAAGGGTCCTTCCTTTGGCCTTTATTCATACTAAAGGTGTGGTCTTATTTGACCCCACTTTGTTTTTTTCTCTACAAATCCTCCCTTTCTGAATTTAGGTGTGTTTTCTCCTGTCATTCAGGTTCATCAAATTTTGTCACCCTTTTCTCAGTAGTAACCTTTGGCCAGCATATCCTGTCACTTTAAAATATATTCATTTCTTTCACATTCACAGATTTTCCTAGTGAGGTTTATCTATATATTTGATAAGCATATTATCATTCGTGTAAGTGGAGTTATTGTAGATTTGCAGTATAACATACTCTAGGACTAATTATTGCAAAATAGTAAGTATGGCCTTAGTTGAGATTGAGTTATAGAAAGTCACTCTAAAAGTCAGTTATTCTTCCACCAAAGTGTTATACTCAAGTCTGCAGCATCCGTGATTATGGAGAACATCTTTTGAGACAGAAATCATCAAAGCCTTTTTAAAAATAGATAGATTGTGGTTATTGTTTCTACCTTGTTCCTACATTCCTGTACATTTTCACTGAAACAAACTAAATTGGTATCGAAAGGCTTGTTCTTTTTGGAGTCTTGTGTTATAATGTCATAACATCTCATGCTGTTTTAAAGCATGATTACCCCAGATGGGTTATATGATGGTTCACCGTACCTTTCTTGTTTTCTGACTGGCCTGAAACTTTTCAGAATGTCTCCTTTCCCCTCCTAAGGACAAGTATCTAGAGTCAATGCTAGGGATTATGGCCAAGTGCACTGAAAGCCCAGAAAGGCATGGCATTCAACTCTTCTGATCTGGGTGTGACACCGCTCCTGGGTTTTTCTTTATCTTTCAGCATGTAGGTTTGACCTTGCCACAAAGCTGACAGTTATTCAACTCGAAAATTCACATCCAGCTTTTTTAAAAGTGAGCAATGAGGAAGCCATACAAACTTTTAGTATTTTTATGGCTTTCTATAAAGGGCTCTTCTTTCTAGCAAGCAAAAACTTTTTGGCCAATTATTGAATGTGAACTTATATCATTAATTTTCTCTTTTTTGCTTACAAGTGCCTTCCAGCTGTAGGCTTCCTTGTTTTGTCCTTAAACAGCCTTTTTACTTCTTTATGCTTTTTGCTTAACTGCCTTGTTTGTATTATTTATCCTAACTCAAAAATGCGGATCTGAAGTTATGTAATTTGACCCACCATCCGTGAGATGCTCATTCTAATCAGACCATTTTCCGAAAACCTGGGGACAAGATCACCAGTTGGATTGTTCCAGACACGCTAAGCCCTGCCATTTCTCACAAAGGTTTTAGGTGATCAATATCTCATGACATACCTATTACTCATGTAAAGCACATGTTTGGAAGCTTAGAATTATTCTATAGACATTTCTATACATTAGCATCATCTATGCTAAGCAAACAAAACTCCCCTTCTCCACAATATAATTATTTTCTTTAAAGTGGCCCACTTAGCCTGATTAACTTGATTGTACAATTAAATGCATAATCCAGTCATGTTCCTGAGACTTGTGCAGAAGTTTTAAACTTCCTCTGGGTCCTCCAACCCAGACAAACAAGATTCCAACAAATAAGAGTTTATTTCTATCATTTAAGTCAAATGTTTATATGTTTTATGGCTGGAAAATATTTTCATATTCACAACCTCTTCTTTTTAAAAGAAAAAAAATTTTCATGGGAACTCTTTTAATTAAAAGCAAGAAACTGGGATTATCTTGTTCATCACTGTCAATGCTGTGACCCAAAAATCCAAAAGGCCCCTTTGCTTTAAATCCTTCCCTATTCAGCTCAAGAGTAGTCTTGGACTTTTGAATTCCACACCTTTCCGAAAGCTAGCCCTCGGTATTTTCAGCCTCATTTTCTAAGTGCAAGTGCGCACTTTAATAGTATCAGTTTCCAAGAGGTAAAGAGCATTTATTTCTTATCTCTGCTTCTCATACTAAAATAGGCTAGACTTTGAATTCAATTAATATTTGTCTTATTCTGGAGTCAGAAAAAACACAACCTGCGAGTAAAAGCAGGCCAAGTGCCTGTTTTTGTAAAGCCTATGAGCTAAGGTTTTTGTTTTGCATTTTAAGTGGCTGAAAAAAATTAAAAACACACCAATATTATATGAAATTTACATTTCAGCTTTTCTGCACAAAGTTCTATGGAACACAACCAAGTTCATTCATTTATGGAGTGCCCACAACTTCTGTCACACTACAATGGCAGAGTGAAGTAGTTGCAACAGAGACTGGCCCTTGAAACCTAAAATATTTACTATCTGTTCATTTACAGAAAAGATTTCTCAATCCCTACTGTAATTGATGGATATTTTCTCCTCCTCCTGGCTTGCAGGTGTAATACCAATAACTGATAACTGATATCAATAGCTAATATTGCTCTGTATAATTTAGAAATATACTTCCACATTGTTCATTTTATTACTCGTAATAACTCAGTGAGTGGAATATTTTATATACATACTACAAATTAGACACCCAAAGCTCAAGATAGTGATTCATCTATCACTAGGAAGAAGATGGCTGGGATGAAATGAAGCCTTCCAATACCAAATCTCGTCTGATACATGCTTGGAAACAATGTGCCCTAAATATAATTCTGTTTCACTTTAACATGTGCCCTATTGTGTCCAGAGTTGTACCTTCTGGTGGGTTCGTGGTCTGGCTGACTTCAAGATTTAGGCTGTGGACCTTCGCAGTGACTGTTACAGTTCTCAAAGGTGACACAGACACAGAGAGTGAGCAGCAGCAAGACTTGTTGTGAAGATTTAAAGAACAAAGCGTCCACAGTATGGAAGGTGACCCAAGTGGCCTGCCACTGCTGGCTGGGGTGGCCAGCTTTTATTCCTTTATTTGTCCCACCCATGTCCTGCTGATTGGTCCATTTTAGAGAGTGTTGGTTCGTCCATTTTACAGAGTGCTGATTGGTCCATTTTACAAACCTCTAAGCTAGCCACAGAGCACTGATTGGTCCATTTTACAAACCTCTAGCTAGCCACAGAGTGCTGATTGGTGCATTTTTACAGAGTACTGATTGGCACATTTTACAAACCTCTAGCTAGCCACAGAGCACTGATTGGTGCATTTTTACAGAGCACTGATTGGTGCATTTTAGAAACCTCTGGCTAGCTGCAGAGTGCTGATTAGTGGGTTTTACAGTCCTAGCTACAGAGTGCTGATTGGTGCATTTTACTATCCTCTTGTAAAACAGAAAAGTTCTCCAAGTCCCCACTTGACCCACGAAGTCCAGCTGGCTTCACCTCTCACTATTTGTTGCCTTTGTTCCCTTAGCCCATAAGTGGAAACTTTGATATAAAAGGTCATTCTCCCCTCTTTGCTGTGCCGTCTGTCATTTTTAAACAACAATTTTCTAAACTTATTCTAACCTATATTGAGCTATGTACAATTTCCTGAATTGTCTTCTTTCAAATGCTACTTCCTCTCTCTTGAGTACTATTTTCCACCTAAATTTTAATCATGCTCTAGGCCTGGGAGACACAGCTGGAACAACAGCTCCCTCAGCCAGGTGCCCTCTCATATGTGCTAATCAGAACACTGGGTTATTCTCTACAGCACCTGCTATACAGGCTTGTTGCTCACCTGCTGACCTCCACTACATCACCATGGCCCCTAGCAAGCAGAAGCCACGTCTTATTATGTGATTATTCCCATTATCTTACACAAAATATACATCAAAAGGGCTGACCAACATTTGTTTAAAGAGTCAATGAATTAGGGAGGGAATGAGTAGTTTCTCACGGATAATATAAAATAAGAGTAGTATTAGACACTACAATATTAACACAAAAAGTCATCTCACAGGCCAGGTGTGGTGGCTCACGCCTGTAATCCTAGCACTTTGGGAGACAGAGGCAGGCTGATCACCTGAGGTCAGGGGTGCGGGACCAGCCTGGCCAACATGTCGAAACCTCATATCTACTAAAAGTACAAAAATTAGCAAAATTAGTTGAGCATGGTGGTGCATGCCTGTAATCCCAGCTACTCAGGAGGCTGAGGCAGGAGAATCGCTTGAACCAGGAGGTGGAGGTTGCAGTGAGCTGAGATCACACCACTGCACTCCAGCCTGGGGAACGGAGTGAGACTCTGTCTCAAAAAAAAAAAAAAAAAAAAAGAAAGAAAGTCATTTCACACATTCTAAGGAATGATAAAATAAGAAGATATTGTTTCATGTCAAATAAAATGCTAAAGAACCTATATGCAGACAGACACTGAGTTGATCCCTGTCTATTTGTCTTCTAGCAGCTTGATTTCTAAGTTTGCCCACTTTTTAGAATTTATTTACTTAATTATTTGTGTGTTTATTTTTTAGAGAGGGGTTCTCGCTATGTTGCCGAAGCTGGAGTGCAGTGGCTATTCACAGGTGTCATCACAGATCATTTCAGCTTTCAACTCCTGGCCTTAGTGATTCTCCCACCTTAGCTTCCCTAGTAGCTGTGACTACCGCTTGTTAGAATTTAAATAGAGAAAGCATAAATGGGATGTTTAGCATCTAACACACTGCAGGCTCTCAATTAACGTTGCATCATAGGGTTTGCTCAATGAGCTTACCAGCTTACCAGCTCCTTCACAGAAACCCAAAGGGAAGACCCGCAGGATAGGAGTGAACTCTTATATGAATGTACCCTCGAGATTCCAAGATGGGTGCCATGCGTGCTGAATAAGTTCTCTCTGTTTACTGGTGAGAGCACTTGATTTCTACTTGGTCATAAGTTTATGTACTAAAAGATGTTTCCTATTGGCCCCAGCTTTAGGTAAATATTATTCCTCCAGGGAATGTTTTACCGTCTTAGACATCCACAAAAAAATTCCAGTTGCTCTCCCGACTCACCAAGGATTGGTCCTGAGAGTAGGCACATCAGGAAGCAATGCTGGTGGGCATGGAATGACTCTAACAGTACTGTGTCCCACTCTCTTGCTGCCTCTGTTTCAAGGTTGGTTCAGTGTAGCTCGCCTGAGAAAGCCTCATTTTCATATTAATGGCCTTTACCAACTCTCTTTAGTATCTCTTTATGTTTTTGGAGGGAGATGTTTTTTGTTGTTGATTTTTGCTTTTTGTAGTTTCATTAAGCAGAAGAATTCTGGGACAGAGCAGTTGCACTACAGTGAAAATGAATCACTTGAATTAGTTGTGGAGCACCTAGGTTGAGCAAGGTGTGGTTTAAGCCAAAATGTGTTAGATATTTACCAGCTCCACTAGCCAGCAGTATGATTCTGGGAAGTAGGTATTGTTTCCTGAAAATAGAAAAATTCCAGTTTTCCAGGTGAGAAATTGAATAACAGGGTAAGAGCTTTGCCCAAAGCCACATTGATAATAATGAACAAATGGATGTTGAATTCAAGTGTTTGTGACATCAGACTATGTATTACTTTTAACAACTTAATTTTCTTAGGCTAGATGTTCTTATCTACAGAATGAGAAAAATATTGCCCCTGATGGTTTTATTATGACAATAAGAGGTAACATATAAAGAACTGTACACACAATAGATCTGCAAAAATGGTAATATTCTATTATTTTATTTATTACTATTGTACATTCATGAAGATATTTGACTCATTCTAATTCTCTTCATAAAGCCAGCATTTATTTTTTCCCCAATTTTTTAAAATTGCGGTTAAGTACACATAACAATATGTACCATCTTTGCACATTTTTTTGTATATAGTTCAGTGGTTTCTTAAAAAATTTTCTTTTAATCCTTGCTAGCAGGAAGTCAAGTTCAGTGATATTAAGTACACTTAACATTGTTGTGCAACCATCACCACCGTCCATCTTCAGAACTCTTTGCATCTTCCCAAATTGCTCGGAAAGATGGAATTGAACCTCAGTAGTCATCAAATAGTGACTCTTCATTTTCTTTTTGTTACCACCCCCTGCACCTCCCGCCATCCTTGGCAACCATCATTCTACTTTCTGTCTCTATGACGTTGACTATTCTAAACACTTCATAGAAATAAAGCCTGTATTTCTTAAATAAGAGCTTCACACACAACCAAGGGTCCTGGGAGAGAGGGACAGGATGTCACAGTCTCCAAACCAAAGTGTCAGGAAAGTGAGAGCTGCCATGTCTGCCCTTTCACAGAGAGCATTCTTGTGCACTTTCAGCTGATGGCATTTCTCCTCCACGCAGGTGAAAGATGTGCTGTAAGACAGGTTTGAATTCTCTAAGACCCTTTCCAACAGTTGGAGTGCTTCAGAGGACATGGCTGAACTGGATTTACCTTTTCTACCAGTCAGCGCTGTCATTAGGGCTCCTGTTTCCTCCCCATGGAAGGATTTCACATTCATGGACTTGGCTCTCAGCAACCCCTGTGTGTTGGTGTCAGACTGAGCTCAGCCATTGCTCTCATGCATTCAAAATGCTTTTCAGCCTGGCCTCTGGCTCAGAGGAGCAGGCACTGTGAGATTATTTACCTGATAAGAGGCCAGGAGAAGTTTCTTTTTGAACCACCATGAAAATTAAAATAAATGCATACCGACTTTGCAGTAGGCTGAATGTTTGCATTCCCCACAAAATTCATACACTGAAAACCCAACCTGTAAAGTGAGCGTATTAGACAGTGAGGCCTTCTGAGTGTGGAGCCCTCATGAATGGGATTAGTGCTCTTGTAAAATAGACTCAACAGAGCTCCCTCTTCCACGTTCTACCACATGAGGATGCAAGAGCAGATGGCCTGACCTTGCTGGCACCCTGATCTTGAACTTCCAGCCTCCAGAAATGTAAGCAATAAATTTCTCTTGTTTATAAACCACCCAGTTTATGGTATTTTGTTATAGCAGTTTGAATGGGCTAAGACATCGTTTACAAATTTGAGTATTTTTAAATAACTTTAGTTTTTTTTTTCCCCCACATACTGTATGTCTGCTTGGACTAAAAGACATCTTTTTCTCCTTTAATTCATTGGCCTACACCAAATGCAGGGATGAAAAAGAGACCTCAAACTAACATAGTCCTTCATGAACTTCCCGTTTTACTCTGATTCTGCTATGCCACTAGAATCAAGCTCATGATAAAAGAAGGGAGAGAAGCTAAAATTTTTTCTGAGGATATGAATATTGTTTAAACACCTTTTGACAACCTAAAAACACTCATATATGTACCACAGACTGTTCTAAGCCTTTAACAAAATTAAACTAATGGTATCCCTATAACAGCCTTATGAGGAAGATGCTGTTATTCCTATGCGGTACCATGCTTAGGTTGATGATGAGGCCGCTAAGGAATATGATTGTATTAGTTTTCTATTGCTGTGTAACAAATTACCACAAATTTAATAGCTTAAAACAAAACAAAAAAATACAATAAAATCTTTTGAGTGACGAGGAATTGAAACTCAGAGACGAGATGAGAAGGCACTTATCCACTTACTATCCCTCAGCTACCAATTAAAAGAGTTAACATGCTGGCTGAGCACGGTGGCTCACTCCTGTAATCCTAGCATTTTGGGAGGCCTACATGGGTGGATCACCTGAGTTCAGGAGTTCGAGACCTGCCTGGCCAATATAGTGAAACCCCGTCTCCACTAAAAATACAAAAATTAACTGGGTGTGGTGATTCACTTCTCTACCTCTGGAGGCTATTCGGGAGGCTGAGGCAGGAGAATTGCTTGAACCTGGGAGGTAGAGGTTGCAGTGAGATGAGATCATGCCACTGCACTCCAGCCTGGGGGACAGAGTGACAGTCTGTCTCAAAAAAAAAACAAAAAACAGAAACATTTTAAGTCATGACTCTGTCTAAAAGCCTGTAAGGCCAATTTCTTTGCTGTCACAAATTATCACATTTCTTTTAAGATAATTGATTCATTTCATTATTTAGGTTCACAACCTTTCTTTCAAGGGAGACATCTCAAAGGCTCTCGGCATATGATTTATTAAAGGTCACAGACCTAATTTATGGCAGAGCCAGAATTAGACTTATTTCTAGCCCGATTTGCTTACAAATCACGATTGACCCCCTCATGCCGAACTAAGCATGATTGCCTTTTCTATGCCTCACTTTATTTGATTCTGTGTGATATGTGTGTTTATTTCCTATAGATTAGAATATGATGAAAAAATTAAGTAATGACACACAGCATTGTAGAGAGCCCCTGACCATGTAATCTCCATGGTTGGTGAGTGTGCATGATCTCATTCAATCCTCAGGATCTGTGAAGTTGTTTTGGTTTGGTTTTATTTTGTTTCCCAATTTTTATCTGCAAAATATAAGGGTTACATTGGTTAATTTATTTCAAATCACAAAATTAGGGAAAGGGGTTTTATGTTATTTGAGCCCCAGTCTTCCAGGCTCTGATGTTCACGCGTCTCTACTGCTCATAGGCCCTGAGCCTTGTTCCACGCCTCCCCAGCGCTTCACCAACTTTTCAGCTGACTCCAATCATATTTTCTCCCAACTTCTTCATTACATGGCTCTAGAAAGGGTCATCAGTGCCTTAATCTTGCTAGGCCTGTGGCTTTTATTTATTCTCACCTGTCTTAGTTTCTCAGTAGCATCTAATAACTCTCTGCTTCCTCCTGATGAAGCACTTTGTAGTCAGGGCTCCAACTGACTCACCTGGTTTTCCTCGTCCTTCAGTGCACCTTTACAGGTTCCCTTGTGTAGCTTATCCTTCTAGAACATCCATTGTTTCTAGACCTATGTCCTAGTTATACTCCTGCCGTAGATGATGCCAACTTGTGTGCATGTGTGTGTATGCACACATGGCCGTGTGTGTGGATATACCTATTCATACGTAGACATATACACATATACACATCTCTCAAGTGTCTGCGAACCAGACCTCACTGCTGAACTGCAGACATGTACCCAGCCACTTACCTTCCATCTATACTTGCTGCCTAGTTAAACCTCAAATTTAACAAAATCTGAAATTAAACTTGTCTACCCTTCTCATTTTACAGACACCATTTTCCAAAACAAAATAAAACAAAAACTCTGCACCAATCTACTCAGGTGCATAAGCCCCAAATCCAAGCTTTCTTGATTGTTTTCTCCCCCACACACTCTCTTTCCAATCCACCATCCCTGTTGTTTCTGTCCAGACCCAGCTACTACTAGAATCTTTCCTACTACAGTGCTAGTCCAAGCCAGCACCACCCTCCCTCAGGCTTTTGAAATGGCCCCTAACTGTTCTCTCCTCCTCTTCTCCTATCCTGCTATTGTCCCTTCTCCAAAGGACCATAAACCAAGTTAGGTTTTACTTAAGGGTAAATCTGGTAGTGTCTCTCTTCTGTTGAAATTACCGTCCGTTTTAAATTTCTGTGTGTGTGTGCTGACTACCTCATACATAGAAGGCTTAATAAGCACCACATGAAGTGGGTTCTGTTTCACAGCAGTGTTTGTTTAGTCTCAAACACATAGGGTTAAGGTCCTTTGTAAGAAAAAGATGTAGGGCAGGAGGCAGAATAAATACAGTTCCTGTGAGTGGGCACTGATGAGGATGGAGGAGAGTCTGAAGTTTCACGTGGGTAGCTGAAACCAAGGTGGCTCCAGAACACTGAAGCTGACATTGACTGAATCAATGAGCTTGCTCTTGTACACATTTGAGCCAGGCGTGTCGCCTGGGATAACTCAGCTCAGCGATGAGGGAGCCCAGGACAGCACTTTTAGCCATGCTGAAATCAATAAACCCAGCCAGTGGGAGTTTCGTGTTTCTCCAGCAACCCCACAGGTTATGTTGTCTGTGAGTTAATGGTCTAAGGATTGAGAATGGGAGCTAAGGGATTAATTGTTTGACTCTTCATTAACTCAAGAAAACACAGCAAGGCACATTTGTCTTCCACACAAAATCATACAAAATGTTCTCTTTATTAAATATACATTATTTACAGTTTGTCTTTCTTCTGTACAACAATAACCATAGAAAACAAAGAAATCTAAGGCTAACTTTTATTTTTTCCCCATACAGTGTATTAAGACATGTTACATGGTCTACAAAACTGACTTGGAATGAGGCAACATCACTTGGGATTTTATTTTAGGAACAAAAATCAGAAGATAAAAAGGAAAAGGTAGACTCCAGCATTTCCACAAAAAGATGACCTGTTTTGTGCTTTTACCATAATAAAGAGTCTGACATATGTGTATTTTTGTGGGGAGGGTATTCTGCAATTTATTACTTGTTGAAATACCCTCCCCACTCTTTCTCATTCCCTGAAAAGGAGGGCCTGAACATGCCATAGGAAGACTTACTTCCCATCTGAAACAGACACTGTAATGCTCTATCTTAGGAATCAGCAAACCGTAACCTATGAACTAAATTAGATTTTGTAAATAAAGTTATATTGGAACATGGCCATGGGTATTCATTTATACATGGCTGCCTTTCTGCCCTAGGCTAGTGACTAAGGAAAATGTTAGTCCAAGGCAACACAGGATATCAGGAGGCCTGTCAACTGCCAGATTCAGAAAGAGAAAATTCTTGGTCTTTGTCCTCACTAAAGGCAGTCTCTTTCTCAATGTAACTATGCTGCTTTAAGCAAAGTTTGGTATTTTTTGCAACAGTATTTAAGGCAGGACAAGGTTACACAGGTTGATACTACCTTTCAAAGAGAATAGACTAGGTGAATATTTCATGTAAAATGTTTGTGATAGAGGCTGACTCTGATGGGAAAGTATGCCCAGGCTGATGCCCGTTAATATTTTCCCTTCAAGGTTTCTTGAAAGAGAAAGCCTTTCAAAGAGTCTGTAGAGGAATGCATTATTCCTGTTTCATATCCAGCACTTTGTTCACGTTCTCTGAAGATATTTCTGGCATCTGAAGCATGTAAGACTATGACACTCGTTAAAATAAGACCAGGCGTTAATCACTAACACAATTATCTTCACCTTTGGTCTTGGCTTGGGACTAATCTCCTAATTTTGTCCTATTTTATAAAGGGTTTCCTTGTGTCAACTGGAAGGACTGAGAAAAAATAGTGTTCCCAGATGGTGTTAGATGGTAGGTCCCTGGCGGTACTCGTTGTCAGGGCTGGGACACTACACTCCTTCTTACAGTTATGTTATGCTTATTCATGTCAGGATGAATGGAAGGAAAAGAAAGACACTGGATGGATTCCAGAATCTGAGGACTTCCACTCACAGGGGCTCTGATTGATAATAGACCTAGGGCAGTTTTCTGACAGTTTCATTTCCTGAAAGTTGCATCTGGGTGCTTAACCTGGGCAGGTTAGATAATTATAATAATAGTTCTAAAGCACTCTGAGAAAATCCTGAAAAAAAATTTAAAAATTGAAAAAAAAGAATGTGACTGAAGAAGTGTTGGAAGGTAAAAAAAATCATGCAAATGTGAGTAAAGAATTATTCATGCAAAGCCCATGATATTGCCTCTTTCCCTAATGAGTAAGACAATGATCCAAATGCACTAAAGAGACTCCTGAGTGAGGAGCCATGAAAGTGGAAAGGCTGCCACCACTGATTCATGGTGGAAGCAATTTCCTTCCTCACCTCAGATGGCCACCAATTACTGCCACTGGCCCCTCTTCCTCCTCGTCAAGTTCGCAGCAGGTGTGGTTGAAACCAAAACCAACTTTTGCATTAACCTTTGTTCATGTCTGCTCAGCCATTTTGTAGACTATAAACATTACATAAGACAGACATCTAGCTTACAAAGTACAATATTTCACTAGAAAATGTGCTTTTCTGTTCTTCCTCAGAGTACCTTAGTGCAAAATAAGATAAAATAATCACTGAAAAATAGCAAACCGGTTAATTATTAAAACCTTATATGAAGGATTCAAATAATTGTCAACATAAAAGAGGAATGCTTCTCTCCCTACCAAACAGATATGTATGTAGAATGTTCAAGAGAAAAGTTGAATAACAGCCCTATTTGTACAAAGTGTGCATGTGAGCGTGCGTGTGTGTGTTGCATTTTTTCCCCTTTAGGTGGTTCAAATTTGGAATTTGTGAAGGCAGAGCTGATAATTAGAGACAATAAAAATCTGCAGAGTAGATGGTTCCACAAACAAGACTATGAAAGAGGGGATAAAAGAAGAGGTCAAGAAAGACTCAAGAACAGTATATAGAAATAATTCAATTACATTATGTGTATTTTAAAGAAAACATGTTCAAACTGCATGAGACAGAAAATAGCACTCAGTTATCCTCCTAGACTTCTGAAAGTTTTGAGTTTGTCTGCATCTTCTTCCATTAATCGCCTTTGCCATCTTCAGAAACAATGAAGTCAGTTTATTTATTTAGTCGATACATGACCTGTAGGATAATTGAGGACTAAGTATGTCCAAGCCTTTTCATTAAGGAAGAATGACTGGCAGAACCATACAGGTATCCCAAAGGCCTTTTGGTAGGCTACAGCTGCAATGAGGTTTTGATGGATGGTAGCTATGGGGAAGCTTAAAGGAAGCTAGGGCAGTTGGTGAACAGTCTGTCAAGACCTTTCCTTTCCTAAGAAAAAATTCAACAGGTCTCATCCTCATCTCCCTGGATATCTTGGACTGGATAAGTTGGCTGTGCTTGCACCCTCCCAGTGCAACTCTTCTAACTGAATTAACTTCCTGCAGAGAGGGAGCAAGTATGACCTTCAAGACAGGAAACACTCACTCAGGCTCAGAGGTGAGACCTCACATAAATGGACAACATTTTTTTAGTCAATTACTGATGGAAGGGTAGACTTCAGTTAGGTTCAGAAATGTTATGTAGAGTCAAAATGGCTCATCAGGACTAAGGAGGGTTTTAGGAAGAGCTGGATGACAACCAAACCACCTTCAGGAACATCTGGAAGAACAACGGCATGCAATAGGTCATAAACACATGGCTGTGGAAGAACTGAGAAAAGGGAAGGAGAGGGGCCAAAGTGGACACTCTTAGGTCCAACTCATGGGAGGCAAGACTTTTGGAATCCCCCAACCTGACCCGAAACAAGAATGTAGAGAATTCAGCCTCCTCAAATGTATGGCAGAGACAGAGACCATCTATTCTTACTGTTCCTAAAAGTCAATCCACCCCTTTCTACAGAAATCTATATGCATTGATAGATATCTACTTTGAGGAGGAGAAACAAAACAGCTTACAGAAGGTGGAAGCAGTAATTTAAAAAATAACAGATATTTCCCAGAAATTTACATTTCTTTCAGTCTGGCAGATGCTTCACAAAAATAATTGTGCGGGACCTTGTGCTGCATTCTAGGACACTTTATGTGTGGCCCTGTTGCAACAATACATGCCTTGCCAGCTAGACTTTGAGCTCCCCAAGGGCAAAAACAAGGTGTAATTTATATATGTTCACCCAATGCCTAGCCCGGCACTCATTGGCATTCCATAAATACTTCATGAATGAAAAAAGAAAAACAATCTCTTTATTTTGTTCTATCCTGCTCTTGCTACCCGTTGGTGGAGATGAGTCTGACAAAAGGTAGAAGTCAAGTTAATACCATCTCTGTTATTACTAAGGAGAGGAAAAAAGTTGTTTTAAAACATCACCGCTAGGATCCTTAAAATCTTCTGCATACAGCAGAGGGTAAATAGAAGAGGCAAAGTTAGTCATAAAAATATGTCTATAGAAATGACAAATGTCTATTTCTCCAGACAAATTTTCATAAAGATGGCAATTGAGGCTATATATGCAATAAATGATGCAGTAGGATAAATATATTTTAGAGTAAGCAAATATACTGTTGCTTACATAAATAGATTTGTTTGGTGGAAAAAAATATCAATGAAACAGCTCCATTAAAATGTGAAATTTCACAAGTACTTTTGGCTTTACTGTAAAGTGATCCATATTCCATAAGATCTTTTTGTAAACAGCAGTTATTGAAGGCTGAGGATTTAAGTGGAAGAGATCATGGTGGCCCAGTTGGCCAGAGCATGTAGTTGGGAAACCTGAATGTGGTAGGAAAAAGAAAAAAAAAATGGTTAAAGAGAGATTAAGATGCTTTCAAAGTCTCCTTCGAGATGATAATTGCAGAAGGATTAAAACACTCACACAATTGAACAATTACATAAAACTACATAGATCTTGGTACCACTGAGGAAAGACAGTCAGAGTTAGCACGATTTCTAATTGTAAATTACATTCTACTTTGGAGGGTACGGATCACTTGCATTTCATATATATCTAGTGAAAGTTAGTGTTCTCTGGGGTTATGAAATAATTCAACCCTGTAAAAATAATTCTGCTTTAGCCCTGAGACTACTTATAGGAGTGACGTGTAGACGGCACTGTCCTGGCATCTACATTTAGGTCTGTGGTATGTAGTGTGCATGGAGTCTACACACGTGAGGAAGATGCCAGTTGATTTTGTAGTGCCATTGTGGTCAGGATAGAGCTTCACAGATTCTTCATCCTACAGGACAATCTACAAGCATATATACTTAGATGAGAAAATCAAATACTCTGAGTTAGCCTTTGCTAGTCTCCATTTCTTCTATTAGCACTATGTCAGCAAAACATAGTCCTCACTGCTCAAAGATTGAATAATGAAGAGTTCCAGCTTTATTACTCATACCTTCCTTTGCCTTTCTATTTCATTATTGGAGCTGCTTCAGGCTAAACCTACTACACTTCATGGTGACTTTTATTTCAGGGGACAAAGGAATATATAGCCAAGCAAAAGGCTGATTTATATAGCCTTTTTATGGAAATAGAAAATTCAAAAATGAAAATTGAAGAAAGG
The DNA here is from genome assembly GCF_000001405.40 of Homo sapiens. Taxonomy (NCBI): domain Eukaryota; kingdom Metazoa; phylum Chordata; class Mammalia; order Primates; family Hominidae; genus Homo; species Homo sapiens. Next base: position 124,916,353 of record NC_000002.12, on the reverse strand, counting down.
GAGGAAAGGGCAGGGGAAAACAGTGTTTAAAGATCCTTCATCTTACTAAAGAATCATTCATCTTATTAAAACTAAAAGGAGAGAAATGATATCATGGTTAAAATCACTTTAAAATAAATGTACTAGCCAAAAGATATCATGTAGATGATAAAGCGATTGAGCTCAAATCCACAGAAAATTTCGAGGAGAGAATATGCATTTGAAACAACATCTTAAAATAGAGAAATATGATTGCAAACTAAATCCTTAACTCATAAGCTCTGAAACTGAAAGAAAAGCTGTGTTTGAAATGGAATGAAGCAACTAAGTTCCTCATTGTGAGAGGCGAGAGACAGTGTACCCTAAGCACAAGTTGGAATGTCTGCTAACTGTCAAGGATGGCAAATAGAGCTGTGGTCATTGTTTTCTAAATTGAATCTGCCTCATAAAGAGAATCAGCAAGTATTTTCCACACCTAAGAATCATTACATGAGCATTTCCACTATCTTGGAGCATTTACATTGTCTTCTCCTTACCTTTTTCTCCAAGATGGCCCAGGACAAAGAATGATGCATATTGCCACAGAAAAATCATTAAGATCTTTACCGCCACCCCATGGATGAGCTCAAGGTGCCTTCTTGAAGGAATGACTGTTTTCAATGCTTTGTTACCAAAAGGGACAAAGACCCTGAAATTTGTCACCACCTCTTTTGGGAGTTTAAGCCTATAAAAAGATGTTTGGAAGGGTCTTTATGTATATAGGGTATAGCAGATTTGAAAATGTGGTATGCTACAGAACCTAAGGGCTCCTCTGAAATCAAGCAATGCTAGTTAGCTAGAGGTGACCATTTCACTTATGTTAATGCATCCTAAACTTCTTGGAGAATAGCTTGATGTTAAAAAATGTGAAACTTGCAAATTTGAATTAACTATCTTCACCAGGTCTTTAGTGAGTGAATGGAAGGGAAGAATTCTGTTTGGTATTTTTCTTCTTTCATGCAGTTTTTTTTTCATTTTTTCCTGATTTAATTTTTGTTTTAAAGCTGAGTTAAGATGGTTTAGGCTCTTTCATTGAACCGGGTACTATTTTAAACTTTTATTTCAATTTCTTTATGCTGCAGCAACATATATGTGTGCGTGTGTGTATATATATATATGTGTGTGTGTGTGTGTGTGTGTATATATACTCACATATATATATACATATATACACATATGTGTGTGTGTGTGTATATATATATATCTCAGTATAATAATCCCAGGAATACCTAGCTAGCATTCTTACAAAATTGGAGGAGGCATTTTGAAGATATGGAACATCTACTTCCTAGAAGCTTTCTTGTTACCTCCTAGTTTCAAGCTGCTATTTCCATGCATCCCCTAGCTTTATGCTATGGTGTGCTGTCCCAACGTGTCGGCCCCAGGAGAGAGTGGTAAGAAAGGAACAAAGTAGTTTTGGTCACTACTATCAGCAATCATATATTTGAAAATACTCAGGGTCTAAGGGTCATAGTGAAAAAGGGTGATGAGTTAAGGCAAGGGATTGCTTATGGTAAAGAAAGCAAACCACCACAAACCAAACCTCTCTTACTCTTTTTACAATGCCACCAAAGCAAACCAGGCCTCTAGGTTCTTCTCTCCCTGCCCTGGGTTCTATGGTAAGAATAGACTTGAGCTGGGGAGGATGTCAGGAATGACCGTCATGTGCCTAAGAGCTCAGGTTCAAAGCAAGCCTGAACCACCAAGTGGTTGGAAAACTGAACAGTGCATTTTAGAAACTGGAAGTACAGAACTGAACATGCAGGAGTGCACACATGTGTCTCTTCCTTGTCTTGAATGGCGAAGTCAGTCTCTTGAGTGGTCGTTTTCACCCGATAGGTTCATCAGAGAGGAAGGCAGTGGCCATGGCTGCCTGGTCTCTTGGGCTGGATCAAGGGAATTGATGCTGTGGTGGATGCAAGTATGTTCCAGAAAAGACATGGCAAGCAGAAAATAAAGAGAATGACCAAATCAAAAGACAGGAGAGAAGAGGGGGAGGAGATAATTGAACAACAAGAAAAAAGAGTAGTAGGAACCCTGCAGTTTCTCAGATGAAATATTCCCGTTTACACTCGCTCACTGTGTTTTGCAAGTCAATTTCATTTCTGAAGGAACTGTCCAAATTTTCTGGATATTCCTTCTCCTTCATCTGGCTCGTACGATGTGACTGCTTGTGCTGGTAGAGGAACCGGGTCATGATGCCGATGATACAGAAGATGATGAATATCACCACTGCTATCACCCCTGGAGAGAAAGGGGAAGGAAAGAGAGAAGGAAATCGTCATGAGTCATCTGCTCAGGAGAGTGGATTCCCTCCAGATGAGGGGAATGCGTAGGAGAGAAAGCAAAACAAAACAAATCACACAAACGCAACTCTGCCACCTGCCCAGAAATAAAGACCTGCTGAAAGGCCCTGTCTTCAATTACTATAAAACCTCCTTCTTTCAGACTAACTGGGGGCGAGAGACACTTTCAACCATAGAAGGTTTTGTTTAAAGAACTGAGAATACCATCTTATACATATGGAATTGGACTAGCAAGGGGTTTCTTTGTAAATTTTTCAAGTCTGCTATAAATAATGTGTCAGAATCATTTGTAATTAGCCCATTTTTTTGTCACCTCACAACTAAGTATTTCAGAGTTACTTTAGCATCTTAGAAAATGGTACTTAAATATCTCACATCTTAACACATGCTCTCCTGATGTAAATTTGTTTTATGTTACGTTTGTTTTGCTAAAACATTTTCATTAATAATGAAATGATCGCTATAAATTTAGAACATTTTTACACTGCTCTGAACTCTGTTAAACTAAGGCTCATTCAGTGACAAGATGCCTCTGTTCTTGAGAAACTCAAAGTCAACTGAGATGGCAAACCTCTGTCCAGACCCATCAGATTCCCCTTTATTCTGACTGTGTGTGATTTAACTGGATTATGTTGCAAGCTATTCTTGCTTACCCTAGGGTCTCACCCCTACCTTTGCCAGGAAGGCTCTTGGAACATGAAAGGCAATATCAATAAAGGAATAGTGAAAACATGGAAGCGGCAGATGTGTCTCTGCATGAATGTAGTATTTCAGCATGAAAATATTTAAAAATATGTATGATAAGCAAAGAATTTACTTGTAATAAGTTCTATATTTTGCTGTTTCATTTTTCTAAGGAGAGGAGATATTGAGGAAAAGTGTCTATTTCAGAAAGCTATTTTTGGGCATAATGAATTATGATTTACAGAAGCATGGACATTTGTAAGTTTCATAAATGGATTGCATGTCTTCCACCAATTTTTTTTAGAACTGAGGCCATGATTAAGATTTATTTTTATAAATATATGTTCCTAAATCATTTTGTGGCATTTTCTACAACTATGTTAGAACAAGTAAGAGTAAAATCATCTAAGTTAGCAAGTCTATGAATAAACTGGGTGGTAGTGAGTGATTCCCATGAGTGGGATGCTGCATTAAGAGATGAAATAGGAAACTGGTTCCTACTCCTTCAATGCATGGGATAGTCAGAGTCAGCAGCTGTGCAAGCCTCCAGGAATTTTCCTAGGGGGTCAGATGACTTCCCTGTCCTTAAAGAGACTCATAGAGCACGTAAATAGCTGGAGAGGAGTCAGCAGTCACAAAAGTCTTTCTTTTTCCACTTGTCAAATGGGAAATTATTGAAAGAGAAATAGGCACAAAATTCTTTCCCACATTTCTCTATGCCAAACAAAAATTAAGGTGGTCCAGCTTCTCTGGAGCAAAAATTCAGGTCAGAAGTTTTAGGAACTTCCTTAAGGAAAGGCGTGGTTTTCCTTTCTTCATGTTCTCAGGAGTGCACCTCTGTGCTCCCATAGCCATTTGTACCTCCTCCCTCAGAACAGACTTCACTGGTTGTCTTGTTGTCTGTTTACCCATCTCCTCGCTGGCTCATTCATCCCCATATTCCTCTACTTAGCACAGAGCCTGACCCATAGCAAGGCTCATTAAATATAAGCTAAATGGAGAGGTACTGCAGGTTTTTAAAAGGAAAACGCCATCTGCCAAGGATCAGTTCATCTAGGCTTCCAGAAGGCAGGGATGGCGGCACCTGCTAAGGTTATGTTTCTCAGATAGAAATGAGTTTGGTCTTTCACAGGCATCTTACATGAAGCAAAGCTTGGGAATCATTCTGTGTTGGTAGACCCAGATGGAAAAATCAAGCCACAGCAGGAGGAAGCCAAGCTGAAGCAGAATAAAAAAGTGGGGAGGCCAACAGGCAATGAGAAAATGGAAAAGCAGGAGAGCTGAGCTCACAGCAGAGCAGACAAGGTCTGCATCTGTAACCATATGTGCAGTGAGATTTGCAACTACAGTTCTGTGGGCTTCACCCTGCTCATTAGACCTAACCCAAATCACTTGGTGGGGAATACTCCACAGGACTGCGGCTTCACCCATTGTCTGCCCCAACATGGCTTCTTCCCCGAATTTAGTTTTATTGGTTTGCTTTGTTTGCATTTTAGAAACAGTGAAAACTGTATGAAATGAGCAGAATGTGAGCTGCTGTCTGTAAGTAAATGCTCCAGCTGTTGACTCAGTGCTCAGCTGCCTCATGAATCAGAGGCAAGATGAATCCGCAGAGCTGCTGGTGTCGGCAGAGGGTGCTTTTGATCATTCAGCACACAGGACTACTCATGAAAAGCCCACAGTCTTGCAGGTAATGTAGGGGGCTCTGAGTGCTGGATGGCCATAATTAAGGAAAGCTTCAGATAACTTTCTCCAGAATACAGGATCGTTTATGTCTTTTTGCATTCAACAACAATGAATTGTTTACCTCCGATGACTGCCGAATCACTTCGAACAGCATTTGTGAGTGGTTCCCGCTCATCTGTCTTCCCAAAAGGATCTGAAAGGAGTAAAAGACATGGGACTTTACTTCTCACTCAAAGCACTGGCAAGAAGCCTACAGTGTGGCCCACCTGGAATGACACACCTGTGCATTACACCAGGTGCCCTCAAATAGTTGTGAGTTGATATGTTGCAAGGAACTCAAAAAACATGCACAAGCAGAAAGCATTTGAAGTGCACTGCTCACACCCCATAGTTCAATGGCCCTGTTTGTTTATGTGCAAATTGTAAGATAAGGGGTTAAAACAGAGGATGGTGGTATCCTGTCCACATGCCCTCACCCTGCTCCTAATGTCCCCTGTTGCCTAGCTGGACAGTTCCTATTCCTATGCATGATGCCCTGCTCTGCTTGAGAGTTTTCTTCAGATGCAAAAGGATCCTGAGTTTATTGACAGTAAAGAACAAAAGTGCTGGAGAATTAACACCTTCAGGAGCAGGCCTCACTGATGAGAGAGAAATTGTACTGTGTGTACAGTACCATATATGATATAAGAAAAAGCATCAAGTTTAAGGGTACGCAGGCCTTAATCTGAGTCTTTGCTCTGTTGTTTGTTGGTCTGGTGACATTGAGGAAGACCTCTTTTTAAATATAAATTTGCACATGTATTAAAGGAGAGTAGTAATACCTATATGTGTGTATATAATGCATGCTAAATTTTCAGGACCTTGTGGCTACTATACACTTATAAGTAGCCACTATGATTATTATTGTTGTATCATTTGATCATTGGAAAATGACTACAACATGAGTATTGTTGTTCCCCTTTGGCAAATAAGGAAACTAGATTGAAACAATCAAATAACATGTCCAAGTCCTACAGATCATTCATGAAAGAGGCAAAATTCACACCAAAGCTATCCAACTACTGCACTCAGAGTCTTTCTATTACTCCTCTCTGCTGCTTGAAAAATATCAAGATTGGTGATGTGCAGGCAGCAACAGAACTCAAGCCCCCATATGACATCATTAGTCCTGTCAGGTGTCATTTAAACTTTCTTCTCTGTCAAATGGTAAAAATGATAGTCTTTGCCTTAAAAGGTTTTGTAAGAATTATACAAGTTAATATACTTGTTTTTACAACAGTGGCTGATACAACGTAAGTGCTCACTAAATCTTGTTTCTTCTTATAATTTTGCTTACTATTAATTACATACACATTTATGTGTATAAACATGCACATCCTAGTCTCACGAGTGGGACCTCAAGCTTGCTAATGAAAAAACCAAGACACGCAATTCTTCATACCACAGCACTTGCCACACAGCCATGTGGAGACACACGTGAAAGATGTTTGGTAAGTATTTATTGTGTCTTCAAGTGAAGGGAGTGTGGTAGTTTATGCCATTTGTGGTGTCCAGGGGTGGCCTTTTCCTAGGACTCTTGAAATCGGAGCAGAAACAAATCAACATGAGAGAGAGGCTGATGGGGTCAAATGGGAAGGGTATTGTAATTAAAGAAGGTGCTGGCCATGGAGCAGGTATTCAGAACTGGTGACATTGATAAGGTGGGTCTGGTGGAAAAAACTTGGAGTTGGAAATTGATATTATTAATCATCTCTGTACACCTGGATGACCTACATACATGCATACATACATGGAGAAGAACATATATATATATATATATATATATATATATATGTCACCAATTGATAACGATGGGGTGATAATGATGATAGTGGGTGTTAGAGACAGAGAGAGAGCGGGCAGATAAAGAGAAGGAAAATGAGAAATCAGAGGAGTCAATAAAAGGGGGAGGGAGAGAGGGGATGAGGTATGGTAAAAGATGGGTAGAAGACAAGGAGGAAAGAAAGAAGAAAGAAAGGGAGGGAGGGAGACAGGAAGAGAGGAAATTCAAAATATTTAGTTATTAGATCTCCTGTATCACACTGTCCACTGTGCTTGTTATTCTTGTTTATCCCTGTGCTACTCCACCTACTTAAAATGCCTCCTGCTTCTTTATAAATACAGTCATGTGTAGCTTAATGGTGAGAATATATTCTGAGAAATGTGTCATTAGGCAATTTTGTCGTTGTGTGGAAATCATAGAGTGTGCTCACACAATCCTAGGTGGTACAGCCTATGACACACCTAGGCTGTACATGTAGTATAGACTATTGCCCCCAGGCTACACGCCTGTATAGCATGTTGCTGTAGTGAATACTATAAGCAACTATAACACATTTGTGAGTATATGTGTACCTAAGCATATCTAAACATAGAAAGAGCAGAGTAAAAATATGAGATTTAAATAAATGCTACACCTGCACAGGGCACTTATCATGAATGGAGCCTGCAGGACTGGAAGTTGCTCTGGGCAAGTCAGTGAGTAAGTGGTGAAGGTCCAGGACATTACTCTACACTGCTACGGGCTTTATAAACACTTTACTCTTAGGCTACACTACATTTATTGACTTTTTTTCTTTCTTTAATAATAAATTATCCTTAGCTTACTATAACTATTTTACTTTGTGAACTTTTTATTTTTTTAACTTTTTTACTTCTTTGTCATAACACTTAAAACACAAATATCATACAACTATACAAAAATATTTTCTTTCTTTATATCCTTTTGCTAGAAGATTTTTTCTATTTTTAAATTTATTTACTGTTATTTTTTACTTTTTAAACTTTTTTCCTGAAAACTAAGACACAAACATACACAGTAGATCAGGCTTATGTGGATTCATGATGTTAATATCATTGTCTTCCACCTCCTCATGTTGTCCCACTGAAAGGTCTTCAAGGCCAACAATATGCAAGAGGTACCACATGCTACCATAACAATGCCTTCTTCTGAGTTATTTCCTGAAGAAAATGCCTGAGGCTTTTATTGAGGAGTAAGTTCATACCAGAGTCACCACAAACATGTGGATAAGGCGTTGTACTAGGACCTTATGATTGCTACAACTTCATTAGGTCATAGAAATTATTCAGCTCCGTTATAGTCTTATAGGACCACTGTCTATGCAGACCATTATCTTTACATGGTACATGACTGTATTCAAATCTGAATCATCCATTATGGTTTATTAGATCATGACCTTTTTCTGTTTTTTTGTTTTGTTTTGTTTTTTTCTTTTCTTTTCTTTTTATTGAGACTGAGTCTCACTCTGTCATTTAGGTTGGAGTGCAGTGGTGTGATCTCAGCTCACTGCAACCTCTGCCTCCCAGGTTCAAGCTACTCTCCTGCCTCAGCTTCCTGAGTAGCTGGGATTACAGGTGTGCACCACCATGCCCAGCTAATTTTTGTATTTTTAGTAGATATGGGGTTTCACCATGTTGGTCAGGCTGGTCTCAAACTCCTCACCTTGTGATCTGCCCTCCTTGGCCTCCCAAAGTGCTGGGATTACAGGTGTGAGCCACTGCATCCAGCCTCATGGCTTTTTTTTCTTACTCCGACTTACAATGGTTTCTCCCTTATTGAGTCTATGTACTACTTTTAACATTATTAACCAAAATAATAACCTTGGTTATTACTTAACATTGATTTCACAACAGATTTCCCCATTTCTAGCAAATTTTGCTAATGATACATTAATATATATTAACCCAGCTTGTTAATTCTAACTAATATTTATTAAAGCTACAAATAAAATACTTCAGATCTAGTATGATGACAGCTTCAGTAACATGACTACAAAAGTTAAAAATACCATGCCTATATCCATGCTTAATGGACACCTTCGGCAAAGTAACCCTTGGGGTAGTTATTCATTTATTTCAATAGTACTTCTCTCTTCACAGTGTGTCTAAATTGTCTTTAACAATTTTAGAGCTATCTTTTAGTTTTAATCCCCCTCTCAAAAAAAGAATGACTCAGCTTAAATGTATCTATCTATTTATATCATATATATAGATCTTGATCTATAAATATAGATATAGATATAATTATAGATATAGATCAAGATCTATATATTTTATATATTCTATATCTATATATTATGTATATATTATACATACATATCTATATCTATATATCTATTCTTATAGAATAGAATTTATTGTATACTATAATAATATAGATAGACATTGAGCAACTATCTGTATCTATCTCTATGAAATATCTATGTATATATAGAGATAGAGAGAGAGCTAACATTCCATAAGAACTCCTCATTACTGAAATATGTTGGACTTCTACACTTGCACCTAATGATTTACCTGTGAGGGGTTTTCACTGATTACTAAATATGCTACACTGTACCAGAAATTTGAATTTTAACTTACATATTTCCTTTTGTAATGGGCTTCTGTCTTCTGAACATTGCAAACCCTTCTCCCTAAGCATTGCCATGACCAGATTATTTATAAATCTATCATTAGTTCATCTAAAATGTATTTACTGCCTTTTCTTGGTTCCATACAACCCAAAACTCTGTTCATATTTTTCCTTTAGCATTGCTCACACTGTATTATGATATAGTGCCGGGCATCCAATGACACACCCTAATTCCCTGAACCATTGCCTTCCATCATCTTTACAGATTTCTAAAATTAGGGACTTTAAATGTTTCTTATTTTTTGTTATCTCCACTAACTATGGAAGTTAACACTAAGTAGCTGCTTAAAAGATGTGTGATGAATAAGGTAACAGGAGAATCACAAGAATTACCTGAAAGAACTCAAAATCATATTTGAAGAATAAAATGGTGAAACATAAAACAGTAAAGGAGTGGGCAATACATTGCTGGAAGAGTAGATAGATAGAAATATTTAAATATCCTACTCAGGTTACCAAATTTGTTAAAAAATTTATTTCTCAATTTTTACAAAATATTGGACTGGGCACTACAGATCTCAGGCTAAAAGTCTTGGCTAAGAGTCCTGCCATATAAAAGAGAGTGCGTGTTTCTCAATATATTTCCCAAGATATTAAAATCTCCTAGACTTGTTTAATGCAATAAGATGTCCCACCTTTTATCTTCCTACTAACACATCATGACCTATCGTAGACCACTGCTGGGGGAATTGTGCCTGTAATAGAAAATTACTGTGGTCCAGAACCCTTCAACACCTACCACTATTGTTCTTAGTGTGTGCTGGGAAGCAAGGGGAGGGTAAAACAATACCATAGTAAAATGGGAGCTTTATCAAACATCTCAGACCTAGCCTCTTCATCACCACTACTTGCAAAACCCATATTTCATACCAATATTAGCAGCAAAATCTGAACAAAATATATATCCCATGGATTTAGAAAAAGCATCCTAGAAAAATCTGATAATACTCCCTCACCCATATACAAACCACTTTAAAGCATAATCAGAATGAAGACACTATCACTGTTTCTATCTATATTATATTGACTTGTTGATACATGTTGATGTCTTGGTTTTATCTCAGTGTATTAGTCATTTTTTAATCAGTATTTATGATGCTTTGACATCTTGAGGATCTTGCTGGCCAGGGAGACACTGCCCCTCTCAGGGCTAGCTGATTCCTAGAGATAGCAAACAATAGGCCTGCAAGCATGCATTTTATACACAAACCAATCAATCCAGAGCCCATCTCCCACACTAATCCATTTATCTAACTCACATTCACAACCCAGTATTTCTCTTGCCTTAAATCACTCAAGGCCAAGTATTAGGTATTAGATAACTAGAGACCACCCCTGTAGCGCAGATCCTGCCCACATTATTCAAACTATCCAATTCTAACTGGCTCAAGCTTGCCTACCTGGTTCACCCCATTCCTTCCCATGGAAGCTGCAACACAGCCACCCCACCACACTTTCCCCTTTCTCTTTCTCCCTCCTGACCAACCCTAGCACTTCTCCATGTGGCTCTGAGTGGTAGAATGTATCTCTTTTTCTTGAGAACTGTAAGAAATAAACTTTTCTTTCAAAGGCAATCATCTCATGCCTGTCACCTTATCATACCTGATTAAGACAAAATCCCAGATACATTTTCAGACACCCAAAATGACAGTGACTAAGAAAAGATAGAAAAGGCACTTAGAGGGTAGTGAAGCAGAGAATGTATGGATGATGGTGCTGTGGGTTTTTTCTACTTTTAAGAAAGGCTGATTTAATTTATTTTCGTTACATATTCAGAAATAGGATTCGAGTTTTAATATTTTGACAAACCTCTCTACTCTTTTCCATAATGGCTGTACCAATTTGCATTCCCACCAGGAGTGTAAAAGGGTTCCATTTTCTGTACTTCCTCTCCAACATTTGTTGTTCTTGTCTTTTTGATACTAACCATCATATTATCAGCTGTGAGGTGACATCTCATTGTGGTTTTGGTTTGCATTTCCCTGACGATCAGTGATGTTAAGCACCTTTTCATGTACCTGTTGGATGTTTGTATGCCTTTTGTGGAAAAAAAAAAAAACAAAAAAAAACAAAAAAAAACTATTCACATCCTTTGCCTATTTTTTGAAGTGTTTTTCTTTTCTTTCTTTCTTTTTTTTTTTTTTTTTGCTATTGAGTTATATTAATTCTTTTTATGCTTTGGATACTAACCCTTCATCAGTCATATGGTTTAAAAACATTTCTTTTTCCAATTCTGTAGATTGCCTTTTCCTTTTGTGGATTGTGTCCTTTGCTGTACAGAGGGTTTTTTAGTTTCATGCAGTCCCATTTTTTAAATTTTCGCTCTTGTTGATCATACTTTTGGTGTCATGTAAACATATATATATATTTTCAAGACCAATATTAAGGAGATCTGTCCTTATGTTCCCTTCCTGGAGTTTACAGTCTCAGGTCTTATATTTAAGGTTTTAATCCATTTCAAGTTAATTTTTATATGGTATAAGATAAAGGTCCAATTCTATTCTTTTGCATGTGGATATTCAATTTCCCCATCACAATTTATTGAATAAGCAACATTTTCTTCATTATGCATTTTTGGAAATTTTGCCAAAGATTAGTTGATTAAATAAGCCTGGGTTTATTTCTGGCTTCTCTATTCCATTCTATTAGTCTATGTGTCTGTTTTATGCCAGTATTATGCTTTTTTTTTTATTACTACAGCTTTGCAATATAGTTTGAAATCAGGGAGTGAGATGCCTGCAGCTTTCTGCACTTGTGTTTACTGCAGTATTATTCACAATCGCCAAGATATGGAAACAAACTCTCTGTTAATGCTTAAATGATTAAAGATATTGTGGCATATACACAAACAATTGGAAATTTTCAGCATTAAAAAAGATTGTGCCATTTGTGACACTATGGAATAACCTAGAGGACATTATGCCAATTTGAAATAAACAAGACACAGAAAGACAAATACTATATGATATAACTTATATGTGGAATCTAAAAAAGTCAAACTCATAGAAACAGAGAGAACGGCGGTTGTCAGGAGCTGGTGTGTGCAGGAAATGGAGAGTTGTTGGTTAAAGAGTACAAGCTTTCAGTCAGAAGATGATACATTTTGGTTTTTTTTTTTTTGTTTTTTTTTTTGAAACAGAGTCTCACTCTATACCCCAGGCTGGAGTGCAGTTGCATGATCTTGGCTCACTGCAACCTCTGCCTTCCAGGTTCAAGCGATTCTCATTCCTCAGCCTCCCAAGTAGCTGGAATTACAGGTGCCCACCACCACGGCCAGCTAATTTTTGTATTTTTAGTAGAAATGGGGTTTCGCCATGTTGGCCAGACTGGTCTCGAACTCCTGACCTCAGGTGATCCTCCTGCGTTTGCCTCCCAAAGTGCGGCAATTTCAGGCATAAGCCACCACACCTGGCCCAAATTTTGGTGAACTAATGTACAGCATGATGATTACAGTTATTCATACTGTATTGTTTACTTGACATTTGCTAAAATAGTTAATCTTAAGTGTCCTCATCAGATGTGCATGCACATACACACACTCACAAAGGGTAACTGTGCAGTGATGTGTTGATTAATTTAATTGTGATAGTAATTACACAATGCGCATGTTTATCAGATTATTACAATTTACACTTTGAAAATATATAATTTTTATTTGTCAATTATTTCTTAATAAAGCTAAAAAAGGTTTATTTTAATCACATGAATTATCATGTTAGTTCAGGTACCAGCTTGCTGCCTCCCTGTTCTCTAAATACCTCAATTCTCGGAGCAGTATCCACTTCAACAGTAGTGACTATGTATACAAACACACACACACACATACACAATGCATTATATACGTGCATAATAAGCAAAGTACACAACTATGCATTTAGTTTTAATTACTCATCATATTAAAAATAAAACTACATCAAATATGTATAAAATCACCCATGAAATATCAGTCATAATTTTTAGCCACCTGTTATTATACAAAGTAAAAACTGAGTCACATTAGCCAACTCTTTAATCTGGAAGCTTCTTGAAGACACAAAAAGTAGTGCTAGTGACAGAAGCTCCCTTGTGCATGCTCTTGAGTGTACCTGATGAAGAATGCACCGTGGTCACTGCATTCACATCTGAGTCCACCATGAAGCCACAGCTGGATTCCGTCAAGGTCCCATGGACAGTCACAGGCGCGACAGTGGCATGGCGCAGGGCAGCCTTCAGTGGTGCTATGTGGTTGTACTGGACGGAAGACATGCATCCAGCAAAACCCATGGCATTTGCTTTAGCAACTTCAGAATCCAAACCAAGATTCTCTGCAATGTAAAAGATAATCAGAAGTCCTTTACTTTTTTTGTTTTTTCCAAATTATATGCTGGGTCCTCTTTGAGTAGTATCTAAAATTACAGAAATTACCTTGTTATTGTTTGAGTAAAGAAAACCCTCCCCTATCTATCTCTCTTTATCTCCTTTCCCCACCTCCACTCCCAATGCAAGCATCAATATATCAACTACATTTCATAGAAAATTGTCAGGGCCATTTCTGCTTTGAGATAAAAATTTTCCCCAACTTCTAAATTTTCATTCATGTATTTTATGAACTGTAACAAAGACAATAAATCTGTTCTGTATTTTAGGTGCTTTATAAAATTTGTATCATTATCTGCATCATCATTTATCTTTGGATACTGGTGATTAGTGCAAGCACCCTATGATGTTCATTACAACACTTCACTCAAAAATGTAGCAAGAGAAAAAAAATAAAGAGGTAGAGGGATTAGAAGTCAATGTTGTCCTTCCAAAGATTTATTGTGTAAATTATTTTAAGCCACCTGTGTAGACTGACCTTCTATTCAAGATTTCCACCTGCTTGGTTCTGTCCATGGAACTGATTGGTGTGCATGGGTTTTTTATGACAGCAGACAGCATTCAACTTCCTAAAGTATCTTTGAGACTTTATAAAAGATGGACATGCAATAATTTGGGATTCATAGCAAGATCAAATGTCTTGTTTTCTTCAAGATTGGTGGTAAGATTACTCAGTATTCCATTTCTTTTTCTTAAAAGAGTCAATTGAACAAACTGCTATGATGCAATTATATAAAACTGCAATGCATAATGAGCCATCTTTTTTCCTAAGGTGTAATAGTCTTCACGTACCGAGATGGTTATTTATTAAGATAATGTGTTTGTTTTCTGAAAGGCAGTAGGGACTCTCTCATCTACTGGCATAGATTATAATTTTATTTTGATTCATAAATGGTCAAAGAGCCTCCACTGATCTATAAGCATGCATTATGTTGGCAACATTAAGAGGTATGATAAGGATATGGAGGAAAATGAGAAATTAACCTCCTTTAATAATGCCTTTTCTAAGTTTTGCTCTAATTTTACTCTCCTCCATCAACACCCATGTAAACTGAGCCAACTTATCATCTCTGTCTTTTCACATAAAAAAATCAAATCGTGTATTGTTATGTGGCTGGTGTGACAAATTGCCACAAACTTAAATGACTTTAAAGAGCTTAAAACACAAGTGTGCTATCTTGCAGTTCTGTGTGTTTGAAGTCTGCCATCGATCTCATTGGGCTAAAAATCAAGTATCAGCAAGGCTGCATTAATTCTTGACACTCTTGGGGAATATTATATTTCCTTGCCTTTTCTAGCTTCTAGAAGCCACCCACATCCCATGGCTTCTGTAGACTCCTTCTCTATTTCAAGGCAAGCAATGTTACATTTCTCTGTGCCTTTCTTTCATACTTACTTCAACCTATAATTCTCTTCTATCTCCTTCTTTCACTTTTGAGGACCTTTTTGATTACACTGAATTCATCCTGATAATACAGGATTATCTTCCTGTTTCAAATACAGCTGATGAGCAACATTAATTACTTTTGCAACTTTACTTCCTCTTTGACACATGGCCTAATGTATTCTTGGGTTCTGAGGATTAGGACACAGACATCTTTGTGCTCTATAATTCTGTCTACAACTTCAGGTCTGAGATTTTGTGAGAACTTTCCCAAAAATGATAATGAAAATCCAATAATAATGTGAAGTGTCACTTCTTCAAATATAAAAGGACTCTGAGATGTATGAGAAAACTTCTATCTTCCAAATATTCAAATAAATCTCCTACAGCATTGGTATATATTTGCTACTTATTCATGAAAGGATCACATATGTTTGTTTGGTATGATGAGCATTAAAAGACTGTGTCCCACATAAAGCATCTCACAAAAAACTTTAATGGACTAGATGTTTTTTGCTGGTGGCACCAGAACTCACTGTACCCAGATACAATTCAGAATATGCATTAGCTACAGATTGGTGGTAGAGTTAAAGATCAGAAATATTTAGAGGAAGAGGCAGAAGACAAGGGAAGAGGAGCATAAACTATCATGAGGTTTTTGCATTGTAGGATTTCAGAACATGGAAAATGGCAAGTCATTGTAGTTCTGCCTGAAGGATCTAAGTCAACATTGCCAGCTCTCATTCCCAGGACTCAGTGGGAAAGAAGCCTACATAGTGTCCAGGTCCTTGGAGGACATCACTATAGTGACTGTCATGACATACTCCAGATGTAAGAATAGGCACATTGATAAGTCGGGGGAAATGCCAGCAAATGACATTCTCACCTTGAATGAAGAGATGTTTTAAATAAAGCCCTATCTCTAGGGAAGTGTGCTTCTTCCAGATGTACTATAAGGACAGAAACCTTGAGGTGTTTCTGAAAAGAAATGCAAAGAACAAGAATCCCTGATAGGAGAAAATATGCTCTGCATGATGCTCGAGATCATGATTTCTCAGATTCTTACATAGATGGAGAGGAAAAAAAACAAAAATAAGACAAAAGTTAGAAAGGTTCTAAATGATTTTAGTTTCTTATAATAGCATTAACTGATATGTAGTATGCTATAATAATTTGATAAAAACAATACTTTTAAAGCTGCAAAATACTCAACATTCACCACTCACTGAGTAGCTACATACAACTGCAATAATTGTTGTCGAAGAATTATTTCTATTCCCCTCAAAAGTTCTTCCGGATATGTGTTCTCAACCTTCAAAATTTACAAATGAAGTAACTAGGACTCGAAGAAGTTCAAAGATGTACTGAAGATCACGTAGCAGGGTTGAGATTTAAACCCAAGTCTTTATGATTTTAAATGCCAAACTGTATTTAAGCAATGCAGCCTCCAAAAAAAAAACCCTCCAAAATATCTCCTGTATAGAGTAAAATAATTTTACATAAATTATCTAAAAAATGGGTTGCAAAAACTAAGGAAAGCACAAGTTATTTTGGTTAAGTGCCTCACAGAATTCACTGAACTCTGTATTACATTAAAGACAAATGTATTTCCTAATTCATTTTTCTGTTTTTAGGTTAAAATTACATTAGATTCATGTGGAGTTAGATAAGGGGACTGTTTCATGTGCTGTGTTAGAGAATGGATGTTGAAGACAAACTTAATAGTGAATATGGCTCCTCAAAAGCTGACAAAATGGGAATGCAAGCAAAGGCGACACCACTGAAAAATACCAGTGTTCCCTGTTTCATTTTTCCCAAGATTTTCTACTAACATAAAAATCTTATCCAAAAAAAGAATTACAATGTTCAAAAGTCTTGTCACTGCCTTAAGAAACCAAAGGCATCTTGGAAAGAAAAAACAACAGCATATCCAAATGTCTTATTTGAAATTGACTTAGTTTCTGTCACTCAATACATTTTAAATATCATCAAAATAAGGTTCTTGATTCTCTTTTGATTTTAGCCCCATGTCCTCCAAGGGTGATGTAAAAACAGCACGAGCTGCTGATAGGTACAGGTTGGAAATTAGGTCTACCTAAGTTGATGAATCATGAACTTGCCCATATGATATCTGTTTCCATGTTTCTTCAATGTTATCCCCTATAAAATAGGGATAATAGTACCTACCACATGAATTATGTCAGAAATAAATACAATAATATAAATCAAATTTATAGCTCAATAACCATTAATGCAGCTTTGGTGTTTTATGTATTTGTTTGGTTTTTGTATATATTTATATTGCACAACATGATGTTTTGATATATGCATACATTGTAGAATGGCTAAGTCAAGATGTTTAACGTGACATGGCGGATCACCTTATATACCATTTGTGTGTGGTGTGAAAAAACTTAAAATCTACTGTCAGCAATTTTCAAATATATAATATATTAACTGCAGTCACCATGATGCACAATAGGTCCCTTGAATTTTTTCTCCAGAACTTATTCTCCAGTCTAACTAAATGTTCATCCTTTGACTAACATATCGCCATAATGAAAGCATACTGTTAGGAGGAGGAGGCCGGGGGGAGTGGTAGTTAGCAGTAATAGTAAAATCTTTTACTCCTCCTACTATTCATCAGTTCCAAGCTCTGTTGCCTGGCTTCAGTGCCCCTCAACATGCCCAAGTACTGTTGCATTTAGAACTATGGTGTAGATACTAATATGCTTGCTGTGGAACTCTACTACATTTCCATTTACTACTGATTCACAATTGAACAAATGTAGCACTCAAATTTTGAATGACTTAGTTAACTTATTTTAAACTAACGTTTTTGGGCATTTAAAATTTGACTTTCTACATTATTTTGCAAACACCTTTATTTCTTGTAAGTAAAGCTATGCTCCTCTATTAAATCTAGTAGATCTGTGATGCCAGAGAAAGTAGCAAAGAGTCAAGTGTAGCCTCAGAATGCACAACACTTTACACATTCGCAATTGTTTTA
Source organism: Homo sapiens (assembly GCF_000001405.40). Classification (NCBI taxonomy): domain Eukaryota; kingdom Metazoa; phylum Chordata; class Mammalia; order Primates; family Hominidae; genus Homo; species Homo sapiens. Next base: position 124,898,435 of record NC_000002.12, on the reverse strand, counting down.
CAGGAAGAGAGTGATAGAATGAATCCAGGATAATTTTGTGCAGGCAGGTTTGTGTGTGTATGTGTGTTTTTTTATATGAAAGAAACACGAAAAGATCAGAAATTCGCTAAAAACAGACATTGCTCTGGATTGTAACATGACATTTTCTATGTGTGAAAAGTTACTTATGACACTTGAATTCTGAAGTGTAACAACACAAAACCATACAGACCCATACAACAGGGGCTTATAAGAGTAAAATGTTGTATCAAGGTAAAATATAGTTAAGCAGAATCAATGTTAATGGAAGGTATGAGAAGTATATACAAGTAAAAATTTTTCCCTCTGGAGTTCATTGTGGCTTTCAGGTAAGGGACAAACAGTTTGAAAACTTAACTACAAGGAGGACCCAAAATCCAAGAAATAAATAAATCTTTCAATCCTGAAAGAGGATTGTCAAATTTAGTTACACACACATACACACACACACACACACACACACACACACACACACACACACTTGGCATTTGCTTACTGCTTTTATGTTTATCTTAGTATGCTCATTTGTATGTCCTATGTAAATATTTTTCCTTATAAAGTGAGAAAGTGAGACAATTATACACAACTTCCAGTTTGGAAAGACAAAACACATAAGGTCAAGTAATTGTTTAAAGTAAATTAATCAGTCCAAGGCCAATTCAGGCCTGAAACCTAGGTTTCATGGCCATAGGCCCCCTCCACCCTTTTTTTTCTATTATGCTATGCGTGACACTTTTCTGTAGGTATGGATTGTTCATAAGCTAAACACAATTTTATTTCTCTAGCCTGACTTAACAGCCATTCACTCACTAACACCCAGTCTCCCAGCTACACATCCAACCTGTCTGCTGTGTATGATCTGAGCTAACTTGCTCAGACATGATTCTCTCTGCCTGGAAGACTGTTCTGTCCCTTTATGACCTGGATAACTTCTGTACCTGCTCTGCAAAACATACATCTAATTATTGGCCACCTAGACACAGCTCCATGTTTGATAGTGGACTTACAATGACTAGCAAACACATTCCTCCTATCTCTGTGAGCTTTCAATCATATTGGTGGATTAATTTAGCAGACCAGCAAAGATTTCAGGCAATAAATCTTATAGTAGAGGGAGATCATTATGTCCATGGAAACATAAAAGAGACCCCTGACAAATCTAGGGTAACAGTGATCAAACTGAGAATGCAAAAGAACTTTCAGGAAAATGTACTAACATGTATATTTATGGTTCCCTACTCATTCAGAGGGTGTGGTTGGGGATGTGTGCAAAAACCTGCAATTTAAAGAACACATTTTCAGGTAATTATGATATAGATGGTTCGTGGAACACATTTTGAGAAACACTGATTTAAAAAAGATTGCTTGGAATAAATATATTCAAATAAAGGCTTAAATGATGAATAGAAGATGGTTACATGTTTCAGGCACAAAACAAAACCTTTACAAAGTAAAGAGAGAAGTAGTGCGTCACGTTTAAGACACTGAAAAATGAAGTTAACTCTGTCTGAAATAAGGCAAAAGATGACACTGAAGAGATAGGTAGGAGTTAAAGCAAGTTAAGAACTTCCATATTCTTAGCCAGGTGCGGTGGCTTATGCCTGTAATCCCAGAATTTTGGGAGGCCGAAGCGTGTGGATCACCTGAAGTCATGAGTTCGAGACCAGCCTGGCCAACACGGTGAAACCCCGTCTCTACTAAAAATACAGAAATTAGCGGGACATGGTGGTGCACACCTGTAATCTCAGCTACTTGGGAGGCTGAGGGAGGAGAATCACTGGAACCTAGGAGGCAGAGGTTTCAGTGAGCTGAGATTGGGCCACTGCACTCCAGCCTGGGTGACAAGAGCAAAATTGTCTCAAAAGAAACCAAAAAAAAAAGAACTTCCATATTCCTAAGGCATTTTGCTTAATTCTATTAGGCTGCCTTTGCTTTGCCATTTTGTCTGTCCTCCCCTTCTTGCTTTAAGAAAGGCTGTCCTTTTCAAGACTTCATTCACATCAACCAGAACACAGTGTCCAATACAGAGTAAGTGTCAAGCCAATATTAGTAAAATAAATTAGTGAATGAAAAAATAAATATCTCTTAATATCAACAATAATGGCATCTAATCAGTGACATTCATGTATGTGTGTGTGTGTGTGCATGCATTTCAAACTTCTTCATTCTTGACCTTGATAAACATATTTTCTTTACTTTTACATTTACATCCACAACATGTTATCCAGAACGCTCTCTTTGATGAAGCAAACCAAGTTCTGATTAGAACTTCATTAATATTTCTTACAACTTTGCCAGGAGTGCACAGGGAATATTCCTCTTCATTATTCTCAGCATTTTGATACCTAAAACTAAATGAACTGTTGATATGGAACCGGAATGGCAATGCAAGCCCGGTTGCCACACATCACGATGTCTGTTCTGTTTACAGTGACTCCACAAGCCTTACAAGGCATGGCCCATGCACCGACTCTTCACAGTGCCCATTGGCCTTCCCCCAAGCATTGTATGACAGGCTCCTTTTTTTCAGGTGCCAGACTGAAAGTCCTTTCCTCACAGAGGACTTCCTTGGGCACCTTCCTAAGGAGCACCCCTCCCTCCTCCCACTGTCTTATTCTCTATCACTAAAAACAGTTGATTTCCCTTCTGATTCTTCCACTAACTTCATAATTGCATGTGTGTCCATGTGTGTGGTTATCAAGTCTTCCTTTATGTACCACTCTAGATCATCAGTTTCTTGAAGAAAGGGTTCCTGTTTTGCTTGTAACTAACCACCTATTTCTCTATTTTTTTGAGACAGGGTCTTGCTCTGTCACCCAGGCTGAAGTGAAATGGTAAGATCATGGTTCACTGCAGCCTCATCCTCCCAGGTTCAAGAATGCTTCCACCTCAGCCAACCCAGTGTCAGGGACTACAGGCACATGCCACCACACCTGGTTACTTTTTAAAATTTGTTGTGGAGAAAGGGTCTCACTATGTTGCCAAGTTGGTCTCAAAAGCCTGGGCTCAAGCAATCCTCCCACCTTAGAATTCTAAAGTGCTGGGATTACAGATGTGAGCCACCATACCTGGTGTTACTTCTTAGCAAAGTACCTTGGACACAGAAGTTGGGAAATAAATGTTTTTGAATGATCAAATGGGTCGACATTGCATAAGGTCTGGCACTTCACAGGTCTTCCATGAGTCTTCTTATATAAAAATGCACACATACTGACAGATAAAAGGATGAAGAAATAGATAGATGATAGGTAGATATTAATGATACAAGAAGTAAAAAAAATATAACCAAGTCAATTCAGTAAACAAACCTTCTACCATTTGAGAATTCATTATTTCAACTGAACACTAACTACCTGGCTAAATTAATTTTTCACTTTTTAATTGGGTTTCTTGATAACATGCATTATGTAAAGGCCCCTGGATGGATGTAAGACAGTGAGTGCTGAATCAGTAAAACCTTAGCTACATAACCAAATTTAAAACTCCTAGGTATTATACTCCTAATGCCAATTCTGCTTATTTTTATATAAAAATCACTTTGTTGGCATTAAGACTGGGACTTGAAGGCTAGGTGCTGTGGCTCACTCTTATAATCCCAGTACTTTGGGAAGCCAAGGCAGGAGGATTGCTTGATCCCAGGAGTTCAAAACCAGCCCTGGCAAAATGTCAAGACTCGTCTCTATAAAGAATTTTAAAATTAGGCAGGTGTGGTGGTGTGTTTCTGTAGTCCCAGCTACTCAGTTGGCTGAGGCGGGAGGATCACTTGAAACTTGGAGGTCGAGGCTGCAGTGAGCCATCGTCAGGCCATTGCATTCCCACCTCGGTGACAGAGCAAGATTTTGTCTTAAAAAAAAAAAAGAAAAAGAAAAAAGAAAATAAAAAACAGCAGGATTTGCACGTTGATATAAAATCTCATTTCTTTGGGACTGAAAGAAACAAAAATAATTCCTCCTAGGTTGTTCATTATTTACTTGATGTGGAGTCAGAATAAATGACTCATGTGTACTGGTTTACAGCTATGTTGTTTACTTTATTAAAGGAAATGAGCAAGACAAGGGTACTGCATATTCCAAGAGAGGTTTTTTAGCAAAGCTTAAAATTAATCATAGAAATATATCCTACTCCAATGAAGAATTATAAGTTGTGAAGTTAAGAACACCAAAAAAATGTAAAAGCCATACTGGGCATCTTCAGTGACTTAATATTATCTACTTTTTATTACAGATGTAAGCATATTGCAAATTTTATTTGTTAAAAGTCTTTCTAAAACAAGTAACAGCACTCTTGGTAAAGGAAAGGGAGTCAAAATGGATGCTGGGTAGGCAACCAACAGTCAGTTACACACATGTAAGCCCATCTTTGAAAGCCAAGTGAGATTTTTTAACACATATGTAATAAAACACATATGATGTATGTGTTTAAAATGTGGTCATTTTTGATGAGTTATATCTAACTGCTATACATATTCTGATGTCTAATATATATATGTAATTTTATCATATACATTTTTATGAAATACACTTTTTACAATTTAAAAGTCAGTTATTTCTGATGAGTCGTATACTGGCCTCTATAAAGATCCAGAGAGCCTAAGTTGAATGACCTAAATTTGGCTGTTATCAATTTGGAAAAGTGGAACTATTCTCTGGGACTGGAGTCCAGCCTAAAAAAAGAATGGTCCCACAGGTGACCATTATATACAGTATCCAGTGCTACTTGCCTTTCTGTGTTTTTTAGTGCCAAGTCTCCTGCATTCTGATTCTAACCTGTAGCAGGTTATCTCATACTACAAGGCAATATTACATTCCACTCAGGATGCCCTTTGTAGTTATTGCTCCATAATAATACTAGGAGACACTAATTATGGAGCTTCCACCAGGTTAAGTACACCATCATGCAGAGAAATGGCATACAGTAGCATTAAGACATGGAAAGACAACACACTGCTTTGATGACAAATTTTAAAGGTCATGGAACTACCATAGTTCTTATTAAGATCGCTTTACCCAGTTTCAGCTTGTGTGGTCAGTTTTACCATCCTGCTGTACTGAGTAAAATGAAGACTGTTTGCATAATATTTCTCACAAATCGATCTCTAATGTGCACTAAATTCTGCTTTAAGGGCCTGATGACACTGGACCATCTTCTGTGTTACTCTGCCCATTTTAAAGCAAAGAAATGGAAACAAAAGACATTAAATAAGGTGCCCAAAATAGCAGCCAGAAAGTGGCAGAGCTGAGATTTGAACCCAGCCTCTGTGAACCCAGTCCCAGCCTGTAGGATGGTACACTGGCTTCCTTTTGTAATTGTTAATGCTCCCAGTGAATGAATCTTTAAATTATATTCTATACACGTTTTTCATAATTTAGCAATCATTTTCCCCCCGAACTTATTAACCTTCTTCAGCAAACTTTGCCCATCCCAGAGAGTCAAACACCCTTCCTTCCTAATGAAACAAGTTGTTAACTGACTGGCAACCTAATAAGGTGATAATGCGTGATGATCGCTTACTGTGCTCTTCTTCAAGACAGCATATTTATATTTTAAAAGTCTTCAACGCCTTCATGCAAAGAAAAAACATATTTCTGGGATTTCTGTATAGGAGGCATTTTGGAACTAGTGTGTTTTGCAGCCCGCTTCAAATCACACCACAAATTCAATTCGGTAAATACTAATTGAGGTCGAACTGAGAACAAAACATTGGATATTGTGTCTGCATAAAGGTTGCCTGCTTAGCTCTTCAAGCAAGCATGCCACAATTACAGTATAGCACTCACCTGTAGGGCTTGGCCCAGTCCAGAAGCCTCCACCTGCAGAAAACCTCCCGCCCAGCTCAGTTTAAAGAGAACGGTCCCTTCTCTGCCTCCTACAGAATTCTTTATCTAGAGCTCTTGCTTCAGAACTCATGTTATACTTTCTTGTTTTGTCTCTTGAATTTTTTTCTTTGCTACATGATGAGGTGGCTGCCAGTATAATGGAGCTCAAACTGGTTTCAGTGACCCAGATGTGAGCAAACATAAATTCATCCACTGACTTTTCTGTAGGGCAAGGAACCCCTAAGGGATTGTCCAGCTCACAGAGTCATCAGTTCTTGGAAATTTATATCATTGTTCTTCTAGTACAGCTGTTGATTTTGCTATAATTGTAGCATTTCCTTCCCAGTTTCTCCATCTGATTCCAGAAAGTACAAAAACATAAATCATCCTCATAAGTTAAATTTACATTTGACTGCATATATCAAGAAGAAAACAGTGGCTCAAAGAAAATCAGAGTTTATTTCATTTGAGGTTAATGAGAAGTCTGATATTAGGCAGTCCAAGGTTGGTATCTTGCTTCTAGATCATCAGAGGCCCAGAATTCTTTCTAGACTTATACTTCCCTCTCCATAGACTGTAGCCTTAGATAGCCTTAATGACTTTAAAAGCTCTAGCCATCACCCCTATGTTCCAGGGAGAAGAAAGCAGGGACGGTGAAGGGCCCATAATTGTGAAGCCGGGCCAATTGGAAAACTCTTGTGACTTCTGCTTTTGGTACATGGTCCAGGACAATGTCACATGGCCATTATTAACTCAATGGAGGCTAGGAAATGTACTGTTTCTAATTGGGAATATTACTTCCTCAAAAACAAAAACAACAAACCATAAACACCACTGTATTTAATTAAGAAAAAGATAGTGAATATTGAATGCTGGATAGGCAGTCCCTGCCTCAACTCTCTTCTAACAAATAAACTTTCTTCTTCTCTACACCTGCCTTCAATTAAATATGTACACAGTTTCCCCTTTAGAACAGGTTTTTATCACCAAGGAATCAGACTTCCAGGGTTCAACATTAACATTGTATCCTTGGACAGATTACATGATATCTTTTGGGCTCAATTTTCTTATTTATAAAATGGGGATGAATATAGTGCCTGCATATTGTAGATCAAAAAGGACAGTAATCATCATCGTCATCACGCCCTTCACTGAGCGATGGGGTCTATTTCCCTTCCTCTTGAATCTGAGCTGATTTGTGACTGCTTTCTCCACTAGAACACATTGAAAATTATTCCCTGCCAGTTCTGAGACTAGCTTTCAAGAGGGCTGGTACTTTCTGCCTACTAGAGAGACTGTGGAGAGGTCCTCAGACTAAATGGAGCAAGAAAGGCCAACTGAGCTCAGCCCCCAGATATCCCCATCAAGGCACCCAGCATGTGAGCAAATTCATTTAGATCCTCCAGACTATCCCAGCCACTAGCCATATATCACCTAGCAACTGAGACTTAGTCAATGTCACAAGTAGCTGAAGAACTCTAGTAGGATCCGCCTAACTTTCTAACCCACAAAATGGTGAGATATTATAAAATGGATACTGGTTTAAGCTACTAAATTATGAGGTGGTTTAATACACCACAATAGATTCTACCACATACTTTTTTTGTGAACATTAAATGTAATAATGAAGGTAAAGCTCTTTTTAGCTCATTGCCTGGCACATGGTAAATACACAGCACTTGTTTATACACTATATTCTAAGATCTAACATGTCTGTCGGTAGAAGGAGACTCCCCACCCATGTATGTCTCTATACACTTACCAGCTTATGACTAAGGCTGTTCTAATTAGTCTTTCAGCTAGCATTTTACTTTGATTCAGCTCTTTTTATTACTCCTTCAACCTTCCTGCACTAATGTATTGTCTATATAAAATTAGAAGCTCTACGAAATGGGGTTTCTGCCTTATATGCCTTTTATTTAAGGCTACATCACATAGTGGAATAAACATATTGTTGGCATCAAGCAAATCTGGCTTTGCACACCACGTCAACCAATTGACGAATGGATGGTGACTGTTACAGTTTAAATTTGCTCTGAAGCAGATACCAAGGCAGGCATTAGAGTGCAAGTAGTTTATTTGAGAAGTGAAGAAAGCACTGATAGGGTGGTGGCAGAGATAAGGAGGGGAAGGAAACATTAAGGGAACCAACCAGCACTGGACAACGAGAGCTTAAACTCACTAGGAAAACTCCAGGAGCCAGTGAAGAACACAATCAGACTTATCTCTATGGATGGTGAGGGAGCTAAGATATTAATGCATCAGCTCACATTATAATTGGCTGAAGATAATTCCCAGGAGGAAGCAAAACCTGGGCACTTCCGGATTGCCATATAGATAGGGAAAACAAGCTTCTATGACCAGAGAAAGATTTTAGCAAAATTTCAAGTGTGGAGGTTGTAACTGAGCTGGTATTGAAGTGGTAAAGTCAGGGGCTATGATAGAGCACCAATAGCATGTACTAGAGAAAGCTTGGACAAGATACTGAACATGGATTTTCTCACCTCTCAAATCAGGATAAAAATAATAAATCTAAAGAGCTATTCTCCTAAAATCTATGTATATTATTTCTAATACTCCCAAAGTTCTACCCCTATAGAATTTACAGATATAAGTCAATAGAGTTGGATAAATAGCTTTGGTGAAATAAATGCCAGTTGACTAAAACTCAGTAATTCTTCTAAAAAATGACAGTATGTGACTGTCTTTGAAATATTTATTCCCAGCATCCTAGCACATATAACAGTGGCGATAATACTGTCTTGGTTTAAATCACTCAAATACTTTAATAAAAACAAAAAAAAATCACTGATCCAGAGGACAAACCTTATCTGAAATAATAATAAAACCCAAAAGCACTTGCTACTATTTTTATCATAGCAATTATTGGCATTAGCACTAACAGACAAGAAGTGTGTTTGCATTTTAGTTTAATCAATAAACACCAGCTATATCATAAAGGAGCACTTGAGTGAATGCCTACAAAAATATTTTACATTAAAATCAAAAGCATAAAATTTAGAAAAGAGCTTAGAAAAGAGCTCTCTAGGAAAACACAAGGAAAATGCTATATTTAAGAATCCTATCTCACTCCATATTCAATAAATGGCACTGGGATAGCTGACTATCCATACGTAGAATAATGAAACTGGACCCCTACCTTTCACAATATACAAAAATTAACTCAAGGTGGATTAAAGATTAAATGTAAGGCTGGGTGTGGTAGCTCAAGCCTGTAATTCCAGCACTTTGGGAGGCCAAGGCGGGCGGATAACTTGAGGTCAGGAGTTGGAGACCAACATGGTGAAACCCCGTCTCTACTACAAATACAAAAATTAGCCAGGCATGATGGTGCATGCCTGTAGTCCCAGCTACTTGGGAGGCTGAAACAGCAGAATCACTTGAAACCTGGGAGGCAGAGGTTGCAGTAAGCTGAGATTTTGCCACTGCACTCCAGCCTGGGTGCCTGGGTGACAAAGCGAGATTCTTTCTCTCAAAAAAAAAAAAAAAAAAAAAAAAAAAAGCTAGACCTCAAACTATAAGAATCCTAGAAGAAAAGCTAGGAACACCATTTCAGACATTAGACTTGACAAATAATTTATGACCACATCCTCAAATGCAATTGTGACAAAAACAAAAATTGACAAATGTAACCCAATTAAACTAAAGAGCTTCTGCACAGCAAAAGAAATCAACAGGGTAAATAGACAACCTACACAATGGGAGAAAATATGTGCAAACTATGCATCTGACAAAGGTCTAATTTTCAGAATTTATAAGAAACTTAAATCAGCAAGCTAAAAACAGTTAACCTTACTAAAAAAAAAGGGCAAAGGACATGATCAGACATTTCTTAAAAGAAGACGTACAAGTGACAGACTTATGAAAAAATGCTCAACATCACTAATTGTTAGAGAGATGCAAATCAAAACCACAATGAGATACCATCTCATATGAATCAGAATAGCTATTATTAAAAAGTCAAAAAACAACAAACATTGATGAGGCTTGGAGAAAAGAAGAAGCTTATTCACTGTTGGTAGAAATCCAAATTAGTTCAGCCACTGTGGAAAGTAGTTTGGAGAGTCCTCAAGGATATTAAAACAGAACTACCATTCAACACAGCAATCCCATTACTAGGTATATATTAAAAAAGAAAATAAATTGTTTTACCAAAAAGACACATGTGCTCATATGTTCATTATAGCACTATGCACAATAGCAAAGACATGGAATCGAACTACATGTCCATCGATGGTGGATGGAAAGGGAAAATGTGGTACATATACACTATTGAATACTATGCAGCCATAAAACAGAATGAAATCAAGTCCTTTGCAGCAACATGGATACAGCTGGAAGTCATTATCCTGAATGAATTAACACAGGAACAGAAAACAAAACACTGCATGTTCTCACTAATAAGTGGGAGCTAAACATTAGGATGGACAAAAAGATGGCAACAATAGACACTGAGGACTATTAAAAGGGAGAAAGGGTTTAAAAACTCACTGTTGAATACTATACTCAATACTGGGTGATGAGGTCAATCATATCCCAAACTTGAGCATCATGCAATATACCCAAGTGACAAACCTGCACATATACCCTCTGTATCTAAAATATTATAAAAGTTAAAATTATTAAAAAAGAAAAAGAAACCAATCTTCTTTAAAAAAAATCATTGATGACTTCTCATTGCATTTTAGATAAAGTAAAACAAAAAACAATCCTGGCTTTTCAGGTCTTGGACTCGCCTGTCTGTCCCATTCCACCTCCACTGCCTGACTTTACAGGGCCTGGCTCTGCAAGACCAGGCTGTACACGGGGTCTCCCATGCCAGGAATGAAAATGTGGTAAAACAGAGAGAATAGGAGGTGTGAAGTTTCTTTTCTGCCAAGTTTTCTTTCTAGAATGAATTTCACAGGAGTTCCTTCTTTCATCCTCATTTTCAGATTCCCCAGCTATAATTGCCTCCATATGGCACCTAAATATTTAGCAGTCACTGTGCACTAAGCGGTATGTGTAAAAGCATATAATACATACATACACAGCTATTTAATCTTCAGAGCAACTCTGGTAGGTTGCTATGATGATTCCTGGTTTTCAGATAAGAAAACTGAGGCCTAGAATCCCACATCCCTGGGAATCCCGCAGTCTTGAGTAGACTAGCATGACTGGTCACACTAGTAGGGATCCTAAAATCAGGAATAGGAGTGCAAGCATTTCCCCCTTGAATTGAAAACATGTCTACCACCTGTGATGCATTACTAATCAGAAGAAGTGTATTATGAAACACATAGAAGCATAGACAAAGCACAAAGGCCCATGTTTCAAAGTGGGAGTGATAAGAATATTGACAACAAAATGTTCCTGCCTTCAAAGACCACACTTTAGGAGGGGCAGGTTGAAGGAATCTGGGACTCAAAGTTGGAACTAAGAGCTTACACAGCTTCAGTCACCACAGTACTATAAATTAGGAATTTCTGTCAAAAAGATTTCAGGGTCCACTTAACAACCATACTTCAGAGTCCAGACTACAATGGAAGTTGGTGGCATAAGACTCCAAATTCCATATTTTTTTCACTATGCCAAGAAAAAGGAAAAAGATTAAGAGTATCCAGGATGACCACACACAGAAGTAATGATATATTTCAAATGAGAATGAGAGCTCATTAACAGTCAAAGTGGCTGGGTATGTGTTTGCAGCCAGCAGTCAATGAAAGGAGCACTTCCATGGGAAGCCCAGGACATGTGGTCAGTACATGCACAGGTGTCAGTTATAAAGGTAAGGAACTATGCCTCCCGGTGAGGTAAGCAGGGGGAGTTTGGAATTCCACAGGATAAAAGTATAAAATATCATAAGATATTCACACTTGTGTTTACATGTGATTATTAAATGCATGTTACTGTTTTAACTGTAAATATCATCAAGCTCAATTTCTTTTTCATCACCTACTGAAAAGTAGGTTTGCTTGCAGCCCAGAAATTTATCAATTTGGGTCAGCAAATTGGGTTTCAATTCTCTTTTTCTCCCCTTTTAAAAAGTAGCATGAAATATGACTTTGGGGTCAGATTTGACATCAGAATTTTCAAAGCCAAAGTTCATAACATTTTCATGCATCACAAAATCATATAATGTTCAAAACTAGAATAAACTCCAAAGATCATCTGGCAGTCTCTGACATTTCAAAGAGGATAGATTTGCAACCAAGAGATGTAAGGCAGCTGCTCACTGTCACAGTGCTCTATGAGTGCAGAGACACTCCTGCCTCCAATTCCACCACTTGCCCCAAGTCTAGTTGTTAACAAAATCTCCTTGAACCACATATTAGAGAATAACCTTGGGATGTTACCCCATGATTATCCTTATCCTCATTAACTTATATTTGAGAATTGATAGGGTAAAGTGTGGCATCCCTGATCTTGGATACACAAATGTAGGATAATTAAAAGAATAAATCCAACCAGAATCATCTTTAAGTATCTCTTTGTTTTGACAAGGAGAATGGTAAGAGTGTGGGAAGCACAGTTTGTAATATACAATTTCCTTGATTGATTCCACTGGGCTAGCCCTCGCGTGTTAATGGCTTTCAAAAGGCAACAAATCCCCTCCCAGAGATATGCCCAAGATAATTAAAAACAGGTATTTAAATAAATACATATATACACATGTTCACAGCAGCCCTATTTATACAACAGCCAAAATATGGAAACAATTCAAATGTTCATCAAAGGACAATAGATTTTTTAAAAAACACCCTGACATATGCATACAACATATTATTCAACCATACAAAGGAATGTAGTACTGTTACATGCTGCAATATTATAAATATCAAAACTATGCTAAGTGAAAGAAGTGAGATACAAAATGTGACAAATTGTATGGTTCCATTTATAGGAAATATCTCAAATAGGTAAATCAATACAGACAGAAAGCAGCTTAGTGGTTTCCAGGAGCTAAGAGGAGGGGTGAAGATGAGATGTGACTGTTTAATGGGTACTGAGTTGTGTGTGTGTGTGTGTGTGTGTGTGTGTGTGTGTGTGTGATGAAAATGTTTTGGAGCTAGATAGAAACAATTGTTGCAAAATATTGTGGATATACTAAATGCCTCTGAATTGTATTCTTTAAAATGGTTAATTTTATGTGCGTTTCACTTCAATAAAAAATAAAGAGAGGGTATTATAATGGTCTGAGGATGTGTCAAATTGAGCAGGCTATAGTCCCTACTTATTCAATCAAGCCCTCATCCAAGTACTGCTGTAAAGGTATGTTGTAAACGTGAATGACATCCACAATCAGTTGACTTTAAGTAAGGGAAATTATCCTAGATAATCTGTGTGGGTCTCATTCAATCAATTGCAAGACCTTATGAGCAGAATGGCTTTTAAGACTTCCCAAAGAAGAAGAAATTCCACCTAGGGGCAGCAACTTCCACTCATGCCTGAGAGTTCCAGCTGCACTTCCTGATGGCCTACCCAGTGGATTTCAGACATCATACCTGGCCTCCATAACTGCATGAACCAATTCTGTGCAATAAATCTCAATATATTATCTCCTACTAGTCATGCTCCATTGGTTGAACCCTGACTGATATGAGTGGGTTCTACATTTAGAAGACTTAGCATCCAAAAGTCTTTTGTTCTTTCCCAGCCAGCTTCACAGCAATTCTCTCGCAAGTAAAGCAATCTTAGAGAAACAGAAAATAGTTCGAAAAAGTACCCTTTATATCCCCCAAATAACTATACTGCTTGGAAAATGAATAAAGAAGTGCTATGAGACTGAGGGGTTATTACAGGTAGGTGAGAGTAATGTTGATAGATGAGGCAAGGGTGCTCACCAAAAAATGAGACATAAAGGGACTTTTACCTAGTAGACCCTGACATCCACCAGCTCTTGTCTGCACTACGACTTTCAGAACCTCTTTCTCTCTAAGCAAGCGATGGGAAAGTTTTTTTTATAGGAAATGTGCCTGTCCCAAGATAAATGAGCTAAAGATAAAGACATTGGAGTTATCTAACTAAAGGCCCAGCCCTACTCTTCAGGGTGGCTCCAAGGCAATGCATTCCAGACACTTCCTTTTGAAACATGAGCACAGTCCAAGATCATCAGAAGCATGAGTAAAGCCTCTAGCAAGAATGAGAGATCACATGATATAACAGAGAAAAAGCAAATTGGGAAATGTGACTACTCAGAAAAGAAGCAAAACACATGGGCACACACATGGACATGCATGTCCAGATATGAATACATACATACACACAGAAAGGAATATGCACATACACATACAAACAAATGCACACACAGAGACATGCATGTACAAGTATTCCCATACACATACACACAGAGAGAAACATGAATGCACACATACATATGCATGCAAAACACTGACATACATGTGTACAGGACTACACATGTGCATGCATACAGACATGCATGTACAGATATTCAAATACACATATACATAGAAATATGCACATATAGGTACACACATGTACATGCACACAGACATACATGACAGATATGCACATACACATATACACACAGAGTGGAACATGCATGCACACATGCATACACATATGCACGTGCATGGGCATGCATGTACATGTATTCACAGACACTATACAGAAAGAAACATATGTGTACATGTACATTTGCAAGCACAGACATACATTTACACACACACATATACATGTGCCTGTACACACACAGACATATGTATATACACAACTACGCAGAAACATAGATATCCAGATATACATATATACAATACAGTTATAGCACACAGTTGCCCACACGTGTTTATGCATGTGGACACATGGACATATGCAAGCATGCACCCATATGCATATACATGCATGTACAAACCCACGCACGAATATATGTGTACATGTACCAATATGTGTACACACATGGACAAATGCAAACATACACATATGCGTACACATACATACCTGTACCAGGATGTACATCACCACACATGGACATACATATACATGTATACACACAAAAAAACATTGCTATACCCAGAGTTATAAAGAAGATAATTTAAACTGGAAATTCCATATTAAACTCTGAAAGCTTAGCTTGGTGTCTCCGTGTATAAAAGTTTCACTCATGTTTTGAGAAGCACTCTACCCACACACATGACCAAAGCCCCTATCTCCCACCTCAAGCCAAAGTAACCTCTGCAGCTCCCAATATAAAGTAAGCTCTTGTTAGAATTGGCACATACAGGCTGGGCACAGTGGCTCACACCTGTAATCCCAGCATTTTGGGAGACTGAGACACATAGATTGCTTGAGCCCATGAGTTCAAGACCAGCCCGGGCAACATGGTGAAAGCCCATCTCTATACAAAATACAAAAATTAGCTGTACTTGGCAGTATGACCTTGTCTTCCCAGCTACTTGAGAGGCTGAGGTGGGAGGACTGCTTAAGCCTGGGAGGCACAGGTTACTAAAATCATGCCACTGCACTCTAGTCTGGCCAAGAGAAGGAGATAGTCTCAAAAAAAAAAAAAAAAAAGAGAATGGATGATATATATTGATATGGTTAGGCTCCGTCCCCAACCAAACCTCATCTTAAACTGTAGTTCCCATAATCCCCATGTATTTTGGGAGGGAGAGAATTGAATCATGGAGGTAGTTTCTCCCATCCTGTTCTTGTGATAGTGAGTTAGTTCACATGAGATCTGATTGCTTTATAAGGGGCTTTTTCCCCTTCTGCACTGCATGCCTGCCTCCATGTAAGATGTGCCTTTGCTCCTCCTTCACCTTCTGCTATGATTGTGAGGCCTCCCCAGCCACGTGGAACTGTGAGTCTTCTAAACCTCTTTTTCTTTATAAATTACCCAATCTCAAGTATATCTTTATTAGCAGTGTGAAAACAGACGTACACATATGGAACTTCCTGTTCACAGACCTAAAGCAGCTGATGTGATCTGCATCTGAAATGTGCATATTTGCAGGACTTCTCTCTGATGAAGACAGCATCTCTGCATACGCTAGACAGAGTGTGTCATCCTTCATAGAGAAGATCTGGCCTTCCACCCAAAATCAGTAGGGAAACAGGACCTTGGTTACACATAGTTTTACTTCTGATTTCTCCTTTCTCTAGTCTTTTAATGATGCCCTTTGAATACAAGTTCCATGCTTTAAAGATCAATTGTTCTGTAATTACTGCTTGCACACAATTTTGGGTTTCCACCCAGGGCACTGAATATTTAAGGGAATAAACAATCCCACACCCCCCTCCTGTCATCTCAGCACACCTGGTGCTCTATGCTGCACCCCGGCAGAGACTCAGTGAGTGCTGGTCAGTGGGCTGAGTGGTTCATTCTCGCTCCTTTCTAACCTCACCTATTCAAACCACAGCATATCCTCAGGGATGTTGGCCCCTGAACTCAGCTGTGGCTAGGCAAAGCATGAAACTCAGTTGTTCATCTGGCATTCAAAGCCCTGGGTCCAGTTCCATTAAACTATTCAAAACCCCTGAACTGAGTGTGGCTTAGGCGACAGGCTGTGCTGGTTTTCCTAAGACTGCTTCAGTTTTAGGACCTATAATCCCACATCCCTGGGAATCCCGCAGTCTTGAGTAGACTAGCATGACTGGTCACACTAGTAGGGATCCTAAAATCAGGAATAGGAGTGCAAGCATTTCCCCCTTGAATTGAAAACATGTCTACCACCTGTGATGCATTACTAATCAGAAGAAGTGTATTATGAAACACATAGAAGCATAGACAAAGCACAAAGGCCCATGTTTCAAAGTGGGAGTGATAAGAATATTGACAACAAAATGTTCCTGCCTTCAAGGACCACACTTTTCCCAAGGAAGCAGCTACATACACAGATAAGAAATACAAGTCAGGCAATGGTAAAAAATTCAAGGCTGGGAGAGATCTGTCCCATGCAGCTGTGGACTACTGTGGACATCGCCACAGTGAAGGCCCCCAACTGGACTCTCCTCACAGCAATCCAATCCACTTCTCTTCCCCCTGTTCTTGATGACAGGGATTTCTCAAATCCAGAAGCAGCTGAGCAGGACTGGAGAGCTGGCTCAAAGGAAGAGGGTAAGGTATCAGCTTTATAATCCATTGTAACTTATGCCCCAAGTCAGTAAACTCGGGCTCAGGCCAGACCAGAACGAATTTATTTCCCTCTGTAATGACTGGAAAAATCTGCTGTAATTTCCTTTCCTCTTGTCCTCTCCATTCCTTCCCTGGGTACTCTGCCACCCACCTACCCAGTGAATTACCCAAATCTTCCAATTCTTATTTTACAAACTGCACCTGCACCTGCTCCCCTGTTCCATTGCTATCTCTTTCGTATCCAAAGGTTAGGCATTAGCATAGCCTGCATACCAGTCTCTCTTTCCTCTATCTTGCTTGTTACTAACAAGAGAGTCTGATAACAGCAGCTCTGACCACGAGAGCTCCTTTCCATGCTCTCTCCTCTCTACACAATAGATTCTGAATGCCTTTGCAGAGCACTGGATGTCCTCTGTAATATTCTCCCAATGGACTGTTCTTGTTTCCCTTGTCTCCCTCTACTCTGCTGCATGTATGAAACCCTCTCAGATGGCCTATTTACTGTTTCTATCCTACTATCTTTGTTTTCCTACAGTCTTACCTGGTTCACACCATTCCTCCTTCCTGGAATGTACTCCATCTATTGAGGTCAAACCTGTGCTTCAGGACTAAAGTCAAGGTGATCTTCCACACAATAACATTCTGGGTCATCTCAGCTAGAAATGATCTCTTCTTTTTATGAATATTAAGCACACTCCATCTGTAAAGCACTTATCAAAACTATTTATATCCTAATTAAATAAATGTCTTATCCTCACAGATACTTGTTTTATCACTTTGGGAACAAAGATCCATAGGCTTTACTTCTTTAAAGTTTTCATATTTTCTCTTATTATATCACCTTGTATATAATAGGTATTCAATAATGCATTCAATGAATTATCTACAAACAATGTTAGGGAGCAATTTACTGATTCCAAATATTTATATAATGTTTATCTTTTATGGGAGGCATGCTCTGTGCAAGGCTTATATTCTATGGAATCATTTTGAAGAAAAAGGTAAGAAAATAAGTGAGAAAGATAAGGCATATATTCAAGTCTTATATATGATTGATTAGAGTTGATTAGAGTAGGCAGCAGTTGATTTTAAGGGAATTAACTAAAACTAGAATTTCCTAGGTAGAATGATTTACTTATTTATTTTCCTCACTAAGAAGCAGGCCATGTGATTCTTTATCAAGAAAAAGGCAGAGAACTTTAGAATATTAACCACAAGACCCTAGCTCTGACACTGATCACTGGCAATGATAATTGTGCAAGTGTAAAGGAA
The DNA here is from genome assembly GCF_000001405.40 of Homo sapiens. Taxonomy (NCBI): domain Eukaryota; kingdom Metazoa; phylum Chordata; class Mammalia; order Primates; family Hominidae; genus Homo; species Homo sapiens. The sequence continues at coordinate 124,880,234 of NC_000002.12, read as the reverse complement.
AAATACACAGATTCAGGTCAAATCATTCTTAGAAATGGATAAATGGCATATACAATCATTCCTAAGTGACAGTGAGCTTTACGTTATGTTAATCTGTTTTAAAACTCAATTTATTATCATTAATGGCATCCTGCAAAAATAAAATCTTGGTAGACTAAATGAGTAACCAGTGGCCACACAACACTCCTCGAGCCTCAATTCCCTCTCCTTCTGTGTGGGAAAGCACCTAGAATTCTAATCTGTGCTTGTTCCACTTGTTTCTTTCAGCTTCTGGCCAATACAGTGCTTCCATTCTCACCAAGCTTCAGAGGGGTCCCTATAAGGCCGCCGCAGGGAGTTCATTACTCTTAGCTTGGATCCTTTTTACTTCATTACCTTGTCAACATTGACATTTATAACACTGGCCCAGATTCCCCAGGCAAAGGGCAAACAAATCAATAGCAGAGCCATCGGCAAGGAAGAGGGATATCAGGCAAAGAAAATCAATAGGCAGCATGGTTGTATGATCTTATTAACAGTAGCTGCTGTTTTCAAATACCACTAAGCGCCAGACACTTCACAGGCATTATCTCATATCTTCAAAACAAATAAATAAAGCAAGTATTACTACTCCTACTTTACAGATGAGGAAACCAAGGCTCAGAGAGGTGATGTTAGTCATGACAGAGCTAAGAAGCAACCTTTCTATGGTTTGAGCTCAGCACTGTCTGACTCCCAACCCATTCATTTCCCATCTCACTACCACACACATTCGTGAGAAAAATACATTGTAAGAGGAAGCTGGAGATACTCATCCAAGTCTGGGAGGCAGCTAGCTGCACAACATTGGGCCCAGTCATGGGTAGTGTGATAACCTTTCAGGTAACCACAGTTCTAATATTTATACATTATACATATATGTGTGTGCATGCATGTGCCTGTGTGTGTTTTCCTTCAACATACATTATAGAACATGTAATATGTGTCTGCCAATACAGTAGCAGGGAAGATAAAACCGTAAATGAGGCTGGGGTCTTGTCTTTGGAACCTCATGACTACCCCATGCTGAGAAGTGGAGAGGGACAGTGGTAATGTCTGGGGTGTTTAAGCATCGGACTGGATTTGATGATTTTAAGCTTGACTGACTCACAAAGTATAACATGATTATAACCCATCAGAGGCAGCTTGACTCCTGAGGAAATAAGTTTAAATAATTTCAGGTGGGTTTTGGTCTAGTTAACTCTTTTCAGATGATTTTATCAAAAGTATTATTGGCCAGGTGTGGTGGCTCATGCCTGTAATCCCAGCATTTTGGGAGGCCGAGATGGGCAGATTACTGGAGGTCAGGAGTTTGAGATCAGCCTGGCCAACATGGTGAAACCCCATCTCTACTAAAAATACAAAAATTGGCCGGGCGAGGTGGCACACACCTGTAATCCCAGCTACTTGGGAGGCTGGGACAGGAGAATAGCTTGAACTCAGGAGGCAGAGGTTGCAGTGAGTGGAGATTGCACCTGGGTGACAGAGTGAGACTCCATCTCCAAAAAAAAAAAAGAAAAGAACAACAAATAAAAAAATAAAAATATATTGTCCACACTACCACCTCCACTGTTTACCAATCATCAATTAAAGTCATGTTAACACCTTGCCTTATCCATTCATTCCCCTAGAGTGGGAGAGAAGAGTAAAATTTAAGCTTTGTTACATAAAGACTAGGATACCTTTAGCTGGAAGGCAATTAGAGTCCAAAAGGGAAAATGCTAGGTTGGATGAAGTGGCTTCTTATATTATTATTATACTGGTGTTACAAACCTTACTGAGCTGTTATTAAATGGCAGGCATCATCCTAGGCACATCATTTGCATTACCACCAGATTTTTGGAATTATAATTGTCATAATAACATATACCTGTGTTCTAATTGAGACGACTGAAGTTTGGAATATTTAGTAATTTGTCCAGGTCACATTAGTCAGTGGTGAAGTCATAATTTGAACCCAGAGCTGATTCCAAAGCCTGACTTACAAGAAATGTGTCATCCTCTCTCCATGATTAAAGACTCCCTCACTCTACCTCTACTTTTAAGCCCATTAAGTCTAAAAAGACAAACTTTTGATGCAGAGCTTCTCAGCAGAAAAATGAACTGTGCATTGTGTGAAATTTTCATATCATTCCTTAAAAACCAAACTGTGGCAGGATTTATTAGGAGCTTGGAATCCAGACACTTACTGGTTATGTGATATTGAGAAAGTCACTGAACCTCTGTGACTCAATTTTCTCATCTATAAAAATAGAAATAAGAATGGTACTTATCTCCCTGGGTAATGACCAGGGGAAAAATAAATTAGCATAAGGAACGAGTTTAGATTTAGCATACAGAAAGATATTATGAAATAATAATACTAACAGTAACTACTAGTTTTATGATACTATTGGTATTAGCATGCTATAAATATTATACCATTTTTAGTACTATTATTTTGTAACAGTGAAGAAAATCTAATATTTAGCATAGCCTACACGGGATACTTCAAAACCTTGAAAAACTTTAATACTACCAACAGATCCCACCCAAATAACTTTCCTTTGAAAGAATTAATTTTTAAGATAAGCAAGATCTTTAGAACAAGGACAGTTTTTTTGCTGTTATATTTGTTTGTTTCACACATTGTGTGGCCATAGTAATGCTCAATAGTTTTTGCTTGAGAACGAATTTGAAGTTTATATCAATGAGAGTCATGTCATGTGACTTCTGGGCCACCACACAAAACATCCTTCACTATCACAGTCAGGCAAAGATGTGTAATGTCTGGCAAATCCGTGAAGGCCACCCCTCTTAGAAGGAGATTACTAACAGCTCCTCCCAGCTGAAGACAGTCTGCATTTGGAAACAACATATCATTGATATTTTTACTTCATTCATTTTTTTAGTCACTAGTATAGACAGAGCAGGCAAGTGACGATATAAAATGAGTAACTCAAGGGCATGCTATTCATAGAGTGGTTTCACTCTTAGAAAAAACAGACAACTTCTACAGAGCAGTGCAGAGCATGGAGCACGCTGGCACTGCTATCATGAGGTGATTCATTTAACACACAGAAATAAAATTGCATCTTAAATCAGAAGATAACACACATTCCTGTTGCATGAGGAGAAACTAAATCATCTACTGAATTTCTCTGTGGGGAAAAAATGTAACTTGTTATTGTTAAAGGAAAAAAATAACAAAAATCCCATCTAACCCAGTTGCAATTCAGTGCTGGTTATCTACAAAGTAGAAAATATAAGACATGCGTGTTTGGGAAGTTAGGATGATTACTGACATCTGATATTTCAGGATGCTCTAAAACACACCATTTATTTCATGATGCGGAAGGTCAAATTAGATTAACGAATCTAAAATACTTTATTACCCAAACAGACAGTATCATTAAAAATTATCTGGACAAAATATAAAGCAATTACACACAATGTGAGGATTTGAGTCTGAAAAAGGCTGTGGTTTGGAGATTTAGTATTTACTAAAGAACTATGTATGACCATAAACAAAATGAAATATAATTTGAGAAGCCTATGCATTTAAAATGAAATAATCTTTTAGAGGAGTCACTTTGGAAGCTATAAACTTGTTCTAAAGAAGATTACATGCATTTATTTATTAAAAGAGCATAGCTCAACTATTATTTTTCATACCGCAACATATTTGAACTGTTGATGCACACCGGCACAATCCTTTCCCCAAATGAGCCACAATTCCTAGCCCATGGCTATAACTGCACCCTCTTCTCTCCTCTTAAAAAAGGGAGAGCAAAATGCAAAAGAGAAGAAGAGGTGGCATTACTAGATCATTGTTGATCTTTCTCTTTCTCTGGTAAGAACAGCTCAACTTGCTTCTGAGAAGTAGCCTTTCCCTGTTTTCAACCCATGCAATTAACGCTGAACTATCTCCACTCTCTTCACAGCCATAGCTGGGTGAATAATTTGGCCATGGCCATGCAGTAGATCCCAATCACCTGAACACTGCCATGGTCTGGGATTGGTCCTTGAAAACTCAATCCCATGACTTAACATAAGGAAAGTTTTCTGGAACTTTAAAAGTGGGAGGTTTTCTTTCCACATGGAATGTTGAACTGCTGCTACTTAAACCTGGAGTTGATGATTTCACCTTCATTACCACTGAAATCTTGCCTGCAAATGAAGCACCTCCAAGCGGTAAGCAGTCAAATGTGGAGTGAGAAACAGACAGACTGGAAAAACCCGAATCATAATATTTGAGATTCTGAAGCCAGCTGTACCTGAAGCAGATCTTACACCTTGAAACTTCTATTTTCACCAACTATTGTTTTCTCTTTTGTTGTTATTGTTGAAGCTGGTATGAGTTTGATACACCCTTGAAACAGTGCTAATTGATAATGAGTCACACTAGATTCTGTATGACTCACCATGGTTCAGAATTGCTCTTTTGGAGCACAGTTGAGCACCTCCCTGGAAGTTACACTTACAGTCACCTTGACAGACACATTAACAAAAAAGAAAACAGAAAAAAAAAAAAAAAAACCCTCATGGTTCTCTTTTACGTTTCTACAACCTTGAAAGTAAAGAAAAAAATAAGCCAACATTTCTTGAGTATATGCTAAATACCAAGTAATTTGCATATAAAGCTTCAAGAAATACTTACACAGCTCTGTGAATTAATTAAATGAATTAAGTATTACTATCCTCATTTTACCAATAAGGAACCATAAACAGGTTAGATAAATTCACCAAGGTCACACAATGGTTAACTACATGAGAGATGCAAACATGGGTCAATTTGTCTCCAAAAAGCTGAGCATCTTCCACTGTAGAATTTTGCTTCCTGGTTTAGCATTGACTCCCAGATTTGAATCATAAGAAGGCTCTGTGTCCAAAATCAAAAAGGAATTAGAGTTCAGTCTTCCAAAGTGAGCATTTTGAAGTACACACCTTTTATTTATATGCATAAATTCTTCTGTGCTTTCTATAAATGGCAGCCATAATTCAACCTCTGCAAGATGCTTGTAAAGTGATTTTATGTGAAAGCATTCAGGGTTTTCATTCAATGATACTGTAATGTTGGACAAGACACAGTAGGCTCAAAGTTTAAACCTGAGGGATTGGGGAGAATTAAAGAACCCTGTTCTATAGATGCAATCAGAACTCATTTTAACATGTCAAAATCATGTGTAAGTGCTCACAGATAGCTCTGCAATTTACAGATTAGCTGTAAATTTTATGCATCTTGAGAAGAAATTCTTTCAATTTCTGTATTTTTTTTGAGGCAAGTAAATATTGAAATCTAGATGGGCAAACAGCCATTGGAGCAGAAGAATAATGCCTCTGTCAGGTGTGAGCTTAGGCCTATCAAACTGGCAAGTAGGAGATTAACAAACGTTGGCTGCATAAAAAAATAATGCTATCAGCATGCCATGAGTGCAAATTCCATTTTAATGTCTCTTCAGAATTTGGTAGCAATAGTTTAAAGGCAGTACTATAATTCTTTTCCACCTAAACTTTAACCTGTTTCCATATGTTTAAAAAGTAGCTACTTCTTAATTCTGCAGATTGGCAAGAAGTCTTCTTTAAGAAGAGATAATAATAATAACTTAATTCTTAATTTCACCAAACAATAGTAGTTTTTGTTTTGAAATCAAATTTTCTTGATATATTTTAGAAGAGTAAAGAAGGGGACAACAGGACCAGAAAAAAAATAAATTAAAAACAAAAAAGGCAGAGTTTCTTTCAGAAGTTTCAAGTTTTTTCAATTCCTATGTCTGCCTGGCTGTCTACGCTCTTGTGACAGGGCCAAGTTAAACAGAGACTTAGAAATAACAGTGATAAAGCACACTATGTTTGAATCTGAGGCATACACATCTATACTTTCAAATGAAATAAGCAAGTTTCCAGAAACATTATCTCTTCCAAATGGATTACTTCCCTAAATATGTGCTCTCTCTCTCTTTTAATGTTATTTTTCTTAAATTCACTGATGCAATAGGCCAGAACCAAGTAATCTCTCTTGAAAGTTAAGAAATGTCAGTAAACCAAAGAATAAACCTTGCAATATCCCGTAACTTGATGGATTTGAGCATCAACATTCTTAGAGAACCAACAGTGAAGTTTTAATGTACACAATTAAATCTGCTATTTTTCATGGGCCAGTATCTACATCATGGGGACCTTCAGGAAACAAACAAACAAACAAACAAAAAACTGCTTTATTTATAACAGTATCTGTAGCACCGTGGCTGGTATAGAGTATGTACTAAACCACAGTCCTCTTTAGTAAGGAATTTTTCCTTTCTCAGACAAAAAGAAAATGAACAAACTTGCTTTTGCTTTGCAATGAAATGCTATTGATGGTACTGAAGAAAACTGAGACACTAGATTTACTACGTATGTTTTCTTTTCATATCTACCATGAAAAATGCTTTCTAGTGTTTGATTTACAGTTGGAAATGTCCTACAAAGCAATCTTTTCTAAAATTGTGAAGTTCAGTTGCATTTATCATTAATTCCATGTAGCCATTTTAATACCATCTCTTCCTGTTTTCTCCATCCCTACTTTACTCTATTTCTGATACATAGGGTTTGGTTTCCTTGTTCCAAAGGTCCCCCAGGATTAGCGTCCTTTCTAAATAATAAGCCTGAATGTTCATATTGTCTCCCTTTACCTTCTGCTAGGGAACTTTCATAGACCAGAGTGTTAAGGTTAAGTGTTGGTCAAAATCCTTCCATCTGTTCAACGGCAGTTCAAATGGGAAGGCAGCCCAGTGAGCAGATGTCTCCCATTCTTAGAACAATGAAGACATTTTATTGGGTATTTGATATGGTTTGTATCTGTGTCCTCACTCAAATCTCATGTTGAATTGTAATCCCTAATGTTGGAGGTAGGACCTGGTGGGTGGTGATTGGCTCATGAGGGAGGATTTCTCCTGAATGGTTTACTACCATCCTCTTGTTGATGTCCTTGCAATGGTGAGTAAGTTGGTGAGATATAATTGTTTAAAATTGTGTGGCACCTTCCTCCTCGCTCTTCTTCCTGCTCTGACCATGTGACATGCCTGCTCCTCCTTTGTCTCCTGCCATTACTTTAAGATTCTTGAGGCTTTCCAGAAGCTGAGCAGATGACAGCATCATCCTTCTTATACAGCTTGTAGAACCATAAGTCAATTAAACATTTTTTCTTTATAAATTACCCAGTCTCAAGTATTTATGGCAATGCCAAAATGGACTAATACAGTATTCCTCCTCAATCTTAACAGTTCTTTTCTACCTGATAATTACAAAGCACCAGAAATAAAATAACAAGTTGTCTGTAGTACCTTGCTGTAAAGTTTCAATTCACCAGCCTTATTGTTGGCTTAGCTAAAAGTGTGAAGGGTCATATGAATGCTATACACAGTGGTAAGATTTAATGAGGATTTTTTTTTTCATTTTTAACAAGAGGGTATTATTGGAACTTCCATTACACAGAGCAGGGGCCATGAAAAAGGTCTGGGCTTTGTGGTCCGTAAGCCCACATTTTCCCTCTTTCTAAGGGTGTTTTAATTTGGTTAATGATATTAATAGTAACAACATTTCCGCTAAGACTTCAACCAGAAGACTGATCTCATTCAGGTATGGAGCTCAAATTTATATTTCTTCTCTGTTCAGAAAAAAAAAGTGAGAAATTAAAATTGTCCTAAATTGGTAGTACCTCCTGGCACCTGGCAGAAGTTAAAAAAAAAAAAATCTTATTTTGAGGAGAGTGTCTTAATTTTTGATCCTTAGAGTTGTCACAAATTAATTGTAATCAATATGAACAAACGCACATGCACGCACACACACACACACACACACACACACACACACACACACACAGCATAAGGAAACAAGTTACCACAGGAAAAATTTAGAAAACAGCTAGTAACAGACTGGGACCCTCACAGACTTCAGATGTTGGAATTATCAGAGACAAAATGTTTAATAACTATTAATGAAATGCCTAAATACATAAAAAGATGGAAACAAACAAAAGAACAGAGACAACAAATTATCTTTATTAATAGCCATGCTTCAAAAAGAACAAAATATTATTTTTAGAAATGAAAGATGAAATCAATAAGAAATGATTCATTGAATGGGATTAGGCCTAAATAAGGAGAGGACTAGTGAATGTGATGCTAAAGCCAAATGAATTGCCCAGAATGCAAGATGTTATATCAAAGAATGAAAGCTATAAAAAGAGGGTAAGAAATATGATGATAGAATTAGCAAGTCTAAGTTCATATAATTTAGATCTAGAAGAATTGAGTAGATAGAATAGGAGGAAGCAAGATTTGATATGTTGAGAATTTTTAAGAACTGATGAACAGATACATATGAATAATAAATAGGAACTGGATACATAGATACATATGACATAGCGAACAGGAAACATAAAAATATCAAGTAAGATATTTTAAAAAGAAATCTACAAGCAGATACGTGATGACAAAACTGCAAAACATCAAAGAAAAAAGGATGACTTTAAATCAACTTGTAAGTAGTAGGTATGGAGGTGGTCAGAGCACCTTCAATAGCAGGACAGATGGACAGCGGACTTCTTGGTAGCAACCGGGGAAGCCAGAAAACAAGAGGACACTGATGTGCCAGTGAGTCTTTGAAACTGGCTCTTCAGTAGGAAGAGGTAGGGAAAGTCCTGGCTTTTAGCATTTCTGATATCCACAGTGTAAACCCTCCTACTACAGCTGATTTCAAGCTGGCATCCTGCCACCACTGAAGGATGCAGAGTTGGGGAGAGACATGTATACCTGGTTCTTAAAGGCCAGTGCCACTGGCTCCGTTACACCTCTGACTGATTTCTCAGTACCTGAGAGAAAATATTCTTCAATATTGCATTGAAGATCTAGCAAAATTATCTTCCAAGATTAAAGGTAAAATAAAACTTTTGTTCAGGAAAATAAATAAATAAGTAAGTAAATATGTATATGTATGTATAATGAAGGGAACCTTAAACAGAAAATAATTCAAAAGAATTTAGTTAAAAAGAAGGAAATAAAGCCTGGCAGAAGATAGAAAAGTCTGAGATACAGGAAGAAATGAGGAATGTATAAACTAGTGTCTATATTAATAAATCAAAAATAAGCAGTATCTGAAAAATATAAAAATGATTATTATTAGGACTGTGAATGGAATCAGAAATAAACTCAATCAGGGATCAGTGTTGATTGGTTCTTCCAACTGCTATTTGGGGAACTAAAATGGACATTTTTTTGACCCTACTTCAGCTAGGTTTCTGGATCAACATTACATCTGGAAATTATAAACCCTTTATGAAGCTTGAGGGCTGTAGCAAGAATCATTTTTATGCCTTTTCAGCTCTTTCTACTGGCAAGCAAAAGCAGGGGCCCGTGATGCTTTTTCCACAGCCATTTTTCAGATACCTCCTCCTTCTACCTGTGAATTTGCATACAGTATGGGGCACGAGGAAGTCATTCCAAAAGACCCCAAAAAGAACCCACACTGTAAGTACTACAACAATCTTGTAAGCAACTAACTTACGTGTTAAATGTATTTCTGCTTACCATGCATTGAGTTATTAATGTTTTCTGCATTGTACTGTGATAGAGAGAGAGTCAGAAAGAATATGATAGAATCACAGGAAGAGCTGGATACATAGGAAATCGGGTAGCAGAAACAAAATCCAACTTTACAAGTAGCCCCACAATGTAGAAGGACCTACATTTGCCATTATAAAAAAATGGATGGACAGTTGAGTATAAAAAATAAAATCTAGCAGTATGTTCTTCACAAGATCACCTACAAAGCTGAAAGAAAAGGAAAAATTGAAAGAAAAAGAATGAGAAAAGAGGCCAGGCAAACACTAAGTTAAGCAAAGTTGTAATAGGCATATTAATAATAGGCAAAATAAATTTAAGCATAAAAAGACATTACTAAAGTTTAAAAAGGTCACTTAAGTGTGATAAAATGTTCACTTCATCAAGTAGATAAAAAATTTCTATCTTGTATGCATGTAATGAATACTGTCATCATATATAAAGTGAAAATTGACAGAACTTCCAATAGAAAAAAAAAAAGATTCACTATTATAATAGGAAATTACAATGCCTTTAAAATTTTTGATGAACTATTGAGTTGCTCAAATCCTTAATGTATGCACTCATACATTTAAGTTAAAATTAAGTAAAACTTAAAAATATATTTGAAAATTAAGTAAAAATTTAAGTATTCTGCTAAATTATTTTAGTATTTTACCTCTTGCAAGTTTTTATAAAGTAGATAGAAATGCATTGCCTATTTCTGCCACAGATACATCTTGGCATTTTCTGAATAAGAAATCTTGGTTTCAGATCTCAGATATTATGGGAGCAAAAGGCTCCAGACCTGAATCCTTAAACACCCTAATGAAAATTATGCATTCATTTATTTTAATAAAGCCCACTGGAAAGGTATGAACTAGAACAACATACCTGTGACTTTGCCCAAGGTGAGTGACCTTATAACCCTGAACTCTACTTCCGGAGAGAAGTTATAACTGAGTCGAAGTTGCTGGTCCATCTGCAGGAAAACAGAAAACAAAGGCACATCAGCAGAGGTCTGCAGGTAAGAAGCATAAAACGATCCCATCTGGAAATAGCTTGAAAAAATGCATACAGATAGCAGACCCCCCTCTGAGATTTTCTCTCAGGAGAGATTAGACAGGTCTCGCTAATTTGCCCACAACGCACATAAAATACCCCTTTCTTTCTTCTTTGTGAAATAAGGGTTTTCACACAAGTCTTCTCCCTGGGAAACTGTATACAGCGTTTTATAGGTATTTATCTCCCCACAGAGATTTTCTCACCAAATTCTTTGCTGCAAACAAGCAAACAAATGAAACCTGCTCAGGAACTTGCTGTGCAAGATTAACATTAATAGGAAGCAGGAACTCATTTTCCATTTCTCCCCCTTTCTCTCTGTTTGTCCTTAGGGCCACCACTGTCCCCATTGTCCCATAATTCTGACCTGGTCTCATTTAGTTGTGGGCAGAGAGCTTTTCCTGGGCAAGGATTGCAGTCTGACAAAACATGTGGTCCTGGGGAGGAGAGGGCAGCTGAACAGTTAGCTGCAACCAACATGGACGATTGATAATCCCATCTTGCAGGGGTGAGCAAAAGCCAACACTGGGACTTCAGTAGGACTTTATTTCTATGACCATCCTTTAGAGATCCCTCCTTACTTCACCCATGGCTAATTCCAGCTCCATTTGTTCAGTCCCCTTCCCATTCCTAGGGAGCCCTCCCCATTCATTCTCACTTTTTCAGGCTAGCCATATCCTACTGGTTTCTTCCAGGCTCTACTCTGACTATGCATATGGTGCTATTCCCAGAAAGAGTCCTCATTATTTTACAGTTCACCTGTAAGAAGAGGAGACTAAGATCCCATTAGCCATGTGCCTGACTTTGCACAGCTTGAGTGCAATCCACCAGGGACTCATACATAGTCCTCCCATCTCCCCTGCCATGATTTTCCTTTGGCACGTCTGCTCAGAACGACCCTCCTCTGTTCTCAGGCAACTTACATTCTAGAGGAGGGAGACAGGACAGAAAATTTGATAAGTAAATACATTGTATTGGAAGTTAAGTGCTGAGAGAAAAAAATAATGCAGGCAAGAATAAGGGGGGGTGTAGGGTTGACGTCAAGGAAATAGGTTGCTCTATTAAATAAGCTGATCAGAGATGGCCTCAATGAGAATGACCTTTTGAATCATTTGAGTGCAGAAGGAAGTACAAGAACTGGACATGAGTATATATAAAGAATAGCATCCTAGGCAAAGCAGTGAGTCCAAGGGCTCTGCAAATAGCAAAGAGGCCAGAGTGGCACAACTAGAGTTCCAGAGGGCATATAATCAGATGAGGTTAGAGAAGCAACCAGAAATGAGCAGGGGTGTCAGATAATGGAGATCCTTATAAGCCACTGGAAGACCTTTGACTTTTTCTCTGTACGAGAAAGGAAATCATTGACAGGGTTTGGACAAAAGAATGCCAGGATCTATTCCTTCACCAGGATCACTCTGACTGCTATGTTGAGGATAGACAGCCAGGGAACCTAAAGAGGAGCAGGGAGATGTCAATCAAAAGGCAACTGTAAACAGTGATAATCCAAGCAAAGGGCAAGGGTGGCTTGGGGAAAGGTAGATGCTGTTGATCCACGAGATGCTGCATGTAAGAGAAGGAGAGATAAAAGGAGAATACCACAATTTTGAAACTATGGACTTGAAAAATGAAGCTGCCACTAACTGGGACATGCTTGCAGGGGATGAGGTCATTGTTTCAGGAGAACTTCCTAATAAGTCAATTTTAACTATTTACTTAAATATTCCAATGCCTAACGGATATTCATATAGATATGCCCAGTAGGTAGTTGGTATAAGGTCTGGAATCCAGGGACAGGATTAGTGTTAGATACACATTCAGGATTGATTCATCAGCATGTACATGAAATTTAAAGATGTGAGATCGAATGAGATGAGTATGGAGTGAGTGTAGATCAAAAGCAGAAGCTGGAGTCCTTGGGCGTTCTGAGAGTTCCTTGGGGTAGAGTTTTGAGAGATGATGGGAAACCAACAAAAGAGACAAGAGTGAGCAACTAACACAGGCAGAAGGATCAACAGGCGAGAGTTGTATTGGGCAAGCAATAAAGACTTAGGTCAAGTTGCAAGAACAGGAAGGAATCCCTATGTCAGTTGTCAATGAGAGGACAAGGAAAGATAACACTGAGACATGACCACTGGATTTTGCCAGGTAAGCACAATGATGCCTTGAGAAGTACAATTTTGCTGCAGTGCAGAGGCAATACCTTTTCGGTATGGGTATAAGAAAAAGGTAGGGAAAATATGAAGAACAAGCATATAAACAACATTTCCAAAAATTCGGGCAAGAAAAGGACAAAGAGAATGGAACACTGTAAGAAGTCAGATAAGAGAAAGGTTTCCTCTCTTTACCCAGAGATATGCTGGCTTGTTTGCTTGTTTAGCTATTGTTGTCTGTATATTAGTTCTTAATGCATGTAATAATTATTTGTTTTAGGCTTTGGGGAGCCATTCAGTAGAGCTGGAATAAATGATGAAAGGGAGGGAGGAAGGAGAATGCTAGAGTGATTTTCTTCAGTAGGGTATCAGATCTGACCCACAGGTAGCAAGGTCAGGCCTTAGCTAGAACCATGAACTATTCAGGAGGGAGAGAGAGTGCAAACACACATGTGGTAGGTAGGTAATGTGCTCTTGAGAATGTGCGGATATTCTCTTCTGAATGTAAGAGTGTAAATTCTTACAAGAAATAAGAAAGCAAAGTCATCTGCTCAGAGTTAAGACAAACTGGCAATTGTTAGCAGTATAAGTAAAGAGGAGAGAGTGTAAAATGGTCAACCAGGAGAACAGGAGAACAGATTAAAAAACATGGAGTGATTGATAGGCAGATGCAAGGGCTTGCTGAGGGTCATGATTTTAAAGGGGATGATCTGGACTCTGTCTATTCTCTGTTGGGCTCTGCCATCATCTGCTGCTGGCCCTTTATATGGAGCCCACTGAGATCTCATGGGGTGCCTCCCACACAACATGCTTTCAGACAGCTTTAGCCTGCGCTCACATGGACCCTCTTCCTGAGCACTCTCCTCCTCCCTGTGGCCAACTCCTACTCATCTTCAAGACTCAGCTTACTCCTAACTTCTTCCAGGAAGTAAGTACTGATGCCCAGGTGGGATCAGCACCCTCTTCAGTATCACCTGTGCCTGCTTCCACCACATGCCTTCCCACAGCCTATTATGATTTCCTCTTTGCCCATGCGTCTTCCTCACTTTAATGCAGCCCAGCGGTTGGCAAACCTGAGCAGACATTAGTATCACCTGCTGCTTTCCCCCTTCCATAGCCTCCAATTTAATAGATCTGCTGTGGAACCCAAGAATCTGCATTTCTTTTTGTTTGTTTGTTTGTTTTTTGAGATGGAGTCACTCTGTCTCCCAGGCTGGAGTGCAGTGGTGGGATCTCTGCTCACTGCAACCTCCGCCTCCCAGTTTCAAGTGCTCCTACCTCAGCTTCCCCAGTAGCTGGGATTATAGGTGCGTGCCACCACACCTGGCTAATTTTTGTATTTTTTAGTATTGATGGGGTTTTGCCATGTTGGCCAGGCTAGTCTCGAACTCCTGACTTTGTGATCCACCTGCCTCAGCCTCCCAAAGTGTTGGGATTACAGGCATGAGCCACTGCACCTAGCCAATAATCTGTATTTCTTTTTTTCTTTTAATTTTTTTTTTTAATGAAGTCTTGCTCTGTCTCCCAGGCTGGAGTTCAATGGCGTGATTTCTGCTCACTGCAACCTCTGCCTTTCAGGTTTAAGCGATTCTCCTGCCTCAGCCTCCTGAGTACATGGGACTACAAGTGTGTGCCACCACACCTGGCTAATTTTTGTATTTTTAGTAGAGATGGGGTTTCACTATTTTGGCCAGGCTGGTCTCGAACTCCTGACCTCTTGATCTGCCCGCCTCAGACTCCCAAAGTGCTGGGATTGCAGGTGTGAGCCACCACACTTGGCCCAAGAATCTGCATTTCTAACAGGGTCCCAAGTGATGCTGATACTGGTGGGACATGGGAAGCACATCTTGAGAACCACTATCCTAGTTCTTCCAAGTCTGGGGGCAAGTGTGATTTGTAACTATGTTTCCAGCACTAGGCACTACACTGGCATGGGGTAGAAGCTTAGAAAAGTTTGATAGAGTAGCCAAGGCACATTGGCTGAAGCAGGAGAAAGTAAGGAAGGTACCTGAATGGTAAGCTCTCTTCCCTCTCGGTTAATCTTCAAGTGGTGCATCCTTCTGTTAGCAAAGTTATCTGCATCAATGGTGAATACATGGGTTTCTTCCTTGTTTAGGTGATAGCGAACCTGTAAGCTTCCTTGAAAGAAAAATATTAGAAATTAGAATATAAAGCAGCACCTATAAAATGCAAAGACATGATCAGATTATCTTTTAATTGATTATTAGGGCCCCAGGTCTTAATCCTTCCATTATTCAATTTTTAAAAATATATCACGTATATTTATCAGGGTCCCTAAAGAAAATTCTGAAGAGAGCTGCAAAAATAGAGAGACAGAGAGAGAGAGAGAGAGTGTGTGTGTGTGTGTGGTGTTATCACAAACCAAAATGCCAGTTTAGAAAATAAAACATCTATTTTGTAATTGGATCATGAAACTTTAATAAGGTAGAGTTAAGATCTTTTCTACTTTCTCTTCAATTCCTACCACTTCCTATAACTCTCTTTCTTCCTAATTGCTGTCTCCCTTTTATATCTAAGGACTGGAAAGAGAACTCAGTCCTGTTATCACCCGTTGATATATAATGCCCATGATGGGAATGTGGCCAGATTAGGGCACAGTGCCTCACTTTAACCCTTTAGGGTCCATTAACCCTTTTAACCCTTTACAGCCCACTGGAACATTCAAATTTTATTAGGACTGCGTTTTTCAAACAGCTGTTAGCTATTCCTTGTTGGTTAGGAAATCAATTTACTGGGTCTCAGTCAGCATTTCTTACAAAATGAAACAGAATTTAGACATATGAGACTCCCAGGAGACATATTAAAAATAGAAGTGTATCAATTCTGTGTGTGTGTGTGTGTGTGTGTGTGAGACACAGAGAGACAGAGAGAGAGAGACAGAGAGAGAGAGAGAGAATATTAGCTCACAATGCAAAATGGCCACTTCAGAGAGATTTGTTAAGGGAAATAAGATTAAGCTAGATGGGAGGAATAAGTTCTAGTGTTCTATAGCACTGTAGGATGACTAGAGTTAACAAAAGTATATTGTATGTTGTTTCAGGTAGCTAGAAGGAGAATACTGAATGTTTCCAAAACAAGTGATAAATGTGTGAGATAATGGTTGTGCTAACTACCCTTATCTGATCACTATACATATATGTATTGAAACATCTCTATGTACCTTATAAATATATACAAGTATTATATGTCAATTAAAAATAAAATTTAAAAAAATGTTTGAAAGACATTCTATATTTAAAAATTGCCATGGGGTAATAAGTTGTTGAGATGCTACTTTATCTCAGACACTGTGACAGGCACTTTTCCTCATCTGATCCTTTCCCCAGCGTCACTGGCTGTGAGAGTTGAGCCAAGCAGCCCAACTGCATGCTGCTTGCTGTCCTTTTCTGTCTGTAGGGGTCATCTGGTCTGGAGTCACTGGAGTCCCACACACAAAATGGCAGGAGCTCTTCCCTTGGACATATGTGGGAATGGAAAATAATTGGAATTGAGGAGCGATGTCATAAGCTGATGGCCATTGGGGAGAAAGGAGTATCTGCTCAAATTTGAGCTGAGAACAACTAAAGTAACTCTTTCTCATCCCCTCAAAGTTTCTCATATTCCCTCATCCCAAAGAAAAACTCCCTGAACTCTCTCAGCCTGCCCATCTTTCCCAGACTGCCAATCCAGTAAGGCAAGAGGGTTGTGAGTAACCACCGTGTCCCTGACTGATCCCCAGTCCTCACCCAAGTATTTGAATACTTTTGCGGGGAGAGGGCAGAGACCATTTCAAATATAAGTTGCTACTCATAGAATTTCAGAATACATGCATGTGAAACAATAAATTAAGAATAGAAAAATGTAGTTTGGAGCTATGAGGCCATTGCCTAACACTTCTGAGGCCAGAAGGAGAAGCTCTCTATACCTGGTCCTGGTTTTCCTGGTTCATTCTCTTTCTGTGGTTCTGACCACGCAGATTTCCGGATATTATTATTTTTGTTATTTTACTACTTAAAAAGTAATGGCTGCTCCCAAGAGCAGCATATTTTGTGCAGACAGGAGCTGGTAGGGGCGAGTCACTGTGCAGATCACGGGCAAGGTACCCCTCCTGCCCCTGGCAGGGAAAGGCCCATCTCGTGCACTGGTGGGTTGCTGGGCAATATGCCCTTCCACACTTTTCTAAGAATCTGTGTGTCTTAACATTTAATTCAACCTCATAAAATAAACCAGTGTGTGATAATTACGTGCCAGACATAGTGATCGACCCCCACATTCCTTAAGGCTGTTGAACTCTCTTAACATCTTACTGTTCTGGTAATTCATATTCACACACATATTCTTTACATATTTTTCCATTTTTGAAAACACTTTCATTTTATACATGTTTGCTGGCATCCCTCTTGCCACCATTCCTCTTAGGACCTAGTAATCTCAGCAGAGTTCCTATCTGCTAAAGTATTCTGAAGCTTCCCCCAATATCCAAGTTCGTGATACAAAAAAACACCTCAGCTAGTTCTTCCAAAGCCATACAAATACTTCACTCGCCTTCTTAGGAGCTTTGATGCAATCAGTGCCTCTTAAAGTATCCCTCCACCCGCGAATGTGATGTTCTGAAACCTCCCACTAACTCATTTCACATGACTCTTGGGGAAGCAAATTCACTCCATGACTTTTCAAAGTAAGTTTGACCCCATGAAAGGCTAACTTCCAGAAGGGATGTGGGTCAGAGCTGGGGGCTCATTAATCACCTCCCTGAGCGTCTTCTTCAGTGGCTTTGTTAGGGAGCTAAGAGACATTTCCACCTCTTCAGCTGTGCACTCCAGTGGTTCAGATCACCATCAGCTTCTTGCCTGGCATTGCCATGTCTATTTGTCTCTGGAGAATCCTGGGCCCAGAGTTATTCCCGCTATCCTCAGGCCTTCCTCTACCCCCTCGGCTTGCTTCATCTGTGAGCTTCCATTTCCTCCCTGGAGTTTTCTGTCCCCATCCCCTTTCATTAGGTTGACAGCAATGATAGACATTGCAAGTTTATAATTCCACAGACAGTGAATTGTCAGAGGGAAGGTGTTGTCCCTAAGTCTAATAAAGCAAAGAATGAATTGAATATTCTGGCCATGAATGCGATGCAATTTCTCTGACATGCTGTAATGCATTTATTGTCTATTTGGTATCATTTTCTTGTTGTTTATATATTAACATTGCTACACTATAAAGGACACACATCATTTTTTGTTCATATAAACAGAGATAAGATGTTCACAATGTGGAAATTAACAATAAAAGAGATTTGAGCCTTAGCTTAAAATAAAACTTAGTTTAAAAATAAAACTGGGCTAGGTGTGATGGCTCACGCCTGTAATCCCAGCACTTTGGGAGGCCAAGGCAGGCAGATCACCTGAGGTCAGGAGTTCGAGACCAGCCTGGCCAATATGGTGAAACCCCATCTCTACAAAAAATACAAAAATTAGCTGGGCATGGTGGCACATGCCTGTAATCCCAGCTACTCAGGAGACTGAGGCAGGAGAATCGCTTCAACCTGGGAGGTAGAGGTTGCAGTGAGTGGAGATTGTGCCACTGCACTCCAGCGTGGGCGATAGAGCAAGATTCTGTCTCAAAAACTAATAATAATAGAATAAAATAAATAAAAATAAAACTAATTTGAGCCTTAGTTGCTTCTGGAATAAATATGTATAAAAAGAAATAAACTTTTGTCACTAGCAACTACTCTCGAAGTTTTAAAGGTCCTATCCATGTTGGAGCACTCAAGTTAAATCTAGCTGCTTCTTCTTCTTCTTCTTCCCCGTATTCAGGCAAAATCATCATCATTATTTTTATATTTATTTATTTATTTGTTTTTGAGATGGAGTCTCACTCTGCCACCCTGGCTGGAGTGCAGTGGCGTGATCTCGGCTCACTGCAACCTCCATCTCCTGGGTTCAAGTGATTCTCCTGCCTCAGCTTCTCAAGTAGCTGGGATTACAGGCTTGCACCACTACACCCAGCTATTTATTTATTTATTTATTTTTGTATTTTTAGTAGACTTGCAGTTTCACCATCTTGGCGAGGCTGCTCTTGATCTCCTGACCTCAGGTGATCCACCCGTCTCAGCCTCCCAAAGTGCTAAGACTACAGACATGAGCCACCACGCCTGGCCAGCATCATTATTTTTAGAAATAAACAACAGATATTATAAATGCTGTTTTTCTAAAAAATTGAAAATCTATATTTAAAAAAGTACTTAAACACATGATAAGGAATCCTCTTAAAAGAACCGATGGTTTATCACACCCTGATAAGATCCCTTTTCACTTACTAGACATCGTTACACTCCTTGGCTTAGCACAGGTATTCCATCATGATTGAGCACCTACTCAATACTCCACTTTCATCTAGAATGCTTTTTCTCTTTAATTTTCTTCACTTTACTGCGGAAAAAATAGAGCTGCTGGGAAGTAAATAACTTTTCCTGTTCTCAGTAAATGATGAGGTCAGATTTAAAAACTAAATTCAGCCGGTTCCAAAGAGCATGAGTTTCCCAAGGGCCACAACAGCCCATGGTGATCACCGCTGCCCAGAATGCCCTTCTCATTAGGTTGACTCTCCCATACTTCAGAATTCATCATAAGTTTCCCTCTCATAAGAAGCCCTCCCTGGCCTCTGTAAACTGCCCATAACTGATCCAATAGGCCCTACCATCTCCTTTATTCTAACATGTACTGTGTTGTGTTGTCTACTTACTTGCCTAACTCGCACAAATCAATAAAATCCTTGGGAGCCAGGACATATCTCATTGGTTCTTGGGTTTCTAGTGTCTGGCCCATGGTAAGTACCCAGTAAATTTGGAAAGAAGGGAAAAGAAAGAAAGAAACAACGGAAGAAAGGGAGAAAGAAAGGAGAGAAGGAAGGAAGGAAGGAAGGAAGGAAGGAAGGAAGGAAGGAAAGAAGGAAGGAAGGAAGGAAGGAAGGAAGGAAGGAAGGAAGGAAGGAAGGAAAGAAGGAAGGAAGGAAGGAAGGAAGGAAGGAAGGAAGGGAGAGAGGGAGGCAGGGAGGAAATAATTGAATAATTTGGTGGGTCTTAGAAATTTTTTTTTTTTTGAGACAGAATCTCGCTCTGTCGCCCAGACTGGAGTGCAATGGCACTATCTCGGCTCACTGCAAGCTCCGCCTCCCGGGTTCACACCATTCTCCTGCCTTAGCCTCCTGAGTAGCTGGGACTACAGGCGCCCACCACCATGCACGGCTATTTTTTTGTATTTTTAGTAGAGATGGGTTTCACCATGTTAGCCAGGATGGTCTCGATCTCCTGACCTCATGATCCACCCACTTTGGCCTCCCAAGGTGCTGGGATTACAGGCGTGAGTCACCACACCAGGCCTATTTTTTTTTTTTATACTTTAAGTTCTAGGATACATGTGCACAATGTACAGGTTTGTTACATATGTATACACGTGCCATGTTGGTGTGCTGCACTCATTAACTCATCATTTACATTAAGTATATCCCCTAATGCTATCCCTCCCTGCTCCCCTCACCCCACCACAGGCCCCAGTGTATGATGTTCCCCTTCCTGTGTCCAAGTGTTCTCATTGTTCAATTCCCACCTATGAGTGAGAACATGTGGTGTTTGGTTTTTTGTCCTTGCGATAGTTTGCTGAGAATGATGGTTTCCAGCTTCATCCATGTCCCTACAAAGGACATGAACTCATCCTTTTTTATGGCTGCATAGTATTCCATGGTGTATATGTGCCACACTTTCTTAATCCAGTCTATCATTGATGGACATTTGGGTTGGTTCTCAGTCTTTGCTATTGTGAATAGTGCTGCAATAAACATACGTGTTCATGTGTCTTTATAGCAGCATGATTTATAATCCTTTGGGTATATACCCAGTAATGGGACGGCTGGGTCAAATGGTATTTCTAGTTCTAGATCCCTGAGGAATCGCCACAATGACTTCCACAATGGTTGAACTAGTTTATAGTCCCACCAACAGTGTAAAAGTGTTCCTATTTCTCCACATCCTCTCCAGCACCTGTTGTTCCCTGACTTTTTAATGATTGCCATTCTAACTGGTATGAGATGGTATCTCATTGTGGTTTTGATTTGCATTTCTCTGATGGCCAGTGATGGTGAGCATTTTTTCATGTGTTTTTTGGCTGCATAAATGTCTTCTTTTGAGAAGTGTCTGTTCATATCCTTTGCCCACTTGTTGATGGGGTTGTTTGTTTTTTTCTTGTAAATTTGTTTGAGTTCATTGTAGATTCTGGATATTAGCCCTTTGTCAGATGAGTAGATTGCAAAAATTTTCTCCCATTCTGTAGGTTGCCTGTTCACTCTGATGGTAGTTTCTTTTGCTGTGCAGAAGCTCTTTAGTTTAATTAGATCCCATTTGTCAATTTTGGCTTTTGTTGCCATTGCTTTTGGTGTTTTAGACATGAAGCCCTTGCCCATGCCTATGTCCTGAATGGTATTGCCTCGGTTTTCTTCTAGGGTTTTCATGGTTTTAGGTCTAACATTTATGTCTTTAATTCATCTTGAATTAATTTTTATGTAAGGTGTAAGGAAGAGATCCAGTTTCATCTTTCTTCATATGTCTAGCCAGTTTTTATTATTTCTTTTCTTCTACTAATTTTGGCTTTGATTTGCTCTTACTTTGCTGCTTCTTTAAAATGCATTGTTAGATAGTTTATTTGAAGTTTTCTCTGGTGATATGATTTAGTTTCTTTTTATTTTTTGTGTATCCATTGTATGCTTTTTGACTCAATGTTTCCATGAGGCTTGCAAATACTAACTTATAACCCATTACTTTAAGTATAACCCATTATTTAACTTGATTTTCACGATATTGATTCTTCCTATCCATGAGAATGGAATATTCTTCTATTTGTTTGTGTCCTCTTATTTCACTGAGCAGTGGCTTGTTCTCCTTGAAGAGGTCCTTCACATCCCTTATAAGTTGGATTCCTAGGTATTTTATTCTCTTTGAAGCAATTGTGGATGGGAGTTAACTCATGATTTGGTTCTGTCTGTCTGTTATTGGTGTATAAGAATGTTTGTGATTTTTGCACATTGATTTTGTATCCTGAGACTTTGCTGAAGTTGCTTATCAGCTTAAGGAGATTTTGGGCTGAGATGATGGGGTGTTTTAGATATACAGTCATGCCATCTGCAAACAGGTACAATTTGACTTCCTCTTTTCCTAATTGAATACCCTTTATTTCCTTCTCCTGCCTGATTGCCCTGGCCAGAACTTCCAACACTGTGTTGAATAGGAGTGGTGAGAGAGGGCATCCCAGTCTTGTGCCAGTTTTCAAAGGGAATCCTTCCAGTTTTTGCCCATTCAGTATGATATTGGCTGTGGGTTTGTCATAAATAGCTCTTATTATTTTGAGATATGTCCCATCAATACCTAATTTATTGAGAGTTTTTAGCATCAAGGGCTGTTGAAATTTTTAATATCTAAAAAATAATTTCTCTGGAACAGGACAACTCTCATAGTACTTATTTTTATTAAGTCCAGAGACCAATTCACTTGACTTGTTCTTATACACTGTCTCGCCTAGAGTGTGTTATCCTTGAATTGGGTGTATATGTTTTTGTTTTTGTGGTGTTTTTTTTTCATGAAGTGTCACTCTTGTTGCCCAGGCTGGAGTACAGTGGTGCGATCTCAGCTCACTGCAACCTCTGCCTCCCAGGTTCAAGCAATTCTGCCTCAGCCTCCTTATTGCAGGTGCTTGCCACCGTGCCCAGCTAACTATTCATTTTTTTTTCTTTTTTTTTTAGTGGAGACAGGGTTTCATCATGTTGGTCAGGCTGGACTTGAAATCCTGACCTCAGTTGATCCACCCGCCTCGGCCTCCCAAAGTGCTGGGATTACAGGCATGAGCTCCCCTGCCTGGCCTGAGTTGGGTGTATACGTATCTTGAAAATCCCAAGGGTGGCATGCCAAAGGAGCTTGCTAGAATCTGGTGGTCCTGTTGGAGTTGAGCAGTCTCTGCACTGGTTTAGCCTCCTTCTCACCTGCATCTGAGGCTGTAACACCTCAGAAAATTTACTCAGGTTTGGGCTCCCACCAACTGCCTGGAACCTGCTGACTATTGCCTGTGTTTAGGGTTCCATCTCTTTTGCATGCATCTGAGATTGCCTTATATGCCGAGTCCAGTAGTTTTCAAATTTGTTTCCAATTGCAACACTGTATTCAAATGATGCGGACAGTGAAGGCTAGTACAGAAAAGAAAAAAAAATGTAGAGCTGCACGAGTTGAAGTGGGAGGGGTACTTATGGGGAGGCTCACTGTCTCTTCCTCGTCACCCCATCTCCACCCCACAACTTCATTTGGCCAACACAATGCCTTGGTCTCCAAGGAATACAGTGGAAACCATTTGCCCCTTCAGAGAGAGCTCAGCCTACTGGGATTTGGTCACAGATCCCCAGGACAGCTTTTTGTATCACTCCTGTGAGCCCCATGAGCCACAGCCCAGAAACCAGTGCCTCCCTGCAGGTTTGACCCCCAGGACCTCATGCTCTAAGTATCCAGAGGTCAGATCTGACAAGCTTGCCATGGATATTTGGCCAGGCTTTAAGTTGATCAATGTTAGACTCTGTATACGTCTAAGTAGACATAACTAGCTTCAAGAAAGAACCTCGCATGGAAGAGATACTACACTCCTCCTGAAGTAGGATATGTTGGATCTATTTCAAAGCACCTCTAATACTCAGCCAAGGATCACCCAGTACCTTGTAGCAAGGCATTTTATTATTATTTATATCCTACTTGAAATTCAGCTACACATGACAAGGGGATGACGGACCAGGAACTCAGGGTCTAAAAGTCCAAATAAAATGCTCAACATCACTCATGATCAGGGAAATGCAAGTTAAAACAACATTGCGATATTACCTTACTCCTGCAAGAATGGCCAAAATCAAAAAATCAAAAAATAATAGATAATGGCATGGATGCAGTGAAAAGGGAAAACTTCTACAATGCTGGTGGGAATGTAAACTAGTACAACCATTGTAGAAAATAGTGTGGAGATTCCTTAAAGAACTAAAAGTAGAACTACCGTTTGATCCAGCAATCCCACTACTGGGTATCTACACAGGAAAGTAAGTCATTATACAAGAAAGATACTTGCACACGCATGTTTATAGCAGTGACATTTGCAATTGCAAAAATATGGAACCAGCCCAAATGCCCATCAATCAACTAGCAGATTAAGAAATTGTGGTATGTGTGCATGTGTATAGGTATATATTCTTTATCAACTAGTAGATAAAGAAATTGTATATATACACACACCCCCACACACAATTTCTTTATTTTTTTATACACACACACACACACACACACACACACACACACACACCATGGACTATTACTCAGCCATAAGAAGGAACAAATAAATGGCATTCGCAGCAACGTGGATGGAACTGGAGACCCTTATTCTAAGTGAAGTAACTCAGTCATGGAAAACCAAACATTGTAAGTTCTCACTCATAAGTGGGAGCTAAGCTATGAGGATGCAAAGGCATAAGAATGATACAATGGACTTTGGGGACTCAAGGGTAAGGGTGAAAGGGGGATGAGGGATAAAAGACTATAAATTGGGTTCAGTGTACACTGCTTGGGTGATGGGTGCAGCAAAATTTCAGAAATCACCACTAAAGAACTTATTCATGTAACCAAATACCAACTGTTCCCCAAAAACCTATGAAAATAAACATTTTGAAAAATAAAATAAAATTACATTAATTAAATTTAAAAGTTCAAATATCTAATTCAGTATCTTGAGCTGGGACTTAGGGTAAATACTCTCGTACATTGGTTGTACAAGAACATAATTTTTCTGTTTTACCTTTTCTCACCATTCTACTCTTCCTACTCTAATCTGTTTTCCACACTTTTATTAATATGAATATTATAACACATATGTGGCCATATGACTCTAGTGCCTAAAAAACTCCGAGGTGGCTGGGCACAATGGCTCATGCCTGCAATCCCAGCACTTTGGGAGGCTGAGGTGGGCGGATCACTTGAGGTCAGGAGTTCGAGCCTGACCAACATGGCGAAACCCTGCCTCTACTGAAAATATAAAAATTAGCCGAGCGTGGTGGCACATGCCTGTAATCTCAGCTACTTGGAAGGCTGAGACAGGACAATTGCTTGAACCTGGGAGGTGGAGGTTGCAGTGAGCCAAGATTGTGCCATTGCACTCCAGCTTGGTCAACAAGAGCAAAACTCTGTCAAAAAAAAAAAAAAAAAAAAAAAAAAAAAGCAAAAGCCCAAGGCTTTCTAATTCTATATGAGAAAGTCCAACTTCTTACCATGACATTCAATGTCCTTTCTTACCTTTCCAACTTTATTATGTATGTATTATTATATCTTAGTCACACACCTGAACACGCAGTATCCCTCCAAATGCTTTTCCTTGCCTCTGCACATTGTTATGTTTTTGTTTTATTTTGTTTCTCTTTTCCCCTTAGCTGAAAACACCTACTTGCCTCCTAATATGTCTGGCAAGCTCCTCCTCATTATTTAAGACCCAGTCCATGTGACCCAGGTCCCCACTTGCCCCAAAGACTAATAACATCTTTCTTTTCACCATATTGCCACTCTGGTCACGTAGAATACAAATCTCAATTTATCAAGACTCTTTTGTCTTTCTCATCCTCTTGAATCTAAGCTCCCCTAGGAGGAATTGTTGCTTATTCATCTTTGTGTCTAAAGAGAATAACATGGGACATGCTATCTTAAATCTCCAGAAGACATTTGTTGAATAAAATAGCCACTATGGAGAATGTTATCAACACTTCCCCCAAATTATAAACTAACATTTATTCAATGCCTGCTGGTGTAAGACACTAGAGAAACAAATGGCTATAATGCTACAGTTCTATCTTCAAAGACCTTATAATCTAGTTGAAGGAGACAAAAGCAACAGTCACACTGGCTGATCTGATGTGCCTACTCTGTATTAGGCACCTAACCTGGTACTAAAGATAGGTTTTTCATTAAATCCTCAGATTAAAAAATGGAATTTTACAGAGGTATAAAAACTCCACAAGTAAAACTGTAATGAGAATATTCATAATGAAATGGGATTTAAACCAAGGAGTGCAGATGTATATAAAGTATGTGCCCTTTCCACTATGTCATGCTACCTCAAAAGAGATGTGTGGCAGCATAGAAGGATGAGTGGATGGATAGAGGAATGGACGTATAAGCAGAGGGAAAGGGAGAAGATTTGATCAGTGCTACGGAATACATGTTTTGTGAATTCAAAATCAATAAGTGGTTATAAGGGTTGAAGTACATCCACATGAAAGTTCACTGCAGTACTATTCGCAATAGCAAAGACATGGAATCATCACAAATGCCCATCAATGACAGATTGGATAAAGTAGATATGGTATATAGACACCATGAAATACTATGCAGTCATAAAAAAGAATGAGATCATGTCTTTTGTGGGAACAGGGATGGAGCTGGAAGCCATTATCCCTAGCAAACGAATGCAGGAACAGAAAACCAAATACCTCATGTTCTCACTTGTAAGTAGGAGCTAAATGATGAGAACTCATGGACACAAAGAGGGGAACAAAAGATGCCAGGGCCTACGTGAGGATGGAGGTTAAGAGGAGGGAGAGGATCAAGAAAACAACTATTGGATACTAGGCTTAGTACCTGGGTGACAAAATAATCTGTACAACAAACCTCTGTGACATGAGTTGAACTGTGTAACAAACCTCAACATGTACCCCTGAATCTAAAATAAAAGTTAAAAAAAATGCGTGGAGGTAATTAGAAAGAGTTTGTCTGGGAAGAAGTTTTGTAGAAGCAAGATAGAACTTAGTTTGGAAAACAAAAAGTGATATACTATTAACTATGATGTAAACAGAGTGATGTAGCTGGATCTCACCGTACCTGAAGCTGTAGAACTGTAGGACAGTGGAGCGGATGAGAACCTTAGCAGCCATTTGCACAACCAACCTCATCATTTTGAAAAGTAGGGAAACTGTGACCCCACAAAAGGAATGGGAACTTGGAATGAAATGTTAAAGAAAGAGACCACACTGGCAAGGAATGCCAAGGAAATTTTACCTGTTTCTGTAAAGGGGGATTCCATTAGGAGCAGCAAACACATGTGTGACACAAAGTGATATTTAAGAATGTTAGCCTGGGTGCCACAATGTACATATAAGATCTAAAGGGAAAGACACAAAGCACTATGGCCCTCACATCATCAAAGGGATGACTGATCCAGACTCTGGACCACCACTGAGGGATAAGAGTTCGCTCTCATTCTCCCTTTACTACGGCATTGCTAGTTTCTTGCTTTACCATTTCACTTTGAAAGAGCAGGCTCTTCTCCATGTTGATTCTTTTCTATTCCACATCAGTTCATGTCAATCCTAGACTTAGACAGCTTCCTATGCATCTTTCAGTTTCTGCTAACCAGATTGTCCTCACCAAAAAGCTCCCCTTTTAGTTTTTACCACCTCACATAATGGCACCCCTCTGTGCTGGCTGCTCAGGTTAAAATTCTAGGAGCCATACTTGTTTCTTTTGTTTCATTTTCTTGACCAGAACCCCTATACATGTGCCCCACACCAAGTCATCGACAGCCCTCTGGTCTCTACTAAATACATTGTGCATCTTTGCACTTCTTTCCAGGTCTTCACCATGCCGCAAGGCAGTCCATCACCAGCTCTCACTTGAACAACTACAACACATCTGAACTTGTCTCCCAGATTCCAGCCTCACCTCCTCATTCTCCCACACCCATCCATTCCCTACACAGCAGTCAAAATAAGCATTTACACTATAAACCAGATGCCACTACTTAAAATGTTTAATGATTCTCCAGTGCACTTAGAATAAAATCCAAATTCTTTGACATGGTCTGCAAGAAACTATATCATATTCCCTTGTACCTCTTTGGTCTCATTTCATTCCACACTTGCCCTCACCCACTAAGCTCCAACTACTACTGACCTACTTTATGTTCCCCTAATGTGCTAGCTCACTCCTTCTTTGGAGACTTTATTCCTGCTTTTCTCTGCACCTAGAATGCTCCTGATACAGATCTGTGCCAGGAAGCCCCTCCTTATTCACATCTTAGGTCCCATGAGAGCCACACAATAATGTCTCCATATCCATGCACACCCACTTCAGCACCTCCATCTAACTGTTTTTCAAGCTGTCAGTCATAATTGATTAGTGCATCATGGACTCAATATCAGACTTCAGTATTTGTTAGTACTAATAATTGCAAACCCTCCGTAATTGCAACTGTAGGAATTTTGTTTTCTGACTACAATCTCTTCCCTTTCTAATTCCCTTCCTCTAATGCCTGGACTTCTCCAATACTTAGTGTAAGGGTTAATCTCACCATCTACTCAGAGCTCTTAACTCCTTTGTGTCCTCTCCTCTCTCCTTTCCCAGCTCATATTGTCTGGTCCATCACTATCCTCTCATTTACAGCCTCAAGTCCCTTGGCCCATTCTTGCTTCTTGAAAGTGGATATTTGTTTGTCCGAACAATGCCTGCTTACCCTACTTTTGAATGGTTTATCTGGTGGAAGAAAACACAAACCATGCACACTGTTTATAAGCCACTTTATATCCAGGACTGCCAACTTCATGTGGGCCTTCCCCCTCCTCTTAATCTCAGCTTCTTTCTCCTATCCATTCACCTATTGGCTAAGGCGACCATATAATGCCTTCTCTTCATTTCTGCCTTCTCCTTCCTCACTCTCAGCTAATAATCTTGTCTCCATCTTCTCGAAGACAACTGAAACATTTGTAAAAGAACCACAAAGTCCCGCCCCCACATTTACTGACGTGTCAATAGCTGAACCCCTATGTGCTGACTTTCCTTTCATTAATTTAGATGAATTATCCTCATTTTTTATCTGATGCCAACGTATTCTTTCCTTCTCATCGTTATCACCTTGTAAAGACACTACTGAGGCAACACCCCATTCCTTTACAATTCTCTTTAAAATTTGATTCCTTCTGCTATATAATTCCCATTAGCATTTTTTGTATCTAAAAGGAAACTTCTGCAACTTTCTTTCTTTTTTTGGATGGAGTTTCTCTTTTGTTGCCCAGGCTGGAGTGCAGTGGCAAGGTCTTGGCTTACTGTAGCCTCTGCCTCCAGGGTTCAAGCTATTCTCCTGCCTCAGCCTCCCTAGTAGCTGGGATTACAGGCACCTGTCACCACACTCAGCTGATTTTTGTAGAGATGGGGTTTCACCATGTTGGCCAGGCTGGTCTTGAACTCCTGACCTCAGGTGGCCCACCTGCCTCGGCCTCCCAAAGTGTTGGAATTCCAGGCATGAGCCATTGCGCCCGGCCTGCAACTCTTTTAATGTTAGCTAATGTCACATTTCTCTGCTCCCTGATGGTTTACAGTAAAACTTTTAAGGCGTTATCTATACTTTCTCTAATGCCTCTTTTTAATTTACTTTTGAAACTTATTCCAGTCAGATTTTAACCCTAAGCTACCACCAAAACTTTCATTTTATTATTAATTCACCAATGAA
Source organism: Homo sapiens (assembly GCF_000001405.40). NCBI lineage: Eukaryota > Metazoa > Chordata > Mammalia > Primates > Hominidae > Homo > Homo sapiens. The sequence continues at coordinate 124,850,894 of NC_000002.12, read as the reverse complement.
CTGTATGTTGATAAATCGAATTTTCCTTTCATAATCAGTATCTTATTTTTATTAGTATTCAATACAGTCACATTCTTTTCTTTCTAAAATGCTTCAATTTCCTAATATTTTTCTCTCCTAGTTTCCTTCCTACTTGACTGGTCATTCATTCTCTCTCTCCATGCTGATTTCTCGATGTCACCTTGCTTTCTTCATGTTAAAGTCCCCGGGCTCGGTCTAGGAACTTCTCTATCAATACTCACTGCTTTCACAATCTCATCCAGTGCTGTGGTTCCATTTACCATCTGTTTTGTCTCCTGGGCAACTGTAATAATAGAAATTTGGAGGCTGGAAGTTTGAAACAGAAATATCAGCAGGTCCACTTGTCCTCTAATGGTTCAAGGGGAGGATGCTTTCTTGTCTCTTTTCAGCTTCTGGTAGCTCCTGACAATCCTTATTGTTCTTTGGTGTGCATTGCTCCAATCTCTGCTTCTATCCTCATGTCACATGGCCCTCTTCCCTCTGTGTGTCCCTATTTGTCTCTGTGTCTCTCTATCCACATCTCATTTTCCTTAAAAAGACACCAGTCATTGGATTTAGAACCCATTTTATCCAGTATGACTTCATTTTAACTTAATTTATTACATCTGTTAAGACCTTATTTTACAAATAAATAAAATCCTCAGTTCCAGGTGGGCATGAATTTGGGGGAAACAAAATTAGTGACCTATTTTTACTGTTATTACCAATATCGTTAAAATATCATTGGTTGCCCATTTTGTTCTAGGAACTATCTCAAATGTATTTCATATATTTCATCCTTCAATCTGAAAAATATGGCCTACTTATAATTAACTTTACGCTAATTTTACATATGGGACAACTGTAGGTCTGTTTAATTGGGTTGGACATTTAAATATGGGCCATTTCACACAGTTCTTCCCTCTAATTTGGCTGTGGCCTACAATTTTCCTGAAGGTTAGCAGCCATACTTGACATCCTTCCTTAGCCCCCATCATAGAAAATAAAAACATTTAATGAAAATTATTTAAATAAAGACATAGATAATCCCACTCAGTTAGGCGTCCCAGAGCAAAAGACTAAAATACAATTTGTGACCATTCTGAGGCCAAGCTTCATTGTTAAGAACTTGTCCTGGAACCATTGCATGTACAATCAAATGTTAAATGTGTATGACGCTGATGAAAGAAATTGTAGAAGACACAAATAAATTAATAGATAGCCCACATTCATAGATTAGAAGAATCATTATTGTTAAAATGTCCATACCACCCCCAAATGAGCTACAAATTCAATGCAGTTCTTATTAAAATTCCAATTGTATATTTCAAAGCAATAGAAAAACAATTCTAGAGTTCATATGGAATCAAAAAAGATCCCAAATAGCAAAAGGAATTTTGAGAAAGAAGAACAAGGCTGGAGGCATCACACTTCATAATTTCTAGCTATATTACAAAACTATAGTGATCAAAAGCTTATGTTATCCATGCTGAATTCCTAATTAGAAACAAAAACAAAACAAAACAAAAAAATAGTATGGTACTGGCATCAAAACAGACACATAGACTAAAGTAATAGAGGAGAGATCCCAGAAATAAACCTATACATTTGTGATCAACTAAACTTTGATAAGAACAGCAAGAATACACAATGTAAAAAAGGACAACCTCTTTAATAAATGGTGTTGGAAAAGATAGATACACACATACACATGTATTAAGTTGGATCCACATACAAAAATTTACTTGAAAATAAAGAGTTAAATATAAGATCTGAAACCATAAAACTCCTAGAAGAAAACATGGAGGAAAAACTCCTTAATATTAGTCTTGGCAATATTTGTTCTTTATATGACACCAAAAGAATACACAGCAAAATCCAAAATAAATAAATGAGACCACATCACACTAAGAAGTTTCTGCACAATATAAGAAACAGTTGAAAAAATGAAAACGTGACCTAGAGAATGGGAAAAAATATTTGCACTACAGATCTGGCAGGGATTTAATATCCAAAATATATAAAGAACTCAACTCAATAGCAAAGAATAAACAATGACAAAAGTGAGCAAAAGTTCTGGATAGATATTTTCCAAAGAAAACATACAATGACCAACAGATCTACAAAATGGTGCTCAATATCGCTACTCATCAGAGAAATGCAGATCAAGACCACAATAAGATATCACCTCACACCTGTTAGGATGGTTATTATCAAAAAGACAATAGGTAGCAAGTGTTGGCAAGGGTGTGGAGAAAAGCGAACCCTTGTACACTGTTGGTGGGAACATATACTGGTATGGCACTTATGGAAAACAGTTTGAAGACTCTTCAACAAATTAAAAAGAGAACTACTATATGATCCATCAATCCTACTTCTGGATATATATCCAGAAATCAGTACCTCAAAGAGATATTTGCACCTCATGTATATTTCAACATTATTCAGAGTAGCCAAGATATAGAAATAACCAGAGTGTTCATTGAGAGATTAGTGAGTAAAGAAAAAGTGGTACATTATTTAGCCACAGGAAATAATAAAAATACTTTAATTCTCAATAACATGGATGATATTGGAAGACATAATGCAAAGTGAAATAAGCCAGACACAGAGAGACAGACACTGTATGTTCTTACTTATATGTGGAATCCAAAAAGGTAGAAATCATAGAAGCAGAAGGTAGAATAGCGGTTTCCAGGGACTGGGGTTTGGGGAAACGAGAGGATGTTGGTCAAATTTTCAATTACAAAGTGAACAAGTTCAGGCAATCTAATGTAAAGCATGGGTGGTGATAGATGTGTTTTTTTGATTGTGGTAACCATTACACAGTGTTTATATGTATCGACCCATCACATTGTACATCTTGAATGTATTCAATCCTTATTAGTCAAGTAAACATTTTTTTAAATGCAATGATATGACTCCAAGTTTTTTTAAAAATAAATATTTTTAAGCTTTTTGGAAAAAGAGACACTTTATGCTTAAAAATTATAAATTCTATGGAAAATAAAGCCAATTTTTATGACAAAAGTAAACATTAAGGTTATTTTCCATAATTTCCATCTTAAGCAAGGTAAGAAAAGATTAGAACAGAAAAGAATTAGATATCCTCAAGAGAATATTCTCGAGAATTAAGATGTCAGATAGCAGGCAGGACTAGCTTGCAGCCGCCACTTGGATGGACAGAGCAGTGTGTGGAGACTCACGTCGTAAACTTTTGCTCCAAGAACTACCACAGGAACGTACCAGGAAAGCTAAGAGAACCCACAGACCCTTTGAAGGAACTGGATCACCACTGCAGGGTCCCTGAGATACCAAAAGCCTGTAAGTCGGCTTGCTTTCTCTGCTAGGAAACTCATAGTTTGGGGCAAGTTCTCAGCCCTGGTCTCTGGCTGCCTGGATATAGACTCGATGCTGTTGGAGGGGCACAATGAAAGTTAGACCAGCCTTCAGGACTATGGACTACATGGGAGTGGGGTGAGGCCTGTGACTGCCTGCTTTCCCCCACTTCCCTGGTGACCTGTATGATTCAGCAGAGGTAGCCATAATCCCCCTGGGAATATAACTCCATTGGACTCGAAGTCACACCCACATCCTCCACAGCAGCTGCAGCAAGCCCTGCCCAAAGAGAGGCTGAACTCAGAAAGCCCTGCCCCTACCTGGTGGTCTTTCTGTGCCCATCCTTGTAGTGAAAGACAAAGGTCAGAAGCTTTTGGGAGCTCTATGGCCCTGCTCCCCACCTGAAAATCCTGAATACTCAGCCAGGTGTTCCTAAGGCAAGAATGCATCCTCCTTATAGGGCCACATGTGATGCATTCTTAAAAGTGCCCTCTCCTGGCTGGAGGCCAACCAACATGCAACCAGCACTCTAAACAAAAACACAACCAAAGACCCTCACAGAGTCCACTTCATTCCCCTGCTACCTCCACTGCAGCAGTTGCTGTTATCCACAGCTGCAAGATCAGAAGGCAAATCATATCACAGGACTCTTTGCAGAAGCTCTCCAATACCAATGCAGAGCCCAGTAGCTCTACTGCGTGGCTAGACCCAGAAGAGCAAAAACAACCACTACAGTTTGGCTCTCAGTAAGCCCCATTCCTAGGGGAAGGGGGAGAACACCCCATCAAAGGAGAACCCCATGAATGAAAAAATCTTAACACTAGCCCTTGAATCCCATATCTTCCCTCTGACATAGTCTACCCAAATGAGAAGGAATCAGTAAAACAATTAAGGCATTATGATACAACAAGTTTCTTTAACACCCCCAAAAGATCATACCAGCTCACCAGCAATGGATCCAAACCAAGAGGGAATCTCTGAATTGCCACAAAAAGAACTCAGAAGGTCAATTTTTAAGCTAATCAAGGAGGCATCAGAGAAAGGTGAGGTCCAAATTAAAGAAATCAAAAACCTGATACAGGATATGAAAGAGAAATTCCTCAGTGAAATAGACAGTAAAATAAAAACAATTACAACTCCTGGAAATGAAGGACACACTTAGAGAAATGCACCGGAAAGTCTCAGCAGTCCAATCAAACAAGCGGGAGAAAGATCTTCACAGCTCACAGACAAGGCTGTGAAATTAACCCAATTCAACAAAGACAAAAAAATTTTTTTTAAAATGAACAAAGCCACCAATGAAATCAAGATGAAAATTCTAAAAATTCTTTGAACTGAACCATAATAGTGACAATATCTATCAAAACCTCTGGGATACAGCAAAAGTGGTGCTAAGAGGAAAGTTTATGGCATTAAATGTCTACATTAAAAAGTCCAAAGGAGCAAAAATAGGCAATCTAAGGTCACACCTCATGGAACTGATAAAACAAGAACAATCTAAGCCCAAAGCCAGCAGAAGAAAAGAAATAACAAAGATCAGAGTAGAACTGAATGAAATTGAAACAACAACAACAACAACAAAAATGACAAAATACAGAAGATAGATGAAAAAAAAAAGCTGGTTCTTTGAAAAGATAAATAAAATTGATAGACCATTAGCAAGATTAACCAAGAAAGGAAGAGAGAAGATCCAAATAAGCTCAATTAGAAATGAAACAGGAGGTATTACTACTGATAACACAAAAATACAAAAGATTATTAAAGGTTATTATGAACACCTTTATGCACATAAACTAGAGAACCTAGAGGAGATGGATACATTCCTGGAAATACACAACCGTCCTAGATTAAATGAGAAAGGTATAAAATCTCTGAACAGACCAATAACAAGCAGTGAGATTGAAATGGTAATACAAAGATAGCCACCAAAATAAAAGGCCAGGACCAGGTGGATTCACAGTTTAATTCTATCATTAATTCAAAGAAGAATTGGTACCAATCCTATAGACACTATTCCAAAAGATAGAGAAAGAAGGCATCCTTCCTAAATCACTCTATGAAGCCATTATCACCCTAATACAAAAACCAGGGAAGGAAATAGCAAAAAAAAAAAAAAATACTACAGACCAATATCCCCAATGAACATAGATGCAAAAATTTTTAACAAAATACCAGCCAACCAAATTCAACAACATATCAAAAAGATAATCCACCATGATCAAGTAGATTTCATACCAGGAATGCAGGGATGGTTTAACAGACATAAGTCAATAAATGTGATACAACACCTAAACAAAATTAAAAACAAAAATCACATGATGATCTCAATAGATGCAGAAAAAAAGTATTAGAAAAAAACCAGTATCACTTTATGATTAAAACCCTCAGCAAAATGGGCATAAAGGAGACATACCTTTACATAATAAAAGCCATCTATGACAAAGCCACAGCCAATATTATAATGAATGAGGAAAAATTGAAAGTATTCCCCCTGAGAACTGGAACAAGACAAGGATGCCCACTTTTACCACTTCTATTTAACATAGTAATGGAAGTCCTAGCCACAGCAATCAGACAAGAGAAAGAAATAAAGGGCATCCAAATTGGTAAGAGGAAATCAAACTGTCACTGTCACTATTTGCTGATGATATGGTTGTATACCTAGAAAACTCTAAAGACTCATCCAAAAAGCTCCCATAATTGGTAAATAAATTCAGCAAAGTTTCAGGATACAAAATTAATGTACACAAATCAGTAGCTCTGCTACTCTGCTGTAGACCAACAGAAGCTGAAAATCAAATCAAAATCTCAACCCATTTCACATTGGTGGAAAAAAAAATTTTAAAAACCACTACAAGGAAAACTACAAAACACTGCTGAAAGAAGTCATAGACAACAGAAACAAATGGAAACACATCCCATGCTCATGGATGGGTAGAATCAATATTGTGAAAATGACCATAGTGCCAAAAACAATGTACAAATTCAATACAATTCCCATCAAAACACCACCATCATTATAAAAAACAATCCTAAAATTCAGATGGAACCAAAAAATAGCCCACATAGGCAAAGCAAGACTAAGCAAAAAGAACAAATATGGAGGCATCGCATTACCTGACTTAAAATTATACTATTAGGCCATAGTCACCAAAACAGCTTTGTACTAGTACAGAAATAGGCACATAGACTAATGGAACAGAATAGAGAACCTGGAAATAAAGCCAAATATTTACGGCCAACTGATCTTCAACAAAGCAAACAAAAACATAAAGTGGGGAAAGGACACCCTATTCAACAAATTGTATTGGGATAATTGTCAAGCCCCATGTAAAAGAATGAAACTGGATCCTCCATCTCTCATCTTATACAAAAATTAACTCAAGATGGATCAAAGACTTAAATCTAAGACCTAAAGCCATAAAGATTCTAGAAGATAACATTGAAAAAAACTCTTCTAGACATTAGCTTAGACAAAGACTTCATGACCAAGAACCCCAAAGCAAATGCAAGAAAAGCAAATATAAATATGCAAACAGGACTTAATTAAACTAAAAAGCTTCTGCAGAGCAAAAGAAATAATCAGCAGAGTTAACAGAAAACCCAGAGTGGGAGAAAATATTCACAATCTATACATCTGAAAAAGGACTAATATCCAGAATCTACAAGGAACTCAAACAAATTAGCAATGAAAGAACAGACAATCTCATCAAAAAGTGGGCTAAGGACATGATTAGGCAATTCTCAAAAGAAAATATACAAATAGACAAAAAGCATATAGAAAACTACTCAACATAACTAATTATCAGGGAAATGTAAATCAAAACCACAATGAGATATCACCTCACTCCTGCAATAGCCATAATCAAAACATCAAAAAATTATAGCTGTTAGCATGGATGCAGTGAACAGGGAACACTCCTACACTGTTGGTAGGAATGTAAACCAGTGCAACCGCTATGAAAAACAATGTAGAGATTCCTTAAAGAACTAAAAGTAGATCTACGGTTAGATTCAGCAATCCCAGTATCTACACAGAGGAAAAGAATTCATTATATGAAAAAGATACTTGCACATGCATGTTTATAGCAGCAAAATTTGCAATTGCAAAAATATGGAACCAGCCCAAATGCTCATCAATCAACGAGTGGATAAGGGATATTACTCAGCCATAAAAAGTCATTATATGAAAAAGATACTTGCACATGCATGTTTATAGTAGCAAAATTTGCAATTGCAAAAATACAGAACCAGCCCAAATGCTCATCGATCAACGAGTGGATAAGGAATACTACTCAGCCATAAAAAGGAACAAATTAATGATATTTACAGCAACCTAAATGCCTGGATGGAATTGGAAACTATTATTATAAGTGAAGTAACTCTGGAATGAAAAACCAAACATTGTATGTTCTCACTTATAAGTGGGAGCTAAGCTATGATGATGCAAAGGCATAAGAATGATACAATGGACTTTGGGGACTCAGGAAAGGGTGGGGGCATAGTGAGGAATAAAATGTTACATATTGGGTACCATGTACAATGCTTGTGTGATGTGTGCACCAAAATCTCGGAAATCACCACTAAAGAAATTATTCATGTAACCAAACACCACCTGTTCCCCCAAAACCTACTGAAATTAAAAAAAAAATTAAAAAGAGAGAGAATATTCTCAGCTTTTTGAGAATTTCTCATGAGGCAGTAACTGCACTGCACTGAGCATTTTCAGATCCACTCAACTATGATGGTTTTCTAGGGCTCGATTCATTTCTTATTCAAAAACAACCTTGAAAACTCTCAAAGGAAGTAGTAAACAGGTACCAAATCCCCAAACTATTCAGTGATGGGTTCTGGTTTACTTGATTCAGCTCTATTCTAAGCACTTTAATAAGCAACAATTATCTTCTTCTATTTCAGTGCTTCTGTTTACGTTTGCACAAAATATTCTACAACCTGTCTTACCTTTAACTCAAAATGCATTTGCATAGAAAAAGAGTCCCATTACTGGGAATGAATACAGACCAACTGCTACTCTTCCATGGGACTCTGTTCTGACAGGTTTCCTTACTGTATGCTTCACTGAATGGCAGCCCTTTTTCAAGGAAATAAAAATACATTGAATTATGAAATCAGGAGTTTCTTTAATTTATATTTTTCAGTTCATATATACAAGCAAAATCAAACAGGTTCCTTGGTTCAGGCCTGCCCTTTGAATTCAGTCTCTGTTGCATGTATAAAAGGTACACTCCACAAAACTCCATGGGAGAAACTGACCGATGTTTTATGGGCTTAGAGATTTCATCGAGCTACTAAAGATCTGTTTTTCTTTCTTCTGAGACCCAATTAGAGTCACTTACATTTACAAACTCTCTTCTCTTATTTATATATAATTTACAGGGCTTGAAGGCAATAGTCATTAGGACTCAACAGAGTAATTAGTCTTTAAAGTATTCAGGATGAGGCAGCTGTGTAAATTTTATGTTCACTTTTTATGATCCAATTGCTTTTAAATATAGATGCTTTTGAGCATGACACTTAAAACTTTTTAATATTTGGAACTAATGTCAGCCATTCTGTGTTTCTGAAGGTTTTTTTTTAAGTTTTGGTAACTACAGATACTGACAGTATAAAGAGATGCAATTTTACAGAAATATTGGGTCACGATTTGTGGTTTGTTACCTGGTTGGTTGAAATGCCACTGACAGTGACACTTCTGTCTAACAAGGAGCTCATGCTCACATTATTAACATCTCTGTGATCCCAGTGCAGGGCTCAGCTGGGAAGCAAACCTTCCATCCACATACAACAGGCAGATAGTCAACACCTGTCATGTACCAGGGACAACGGTGTGGACACTGGCTACAGAAGGAGACACAGACTTTCTCCCATGACACTCAAATCTAGTGATGAGTTACTCATAACAATAAGCAGACTATTATAATACTGTGAAGAGGAATGCTGCGAGGGAACATCCACAGGCAGGAGAGTTGGGAAATCAGAGAAGGCTTGGAAGGAAAGATAAACCCGGAATTAGGGTCTTGAAGACCTTAATTATTAGCCATGGGTCTTGAAGGGTCTTGAAGACCCTAAAAATTAGCCATGAGAAGGAGAAGAAAACAGAGGATCTTACTAAATGAAAGAGCATGTCCAAAGCAAAGGGATTAAAAAAAAAAAAAGATGGAGTGCATATCTATGGTTGGGTGGAAGGTGGGCGTGTAAGCTTGGAAGAAGTAGAAGAAAGTACTTGCTGAGCAATTTGAGAGGTGAAACCAAACTCCGATCCTGAAGGGAGGCATTACTTCTTTTGAGCTATGACTTTTTTTTAACCAACCCATCATTTGCTTTTTCCCAATGTTATTTATGGGGGTAATTTCAAAAGAAGCACTACTGTGAATGGTGGCTTAGATACATTTTCCAATGATGTCATTCCAGGGAGTGGGGTAGGTGGCAACTTGACCCACAGCACAAATGCATCACATAACAGGAAGCTGAGCCACACTGCATTTAATAACCAACTCCACAACACATCCTCAGCATCTCATCTCATGTGCACCACTCAATATGCATTCAAAAAATGTATGTTGAGCTCAGAATGATAATTTTTAAAGTTTAAAGATGTCAATGATGTAACTTGGTCAGAATGGTCTGCACATTGCTTGGTCCTCATGTTTTCCTTGCTTCTGTCAGCCCCATGCAGCCTGCTAAGTGCAGGGAAGACAGACTAGTTAGTGCTGGCTCCAGGCACTTTCATAAATGAAAGTATAAATGATGGTCAATTAGAGATGATTTCCTAAACCATTTTCTAAAATCATTAACAAATCGTGTAACTAGCTCATGAATAACTTTGGTCTGTTTTCACAACGTTAAGTTGTCAAGACATAAGCAGAGAATCCTGTTTACCGGCATAAAGACAATCAGGTGGAAAGCTTTTCTGGATTGTGAGGGGGCAGGGCTCCATGTTCTGCCTCTGAGTCCACCTGTTCTGTGATGTGATAAGGTTGTTAGTTGCAGCCAGCCAGCATGTCTTACTAAATGCATACTGTCCACCTTTCGTTTGCTGGATTCTGAGACTACATAGCCAATGCCTCTGCTTTCATGGAGCTCACATCTACAAACAAAACAAATGTCATGACCCAGAGAAAATATTCCAGGCTCTGAGGCAGTATGCAATGGCGAGAGAGAGGGCCAGCTTATTCAAGAGGATCTCCCTTGTATTCTGTAATGCCCAAGCCTTCCCACTGGCCATCCTTTCTCTAGAATATCCCCTATATCAGCAGCAAAGTTGTCTTCCTCCACCATACCTGATAGTGTTGCTTCACAGTGAATAAACATCCTTAGCTATCAACACAGTAAAGTCCAATACCTGCCCTATGTTCTAAACTTATCTCAACCTGTCAGTCATCTCTCCAGGAATCTCCTCCTGATGTCCTATACTTCATGCTAAAGAGACTCACATCCTCTCAAGCTTTATTATTCCCCCTCCTCACTTCCTTACACGTATTAAGTGCTGCCTAAATACCTGCTAAATGAAGCCATAAATGTGATTCAGAAAACCTATGCATAGAAAGAAAACTGTGTCACTTTTTTACCTTGTCACATGTATTTGTTCACTTATGGCAAGGTTGAAAAAGAGACAAGTGTGTTTTCCTTGAAAGAAAAATAAAATGTAATTGAGTTTGAGTTCCCTCACATTTAGCAAAGATCTCCGGAGCTCTCCAAGAAGCCCTTCACAATTGACAGTACATTCTAGTTCAGACAAAAGGGTTGATGGGAACTTCTGATGGGAAGTTCAGTGCACCACGTACAGCCGGGCTGGGTCAGATGCTAAAGGGCTTTTCACTCTGTCCCACTGTGTTTTGGTTTATAAGGCAGAAGTTTCAGGAATCAGTAAATGTTCTTAAGAACAGAGTAGTCTAAAATGTATTTTAGAAAAATCAAAAGGAAAAACTGCAGCTCTCAATGAAGGGATGCCCCAGGGTAAAGAAGGATTGGAGGTGGAAAATCATCTAAAAGGCTGGAGGGCTGGAGGTAGAGTTCAGGCAAGATTGGATTTAAAAAGGGAAATCTAGCTCTGAGGCCATAGGAGAGTAAAGAGAGAGGGGGAAAGGGAGAGAGAGAGAGAGAGAGAGTGTGTGTCATTTTTGACAGGATTTGGTGGCAGATTGTGTGCATTGAGGCGTTAAGGCAAAGAGAAGAGCCATGAGCCTAGGATTCCAGGTCCAAGAGTGATCTGGACCCAGTCTGCTCACAGCCCCTCTCACGTCATTCCCTTTTATACTCTGTATAAAATATACTCTCTTTATACTTTATCCCCTTTATACCAGCCAGACTTTCCTTCAGTTCCTCCTTACCCCATCTTCCCTCATAGGAGAACCTCTGCACAAACCATACACTCTACTGGAAGGAGCACCACCCATCTCAGCCAACCCAGCCCACTCTCAGAGGTCAGCTCACCAGGGGAGCCTTCTTTGATCCCCATTGTCCCTCATTTTGATATGAGCTTCCGTAGTACCCTAAATTTTGTCACATGAAACAGTTCATAATTATATTTCTACTAGTATGGATATTTTATTAATGTATGACTCTTCTAATCAAATGTGAGCTCTGGGAAGACAGAGATTCTGTTTGATTCATCTTTGTATCTTCAGTACCTATCAAAGAAAGATATATGGCAGATGGTAGTTAATAAATACTAATCTCATTAAGGAAATAAGGAATTTACTAAGTGTTTTAAGTAAGAATAGAGGAAGAAAAAAAATGCAAGTTTCACAACAGGGGAAGAATCAATTTAACCACTATTTTTTTGTGAAATATTATTTGCTACAGTTGGCAAACCAACAGCAGCAAATGTGGAACCAGAATTTTGGAGAGAAGTGAAGAGCGGAAATGGAGATCTAAGAGTTATGAATAGGGGGTTTGTGTAGACTGTGACCCTATTTGATTCGCAGCCAGCTGCATGAGATAAGACATTGCTTTATAGTAAGTTAGGAATGTTGCCTTCAGATTACTTCTTCCCAGATCACCAGCTGAAAGACTAGTCAAAACGCATAATAATAAAAACTATGTTCTTTCATAAGACACCCCTTTCAAAGATAGAATCCTGGTAGAGCTCCATGACATAGTGGCCCAGTTCAAATCTTAAGCCTGTGTGCCCATCAACATGTTTTTTGAGAGGCAGGCCAGAATCGTGTTTAAGAGCTAAGCAATCTGGATCAGATCTCAAGGCCTCTAGATATCACCTGTGAAAGCCTGGAAAAATCTAATGGTCTTCTAGTGTTTCACCTCCCTATGTGCAAAATGTATATAATCATAGTATCTACTTCTACTTCATTAAATTGTGAAGGTTGAAGCTGAATTAAGCACTTTAAGAGTATCTGGCACATAATATTCCTAAATGTTAACTATTCTTGCAATTATTATCTTGATTATTATTTTTTAATCCCTCTGAAGCTACATTTGCAGACATTCTACAAAGAATCAAGGTAATGAATCATCATTATCATCATCATCACTAGTCAGCTTAGGCTTGATCCTCTGTGTCATTATTTTTGTCATTGTTAAAATGATTCTGAAAAGAGTTCTATTAATGCAGCACCACATTTAAGAGCTCCATTTGCACAACAGGAAATTAGAAGGAAGTCAGTGTGGTTTTGAACACTGAAAACAGTGGCCTGGAGTGCTAGTCTCATTACCAATTGATATCAATTGAATGTGTACAATTTGCTATGTAGGCAGCAGCCAAAGAATTCTGAAAGGCCTAATCCTCATCTCAAGTTCAAATTTCTGCCTAGTGAAGGGGAAATTCTGAAATGGATGAATTCCTAGGAGAAGCGTGTTTATATAGAAAGGAACCAGTGGTTCTTATTTATTTACTGTTTTGTAAACAACTGTGCCTAAAATATCACTTTTGCTCGATGATAATTTAATTGCTGTTGAGTTCTGTGCTCAAGCAAAAAATGACCCAAATAACTCTCCCACCCCTTTCCCTGGATAAAAGAGGGACTAAAAATAGAGTAAACTGTGAAACAAATAGGGCCATCTGATCTACATACATTTTATCTGGATAACTATCTTCGGTAGCAAAAGAAATGAATTATTTTCGCCAATGTTGGAATTTACTCACTAAGGTGCTTCAAATTAACTGAGAATTATAGTTGTAGTCCATGTTTTGAACCTTCCCTCCTACCTCATCTTTTTGTTGATTAATGAGGATTTCTCATAGTCAAGATTTAGTAGAAAGCCACATTTTTCCTTCTAAATGGCACTTAGTGTCACATGCCCCACCTACCCTGTATTGTTTTAACTTTGGAATTTTCCCTGAGTGTTTTGAGGTAAGTAACTTTCTAAAATCTGCATTTAACCTTTTTTTTTTTTTGATAGTCATACTCTGGAAAATCCTATCTTTTCTCCAGTGTCTGGTTTCTCTCCCTTCTACTTTCCCTGCCTTTATACATTCCTGTCCCTCACATACTCAGTTCCACTCTGGTAAAATCAGGCCTGTGAATAGTTCACGATCCCCTCTCACAGGGGAAGATGAGAGGTGCTGACTCTTGCCCTTGGGTTGTGAGGGCTTTGCTCCTAGTAGAATGCTGAGAGAGGCATAAACTTAAGACCTTAGAGATAGGTGTCTTAGAAATCAAAGGCATTATTTATTATTCGCAATTCATATTTGCAAAGTGCTTTGAGCTCCCTGGGGGAAGCTGCAATACAAACACGAGGTATGTGTATAATTAATCACTGTTCAGTGGGGATTATGACCTCTCTGGGCAAGAGCATATTTATATACTGACACTCACGAAGATAGTTAAATAATCTTAAAACAACCCGGGGCATATTACCCATGGATGTAGTGAGAATTCATCAGCAGAACACTCAAGAGCACAGATGGAACCTATTACAGATACAGCACACTGCAATCCACTTGCACCCCCATAGACCACAGCACACATTCACATAGAGCTGGGAGGTTACTATGCTTTCTTGAGGACGGGCAGGAGGGAGCATGATAGCCACTATGAGTAAGTGTCCCAGGAATCCTCTCCTAGAAAATCAAAAGCAAAACAGAAAACCAAATCACCATTCCCAATTCCTCCCTCTATAAACAGTCTACAAAACTGACATGAATATTTGACAATGAAAGCCTGTAAGAGGATAAGCTGTCTGTGGCAGGAACAATTTCATTTTAGAGACCACTTATATTTTTAGATGACATTATGATATCAATATCTGTCCTAACATATTAGCTTCTGACTAATACTACTAATAATATGCAACTGTATTTGTGTGGAGTTTTACAAAGCATTTTGGAAACCATTCATTAACTTCAGAATCTTTCATGAGCTTTCCAAGGTAAATAACTTTCTAAAATCTGTGTTTAGCCATTTTTTTTCCTAAAACTATCCCCTCGGAAATCCTATCTTTTCTCCAGTGTCTGATCTTTCTCCCTTCTACCTTCTCTGCCTTTTAAATCCTTCTGCCACTTACCATTGGCCACAGAATAAAGGTGCAGTTTCTTACCATGGTCTACTAATAGCATGCCCATCTCCTTTTCTCTCTCTCTCTGATATTTTCTGAATAATCTAACTAAAAGACTGGAACAGGCAATATGTTTGCCAGGGTATTGGTGCCCTTCTTGTTGATAACAGTATGTGTGATCTAGGACAAGAGATACAGGCCCTCTGTGAATCTTTTTGTATTGTTTTTAGTAAGTCAGAAGAGAGCAAGTGAGGTGGTCATTCTTTACTGCGTGAGTTTTGACAAGTCATCTAACCTCTCTGCTCCGTGGCTGCAAAATAAGGATACTAATGTCTACTTCACAGATAATTTGTTAGATTTAGAAAAAATAATGTAATTTTCCAGGCTTGCACACCATATAACAGATATCCTACAAACAGTAATTGTCCAGAAGCCTGACACTTAACATCATGCCTGGGGACGGGGTAATGTCAAATGCCATTCCAGGGTTGGATTTTATGCTTCAGACTTCATTAATACCACGTCAAACTCTCTGGCATGGACCTGGATGTCGCCACTCTGGAGGGTCCTAACTTCCAAGCAACTGCCCCTGCATTCTTGGGTCTTGGCCAGAGGCTGTCAGGATGGACCTTTCCCAAGTTCTGCAGCAATCCTGGCAGTTTGAAATGGATATCTAAGATTTTAAAAGGATTTTTTTATACACTTAAATCTAGTCGTTCAGGTCCAGGAATTTACACAGGGCAATAATTGAGACCCAAAGGACTGAGCAGTAAGCAAATGATCATAACATTTGGGGAAAAGGGAAGTAGCAAAATTTTAAATTAACCTGAGTGTCCAACAATGAGAAAGATGAAAACAAACTACATAATCTAATACAATTTGTTTGCCAATATGTAGCAATGTGGAAATATTACACGATATTATTAAATGAAGATAATTCTAAAACTGTGTAGTTTGATTACATTTGCATTTAAGTATCTATTGGTAGTTAGATAAAAGTCATTATTAATTATGATCCCTGTTTTAAGCATTGTGATATGTGCTTTACATTATCTTATTTAATCCTCATAATAGCCTTTCAAAATATATATTATTATTTATATTTTATAGATGAGTAAACCAAGGGTCAATACATTTTATGACTTTACCAAGGTCACTAGAGAACTGGATACAAAATGAAATCTTAGCCTATCTATCTTAGTGATGGGGTTAAAGGTGATTTGTTATTTCTTCTTTTTGCATGTACTTGTTTTTAAACTTCCTTTGATAAGTATATATATATATATATACTGTGAAATATTTTAAAGGTATCTTTAAAGCAAGTACACTATAGAGGAAGGTGTTGAGGATGCAGCTGCAGACAGGTAAGCAGCACCCTCAGTGCCACAGTGCACTTGACTATAGAGCTCCCTTAGTATGATTTGCCTAGAGCTCCCTTAGCATGATTTAAAAGAGCTCACTGTCCTGTTACTTACAGATCACACCACACCAGCCCCTGTCTCCATTGCCATTAAACAAGAAATGTGTTCTGGCAGCTTGCAGAGGCCTTCTGCTGCAATACCCCCCATTACAGCCTGGATATTTAAACATGAACTACTTCTCTCTGTGTGGAACAGCTGGCTAGGAAACGTGGTGGCACAATTAGCCATTTCTCCCTGGGTATTTGTGCTCAGTAAATTCACTTTTCAGAGAGTACAGCTGGTAAGATGAAATAACAGAATCAATTGTCTAAAGCATTGTTTTTAAGGAAAATATCATTTGTGCATATGTAAGTTGGGGCAAAGAGGGTTTTTTATTATTAAAGATACTAGACATCAGCTTTAGAATGAACCACTCAAATTTGAAGTTTGTGAATTAGTGGTCAAGAAAACAAATTTAAGAGCAGGGTATCTGGTGCGAATCTTGGTTCTGCCAATTTATCAGCAATTTATTTAAAACTGCTCTTCCTCAATTTCATGATGTGGAATAATACTAATAGTAACTATCATAAAGGATTATACATGGTGCCTGGAATGTAGTAGATTGCTTACATTTCTTCCTTTGTTATTATCTTCTATTTCTCATGTGAGACAAAGTAGCAAACATAAGAAGCAGTGTTCACTCATTTCTGCATGCCAGAGTAATTTCACAAAGTCCCTAACTCTGTGATGATGTGCAGCTCCTCAGAAAGAGGCTTTGAAAATAAAACAGGACAGGGCACATGCCCCCCACCACATCTCTTACCTGAGTCAATATATTCCTTAAAATATGAATGACCTTAGCTCTTGCCTTTTCCTACACATAAGACAGTATCTGATGAAGTTAATGATTGTGCCTCTGTAATCTAAAACCAGATCTACACTTGAATTGAAACCCTGATGTGATTCTGCTTTGATGTAACTTCTGAGCAAGTTTGATGTGATTTTTGCATGTACTGAAGTACTGAACCCTCACCACCTCTATGTAAGCAGTGGGTTGAAACACTGTTACAGAGCCATCTGATAACCTCTCTGAAGGATTGCTCCTAGGTGAGGTCCTCATTCCATAATCTTTAGTCTTCAGTAAGACTTCTGAATAAAACTAACTTTAACTTTCTAAACAGCTTAATTCTATTTTCTTTAGTCAACAATCATGGTGTCCCAGAAGAAACCCATAGTATACAGATAAGGACCATTTGGAACATTGTGGGGACCCAGAGCCTTGGTACCAGCATGGCCCTTAAAGCCCCTGCATCTCCTCCACATTTGCAGATGACTAGGTGGGTCTCTCCTGAGTCTCAGATCTCATACTTTGTTGCCAATGCTGAGTTTTATTCAGCTAGTTATTTACACTCCTTGACAAAAGGGTAAGTTCTTCCATGAGATCTTTTGTTTCTTAGGAAGGGAAATTTTTGTCCAGGTTCCGTGGTTCATGCCTGCAATCTCAACACTTTGGGAGGCCAAGGAAGGCAGATCTCTTGAGCTCAGGAGTTTGAGACCAGCCTGGGCAACATGGCAAAACCTCATCTTTACAAATACTTCAAAAATTAGCTGGGAGTGGTGGTGTCCATCTGTAATCCCAGCTATTTGAGAGACTGATGTGGGAGGATGGTGTGATCCTGAGAGGTGGATGTTGCAGTGAACTGAGATTGTGCCACTCTCCAGCCTGGGGGACAGAGGCAGACCCTGTCTCAAAAAAAAAAAGGAAAAGAAAAAAAAAGAAAAAGAAAGTTCAGAGCTTAAATGATCATTACTCAAAAAATTCGCAACTATAGAGTTAACCTGCAGAGTCTTTTAAGTTCTCTATTATTTTTTCTGCCTACTTGAATCTGTTGTCTATTCTACTGGTGTTGAGATAAAACTCATTGTTTACGGCATTATTACTTCAAGGCTGTATTAGTAACTGGAGATTTTGTTTATCTTACACAACTTGGCAAGTTCTCCCTAAAATGTAATCATTGAAGTATTATCCTTTAACTCACTTGGAATTGAAGGAAAAAAAAGGTAAAAGAAGTTTCTAAAAATAAAAACTTTCATGGAAAATGCTTTACCCAAAATTTTGGTCCACAGCCTCCATTAGATTACCTATTGGGTCAAATAAAGTTTAGTCATGGAAAAAGGTTCCAATTTTGTTGGAAATAATTTAGGTCTAATTGTCTTGTTTAAATTAGTGAGTTTATATTACTATCTCATAACTAAATTTCTGAAATGAAAACTATAATATTTTTATTTCTATGTGTGTATATATGTTGAGAAGTGTTTGCATATGTATGTGTATTATTCTGTATGTTGTGTCATATGGTACTAAGTAGATGCATAAATAAACGAGCACTCATGAATTAGTAAGTTTAAATATTTTCCAGTTCATGTGACTTAAGAAAATCCTTAATAAATAAGCTTGTTTAAAAATTATGGATAAAATAAAAATAAAATTGTCTTCAGAATCATCAGCATACATTTTTGCCTGGATTTACTGAAGAGACAGTTCTATATTTGCCTCTGCTAGATATTTTAAGGTGGCAGGTTTTAGAATGTCATAAAACTACAAACTCAGCCCAAAACAGAAAGATCTGTGTGTATTCTTTTTATAAGTAAGACTAATTTAATATTGTTGGTTTAATGAAAACAACCGAATTTTCTGAGCTATCATCAAAATACTCATGTATTTAATTTTAAAGTTCTTACTTAGGTAAACACTTGATATTCACAGGCTGTAAAAATGGTCAACTTGGAAATAAATTTAAATGATGACTAGCTTTGTCCAATATGTCAGTTTTCATAAGTAATCTAGGCAATCTGTTAAAAATAATAAATTAGGTAAATACTTGTAAATAAACTTTTCATGTAATTTTAAATATTAAAGTTATGTTAAATTAAATAATAGATAATCATTCAATACTTGGGTCATTTTCAATTGAGAGAAAAATTTTGTTATAAGGAAATATGTTTCTAAAAATTAGGAAATTATTTTAGTATATAAAATACTGATATATGAAAGACAATTCAAGATCTTGCTTCCTAGATTTTGACTAAAATTTAAGGTTACTAAGAATTTAAAATATTTTAATATATAATTATATATACAAAGTATGCAAAAATATGGTTTTTTGATGGAAAAATATAAGAAAAGCATAAAAATGCATCATTTTGAGAAAAAGGACAATTTTATCTAATTCAGTGGTTATTCATGAAACAAGATAGAAAGGAACCAGTAAGTAGGAAAGAAAGATATGAAGAATGTATATGAATGGAATGGATATGATGATGTATTCTTGGTAAGGAAGGTAAGAGGAAAGATATTAATCTTGTATGAGAAAGAAGCTTACATAAATTGTTGTCTTAAAGTAAAATGAGCGGTTATTTAAAAAAGAGAAGGTATTGGACAAACCAGAAAGTGCAAGCATGTCATAAATGGTCTGGGTAAGTCATGATATAGTTGTGAAAAGAGAATGTATGAAAGATATGTTTTATATGATCAAGTTGGCTATAATAGAAATAACATTATTCATAATTGTCTTTCTAAAGATTGAGCTTTGATATTAAAATATATTAAAACAAAACAAAATTTTGTCAGTTATGTTAGAAAAATAAGGTTATCTAAAAATACTGATTTGCTCTTACTGCAATTGCAAGAGGTTTTGATTTTTAATTCTGAAATCAGTTTCTTTTTGAAGCTTTTCAGATTTATGTCTCAAAAGTTTAACTTTTGCCTATTTCACTGCACCTGATTTGTGAATTATACATAATTGCCTTCAGTTCCTTTTCTCCTTGAGAAGATATAACTTTTTGCTTAGCTGAGATGATAACTCTCTCTTTCAACTTTTTCATCAGTTCTTGTAACTTTTTTTCTCCAGTTCTAACTCTGCTGTTGTGACCTGAGGCTGAAATGTTTATCTTGAAGGTCCAGAAAAACAATTTTTTTCTCAAGTATAACTTGATTCTGTGCCTTGGCTTTTCTTGATATGTCTGAATTGTTCAATGTAACCAGGAAATTTCCTATATTGTTACTAAAAGCCATGTATTCCCTCTGCTCAAGGTACTAGTTTTGTGTTTACATTCCTCTATTATATAGTGTACATTCATGACCCTGGACGCACTCTTCCTGTGTCTGATTGAATTCAAGGGCTCTTTTCATCAGATTTGACAGTTATCTGAATGGGCTTTTCATAAAAAAAGGCAATGACACTATGGGAGGTTTTTCTTTATGTTTTTAGTAGCTGGCCTACACAATAAAGATTTTACACTCTATTAAGATAATTCCTGTGTTGTCTTTATTCAGTTTTTGATTAACTAGGAAAACTGAGCTTAAAAGGGTTAAGTATTTTACATCCATGTTATGACTCTAGTGAAATGAATAATTATTATTTTATAATAATCTGTGAATCTGTTTTGATCAAGTATTTTAAACATTTTGACATCTTTTGCAGTTTTCCCAAAGATCAAAATTCTAAATTAAGTCTTTTTGATTAAAATATTAGACTTATTAGGTAGATTGTATAGAAAATATTATCAAATGATAAATAATCTAGATCCTCTTTCCATTATATTTATGGGTATGTTATTGCTATAAATCACATAAAATATATAAATTCATAGAAATCTAATATGGTATCAGCTATAATTTTGATTATGTTAAATCTTTTCTAAAATTATATTTTTATAAATGTTATTAATGTGAGTATTCTAAAGACTACATAAACTTTATAAAAGTTTGATTTTTCTGATGTGGCACTGTCAGTCATGATTCTAATTATCTTAGTATACTGCATATAATAGAAATAACTAGATGTTCTTGTCAACTGGGAACTTTCATCATATTTTAATCATGGCTATTCAAAGTTTTCATCATCCACAGTATTATTTTGAAGTATTCTCTAAAAACATTTATAATAAGCTCTAGGTCAAATTTTTTCATAAATAATAATAAATATGGATACTAAAAAGGAAAAAACATAGTACAATTAATGAAAAAATATGCAAATGCATGTTCCAATTTTGTTGCATGATTATCAATTTTTTTTTTTAATTTCTAATTTGTAACTGATAGTGATGCTATTATGTATATACCACTATGTATAATCTCTAGTATCCTTGTATAGTCCTGTTGAGATGTTATGTTAGGTGCAGGGAAATGTCAGGAAAGAAAATCAGATTATGCTAGTTAAAAAATAGAAGATATTCAAAATATGCTTTCCAACAAATAGGAAAGTAAGCATGCTGCCCAATTCCTTACAAATACAAATGAAGATCACCGACCTTCCTAAGGAAAGAGTCTTCCTAGCTATGTGGAACAATCCATACTGGTTCTGTAAATGCAACCAGACAGTTGATTTATGATCAAAGGGGGGATCTTGTGAGACAAAATGGCAAAGGGAAGAAGCCCTTTTGGCCCTTTTCAGCTTGCCAGCATAATTTCACAAGCCCCTGACTCTGGAATGATGTATAGCTCTCCAGACACTTTGAAGACAAAACAGGATAGGGCACATGGCCCCCCACATCTCTTGCCCGAGTCACTATATTCCTTAAAGTATGAATGACCCTAGCCCTTGCCTTTTCTTGCACATAAGATGACATCTGATAGGGTTAATGATTGTGCCTTTGTAATCTATGACCAGAGGTACTCTTACACCAAAACCTTGGTGTGATTCTGGTTTGATGTCACTTGTGAGCAATTTTGATGTGATTTTGCATTTACTGAACCCCCACCCCCATATGTAAGCTGTGGGCTGAAACACTGTGTCAGAGAAGTCTGACAGCTTCTCTGAAGGACCACTCTGGGGCTATAGTCCTCATTCTATAGTCTTCAGTAAGACTTTTGAACAAAACTTACTTTAATGATTTAAGTGATTGATTTTTTTTTTTTTTTTTTTTTTTTTTTTTTTTTTTTTGCCAACACTTGCATTGGTCTGCAAGGCATATAGTAGGTCCTTGGTAAACATTTGTTAAGCAAATATTTGCCTTATACTTATAGAGAAGCCATTTCTCAGGCTAATCCAACTATTCAAACACAGCTTAGATAGGACTAAGAAGAGAAGGGAATTCAAATATTTTGAAAACCTACGATATGGCAAAGCATGGTTTTAGTTATTCTGTGCATTCATCCTTAATAACTTATGTATTTTTATTTTTGTTTTTTGTTTTTTGAGATGGAGTCTCACTCTGTCACCCAGGCTGGAGTGCAGTGGCACGATCTCAGCTTGCTGCAAGCTCCACCTCCTAGGTTCACGCCATTCTCCTGCCTCAGCCTCCCAAGTAACTGGGACTACAGGTGCCTGCCACCAAGCCAGGCTAATTTTTCTTATATTTAGTAGAGATGAGATTTCACCATGTTAACCAGGATGGTCTTGATCTCCTGACCTCGTGATCCGCCCGTCTCGGCCTCGCAAAGTGCTGAGATTAGAGGTGTGAGCCAACGCGTCTGGCCAATACCATATTTTTTAAATAACAAGTAGACATTATTATCAAACTTTACAACCTTTGAAAAAGTCTTTGAGAGATTAAATAGTTCTTGCAAGATTACAGCAGTAGTGGACTCAGCTGTCAAACTACAACATTTTTCCTGTCACTCAAGGCTGACATCCCTGTCCATGGCACACTGGGTGCAAGTGGGAGCAACTCAAAGGAAGAGCAGCTTGGAGCTGAATTGGAAACAATTTACTCTACCAGTTTACCCAGAACAGGAAAAATCAGAGGCAGCAAGTTGAAGAGTTTCTAGGATACGAAGAGCCTTGGTCCAAGAAAACAGACAACAAGGGAAGTGGGGGAAGAAAACACAGAAACTACAGAACACAGACAAAAGAACTCACCTGCCTTAAGTATTACTCTATTATGGCATACAATAAGCATTAATGTTTATGAGCCTAACATAGAGCTACTTATGAAAAGCTACATCATATTTAGTTGGTAATTACGATAAAAAAGGAAAATGTATTATACGAAACAAACACTGAACTAGTAGTATTTTATTTACAAATCAAAAAAATATGTAAGTGGACTATGTTCGTCTTCACTTCCTTCCTCTAACCTCAGATACTGTGACACCAGGGTTCAAGATGGAGGCGCTGCTGTCTGTCATGTGGGTTAAGTCTCATCAAGGAACATGACAGAAGAAGGATGTCTCAGTTCACGTGGGTTATGCTGGAGGACAAAACATCAGATTTAGAAGATCTCATGACTTTTTTCATCACATCTGCAGAGACACTGGAGTGCACTGACTTGGCTGCTCAGAGAGGACCAGTACAAGGACTTTAACTGACCCAGACCCACCTGGTCAGTGAGATTTGAGGGGAATCCATCCTGAAAACCCCTGTGACTCGCCACCAGCACACAGTGTGCCACAGGATGTGGTGGGGAAGCTTGCTTGGTAATGCCAATGTTTTCTAGCGGGAAGAATCTTTGTAGGCCAGGTGCGGTGGCTCATATCTATAATCTCAGTACTTTGGGAGGCCGAGACAAGATGATCACTTGAACCCAGGAGTTTGAGACCAGCCTGAGCAACACAGGGAGATCCTGTCTCTAAGGAAATAATAAAAAATATTAGGTGGGTGTGGTGTTGCAGGCCTGTGGCCCTAGCGACTCAAGAGACTGAAATGGAAGGATCGCTTGGGCTTGGGAGGTTAAAGCTGCAGTAAGCTCTGATTGCACTGGTATTCTCCAGCCTGGGTGGCAGAACAAGACCCTGTCTCAAGAAAAAAAAGAAAGAAAAGAAAAAAATTTTCGTAGATACTTACTTATTGACAACCAGCCTTTCTGGGGCTCATCACAGATGCAATCAAACAGGATCTTCAGGAAGAGGTCTGGGAAGGTACACATTTACCTGCTGCTCAGGTGAGCGCTATCTCAGGGGTGTTTCAGAAATAGTGTCTGGCTATAATAGCAGATTTTCAAATAGGAGGATCACCTAGAGGGTTTGTTAAAATACTGAAAGGTGGGCCCTACCCCATAGCTTCCAGTTTTGCAGATGTGAGAGGGTAGGGGTTGGAGGGGAGCATCAGAATTTGCATTTCTAATGAGTCCACAAGTGAAGCTCCTTCTGTTGGTCCAGAGACCACACTTTGCAAACCCTGTGTAGCCCTGGAGCAAAAGACAGGGGAGAAGAGGGAAACTTATTCTGGGCTTCATCCCAGAATAAAGTGATCAGGGGCCAGGGAGGGGCTGGGAATCTGGCCTGGAAGCTCCACACTTCATCTAATTCCCCACCTTCTCTCTTTACCTCCCACTCATCCCTGAGTTTTCTTAACATCCCACTCTCCCAATGGTAAGCCTACTCAATCAAAATTTGAACCTCTATGGGCCCAATCTGACACTAAGAAAGGCTGTGAAACTTACCAAAGACTTTCACCTTCACAAGGAACCCAGGAAATTAGAATTAAAACAGCAAGACAAATACTTTGGAAAGGTTTCAAATATGGTAGAAATATGGTTATAAAGTTTCTTAAACTAAGGTACTTCTTTTGATATTTAATAATTAATGTAGTAATAACTCAGTAAGATCTCAAGATCCAAATGATTCAGTTTTTTTTTTAAAAACTACTTGAGGCTAATATATTAATTTCATTATGCAATTATGTTTGTTATATAAAAAACAGAGCATACTAAAATGCAAGCATATCCAGTAGAAATATTTCAGTCTCTATAATTTACTTTTATTAAGTAAGCCAAAATGAGTTACAATAACTCCTGAGCCTTCTTAATCTTCTACAGTTACAGACACTTGTGAGCTTCTAATACAAGCTATGGGTGCTGTTCATAGGAAATTCCAACAGATACAAAGCATGGGATGTAATTCAGGGGTTCCTGGATATCCTGGATGGGATCATCGTCATGCCCCGATCCCAAGAATGCTTGGTGTAGTACAGCAGCAGGTCTTCCACAAAAATAAAGTATATGATTTCTGCCTTCTCCCCAGATTCCAGAATAAAAAGAGACTTTTGATCAGCAGCCCCTTCCAGGCCCTAAAGTATAATCCTCCCCTCCCACAAGTGTTTCCCATTTCAAAAGCTGTTCTGATTAAGAATGAGTTCCTATCCAAGCAGGAAAGTGCCATTAGGATGCATTCATTTCTCACCCTGAAGATTCTGCTTCCTGCCTTGTGAGGGACTCACTCTCACTCCACCCACAGTATAAGAGGTGTTCTATAGTTAAGGTCAACTGTCTAAGGTGCTGTTCATAGCTTTGTCTTGTTATTGTAAGGGACCTTCTTGAGGGAGAGTCAGTTTAAATGGGACTTTGAGATAAATAATTACATAGAAACATCCCCTGTGTTATCACACTTATCCCTGGGCACAAGCAAGTATTCATTGGAGATGATAAAAATCTAAAAAATAAATACTATTGGAAACAGGTAAATTACTGTTCTTCAATTACTTTAAGAAAGTAAATTTGTTATCCTTATTAAAGGTAAGAGGCATACATACACTATGCCTTGTATACAAGAAAATAGAGTGTAGATAGACCATAGCAGAATGCGGTATATTTACCAAACACTCTCAGTATATATAGTTAAAATAGTTATCTCAATTTATCTAATAATTATCAGGTTTTTCTATTGTCCTCTTCATTGACCATTCTCTTATTTTTACAATAGTTAAGAATATGTAAGTAGTTGAAATATTTGTAATATGAATAGAAGTCTACCGTTTTTAGGAGGAATAAAAGGGTGGACTGAAAAGAATATGAATGTCAACTAATCTTTGTTTCATTTCTGAAAGCTTGTAAGAGTATGCTAAATCCAGGAGTACAAGATGGATTGGAACGTGTATAAATTAATAAATAAGGCATAAAATCTTTGCTTGTGTGACAGTCCTGTAGGAATTAGTCCTGCAATTAGTTTACAGATTAGGACTGGTAGGACATTAAGAGAAGCCTTCTGTTTCTTGTTTTACTACCCCAGGCAGACACTACTGATCGTGCTCTGCTTCCAGCTGGGAGCAAAGTGGCTCCAGTATTATTCCAAGAGCAGTCAAAACCAATCAATGGGAGTTGCCATGAGCATCACCATGCTGGGACAAGATATTACTTAAGTAATTGACAAACCATGGATTTTTTTTCATGCTAACCTTCACCAGATGCCATTACTGAGTGAAGCCTCCCCTGATCTCTTAGCTTTGGGCATCCTTCAGAGTGAGATTCTGGCTAATGAACCCCTTTCCATGGACACGATGGATTAAACATCATAGTGAACTGTTTCATCACAGATTTTTGTTTATTTCTTTTAATCAAACAGTCAGAACCTGCCAACAACATGCTATTTTCTGTTTGAAAGTACAGCAGAGGAATAAGCAGCAAACTGGTTCTGACATGTTAGTATGAAAATTGAAAATAACATGCGAAGATGGTAAAAAGGGAGGATGACTCCCCAGATGGCTTTGGGAAAGAGCATGGTCACTCATCTAAAAGAACATAAGGGCCAGGCATGGTAGCTCATGCCTGTAATCCCAGAATTTTGGGAAGCCGAGGAGGGCAGATCACCTAAGGTCAAGAGTTCAAGACCAGCCTGGCCAACATGACGAAAACCCATCTCTACTAAAAATACAAAAATTAGCCTGGCATGGTGGTATGCATCTGTAATCCCAGCTACTTGGGAGGCTGAGGAAGGAGAATCGCTTGAACCAGGAGGCAGAGGCTGAAGTGAGCCGAGATCCCGCCATTGCACTTCAGCCTGGGAAACAAGAGTAAAACTCCGTCTCAAAAAAAAAAAAAGAAAAAAAAAATCAGAACTGTCACTCATGGCCAGCCCTATGTTGCAGTTAGCAACTGCATCAGTGAGAATAATGACAGCAACTCATCACCATGCACCAGATACCTACTTGGCAGCAGAAACTTGCTTGGCATTTCACATATACTGTGCTCAGTCTATACAATGCCCTCCATGGTTCTGTGGCTATTACAAATGGGCATCCTGTGGTTCAGAAGTGTTCAGGGACTTCTCTAAGGTCACCTAACTGGTGAGGTGTCAGAGTGGTGACTCATCCATAGGTCTGCCTGTACAACTCTTTAGTGTGATAAGGGCACCAAAGAACAATGTGAGCAGGGACACTGATGATGTCCTTCTCATGTTTGTAGATGTTTACTGATTAGTAGAATGTGTCATGGCTGGTTTGCAATAAAATCAAGGTTAAACAGATGCTTGTCAACCTTAGTCTGTTACTCTTTCTGTACGTAACCAGTAGGGCATGGAGCTGGTGTGGTGACGGTCTTTGAAAGGTGAAATGTGTGAATGGTAAGAAAAGGAGACAAAGCATTTGATAATGGTTTGGCTTTAGAAAGAGATCTCGACATCCAACACGATAGTTTGTAAATATATAGTGAATGGCTCTAAAGATCAACAGGACAATGAAATATTAGTTCAATAAGCACTAGATCTGGTGTCTTAGGTAGCTTTCCCAGAATCATCCCACAAGGAAATGTCCGTTCTAAGCCTACTTCATATCTGCACTTATCAACTGTAACTAGAGTGACCATATAAGCGGTGTGCCAGGAACAGCTACAAAGTATACCTGTTGTGTGAATGCCTGCTTTGGTGATAAATTATTGGTTGCACTAATCACAGCATTTATGATAAAACATTTCATTTTTTCTCTGTGTTGTTTGTATTTTGCAAGACTATGAGCTCGTTGAAGACAAGAAACATGCCTTATGCACCTCCATATGACCAAATTTCAGTGATGATGGTCACACATTGGTAGAGTTGGGACTCGGGAAATATTCACATGTTCCCAAAGGTCTTCCTTCTGACATTTTAACCTCAGATACCTCTACGTCAATATCCTCTGAGGTCAAGTTTTTTTTCTTTAAAATTTTTCTCAGCTAGCAAGACATACACTGTCTAAAAGAATACCCCATGAAAGTTTTCCATGCAAGCCAAGACTTTCAGGAAATGCTCTGCAGTGAGTAAACATAACATCTGCATTTGCTGTATAAACATCACAGATCTGAAGTGAAATGACTCAGAGTTTGCCTAGAATCATTAGAGATGTCGATCTGTTTCTCTCATTTCATTGTCTGCAGCCTTGTTTTTTTACTTTATTTAAAGAAAAGACTAAATGACTTCTGGATGTAGAAATGCTTTTTTAAAATGGCAATAGTACATCTCGTTGGAAGGGGACTGGTAATTGCATCATGTTTTCTCATGAACAACTCATGCAAAGGCAATCAGCTGATTAGATGATTTGTGTTTCATAAATACACAATAGTATGACTGTAATTATGTTTTTAATACACTGGTTAAAATTGTCCATAAAGCTAGTCTCAAAGAATGAGGGCAAGAGTTAAGACAAGGTTGTAATGAAGGAAGGTGAAGAATTTTAATGGAAAAATACAAATCATGAGAAATAGAGGCTCTCACATCAACCCTGTCTAAGCATCCTCACACCAACCCCCTTCCAAGAGGGCTGATAAGCTACACCTGGAGTAAGGTTCTAATATTGGCCAGGGAAATGAGCAGGAATATAAGTCCTGAGGCTACAGAGCACAGAACCAAGGATCATTCAGGGGTAAAATTATAACTGAAAGTCAAGCAGACAGTCAGTTGTAATAAATGGACTAAATGGCTGGGTAATGTGGCAGAGACTAGGGGCTCTGCAAGAAGAAACCCCACAACATGAAGATCAGTCAGTAAATATAGGATGGGACCTGAGAGCTTTCATTTCTAGCAAGCAGCAGGCATGTAGCAAACAAGTCCTGAAGACCTCACCATGGTGTTGCAGTCTAGCTGTAGGACCAAACCACATTTCTCAAAATTGAGCATACATCAGAATCATCTGGAGGACTGCGTAAAACACAGAGGGCTTTGCCCCATCCCCAGAAATTGGGAGTCAGTAGTTCTGGAGCAGAGTCAATGATGTGCATTTCCAACACATACCCAGGCAATGCTGGTACTGTAGGTCCAGGGATCACACTTGGAGAGCTACTACTGTGGGGCTGCTATAGCCTCTCCTAAGATCGAGTGGAGCTGTTAAAGTTACAGAACCAATTCACTGAAGTCGCTGTTCACTTATTCTACAAAAAGGCTAAAAAAAATAGGTAATTGGAACAGTTGTACATTGCACTCTACTCTGGAGATGGACCTTAAAGCGGTGGTTTTCAAAGTGTGGTCCCAGGATCAACATCCTCAACACTAGCTAGGAACTTGCTTAAAAAGAAAACTTTTTTAAAAAGCCCTATGCCAGACATAACAAATCAGAAATTCTGAAAGTGAGTTCCAGTCATCTGTGTTTCAAGGAGTCTTTCAGGTGATTCTGGTGCCTGCTGCCGTTTGAGCAGTGCTACCTTAGTGTAAAAGAAAATGCAAGTAGGGGAGGGAAAGAAAGTGGATAGAAAGGCCATATCAATTATCTGGAAATTACATAACCTGAGATCTAGGTCAGGCTCTTTTTCTCCTTAGTTTTCTGTCCCTCTCTTTTCTTATCGGTAAGTGGAGTGGGCCCACAAGCCTTATTAACTTACTCTGGTATTAATGTAGGTTGTATTATTGTTCCCAGATACATATTTACTTTTCCTATAAAAGGTAATTACACACCCTGGCTTATGGCCATGAGACCGGCCATACCTTGTGGGAACTGCATGGTTTCCTGCCTGGCGATGTTGGGAATAACCCTCCAACTTCCTTTGACAAAGAGCCTGTGAGCACAAACTGTGAGAACCACTGCATATTTCCACAAGTTTGTTCACTCTTTTCTTCTATCTTGAGAAATAGAAAATCCTAAATAGAGTTATTGCTTCAACCGGGGGCTTTGAATGAAAAACTGCATGGAACAAAATCACAGAAGCTAACCCACAGCCAGTGAGATATAATGTGAAAGTAAGTGGCATATAATATTATTACAAGCTACTGAGATTTGGGATTTGTCAGCTATGACAGCAAATCAGATTAATACAGGCATGGTATACAGATCCAAAGAGATAATGCGCATAATGACTTGTTGAATAAATATGAGGGACTACCATATTTAAGAGAAGATTACAAATAATTGAAACTAGAAGCCCATCAACTCAAGAACTCCACTGATACAAGAACTCCACTGATAGGATTTTTGGATTGTACCTATTTAATGTTTGCTTCTCTTTTGCTTTCTTTCTCCCCCCCCTTTCCTTTGTGTCATTTCCTTCTTCTATTTCTCCTAAATTCGCTGCATTTTTATTGTTTTTTTTTTCCCCTTCCTTTCCACCTCACCTGAGGAGAGGGATTAGGAAGCAACTGGTGAGGGAGAGCAGGTCCCTTCTTCTGGGTCACAGATCAAATTGTGGTTTAGATATCATTATGGAGTGGAAAACCATCATTCTCTCAATGTGTGATAGAATGGGCCAGTAGTACTGGGACATTTACTGTAAATGGATTCAATCCCCAATTATTATGATGATAAAATCTCCTAATATTCTGAGACTTTCAAAATGCCTCAAATGTTTGACATCACATCTACCTTCCCGGCAAACAAAAAAACAGACTAAAGGCTTAATATAACTTACAATAGATAACAGCTTGACTCTGGGTGTGTAGTAAGACCAGAGTAAGGAAAGAAAAAACAATGCACACTCATGGAAGTTCTATTTGTTTGTCCAGGTCTGGCCCATTTCTGCAAGGGAGAGAATCTTCTCCCTTACATGTTGTTCTGCAAATCAAATAGCTGTGTGGCTCTAGAGCCTTAAGTTGATATGCAATTTCACCAACCAGGCTAAAATGCTGCAACAGGAAGTAAGGCAGAGCCTACATGGAGAAAGCATGGGGTCCAAGGGAAGAAACTTTAAGAAAGAGACACACAGTAACTGAGCAGCTGATGGGAAAGCCTGAGGGACATATGGCATCGAGGCCTGGATATTTTCTCTGCTTTTATTCTTTTGTCCCAGACTCTCTATTTCTCAATGTCTGTTTTTTCTTACAGTTTTTGGTGTTCTGGCTTCCTGGACCTCCTTTCCCTTCTGCTCTTGTTTCTTTCCTTTAACTTTGAGTGGTCTAACCTGGTTCTTAATTTCAGCCCTGAAGCTAAAGGATGAAATCATTCAAACACATCTCAGCCCAGCAGGCTCCACTGACCAACTATTATTTGAAGATAATGTTAATTTCACAGTGGCCTGAACGTTGCTTTCATGTAGGTGCTCCATTAACAGCATCACCAGTTGTTTACTCATTTTTTATAAGAAAATTTTGATGAAATTATGATGACAGATGATTAAA
The DNA here is from genome assembly GCF_000001405.40 of Homo sapiens. Classification (NCBI taxonomy): domain Eukaryota; kingdom Metazoa; phylum Chordata; class Mammalia; order Primates; family Hominidae; genus Homo; species Homo sapiens. The sequence goes on along the minus strand of NC_000002.12, from coordinate 124,819,451 downwards.
ATTCCCAACAAAGCTCAGGTCATGGGGTCAAACCGACCCATACTGCCATGTTATTTGCTGGAAAAATTTTACCAAACAGAAATAGGAGTCCTAAGTGGTAGTGAAAATTCAATATGACTAATGTAAAAGCTAAACCAGACTTTCAATCATTCAGTCAACTGAATACTGTAGTGAATATCTACTCTGTGCTAAACTCCATCCTAGCTACAAAGGACAACATCTGTGCCCTCCAAAGCTTACATTAAGGTTTGGATGACAGGCAACAAACAAATAAATTAAGAATATAATTCCAGATAACAAGCTGATGAAGAAACACCAAGCCAAGTAGAAGGCAGAGAGTGAAGGTTGGGGCTGATTTGGAGATGGCATGGTCTCTATAAGCCCCACTCCTTGGGTTCCTCAAATGGCAGCCTGTGGTCAGGGAAAGACTGCCAGACAAGGTGACATGTAGGGCCCAGACAAGGGATCTACATGAAACTGAGCTAAATGGGTTTGCACATAGAGAAAGTTAGTGTAAAACCCAAAACAGTGGCCTGCTGGGCACATCCTAGAAATAATGAGAAGGTCGATGAGCCAGGCCTATGACAGTAGGTGAAAAAAGTCTGGGATCAACTTTAAGGGCCAGATTGTGTACTGCCTGCTAGATCCAGGTTTGAGAGGAGAAATGCAGTTGGTCTCTCATGCTGTGAATGGATAGCTCTGGGTGCCCTATGGAGAAGAGACTACTGCAGTCCAGAGGAGAGGGCAGGGGGCCTGGGAAGAGGCTTGTGGCTACAGGAGCGGATGGAGTGGAAAGTGGGGGAGGAGATGGCAGCCTGCAGGGGTGAGGTGGTCAGCAGTGCTTGGATTCAGAATTTGTCTTGAAGCTATAAGTGAAGGGATAATCAAGAGGTACTAAATTGGAGATGTATTTTTTTTAAGAGACAGGTTCTCATACTGTTGTCCAGAATGGAGTGCAGTAGTGCAATTGTACCTCACTGTAGCCATGCAAACCCCCCTTGGGCTCAAGTCATCCTCTCACCTCTGCCTCCCAAGTAGCTGGGACAACCTACAGTCACATGTCACCATGCCAAGCTTATTTTATTTTTATTTTTGTAAAGGCGGGGGTCTCTCTTTGTTTCCCAGGCTGGTCTTGAACTCTTGGCCTCAAGCAAGCAATTCTGGGAGCCAGTTACCTAATACTTCCAGGGATCATGGTTGCTCAGTGGGGCTTGGAGGAGGAAGCTGAGGGACAAGTGAGGCTAAAATATAGTATGTTTCTGAATATCCAGACCTCTCTTTGAAGAGGGTCTTGGTGTGAACGCACTGTTAGGTGGGTGTGCACATATCCCTCAGCTTCCATGTCATATATCCCAGCATAGAGTGTCACATCTTAGCTATATCTGCAGCCAGTGCTTTATATGAGTTTAGCACAATTGCCAAGTGAAAACACGGGGCAGTGGTGGAACTGTCCGCTGCAGTGTGTGAGAATGTGTCGGTGGCTAACGTTGTCTAGAAAGGCAGTTACATGGTGGTAACACAAGACCGGCCCATTTGCACTCAGTTTTATTATTGTTTTAAAATTATCTGCAATGCACCTCCTTTTTATTTACCCCCAGGCCAGATTCACCCACCACTGCCTGCTCTCCACCCTGGTTATAACATAGGTGCCTAGTCAGAAGGTGTTGCCAAATTAGTAGAGTATAGATATGTTTTGAGCTGAATAAGGCCTCAAGAAAACAAAAGTGCATTGGGGGTTAGGTAACTTCCTCAAGTCACACTATTTGTACATGGAAAGACGTGTAACTGAATAATTTTATCCTCCAGTAAGAACTGTGCTGGGACACGATGACTCCTGAGCTCTTCAGAATCATCCAATGAGTTTTATAGCCTCTCAAGACTTTATACAACTCTAGCTATAATCTGTTAGAATAGACTTAAACATCATCAAGACCAACCTCATGGTATAGATTAGAAAACTGAGAGCCAGAGAAATTAAGCATCTATTCTAAGTTAACTCAGGGCTTTTGTTTTTTTTTGTGTGTTGTGTTGTTTTACTTTTTTTTTGAAGTATAAGGAATAATTGTACTTATGTCTATAAAAGTGCAAATAAATATAATACTCCATGCTCCATATGCTTTTACAAATGGAATGCATCTACTTTAGGAGACAGAACATTCTATCACCGTATAAATCCCCTTGCATTCCCTCATTCTCCCTACCTCCAAAGTTAACATTATTCTAAGAGCACAGATTAATTTAGCATGTTTTAAAAATTTATATAAAATGAATGTATAGAGAATGTGCCTTTCTTAAGTCTGTTTTTTTCAACATTAACTTTGTGAGATTTATCAATTTTGTTTAGTGTTAATATAAGTCATTCATTCTTGCTGCTTACAGCAAATATATGAGTATCTAGTTTTTAATAATAATAAGGACTACTTATGTGGGAGAAACACCCTAGGGTGGCCCTCATGTTTACACCCCACATAGAACCCCAACTTCTGAGTGTAGTTGAGACTTGTGACTTGCTTTAAACACATAGAATATGGCAACGATGATGTGATATCATTCGCATGATTAGGTTACATTACATTGCAAAAGTGATAGAATATCCTCTCTGTAATTACATTAAAAGACTCATCCATACATACATATATTTGCTTTCTTTTGCTGGCTTAAAAAAGCAAGCTGCAGCCATGCACGGTGGCTCATGCTTGTAATCCTGGCACTTTGGGAGGCTGAGGCGGGTGGATCACCTGAGGTCAGGAGTTCAAGACCAGCCTGACCAACATGGTGAAACCTCTTCTCTATTAAAAATACAAAAATTAGCCAGGTGTGGCAGTGGGCACCTGTAATCCCAGCTACTCAGCAGGCTGAGGCAGAAGAATCACTTGAACCCCAGAGATGGAGGTTGCAGTGAGCTGAGGTTGTGCCATTGCACTCCAGCCTGGGCAACAAAAGCGAGACTCTGTCTCAAAAAAAAAAAAAAAAAAAAAGTAAGCTGCAAGGCCAATAGGGAGTGCCACAAGGAACTTTCGTGGCCTTTGGGAGGTGGGAACAGAGACTGGATGGCAGCCCAGAAAGAAAATAGGAACCAAAACTACAAGAAACTGAGTTCTTCCAACAACCTAATGGAGCTTGGAAACAGAACTTTTCCCAGGGGAGCCTCTGATGAGACCACATCCCAGCTGATACCTTGATTGTAGCCTGTGAGCCCCTGAATAGAGCACACAGACAAATGGTGATTGGACTCTTGACCCAAGGGAACTGTGAGATAAGAAACGTTTGCTCTTCTAATCCAGCACATTTGTAGAAGTATTACTCAACAATAGAAAACTAATACAAGAACCCAGCTCCCCGGCTTCCTAGTATAGTGATTTTTATTCATTTATATTGCTAACGGTAAGACACAGACCCCTATAAACACTTAAATATTCTTTCTCCACAATCCATTCTCAGTAATGACCAATTTGGCAAACACAGATCTTGAAGAACATTAGTCCTGGTTTCATCATTTTAAGTTTATAGTGGTCCCTTACCTTTAAAACGTCATTTATTAATTGATTAGACACAAATGAGGAAATTAGTGGAAGAAGCTGAAGTTGAATATCGTGTCCCAGCACAGTTCTTACTGGAGGATAAAATTATTCAGTTATACACCTTTCCATGTACAAATGGTGTGACTTGGGGAAGTTACCTAAATCCCATTTCCTGGGAAGAATGATCTTAGAGGAGGAAAAGAAAAAAAAAAGAAAGAAAAGAAAACTGGAGTTGTATATTTTCATGACGCTATTTTCAGCATGTATTTCCCATAGATGCATCTTAAGCACTTCGGAGCAATGCCAACCAGGGTGCAATGTAGTTGTAAGTCAATATCATTACAACATAGGCACTTAACAGGAAGACATGACTGATGCAATACACCTGCTAGCATGAGACGAAAGCTCGGCCGCTCTGGGGAAATAAGTTTCCGATAGCCCATTTCTATTCCTTTTCACTTTGTCCTTGATTTATTGCCTCTGCCTGGCTTCAGCATGACAAAGCCTTCAGCTTTCAGCACAAAATGATATTCCAGACTCCACTAAATATATTTGTAAGACAAGGGCAGCCAACAAAATTAAACTGCCGGCACAAAGACTGGCTGTTATTTAAAGCTGGAGAGAGATTACCGAGGATTATTACTTTATCAAAAAATATTTCAGCTATGAAACCAGTGCTTATTCCTCCAGTACCTTTGGCTATGTGCTAATTCATCTCCCACCTTGCATGGATTTAGTCTTTCATTGCCAGTTTATTGAAAATTCTGACAAATGTCGATGGCCTATGTTGCTGGACACCCAGGCTTACTTAGTTATTGCTACGGAGAGCTGGAAATCAGGAACGTCAGAGGGGAATTAAGTGTGCTGTTTCTTTGATTTTCATTGTTGTGCTTTCATTTAGACTAGCAGGCACTTCATCTCTAATCTCATTTGTCTTTTTAGAGGCCCCACCTAAGGTGGGCAATTCAAACACCTGAAAACCAACAGTATTAGCATTACGGAGCTGATGACTTGATCACGTTTTTCCCCTCTCTTTGTTTTAATGCAATATTTTGCCTGTTTTAAATTGCCTCCCTTTTAAGATATTTTTCTCTCAGACCCTTTGAGAAGAAAAATATCTATCAAAATTAGAAATAAGAAGAAGAGTGCAATCCATTTTTATTATCTGCAACTTTTTTAAGTTTTACTCTCATTTTATTTCTGTGCTTTTAAGCAAGGTTGTTAGCCAATTTAATTTCTTCTTTTTCTTTCTTCACTGTGCTTTAGTGCACAACAAAGATATGCCAGTGAACTCTTTTGAAGATGAACCATTAGTATATGCTTGTAAAAAAGGATCTTTTGCTTGAAAAAAAAATGCCCTATTTTTAAAAGAAGCTCTTAAGCAATTTCACTAAGAAAAGTTGTCCACAATGGTGGAGTATTTATCGCCTGTAGACACTGGGCCCCCACATTGTGCTAGGCCAGGAGTGCTGAGTCCTGGAATTCAGATCATAGCAGTGGATACAAGTGAACAGTGCTTGTGACAATTTCTGTAATAGACTGATACAGAAAGCTCAGTTGAAGGGCTCTTAATGCAGTCTTTGGGAGGGGACCAGGAAAGCTTCCCAGAGAAAGTGACATGGAACCAAAACTTGGAGAAATTAGAATTTCCAGCAAGGAGGGAATGGAGGCAGGAAAAAAAAAAAAAGAGGATTCGAGCAAAGGTAAGAAAATGTGCAAAGACCTAGAGGAAGGACAGAACATGATGCATCCAATCATCTGAGCACAACTTAATATAGACAGAGAGTATAGTGGGGTGTAAGAATCATAAAAAAAAAAGGAAACTTCAGAGAATAACAAGAGCCTGGGATTGAGGAGAGTTTAGAGGTGAACCTGCAGGCAATGGGAAGCTATCAAAAAATAAGTGACATGAATATATTTGAATTTTTAAAAGATCACCCTGGTCAGAATGGAGAATGAATTAAAAGGGTACAGGCCTAGAGGTTGGGAGAAGAATTTGAACTCCGTGGCAGTAATCTAATTCCAAGATTAGGGTGGCCAGAACAAAGATAGCCAAAGCTATCTTTGTATAAAGAATTGAATAGATTTAAAGAGACTGTGGAAGCAGCTATGCCACATGCAATATAAGTATATTCAGTAAAGTGTGGTGTTTGATGGACTCCAGAGGGGTGAGAAAGAGGAAAAGAAGAGTGATGCTTGTTTCTGACATGGACATTTTGGTGAATGTAGAACATTTCCCTGAAAAAAGAAAAAATCAAGCAGAAGCAGATCTAGCTGAGGAGTTGGAGTGGTGGGGAGGTGTTGAGGTAGAGCTTGAGTTCATTTTGTGAAGTGTTGAGTTTTAGAGGCCTAGGGGACAACCAAGTAAAGTTGCCCCTGTAAGTAATTGAGACAATTCTTTTAAGGCCAAATAGATCTACCCAAGCTAGGCATATAGATTTGGGTTCATCAGGATACAGTAACCAGCTGAAGTTTTGGAAATGGGAATGGATGAGTTAGCTCAGTGAGGGTATATCTTTTCTTCAAAAAAAGAAAAAAAAAGAAAAAAAAAACAGGCCAGGCACGGTGGCTCATGCCTGTAATCCCAGCATTTTGGGAGGCCAAGGTGGGTGGATCACGAGGTCAGGAGATCGAGACCATCCTGGCTAAAATGGTGAAACCCTGTCTCTACTAAAAATACAAAAAAATTAACCGGACATGGTGGCGGGCACCTATAGTCCCAGCTACTCGGGAGGCTGAGGCAGGAAAATGGCGTGAACCCAGGAGGTGGAGCTTGCAGTGAGCCGAGATCACACCACTGCACTCCAGCCTGGGCGACAGAGCAAGACTCCATCACAAAAAAACAAAAACAAAAACAAAAAAAGCAAAAAAAACCCAGAGCTGACACAAAAAGTCAACATTTAAAGGGTAGGCTCAGGACAAGGTGTTCATCCAGAAGACTGAGAAGTGGCCAAGAAAGCTCCAATGCTCTTGTAAGGGCATGTGTCAATGAAAAGTCAAACTCTGTAAAATATTTGAAGAGATTTATTCTGAGTGAAATATGAGTGATCATAGATCACGACACAGCACAGCCCTCAGGAGACCCTGAGAACATGGGCCCAAGGTGATTGGGGTGCAACTTGGTTTTATACATTTTAGGGAGATATGGGACATCAATCATATACATTTAAGATAACCATTGGTTTGGTCCAGAAAGGCAAGACAACTCAAAGATGGGGCTTCCAGGTTATAGGTAGATCTACAATTTTTCAGACTGTTTGAAAGAGTTAATATCAATAGAAAGGAATGTCTGAGTTATGATAAGACGTTGTGGAAACCAAAGCTTTATCATGCAGATGAAGCCTCCAGGTGGCTGGATTTAGAGAGAATAGATTGCAAATATTTCTTATGAGATTTAAGGTCTGGGTTGATGTCAAATGCTAGTTGACTTTTCCTGAATTCCAAAAGTGGGGAGGGTATAATGCAGTATGTCCAACCGCCCCTTTCCTGTCATGGCCTAAACCAGTTCTTGAAGTTAACTTTGGAGTGCTCTGCCATAAAGGAGGGATTCCACTCTGATCACTGGGGGGTTGGGGGACTTCAAATTTTATTTTTGGTTTCCATATGTGTGCTCTAGGTAGCTCATGGAGATTAAGGCCTGAACCAGATCTGGCAATGAGGAGCTTCTTACTAGCCTTAGCATGAACTATTTAAATAAAATGTGCTTTACCATTAAAAAAAGGGTAGAATCATTTGTTTTATATATACTTATGTATTATAAATACATATATTATTTATATATTATATAATATATAAATATAAATTATATATTATATAATATATAAATATAAATTATATATTATATAATATATAAATATAAATTATATATTATATAATATATAAATATAAATTATATATTATATAATATATAAATATAAATTATATATTATATAATATATAAATATAAATTTTATATATATTATAAAAAATATATATATATATATTTTTTGAGATGGAGGTTTGGTCTTTTTGCCCAGGCTGGAGTGCGGTGGCACAATTTTGACTCTCTGCAACCTCTGCCTCCCGGGTTCAAGCGATTCTCCTGCCTCAGCCTCCTGAGTAGCTGGGATTACAGGTGCCTGACACCACGCCCAGCTAACTTTTTGTATTTTTAGTACAGATGGGGTTTTTCCATGTTGGCCAGGCTGGTCTCGAACTCCTGATTTCAGGTGATCCACCCCCCCCGCCTCCTAAAGTGATGGGATTACAGGCATGAGCCACCGCGCCTGACCTGTTTTCAATTTAATTATTTCATCATGCATTGTTCATTCATTCCTTCATTCACTCATTGAATAACTACATTAACTGAAAACATCAAAAAGGGGCATGTGTGCCACTGTCCACATAGTCATCTTATGTGTCTTCAGCCAATATCCTTTAGATATTTATACATATTTATTGGTAGGGAAAAAAACTAATTTTCTTTTAACAAAACTGTAAACAACTTTCTTTATAATCTAACAATAGATTTATTTGAAGCATTCAATTTTTTATCGAAGTAATACATTTATAAAGTCAAATAGTATAGAATAACTGAACATAAGAAAGCAGCTGTTGCCCCACCCTCTCGCCTTCCTCCTCACATGCAGTTATTTTAGTTCCATTACTCTTCTTATTTTTAACTCTATTTTACTAAATATGTTGTTATTTCTTGATTTATCCATTTTAGATATAATCTTTTGCCCACCCACATTTGTAAATAAGGAGCTGTCTTTCTGAGACCCAGTCACATAAGATTCCCTGTCATGCTTTCTGTATAGGTCTATCACCATTTTGGTGAGGTTGGTTTTCAAAGTCCTTATTGTTTGTCTGATATATGCATGCAAGTGATAAAGCTGGTATTTGTTACTTGCAGACTTTTCTAGGATCCTCCTTCCAAATGGCCTGTTTTCTTGTATCTCATTCTACGCCTATAGATTTGGTTTCCTCAACTTTAAAATTCTTAACATTCTGGACCAAATAATTCTTCATCGGGGGGCTATCCTGGTTTTACAGATGTTTTGCCGCATCCCTCACTCCCACTCACTGCATACCTGTAGCAGTCCCATCTTGACAATGAAAAATGTCTCTGTGTATTGTTAAATGCACCCTCCCAGAGGATCTGGGAGGGCAATAGCATGCCCAGCTGAGAACCATTGACCCAGACTGGTTTTTCTCTGTGCCTTCTGCATAGCTGCTATCCCGAAATACCTGGCCTGTTCTGTGGTGGGTTCTCTGTTTCCTGGATCTCATGTCTTTCTTTTTTATATACTTCTTTAATTGGGTGAACCACGTTGTGACAGGCAATCTTCATGATGGCATCCAATAATCCCTGCCTCCTGGTATTCACACCCTTGTGTAATTCTCTCCCAGGTTGGACTAGGCATCCCTTCTCCAGTTAAGGTTCTAAAAGACTTTAATTTCTGTTTTAACTGTCCTCCTGTGTCCTCCCTCTATACCCTTTCCCCCTGCCCTCCACTGTATCTGGGGAAGCCAGATGACATGCTGTTTAAGCAGCGCTATTAAAAAACCAGCCTGTCAAGAACCTGAAATCTCCTGTCAACAGCCACACGAGGGAGCTTGGAAGCAGATTATCAAGCTCTTTGCCCAGGACAACAGTTTGACCTCGGAGACACCAAGAGCTGGAATCATCCAGTTAAACCAGGCTGAGATTCCTGACCTCTCCCAGAACTATATAAGGTGATAAATGTGTGTTGCGTTAAGGTGCTAAGTTTGGTGGTAGTTTTTATGCAATATCAGATAATGAATGCATGCATATCAAGTAGAGTCCCAGGAAAGATATTTAGGAAGTCTTCAATAACGACATTACACATGACTGATAATTTGACTAAACATAGGATTCCAGTTCGCAAACCATTTCCGCTTAGAACTGTGGTGTTTTTCCACTATCTGCAAATGGCCAGTGTTTTTCTTCAGAAGTTCCATATCTGTCTGACTCCTGATTCATCTATCTTTAGGAGATTTAGGATTTTGCCTTTGCCTTTGTGTGTGCCGTTTTCTATGCACTGTGCTGGGTAAGAGAACAAACTTTTACATCAGTTTTATTCTATAAAATATTTTCAATTATATCTTTGCTAACACCTCCTCCACATTTATTCTCTCTTTCTGTAAATACTATTAGATATTGGACATTACATTTTGACCCTCTGATTTTCTTCTTTGTTTTTGATTGCCCACTTTTTTAATTTTTATTCAACTTGCTAGGAGATTTCTCAGATTTTATCTCCCATCTTTCTAGATTTTTTAACAAATTTCTCTATCACATTTCCAAAAGTTATTTCTCATTGTTTGCCAGGTTTTTTTTTAAAGATCATGTTCCCAGCCGGGCAGAGTGGCTTGCAGCTATATTCCCAGACACGCAGGAGGCTGAAGCAGGAGGATCCCTTGAGTCCAGGAGTTTGAGGCTGCAGTGAGCTATGATCATGGCACTGCACTGCAGCCTGGGCGAGAGAGAGACTCCGTTTCTTAATAAATAAATAAATAAATAAATAAATAAATAAATAAATAAATACCATATTATTGTTTTATGGGTTTATATATTATCCTATCTAGCTGAAGATATTATGTTGTTGATGTTTCTTGTGTCTCTTGCATCACCTCTGTTTCTCCATTACCTTTATTTGTATGCTTTCATTGTCATCTTTTGTCTTGGAAGGCTGGTGAAAGTACTGAGTAGCCTTGGTTATTTGTTCACACTTATGACTGAGGCACTACAAATTGGACTGAAGTTCCCAAGTGAAGGAGCTACGCAGGCCAGTAGATGGGCTTTACTGTCTGGTGATCATATGGGTAAAGTATTTTTTTCAATGAGGGGACATTTCTATAATTCCAGTTATCACACATGTTTTTCATGGGGCTGTTCAGTTCTTCCATGGTCAAGGACTCTTATCTCCAGTATAGAGAAAAAAAAAAAGTCTTACCATAAGAGCTCTGGGAACAGGGCCACAAAATAAGGCTAGGGATCCCATAGCCCAGTGTGCAGACAGTCCTTTATTTCCGTATTTAGCCCAGTATCTTCACCTTGCCTTCAGCTTTGGACAATCTTTGGTTCAACTTCTATATGCTAAAGAATAAGCCTGGGATGGAAGTGAAAAAGAACTTGCATATTAGCCTGAACAGGAAAACTGTTCAGCAAACATTGGGGCAGAGGCAGCCTTCCTCCTTTATCTGCTCTCCAATTTCCCACAGTGAGTTCATATTTTTCACTCATACTAAATTCCCTTCTGTTGTCTTTGTCTTTTCAGTTTCCTACTTCTAAAATAAAATAAAAAGTTATTTGATTGCTTTGTCTTTTTTTTTTTTTTTGGACCAAGTCTCTCTCTGTCACCCAGGCTGGAGTGCCCTGGTGCAATCTTGGCTCGCTGCAACGTCTGCCTCCCAGGTTCAAGCCATTACTCTGCCTCAGCCTTCTGAGTAGCTGGGACTACAGGCATGCACCATCACGCCCGACAAATTCTTGTATTTTTAGTAGAGACGGAGTTTCACCATGTTGGCCAGGCTGGTCTCGAACTCCTGACCTCGGCCTCCTGAAGTACTGAGATTACAAGCATGAGCCACCGTGCCTGGCCTGCTTTATGTCATTTTGAAGGAGTTTAAGAAGGGAGAGATAATAAATCTGCACATTCATTCTTCATGTTTAAATGAGAACATACATTTATCACATGTAATTTTTCTGACCAAAAAATAAAAAATCCTGGGGAGCCCTATTAATACTTTAAAATCACTTGTTCCAAGAAAGTAGCACTCCCCTGTGTGCTATTCCACTACAGCATTTCAGTTGACAGTGGCTGTGGGATTTGGCTGGTGGGTATCGGAGCTGGAGGCTCTTGCTGCATCCTGAAACTTGCATTACAGAAACTGACACCAATAAAGGCATGGTATTTTTTTCTTGACTTGTTAGTCCTGTGTGCTTCCTTGTGCATCAAAGTACAAATTGCTAAATATCAGGAGATCTGTGGCAAGTTCCTTCACTGGCATTGTGTTTCTAAATCTTCCAGTGGTGTTTTAGCACTCCTGATATATTACCCCATTATTTCTGCCTGGCCCCTCTCTTGAATGAAGATCTACAAGCAAGACGTGGTGGTGGGGTGCACAGGAAGTAAATGTGGCATTCCTAGACAAGAATACAACCTGGATGGGGGCTTGAGCAAGCATCCAGAAAAACATGGCAGGTTCCTTGAGAGAAGTACACACAGTACCATGAAACGTCAGAGAACAAAGCAGAAGAGTTTATAAGTTAAAAAGTAAATATAATGGGCTTTGATTTCCAGCCCCACTGATCCCTTGCTGTGTCTTCTTGGACAAGTCATTTAACCTTTCTAGGCCAAAATTTCCTTGTCTGTAAAATAGGGAAATACTAGTACCGACTCCATAGTCATTGTGTGAGAATGAGATGAATTAATGTTTGCAAACTACGAAAACTATGCCTTGGCACATACTCAGCACTTGATAGGTATTAGCTGCTAGGAAATATTTTCTAGCTGAAAGATCAAAGACAGTGGCATATGGCTGGTGTTAGGAATTTGAACTGGATTCTTAAGGCTGGAAACTATCCCCCGACCCATCTTTCCACTGCAGATTTAGAACAGGGCATCCGACAGTCAGAGTCCTTATTTCTTAACATCGAGAGGTCAAACTACTTATTACAGTGGAGACATATCTTCAATGACTTTGAATTAGGAGAAATAATGATAATTCAAGGCCTCCTTGCTGGACAAAAGGTAATTAACTGCACAGAGAACCGAATAAGCCCTGAGCTCAGGCCTTTCATTGAATTTGTTTCACATCTCAAGATGTAAGTATTTACAGGTCAAGTGCTCTAAGAAGAATAAAAACATGTCTTTTCTCTGAGAAAAGCTTCTTCACACTGACTCCAACTATTTTCTTAATCCTTAAACCTCTAATTAGAGTTCCAGTCCAAAAGCTAAACATTCAATCTCCCATTTTCTTTATCCCTGGCTTAAAAAAAAAAAAAAAGTAAAATAAAGGTAGTTCAGTAACTAGCCTGTTCTTTGGTCTGTTTTGTAATAACCCTTCTTTGTATTTATGCCACATCTTTCAAGTGAGTTTCTCCAAGCCCTTTACAGACAGGATCTCATTAATGCCCCACCACACGGCTGTGAGACCCTTGACCAACAAGATTATCCCACATTTACAGATGAAGAACCAAGGCACTTTGTGCACTCCTTTTTTCTTTCTATAAACAATGAAGCATCATAAGGGCAAATAATAATTATTCTGATTCTCACAGTACAGCTGTAAGCAACCAGCATTGCTGAAAAAACCAGCAGTTGCTCAATTATTGGAAAATTTCTGAAGAGTCGTTTAAACTGGGAAAGTACAAAGTGAGAAGACCCAGAGGCTGTGAGAACGTAGAGCCACAGAATGCCAGCTCTACAGAGACCCACTCCCCAAGCAACCCTGCCTCCCACACATACATCACAGGTGGCAGGACAGAATCTCAAAAAGAATATGATTAAGAACTCAATTAATGCAATGTATATTCATGCCTATTTATACTAGAAGACTTTTGAAATGCACCAGGAAGAGCTACCCCCTTTCCCCAATATGGCCCCACTGTCATCCTATAACATCTTATGGATTCTATAGGGCATTTCCCCTCTCACTGTATATGTAACTTCTCCTCCTACTAGATTCAAAATACATTAATTAAATCCAAGAATAATCAGAGGTGAACTATGTGCTAAGTTACTCTGCCTCACACTGACGTTACAAAGATGAATTGTATATTAATCTTAACCCCAAGAATCTTTCTGAAGCCAACTACACCATACTTATTTTTCTACCATGAGCACATGGAACAGCATCTAGCACATGGCAGGTATTATAGAATAAATGTTTGTGTCTCCACAAGATTCATATGTTGAAGACTAACTCTAGTGTGGCTGTATTCGGAAAGGAGGCCTCTAACAAAGTAATTCAGGGTAAATGAAGTTATTAGGGTGGGCCTCTCATCCTATAGGATTAGTGTCCTTATAAGAAGAGACACCAGCAAAGCCCCTCTGTCTCTCTCTCCCTTTCTCCTCATTCACGAGGAAAGATCATGTGAGCACACAGGGAAAGGTGGCCAACACAAAGGCAGGGTCCTCAACAGACGCCAACACTGCCAGTACCTTGAACTTGGACTTCCAGTCTCTAGAACTGTTAGAAAATAAATTGTTGTTGTTTATGTCATTCAGTCTGTGGTATTTTGTTTTGGCAGCCCTGGCAAACTGAGACAGTAGGTATTAAACAGATGTTTGTAGAGTTGATTGTATTTTGACATATTTGTTGGCTTTATTTCCATACTAGCTCTTTTCTGAGGGTCTTAGAGGACTGACTTAGAAGCTGCTATTGTCTCTATTTTGATTTTCTTTGATGCTGGCACATGCTGCCCAGCTAGCTCCACAGCCAAAGTTGTTGGGGTTGAGGTGGGGAGTTTCCTTGTGTTTGACTATGTTGCCCCAGGTGTATTGTGCAAGGACTAGCACTGCAGTGAGCAGAAGTCTTTGTTAGTTAGTTCTACACATAACTCTGTTTCTTAGTTATTATAGCTCTCTCTCTATATACACACACACACACCCCTCTCTATTTTAGAGACATCAGGGAAGTTCCCTGAAGGTCTGTGTCAGGGGGCAATTGAGAAAGTCATTCTTAAAAGGTTTCGTTTTCATGCTTGTGTATATTAAAATCTGTTTCCTGTGACTAGAGACAGCCGGTTTTCAAGAGGACACCCTGTACCTTATCTTTCTCCTTCTTCAGGGTAATGTCCCTTCCAGGCCCAAGTGTTCTGCCTCTACGCACTGCACATTTTCATTACAAAGAGGAGTATTTCATACAAAGAGGAGTATTAATTTTTAAGAGTATTTCATACAAAGAGTATTTCATACAAAGAGGAGTATTAATTTTTAACCCCAAATTCCCCAAATTCTAGCCTTCACATTCATGCTCTGATAACCCCAGGATGCAGATCATTCATATTATTACTTTTACCAATAAGGAAATAAAGTGTGTTTTATAGTTTACAATCTACACAGCATAGTTACTTGCATCATCTCATTTGACCTTTGTCAATGAGTTGCAAAGTTGGCTCAGTTGGCTACAATAAAATGTCATAGACTGAGTGAGTGACTCAGACAACACAATTTATTTTCTCAAACTTCTGGAGGCTGGGAAATACAAACACAAGTGCTGGCTGACTCGGTCCCTGTTGAGGGCTCTTTTCCTGGCTTGTGGATGGCCGCCTTCTCAGTGTCCTCACATGGCATTCAAAGAGAGAGCAGGAGACAGAGTTCTCTAGTGTCTCCTGCTTTAAGGACACTAATCCTGTCGGATTAGGGCTCCGATCTTATAATTTCATTTAACCTAATTACCCTGTTACTCCAAATACAGCTACACTGAGGGTCATGGATTTTGGGAAGGGGGTGGTTCACAACTCAGTTCATAGCAATCTTCTTGGGACTTAGGAGCATATCAGAAAATAAAGCATAAACAACAACAAAGAGAAGAGAAACAAGAAAGATTAACCAGATCCAGTGCTACTAAGCATGCCACTGTTTCTCCAGTCAGGCCCACCCTTACCACCCAAGTCTAACCCTGTGATAATGGAAGTGCCCTCTGTCCTGCCCTTATCATCCATTGACCTTCCCTAGGAGAAAGTGACCAGGAGGACTCTTTATCGCCCTCTAGAGGTCACAGTGTCTCATAACCTCATTACTGTGAAATGGATGATGAAAGTACAAGAGATTGTTGGAAAGCACAGAAATGTAGGGAATGAAACAACTAAAACAAAGTCTGGGAGATAGCAAAAGACTACTGGGAATTTTAAATTCAAAATCAGCAAAGTGTTACTTGACACAAGCCCAGAGACTGAAGTGGTCAGGGCTTAGTTATGCTGTCAAAATAATCCTTCCAAGGCTTGCTTTTCCCCTTCTGTTTATCAGGATTCTTGCTGCTCTGAGGAAATCAAGCATATGCTGGTGTCAGGGAGGGGCTATGTGGAGGCAGCATTACACTTTGAAGGGCTTCCATAAGATAGCAGGAATGGCAGGGGATGTTCTAAGGTCAACCCAGCCCTGGCTAGCCACTGCCGAGTTTTGTGTTTTGAAAATGCTCCCTCCCTGGCTTCCTTCTTATTCTTGCCTCCCTTGAGTTAGTGTGCTCAAAATATAAAATGTCGCAGTTCATCATTATTCCTTCCAAGGTGTGTGCAATCACAAATGCAGACAGTGCATCTTTTGAATGCATATGCTTAAAAAAAGATTGATAAAAAGGAAATCCTGAAGCAAAGTCAGACAAACCATTTGGTGCTGGAGGGCAGCTGCACAGCCTCCCCAGAAGGTGATCTGGGAACCATATTTGGATTGTGTACCCAAAGGATTTCACCATAGATGGATAGCCCTAGAGTTAGTGCATATTCTAAATTTGACTTTGCATTTCTATCAACAAAGAAGATGATGGAAGAATAGAAACAGAAATTGATCATAACACATATATAGATTTCAACTGCAATGTGAATAAAATGGAGAAAATGAGGAACAATCAAAAATAATCTTTATTTTCGTGAAAAAATATAATGTCTGCTGGAGAACACTAATTTATCTTTCATGACCAACTCAAGCATCACCCTCTCTAGGAAGCCTTTTCTGACCTTCTCTCCCAGAGAGAATTGATCATCTTTAACTCATTCTACCTAGAACAGACTTCTACCTAGCATCGATGACATTCGTTTTTTTAACTATGTTTCTGTCCCATAACTAGACTTCTTTTTTTTTTTTTTTGAAGGAGTCTTGCTCTGTCGCCCAGCCTGGAGTGCAGTGGCGTGATCTCGGCTCACTGCAAGCTCCACCTCCCGGGTTCACATCATTCTCCTGCCTCAGCCTCCCGAGTAGCTGGGACTAAAGGCACCCGCCACCATGCCTGGCTAATTTTTTGTAGAGATGAGTTTTCACCGTGTTAGCCAGGATGATCTCGATCTCCTGACCTCGTGATCTGCCAGCCTCGGCCTCCCAAAGTGCTGGGATTACAGGTGTGAGCCACCGCGCCTGGCCAGTTAGATTTCTTAAAGCCAGGGAAGGATCCTTTCTATCTGTCTTTGTCTCTTCAGTACATGAGCTAGTATCTGCCACATGGTAAGTGCCCCATGAATATTTTCTGAGTTGCAAATTTGAAAGAGAAATCCCCACTACTGTGGAGAAGGCAAAGCCATCACTAAATAAAATTCTGTGAAAGTCCTGTGTATCTTGAGAATGAGCTCATCTCCCTTTCTGTACCCTTTTCCTGTCTTCAAGACCCTTTCTCCTCCAACCGTCCAGACTCAGAGAAGTTGTCTGTGGCCACAGCCCTAGGTTATAGAACTAAAACTGCCTTCTCTTTCCTAACAACTCTGTGACCTCAAAATGTCTCTCTTTCTGCCTCTGTTCTTCCATTCCAGAAATTAAACTAATTTCTTTTTGTTTAGGAAGAAGTACCTGTTTTCCTTTGAAAAGATAGCAGCAGTTTAACCAGAATGATTCTCTAGTTGGAGAAATTTCAAGAATAATGATAAAGGGCACAGAAGAATTCCAACCCTGGAAAATCAAACCCCTGCCAGGGAGAGACTTATAACCATGACTTTGAATCACGTTGATCTTCTTTCCTCTGGCCCGTTCAACTATATTAAATAAATTTGCAAGCTGAGAATTGTGTGCAGTGTTTATGCAACTCATCCACCTTACTCCACCTGCTGACTTCTTAACCCAGAGTGCTAAAATTAGAGCCATTGTGCACAACCTGGAGGCGGATACTTGATTTTATTTGGAGAAAGCAAAATGGGCTCCCTGTAAGAGTGGCCCTCTTATAATTTCCACCAGATTCCCAAGGCTATCTTCAGTCACAAAGGTTAAGACAGCTAGACTAACAGAAGACTCTCAGTTCTTCTCAGGGAGGTTTGAATCAATCTTATCATAAAAACTCTCACAGATAATAAATAACCTCCCCCTTTAAACCCTGTGGTTTTCTGATCTTTTTGCAACCTCTAATAAACCTTAACTCCCACTAGTATTTTCACAGGTATTTTTTTTTCACGACAGTGTATCAAAGTCACATTAAAATATTCCCAGTTCTTTATAATGCAATTCTCACCCCCCATGATTCTCTGGTAATTAGGTCAATGGCCTAATAGAACAAACATACTGGGAACAAGCTGTAAGAATATCGATTCTTTATTCCTCAAAGCAGCATTTCAAAGTCTGCAAATGAAGCCTTAACAGAAAGAAATATTAATGTAAGACTACACAAGAAGGGAATAAAGAATCACAAAATCTAAGACTTGGGAAGAAACTCAGAGGTTATTATTTTTTCCT
The DNA here is from genome assembly GCF_000001405.40 of Homo sapiens. NCBI lineage: Eukaryota > Metazoa > Chordata > Mammalia > Primates > Hominidae > Homo > Homo sapiens. Next base: position 124,801,549 of record NC_000002.12, on the reverse strand, counting down.
CTCATCTACTCCTGTGATAGTTATTATGGTTTCTCCAACAAATAGTCATGCATTATTATTTGAGGACCTCCAATGGCAAAGAATTCACTACCACTCAAGGTACTTTATTCCACTGTTATAATCCCTGAATTTTTAGAAGATTCATTTTAAAATTTAGTCAAAGTCTCCCTTCTAGTTAGATTGCTGTAGAAATGTGGGAAACATGACTGCTTCCTCTATCTAGATTGCCTTTCAAAAAGTTGAAGGCAGATTTTTTAGTCTCTCATTCCTTATCTCCTTTAGACAGCACTTAGTCCTGCATTTCTTTTCTTATCTTCACAGTTCCTGATACTGTGCAGTTTGACTAGTAATTACCCACAGAGTTAATAAAAAATGAATGATTGAGCACATATCTTAGTTGTATCTCTGCAGTATAAGGAGATGGCAAGAGATGTCCAGGATTCTAAATCAGGGTATCTTTCCCACTACCTACTGCTATGGGTTCCCTGGAGCAAGGTGTGGTGGGGGTGTTCCAAGCTGGAGTGGGGAAGGCGGACACTCTATTAACAACAATGTCCTGGACATCCATCTCCCATGAGTTAGCCTGAGCTAACTAAAATATATAAAATATATAAAACCAAGCTGTACCTTGACCACCTTGGGCGCATGTTCTCAGGACCTCCTGAGGACTGTGTCACAGGCCATGGTCACTCATATTTGGCTCAGGACTCATACCTGAACTTTCACACATGCCCTGAGACCTAAACTTAAACAATCATACAAACAAGGCACAAGTACCTTCTTGATTCCTGCATGTAGCCAGGACTTTAAAACATGCAGATGCCTATGGGATCAGGCAGCTTTTAATAGAGTAAGACCTCAGGATGTAAAAAGATAGGGGCAGGGTAGAATTCAAGAATGCTTTCTCAATGAAATAGATTCACATTATTTAAAACATTGTGCATTTTAAAAACACTCTTAGTTTAGCCCTTGTGGTTAAGAATACAGAATATGCCACCAGACTGAGGAAGGGAGGGTGAATCCAGCTCTGCTTCTTACTTGCTGTGAGATTTTGAAGTGCCTCAGTTTCTACAATAAATCAATCAAACAGGGTTGTGATGAGAAGTAAATGTTGTGTGGATTAATTAAAATAGTGCTCAGTATAGAGTTATATATATTTGTGTGTGTGTGTGTGTATATGTGTGTGCAATTTGATACAATTATATTCATTATGCACTGTCTGTCTTCATGGCAGCTGTATTTCCCTAGGCATGGCCTGACAGGTACAATTGTGCCTATGGAACTATACCCAAAAGATGCTTTGGAAAAAATCTCGCATTGGTTGTAACCAACCATCTTACTATGGTCCAATGACATCATTAGAGGATGATATTGTTTAGAACGGAGGCTGCTGGCTGACTATTGGGAAACCTGCATTCTGGTCCCCACTGTGCCATAGATTACCTCGTTGGCACGCCCACCTACTGAACTTCTCCATGCCTCAGTGTCCTCAGTCAGCTTTATCACCCTCACAAAGCCCTGATGGGCAGAGTCTAAGACCTGCTATGTTGATAGAATGGTCCTAATCATAATCACATAAAGGGCTATTGATAAACAGATCTAATTACCCATAGTGTTTCCCCCTCTCTCTTGTGGATTCTTCAAGTCCAGATGGGCTTAGAATGAGCCATTGTCATCCTAGTCTCTATTTCTGTCTATTTTCCTTCCCTTCTATTTTTATCTTAGAAAGAAGGACACCTGTTAACATCATGTGGTCCATCATCATTATTTCACTTCATGCCTGATTCAGCATTTGATCATTTCTTTACACCCATTCATCATTCATGGTTTTTGATGCTGTAAATAGCTGGAAAGCAAGATGAATCAAAGAGGAATAAACCAAAGAAAAAATAAAGCAAGATAATAATTTAGAGTTTCCTCATAAGGCCTGGAGAGGACTCTGTGTATGGGGCACACTCCAGGCTTCCTTTCTGCTAGGTTCCACCACTGTCCGTGCAGAAACTCAGTGGCATGGCTTGGGCAGAATCTGCCAAGGCCCAGCCCCATCTTATGATACCAGCAGATGACAAAGGGAAGAAAGTTGTATTCTTGATCACAGGACAGTGTTTTTTATATCATACTGTTGTATGTTCTACCCCATAAGTTTTTGATCTAATAGTGTTCCTGCCATGACTATATCAAGAATAGTCATCCTTGCAGGGTGGAATTAAGCAGTATCAGAAGAAAATTTTAACTCGCAGTAGCCATCCTAAGTGGTGTCGTTCACCATTCCTTGCATGAAGTGTATTCCACCTTGCTTATCACTCTCAACTTCTCGTATTACATTTTGTCCAAATGCTTTCCAAAAATCTGATTCTCACCTACTGCTTAAATTAATAATGGGCAATTTAGGCACTAGAACCTATTAGATACCATGCAAATTGAAAAATGATCCCTTCCTCAGATACTATGATATTGACCTTATCACTAGTCTTGAAGCTTAAATAATAAATAAAATTTAAAAAATAATCCTTTTATTTAGCATTAGGAAAATATTGCCCTGTATTTTTGTGAATTTTGTATCAAGTAGGAGTAATTATAAAAATAAAGGAAGTGATAGCATTTTGATTTGTGAAACAATAGTACTATAGTTTTGTCAAATAAAATGCCCCAAATCTTTCTGTTTCAAAATAGCAAATGCCACAATTTGTCATTATCTTTAAAAAAAAAGCCTGAAAAAAAGAAATTTGATTCCCAGAAGCAAGCCACCTATTCCCCAAGGTTATGACTCATATACTAACTACTTCTCTCTAAGACCTGGACAATTGCCTTCTATTAATACAGCCTGCATGTATGCTCATTGTTTTAACAGCCCTCAGTAAAGAAGACTGAAGCAAAGATGACAAAATACATGTGGCAAGTGTCCTTCTGAAATTCGGATATGCTTATGATGTTCTCCTTTGCACTTAATGGATTCCAGCACAGAATAAATAATAAAGAATTACTGCTATTCAGTTGAGGCAAATTAAAGTCAATGCATTTGAGACTTCAGCAGTGAATTGACACTGGCCCTGAATACCAATTGCATCTCATAAAGGTAAAGAATAATCAAGGATTTGGCTGGAAGTCTGGAAATAAGCTTCCCAGATGGGACCAACTTGAGGTTGAAATTATGCAGAGTTCTGGAGGGCATGCACCGTCCCTCCAGCCCAGGCTGAGACTCCGCTGGGTATCATGCCATCACACTCACCATTCTTGCAGAGCAGAACAACCACGAAGTCCTGAGAAGAAGAATTGATAAAGAGCAAAAGACTGGGTGCCTGGGTTGTCACAAAGCTAAGTGCAATGTTTTCCTTGGATGGAGCTGAATCTGTGTAAATAGCTGAGGATGAGAGGCTTATATTCTTGGTCACAGGATAGGGTTCTTGAAACATGTAAGTAACCGACGTGCCAGCCTCAAAAACAGCAGAAACCTCTGCAAAATATAAGAGGGGAGAGCACACATTGAAACCTTTAGATCCATTGTTCAAGCTAACCTTAGCTGCTTTCTCGTTTCCTATGCACTGGGCACTGTGTGAGGAGTAATACATGCATCAGACAACATGTTCCCCACAATAATTTTGAAGTGGCAGAAGTCACTATTCTTAATTTACAAATGAAAAACTTAATGCTCTCATAGGTTACAAACCTTGAACAGGGTTGCATAGCCAGAAAAGAAAGCTCAGGTTTTCCTCCTGTGGTTTAAGTCCAGCTCTACATACATCTGCAAAATAATGACCACTTGCCTGGCTAATTTCCTGAGAAGCAAAGATAACATGTCTCTGCCTCCAGCATAGTGCATAGAGAAATACACTGGCACCATCTTACTCCCAAAACTGAGAACCTGACAGTTCTAGTTTGTGTTCTTCTCTGGTATCTCAGGGAGATTGTGGATGGTCTCTAAATACAGAGCAAGACATTGGGGTGAGCAGCAGTAATTCTCTATGATGTTGGTAAATCATGAAGAACAACGAAAACAGCAAATAAGAAATTTATGGACAAAGTAGAAAAGACATAGGTCTCCAACTCTTAAACTCATTTTTTTAGCTGTGTAGGCATTGGTACTCAGTTCCAAAATATAGCCAAGACTTGGGTAAATAGGCTTTCCTATGGGAAACAATCCCTCTAGCATAACACACTGAATGGAGATCTGCCACCACCAGGAAGAAATACGGGATCTAAAAACTGATAAAATTCATTTAGTGGGATATGTAAATCACCCAGCCTCCTTGAAGAATGCTCTAGCACACCAACTGTTACCATGTTAGTGTAGTGGAACTAGCACTGAGTGACTCAGCACTGGATCTGAGTCTCACTTGGTTTCATGCCGGCCATGTGGTCCCAGGCAAGATAATGAACTTTGTGGAGAATGTTTTCTTATCTGATGAATGGGAATCATAACACCTACCTCATCAGTATTTCTCTGATGTATATGATCTGATGTATGTAAAGCACTTAAGAGAGTTGCCAAGTACAGTTTGAACTTACAGAGTGTTAGAAGAGAAATTAACCTGAATCCATCCCAATAGACTTTATACAATATATTCATTTATTAAATGTTCATCTGTCCAAATGCTGAGATACTCTCCTTAGATCAAGGCTGCTCTTGAGTTCACTTTAAATTTTATCTCTATACAGTAACAGAGTGTGTGGGGAAGGCTCTTTCATAGGGCAGCACACCTTAGATCAGGCAGCAAACCTCTGCCATAAAAACTGCACAGTAAACATAAACCCATATTGGCATGATTAATTTCCCTTTGCCCTAAATGGCATATGGAATGTTCCAAATTCCCCATGAAAGTCTCTGATTGAGTTAGTGGCACCTACAATATAATAATACCTGGCTTTTTCTTCCTAATTCTATTGCAAATGTGTTCCACCTTGTGAAAATTCTGTAACAGTCTGTAATAGTGCCAAAAAATTAAAGTTGCATATTTATGCATATTGCCTAGCAGATTGAGAATACTAGTTCATTTTTACTAAAGGTTCAGAGAAAGTGTTTTGCATTTATCATGCAGGTTACAACCTTGGTACTCCTGTTTATAAAAATATGCAGCAGACATCTGTGACAGTGAGAATTCTGGTTATCATCAGCTTGATTCAAGAATTTTCCTTGAGTAAATTTACTCAGGGATATTTGGTCTGCATTTTGAGCTACTGCCTCCTAGTTAACAAAATAAAGGACTTTTATTTGATATTTGTGTGTGTGCTTAAATGGAAGTAAAATTCAGAGCATTCTGTTAGGAATAACATAGATATGGGCATATACAGGATATTACTTTTTTCTTTATACTTAAGACAATAAATTGAAAATGAAAAGCATTTTGTAATTAGAAATGTCAAACCAAATTTCTGTTGTCACTCTTCCTCCAGCCCCAGTTCTAGTTATTTTTAATATTTAAATATTGTCTGTTTTATCATAAAGCTAAATTCAGCAATACAGCTGGACTCTATTATTCTTTCAGTTTCTTGTACTTTATAATCTAAGAGTTTAAGCTTTTGATCAGATGGGTTGAGTTATCTGAGCATCTAAAACCACTGGCCAAAAAGGATAAAGATATTTAACTTGCAAGTGATTTCTAGTGACCATGATGATTCTCCAAGGCCACCGAGCCACTATCAACAACACCCCTTGAGCATCCACTTGGTGGAAGAACCTATGCTAACTAGATTCTGAGATGGTAAGACACATATTTTAAAAAAAACAAACACCTGGGCCAGGCACAGTGGCTCACACCTGTAATCCCAACACATTGGGAGGCCGAGGTAGGTGGATCACCCGAGGTCAGGAGTTCGGGCCAGCCTGACCAACATGGCAAAACCCCATTTCTACTAAAAATACAAAAATTAGCTGGGTGTGTTGGCAGGTGCTTGTAATACCAGCTACTGGGGAGGCCAAGACAGGAGAATCACTTGAACCCAGGAGGCGTGAGTTGCAGTGAGCTGAGATTGCGCCATTGCACTCCAGCCTGGGTGACAGAGTGAGACTCTGTCAAACAAAACAAAACAAAACAACAAACAAAAACAAAACAAAACAAATTGCCAGTGGACCAATGGAAGTTAACCTTGGGCTTGATGTGTTAGCGACAGAGACAATATTTTCCAGAGCTGGATGTCTCTGAGAGCAGAGCCTCCTGAGACCTGCAAGAGGATCTCCGTATTGACAGGGCATTGATGGGTGACATGAAGTAGGAGAAGGAGCTGGAAATGGGATGGTACTGGAAGGTGCGTCTCTGAGCCTCCATGGGGCCTGTAGACTTGGAGATAAAACCTGAATCTACACATGTCCTGCAATCACAGGATCCCATTCAATCTCACATTACTCAAATATAAATCAGGATGAATTCAGTCTTGGGATGGGTGAAAGGATTGGAAGAAAGTACGTAAAAGCACAGCACATAGTAGGAACTCAATGAACAGTAGCTGGTTTTAATAATAGTAGTAGAATTAGATTTGGAATTAGAACAAACAGAAAGACCAGTCCTGGGTAATGAATAGTCTAGAAATTATCCAGAAATCATCCAAGCTGTAATTAATTTAGATAAAATCAAACAAATTAAATAAAAATAAAACAACTGGAAATTTGAACACTGAGCAATTATTTCAAAAATTATTATACTTTTATTATAATAATGATCCTGTGGCTACGTGTTTATCATGAGTGCTTATCTTTTAGCAATATACGATGTAATATTTGTAGATGAAATAGTATTATATCTGAGATTTTCTTCAAAATAATAAAGGAGGAGGATAGGAGGTGAGTGTACCGATGAAATAAAAATGATCATGAGTTTGTAACTGTTGAAGTTAGATAACCGGTGAATGGGAGTTCTTAAACTCTTCCCTGTCCTACAGCATATGTTTGCCATTTTTCCATAATAAAAAGTAAAAATAAATGGTATAAATTAAAATGAATATAAGTATTAAATGATTTCTGGACAGGTTTTTGGCAATATGTAAAGAGCACCCAAATGTACATACTTTTATTTTTTTCACTGAAATTCTGTTATTAAGAAAATAATCAATATATGTGTTTATTGTAGCATTATTTACACCAAAATTTTAGATAATGAAAAATTTCAATCAATAAGAAGAGTCAGCATTTAGTGAGACTTTACATGCTGTGGGCTGTCCCATGTTCTTTGTAGAGTGCTCATCGAATGTTAAACACGACTCCCTGTGAAAGAGTCCTGCGCTTCCCACATCTCGTAGATGAGGAAACCACGGAATCTTGAGGTTGAGGTACACAACCAGTGTCATACAACGTGGACTGTAGATGAACCAGAACCTCAACTTGAGCAGGGGTGGTGCCAGAGCTCCACGATTTATCTGTGAGCAGTAATGCTCTGGTAATAGGATGGATTAAACAAGAGAAGGTAGTAGCACCAGATGGAACATATTGCAATCATTAAGATGGATGCTTACAAATATTGGTGACTTACATAGAAATGCTTTTGAAAGGAAATAAAGAAAATCCAGAATATAAAATGTAATGGGCAAAATTATCTTAGTTATATTAAGTGCAAGGGGATAAAAAACTAGAAGGAAGTGCAATTCCCTATTAATGATTATTTTTGAGTACTTAGATTGGGTTTTAACTTTTCTAGATTTCTAAATAAATTTTCAAATAAATTTTATAAATAATTATGTTACATTTTAATTAAGAAGAAAAAACATTTAAATTAAAACACTATGACAGTGGTACCCAAGTTCTTTATTAATGGTGTGTGTGTAGGGGGGATAAGAGAGCTAACAACAAACACACATCAACAAATGGTGTTGAGACAAGGATATATCCACATGCCAAAGACTAAAGCTGGACCCCCTACCTCACAACAAATATGAAAATTCACTCATAATGCATCAAAGACCTAACTGTGAGAGCTAAAACTATAAAACTCTTAGGAGAAACCATGATCTTGGATTAAGTAAGGCTTCCTTATCTATGATCCTAAATGTATAAATAAAAAAGATAGGAGACTAGAGAAAATGAACTTGATCAGAATTTAAAATTTAGTGTTTCAAAAGATACTATGAAGAAGACAAAATACAGCCCATAGAACTGGAGAAAACATTTGCAAATCATATATCTCATAAGGGAATTATATTCCAAACATACGACAAATTATTACAACTGACTAGTAAAAAGAAGAAAAATTTAAAATCTACAAAAGATGTTAGACATTTCTCCAAAAAATTTATGTATACAAATGGACAATAAGCACAGGAAAAAGATATCCAATATCATTAGTCATTAGGGAATGCAAGTCAAAACCACAATGCGATAGCATTTCATATTCAGTAAGATGTCTATCATCAAAAAATCAGACAATAAAAAGTGTTGGCAAGAAGATGAAGAAATTGGATCCCTCATTCACTGCCGGTGAGAATGTAAAATGGAACAGCCGATTTGAAAAAGTTAGGAAGTTCCTCAAAAAGATTAAACCTATAGTTACCGTTTGACACAACAATCTCACTTCTAGGTATATATCCAAGAGGATAGACAACATATGTTTGCACAAAAATTGTACATATTTATAGCAGTGTTATGTATAATAGCCAAAGAAATGAAACCATCCCAACATCCATTAACTGACCAATGGATGAATGGATAAACAAACTGTGGTGCTTTCACACTGCGCAACACTCTTTGGCAATTAAAAAGGAATAAAGTAATGATGAATGTTATAACATGGATGAACTGGGACAATATTATGCGAAGTAAAAGAAATCAGACACAAAAAGATCACATACTATATGGTTCTATTTATATGAAAGGCTCAGGATGGGCAAATCTACAGAAAAAGAAAGTAGATTAGTGGTTTCCAGGGACACGGGAAGAGGTAACTGGGAAGTGGCTGCTAATGACATGGAATTTCTTTTTGAGATGATGAAAATATTCTGAAACTGATGGTGGTGATTGTTATACAACTGTGTGAATATCCTAAACATCACTGAATTATACACCTTAAAAGGGTGGGTTTTATGGTATATAAATTACATCTCGATAATAGAAAGAGAGAGAAAAAATACACAAAACAAAAGCTCTGTATTTGAAACGATGGAATCCTATTACCATGTTCATGTATAGAATGAAATTAGGGTCATAAAGAAAAAATGAACCAAAAACAAGCTAGATGGACCTCCAAATCTGACATTTAGCAAGTCAGTCCACCTTTATGAGCCCCAATAAGTTAAATTTAGATTTTAATACCTGCTCTATTTGTTTGGATGAGGAATATATGTTGCAGTTAATTACTAGTTTATTTTTTATGATGATTGCTTCTTCGTATCATTATGAGAAACGGAAAAATCGCCAATGAAACACAGTTCTGACCTAGGAATTGGTAATGAAAAAAAGACCCTAATTCTATCCAAGATATATTCAGTATTTACACACCATCTCCTTGAAATATACTGCGCCATAGTAAATAGCATGGAAGGCTGCCCCAATCACCAAACAGACCACCCTCTGTTCAGAACCATCTTGTAGCCACTGGCTTCCCATTTCAGTTCCGGCCACATTCCCCAGAGGCAGTTGGCAGGGCTCAAAGATGTGACTAAAAAGGCCATCTTACTTACATTGCGAGGACTAAATATAGAGGAAATAATTTTCTTAGAATTATCAGAAAGAATGAACAGTTTGGAAATAGTAAAATACGAAGCATATGAAAAGGCTAGGCACACACTTGCCTATGTAACTTGCAGATCATAATTAAAAGTGGGAGGGAGCACAGAGATGTTGCAACATATGCAGGGAAAAGATACAGGGCCGTGGACAGAAGAAAATTAGTATGAATGGTTTTGGAGAAAGGAGCCAAAAAAAAAAAAAAAAAAAGAAATTAGGCTACATTTAGAACAATATGATCTACGAGATCTTTGAATAATGTCCCCAGAGAAATGCAGAGAGGTCTACTGTCCATGTTCTTCCAAACAAAAGACTTGGTTAGAGATGCTGAGAAGAATGCTTGTGCATTTCAGTGCCAGGGTCTCATAGTATTTATTCTGTTCGTGCTCCTCCTAGCATGTGGGATGGCTCAAAGGGAAGCATTCACACTTCTCAGGGGAAGTTGTTCAGAGACCTCCGCCAGTGTGAATACCTAGCAGCACTTTACTTGTTTAGCTCATAATATGAGCCCCTGGAATGGAAACTGTTTTATTTTAAGCTTCCATGCGGTTAGCCCGAAAATTTTTACCATTAATTTTCTCCCAAGAAGCATGACATGCTCTTCAGGAATAATAAGTAAGTAATTCAAACTAATTCAGGAGAAGGCCCCTGTATGAATGAACGGAGGGCTCAAACTATAGTATCCTTCAAATAAAACAGTGAGTGCTTTTTTTCCCTTTTGTTTCTAAGTTCCAACAGTAGCAAGCTGGACTAAATAAACCATTGCTTTGTAAAGGTGCTTCGAAGATATGCTTTAATGAATTGAGAAGAATTATTTATCATTGCTCTGATTGTTTGTTTGCAAATGGTGTCTCAAAGTGATTCAAGCATTTTATTTTAATAATTTAAATGCTGCTCTTAAAATATTGTTTACATTATTTACTGAACAAACTTTTTCCGTCTTTAAAATATTGCAAAAATTATGAGTACACCAAATCTTTTTCCTTATGTTTGAAAAATCCTACGTATTTATACTGAATATTGAGATTTTCTAGTTTCTTGAGGTATCTTGAATTTATCTAGAGAATTTAAGCAATGATCCTCATTCCTTGTCCAAGGTGTATATCCGTGATTATTAATTTGTGTCAATGTAATGAACTCAGGAGATTGTGAAGGGGTATAGGAAAAGTCCTGGAGCAGAAAATTTGACTTTCATGTGTGTTTCAGTCCCAGCCCACCAATGAACTAAATATGAACTTTCAGACAGGGCTTTTAAAGCCTCAGACATTCGCTCAAGTCACCTGCGGAATAGAGAGATTTCACCAAATACACGGTACTGTGTTTACTAATTTACTGATATTCTCTTTGTTGTAAAAAATAATTTAAGATGGCTTAAGTATCTCTAAGGCTCCCCCAGGGCTAGATTCTACAATTCTTTGATTACATTTGCGGGCTGAGGGATTGGAAGTGGAAATATTAATGTGTTCACTAACAATCTAGCTAACAACAGAAATGTGGGTCCACCTCTTTCTCTACTTAACTGACTTTTTGGCCGTGGGCAGGGTGTTTTCCTGTAATTATCCATCCAGTTCAGTTACATTGCCAGTGAACACATGTAATACCAATAAGTATATGCAATTACGTTGAAGAACTATGCAGACTCTCTAAACAGCGGGAGAGTAGATGATAAAGACTGTCTCAGAGTGTGAGTATCACATGGCCTGACCATAGCGTATAGGTGATACAGCACTGCACTCAGGAGAAACAGGAGCGCCTAAGGTACCTTTTTTGCAAAAGGGCCCTTCATAAGGTGAATTGGTGCAATCACACAGGTAGCCATTGTGCTTCTCCACACACTTGCCCCCGTTGTGGCAGATGCTGCCGTAGCTGCTGCAGTGGCCGGGGCAGCCTGGCCTGACTCCAGATGTGACCTTTGCCCTCTCTTCCAGGTCCATTTTCTGTCCATTCAAGTGTAAGGAGCGAATGCATCCTAGGAAGCCTTTCTGTCTGGATGACGTTCCCCCTAAGAGGTTAAATAAAAGGAAACAAATGTAAGGTATTATAGGGCTCAATACATTTAGGTTTAATGTTGGCATGGGTAAGAGTTAAGTAGTTCTCTGTTGTCATGAAGGTCTAAATTAATTTTTTTATTAAAGTTTCAGTGAGAGTTGGAATTCCAAAGAGCCTCAAATAAATGCATGTCCTAGAAACAATGGTGGAGCTAGAGGCCACTATCTTTAGCAAACTAAGGCAGGAACAGAAAACCAAATACCCCATATTCTCATTTATAAGTGGGAGGTAAATGATGAGAACACTTGGACGCAAAGAGGGGAGCAACAGACACTGGGTCCTACTTGAGGGTGTCGGGTGGGAAGAGGGAGAAGATAAGAGAAAAATAACTATTGGGTACTAAGCTTAGTACCTGGGTGACAAAATAATCTATACGACAAATCCATGTTATACAAGTTTACCCACATAATAAACCTGCAAATCTAGCCCTGAACCTAAAATAAAAGTTAGTTAAGAAAAAAATACATGTCCTTCTAGGCTGGGAACCCCCTCCCTCAAGCTCTTTCCGTATACATACAAAAAAAGTGAAAGATTGTAGTTCCTGTATTTTACAAGTTTAAGAGTAAAACTTCAGATGGCCATGTTTCTTGTGAAAAAAAAAGTTCTCACACAGTCCACAGCACACTTTCATCTGAAGTGGAAGGCACAGAGTGGGACTGTCCTTTCTGGCAAAGTTAGACAGAAGCTGTTAGGTACACCAACTTAGAAAACTTCAGTAGACTTCCTAATGCTTGCACAGTGCAGTGCAGTGGAGTGGAAGGTGGATAGACCAGAGCCAGATAGACATGGAGTCAAACGCATGTCACTTGCTGATTAGCCATATTGACCATGGAATTACCTAAGCCTCAGCTACTTCATCTATAAAATAAAAATCAATCTATTGTGTGGGTGTGTGGTGAGGCTTCACTAAGATCATACAATAGGCCAGGCATGGTGGTACATGCCTGTAATCCTAGCATTTTGGGAGGCCAAGACGGGCTGATCATTTGAGGTCAGGAGTTCAAGACCCGCCTGGCCAACATGGTGAAACTCCATTTCTACTAAAAATACAAAAATTAGTCAGGTATGGTGGTAGGCATCTATAATTCCAGCTACTCGGGAGGCTGAGGCAGGAGAATTGCTTGAACCCAGGAGGCTGAGGCAGAAAAATAGCTTGAACCGGGGAGGCGGAGGCTACAGTGAGCCGAGATCATGCCATTGCATTCCAGCCTGGGCCACAGGGCGAGACTCTGTCTCAAAAAAAAAAAAAAAGAAAGAAAGAAAGAAAAAGAAAGAAAAAAAATAACATAGAATACAATACCTGTTCAATCACTGCTGCTCTCTTATGCCTTCTTTTGCACCTTCACAATGGCTAGAACCAGTTACTTAATATATATGTGCTGATTAATCCTTAAATTAAGCTGATTAATAATGAGCTTATTATTACATTATGATTTAGAAGACAGATTTCTTTTTTGTGGAATACACAATAGGCTTGTAACTTTCTGCTGAGGATATATCTTGAAGATTTCAGAGAGATTTTATATGTTTCTTGAAAATTATTCAAGAATCAGGCAGATTTAATATTTCAGAGTGTTTTGTTCCCATCAGAAATCCAGTTTTCCACCAGCCTACCCCTCTGATATCAGAAAAACGTGTGTTGAAAGACAAGCCGGCAAATTAAGCTAAGTCCCATTAGAAGGTATTTATTTGGTGCTGAAACTCCTGGGAGAACCCAGGGGAGGTGGAGGTACAGCCTGGCCTTAAAGAACACAACATTTGTTTCAAATCTTCAGGCTCAAGTCTACACATATGGATGAGTGAAAGCCACACACAGGCCTTTGAGGTCTACCAGATGTACTAATGGAGAGGAGGAAAAGGTGGAAGGGAAAATACCAAGGTCAGGACCAACTTGTCATTCGTTTTCTGTACCCTTAGGATCTCTCATCTGAGCCTCATTCTAGAAATTATTCTACAACTTTATTAAATCTTTGTCTGACAAATGACCAGATACAAATGTGTCCTTATCAAAGTGGATCAGATGAGAAATTGAAATGCATAATCTTAGACAGGGAATAGAGATGTTAAGTGAGAAACAAAGCTGTAAGTTAAAGGAATGAATAGATAATTTAAAGAATTCCTGGCATTAGTCAGACTGGCCCAATGGTGGGTCAATGGCTTTGAGGAAAGCAAGGAAATAATTAGAAATGGGGAGGATGTGAGGGGGACATGGGGCAGGGGAGAGTGGGGAGAGAAGGGCTGTTTTTCCTAAATCCCACCAGGTCAGCAGACTCATAAATATATGTATGACATTCACTTGCTACATCCATAGAAATTTATCCTAAGGGATAGATCTCGTCTTGCATTCTGAAGTAATGATTTATAGAATACAATATGTGTTCAATTATTTTATTTTCAGTTCCCGTAAGTGATACCCAAGCAGGCCAGGAGGCCAAACCCCAATTACATTCTCCTGTCTGTCTCAATTTTGGTAAGTAAATCTCTTTAACCACAAGATAAATCAATTATAAACACAAGCAGATCATAGAGGAAGGTTCATTATTTCTTTCCTAGAGAGTGTGTAGAATAAAGAGGAGAGGATATATGTAGTCAAATGTTTTGTTTGGTTTTGTTTTTCTCATTTTGTTGTCACTCCCCATGGTGGATTTGAATAACTATTCATATATCTTGTTAGTGTCATTTTTCTTTAACAGAAGTGAAGAATGCAAGATCTATTGCACATTTTCTTGCGTGTGACTTAGTCAACAACTTTTTTAATGGAGAAGAAGATGACTGGGGTTGGTGGTTTCTCGGGCAAAAATGCACTCCTTAAGGTTTGAGACTTACAGAACCTGGTGATAGTGACACAAATCTGGGGGATTATTTCAATTACAGATGCTGACAAACCGTAATGACACAGTGAGTTATGAACTCAATTGCACAGTGAACTAAATTTCCATTTTTACCTGGCTGTTTTAGTCTTTACAAAGGAGAAAACTAGGAGTAAGTTTGCTTTTTCTTTATAAAGAGAATAATTTTTTAAAAGCGGCCCTTTTTACCTACTATGTGTAGAGAGTTATTGGAGGCATGAATCTTCTGTAAAACTTATTGTACAGAAACAGAAAGGCAACAGTAATCTTCCCTCATCCTCCTCTCTCACTGTCCTCCTCCCCTACGCCAGCCCTGTGGATTTTCTCTCCCTCTCCCAGAAATCTGTTTCTGAATCCATTTGCTTCTCTCTCTCTCTTCTTTCTCTTTCCTGCTTCCTTCCTACCTTTCTTTCTCTTTCTTTTTTCTTTCTTTCTCTCTGTCTTCTTTCTTTCTTTCCTTTCTCTTTCTTTCCTTTCTTTCTCTTTCTTTCTTTCTTTTTCTTTCCCTCCCTTCCTTCCCTCCTTCCTTCCTTCCTTCCTTTCTTTCTTTCTTTCTTTCCTTCCTTCCTTCCTTCCTTCCTTCCTTCCTTCCTTCCTTCCTTCCTTCTTTCTTTCTTTCTTTCTTTCTTTCTTTCTTTCTTTCTTTCTTTCTTCCTTTCTTTCTTTCTTTCTCTTTCTTTCTTCCTTTCTTTCTTCTTTCTCTTTCTTTTCTTCCTTCCTGCCTGCCTATTTGTTTTATTTTTGAGACAGAGTCATATTCTATCATCCAGGCTGGAGTGCGGTGGTGTGATCATAGCGCACTGCAGCCTCCATCTCCCAAAGTTCAAGCGATCCTCCTGCCTCAGCCTACCGAGTAGCTGGGACCAAAAGCACACACCACCACGACCAGCTAATTCGTTAAAATTTATTTTTATTATTTGTTTATTTAATTTTACTAGAAATGAGGTCTTACTATGTTGCCCAGGCTATCTCAAAACGCTGAGCTCGAGCAATCCTCCTGCCTTGGCCTCTCCAAGTGCTGGGATTACAGGTGTGAACCACAACGGCCAGCTTGTCTGCTTCTTTCTATGCCTGGAGACTGCTTTCAGTATATTCTCTGTCACCCTAACCTGAATCCCTGCAAAAACATGCTACCTTCAGCCCCTGCTCTTCCTTTCCATTCAGCATTTTGTGGCTAGAATTAATGCAAATTTGAAAATGTGATTCTGCTGTACGTGTTTGATACCCTTTGGAAACTAGTCATTGTCCTAGGGATCAAGCTGAAATTCCTGATCACAATTGACACAGCAAGGGAGATCTGGCCTCCCCTTACCCCACCAGCTTCTTTCTCCCACACTTCCTGCACTGACTTCAGTGCACCAAGCATTCCGAACCACTTGTGGCTCTCATGCCACATGGCCTATCTAGACTTTGCACCTCTTCACATATGTTGTATTTACTAGTATGTTATCCATCCCCATGCACTCCACTGTTTGTCCTACACTACCCCTGTAGTCGCAGACATGCACACCTGAACTCATATAAACTTATTAGTCATTTATCTTTCTACCCACCGATCATTTCCTCATTTTAATTATTTGTCAATTTTTTAAAACACAAAAAATACTTCTAAAAATTCTAGTTAGTTCCTCATTGAAAAATCAGAACATCTCTTAACAATGAACCTGCTTTCTTGCATGGCAATTCTCAACTGCACTGGGGTCAGCTCCTTTAAGATAGGGCATGCACTCTCCACTTGACCACAGAACCCACCAGGATGATTTCATTCATTCATGTTGCCTTCCTGGCCACTGCAAGTATTTAATTTTTCCCCTATTGCTCTAATATACTTTCATTTTTACTTGTTTGTTTCTTGTATACAGTTCACTGTAATTTTAGAAGAACAAAAAACATGTAGCTTTTTACTTAGAGATGCTTAAGGGTTTTTTTTCTTTTTCTTTTTCTTTTGTTTTTTTTTTTTTTTTCTCAGCCTTAATCTCTGAGCTCTTTGAGGACCAGAGCAATGCCTCTGGTTCTAAAAACAATATTTAAAGATACTAGTCATACTAGTTGTAGGCTAGAAACTTTATACTAAACTCATTAAATTGTCAATGGGAAAGAAGGTATTCTTCATATCATTCACATTCCCTAAGAAAATTTAACATCCACATTGCCTAAGAAAACTTAACATCAGAGATTGCTTTGGCCAGAGTGGGGAATTAAACAGATTTTATGTGGCAAAGCCTGGAGTCACACTGGACATGGCGACCTTCAAAGCCTGCATGTAGCTCCTTGCCCTAAAATTCTAAGACAAATATTAGACGATTTGGGTCAATACCACAACTAAGTGATTCTTCCAGTTTCTTCCTCTTACCTCTTACATGTTTTCTTTCACCAAATAATATACCAGCATGCATTTATTCTCTGGGATTCTCTATCAGTCTTTTTGACAACTTAGACCATTAGTTGGCTGGCCTAGCTAGAAGCAATTTTGTATGATACTCTTCAGTTGGCCCTTGGTATCAAGTGGGTTCATTATGATGATGTTTCCTTGGACTGAGTATGAATCAACTCTTAAAAACTTCACTATCATCATTCTAAGACTGTCTTTGAAAACCTCCATGTGTCAGTTGGACAAATGCTCATTGCTTTCAGAGAAGCATCTCAGTTCCTTTTACCCTCCTTGAGCACAAACGCGGAGCCTCTATTTCTCTCATGTGTATCTGCTCTTTCCTGCACATGCTCCAGCAAAACTGATTTTCAGAGAAGCCCCTGGAAAAACACAGACTGCATCAGGTCAGGCTCTTATTTCATAAAAATTAGTACAGTGCCACCTTTCCATCCTCCCTTCTTCCCTCCCACCTTTCTTCCTGCCTTACTTTATTTTTATGCCCTTGAACATGGAGCAGTTTGTTTTCTACTGAAGTTCAGCTGCATTTACCACCTAGATTTCAAAAAGTGGCAGACTTTTTGACTAAAGTGGCAGAAGGTTTAACATATACATGATGAATAAAAACAAGTACACTAACTATCAATTATGTTCTTCTTTAAGTCCTGGTTCTCCAATTGGCAGAATCTTGGTACCAGGAGGAAATCCTACTGTAGACTTTAATTTCAAAATGTGATTTCCTTAAGGATAAGGCATGTATCTGGTTGAGTTTTGCCAGATAGAGAGATTTCTTGCTCAGGAATCACTAAACATACACTATTTAATAATACTGGTAGTATTAACTGGATGCCCAAAAGGTAAAATAATAATAGTGATCAGAACGAAGAATTTATTTAATATCAAACCTTCTACATGCTTCATTGATTTAATCCTCACTACAAATTTTGACACCTCAAACCAAATGCCAAACCCCCTCAGGAAACTGGAAAAGAGTTTAGTGATAACTTGAATTTGGTTAACAGATTAAAATAATTTCCTTATTTGTTTGGTAGAAATAAATGTTGTGAAAGACTTGTGAATAATAATTCATCAATCCATATCAAGAGCCATTAAAGCATTGTTATTACTGGCTTTATTGCACTTTTTAAAGAAAAAAGCTGAAAATGGAGCTTGGAGGAGGATTACAAGCAGAAATATTAATATTTAATTGATCTTTTGAAATAGTTGTTACAGACTGGGGGAGGGAAATGTCTGACAAAAGAGAATGATAAATAAGTCATGGTAATTCTATATGGGGAACTACTTATAAAACCATTAAAACTTATGATGATGAGAAAATATTTCAATGATTGAGGCTGTTTTTAGTACTGTGTTTTATTGTTTCTTGTGTTCAAGAACAAATGCAAAAGTGCACAGGAATATATGACTTGATAATTTTTCACAAACTGAACACACCAAAGTAACTAGCAACCAGAACAAAAGACAGAATTTTACCAGCACGCCAGAAGCTTCCCTCCAGTCACCAACCACCCCTTCTAAGAATACCACTAACCCGTTTCTGAAATCAGAGGTCGAATATGATTTAAATGGAATCACATTGCATGTACTATTTTGACCCTGGCTTCTTTTGCCTAGCATTGTATTGATGACATTTGTCCATATTAATAAAGGAAGCTGTACAGCATTCTGGTGTGAGAAACATTTCATAAATCATCTTTCTTTCTACTCTCAATGGGCATAGTATAGGTTTTGGCTATTTTGAATAGTGCTGCCATAAGTAATATTCTGTATTTATTATGGTTCATATTTCTGTTGATGTATACCTAGGAGTAGAACTGTTGGTCATAGGGTATGCATATGTTTGACTTCAGTAGATAATGCAAAACAGTCTTCTTAACTGTTTCGATTTATACTCCCACCAGCAATAAATTAAATTTTAATTGTTTGCATTCTCAGAATGATGCTTTTTTTTCTTTTAAAGTTCTTTGGTCAATATGCTAAATGCCAGTGATTATTTTACAAACTACAGATGAAAAAAAAATGTGAGCAATTGAACTAAAATTCTCCCAGTCCTGGGATACTTATTGGAAATCTGATTTACACTTTCCATTTCTACCTATGGCTTGTGGTTGGTCTGAAGCCTCCCCTATACTGGGTTCAAGCTAGATCTTTCCTACTGTTTAAGGTCCACATGACCTTCTAGTACAGAAAAAGGTATCAATTTCACAATACATAATGATGGGGACAAGTTAGAATAACAATAATAACAAGGATAAAATACTGAAATATCTAGAGGCTTTTAGTCTTTTGTGAACACAAAGCAAGCAGGACACATTATCATCCATATTTTCCTGCTGGGCATGCAGGCACCATCAGAGGTTACGTGGCCTTCAGGAATAAATGGAAGGAAGCAAGGTGGCTTTGCAGAAGATAAAAGAGGAGAAAAATGAGGGCAAATAAACAAAAGGATAAAAAATGATGGAATCAGAGGAAACGCATAACACAATATGCTCTGACGGAAAGGGGAAAACTGCAGGCTTCAGAAACTCTAAGAGAGTGGAGGTATTATAAAAAAGAAATGAACCTCATCTACATATGCACACATATATACATATATAACTGCTCCACTGCCCTCCATTACTGCTTTTGGAGCACACTCCTCTGGGCAAGGACTGTTTCTTATTATTGGGTAAGACCTTGTCAGCCTGAATCTGCCCTTCAGGGCAACAACCTCATCCTGACAGTAACCCCCACCCCCATGTTTTTGATGAATTAATTTATCTGTGAAAGGATGGGAGATAAAAGGTAGAAAAGAACGGTCCTTGAGGATAAGAGTTTGTGGGAAAATGGCAGAGAATATGGAGCAAAAGGGCACCTGACTCTGTCATTGATAGAAGTACCATCTCACTATTTTAAGACGAACCCGAGTCCAAAGCAGGGCTCCAGTGCAGTGTAGATGGCGGCGGGGAATGCAGTGTCCACGTTGAGTACCCCAAATAGACAGCAAGATCTGGAAGGATGGTCAGTCTTAGGCCCTGAGGCGTTTGGGCTCCAGGTGTCCTCCCAGATACCTGAATAAGTGAGCAACTGGCTTAGCAATGTAAGAGATCTGCTTCCTACACACTGAGTGGGCACACAAGTCTCAGGCTGCCTTCCAAGGGCAAATTTCCCTAGACATTGTACTAACTGCAAATTAATCTTATTTCACCAATATAAGAAAGAGAGAGGCAGGAAATAAACACTTACACAACGTAAGAGAAATAGAGCCTGGGGCCTGCCTCCGCATGGAGTTGGGAGCTGCATCCAGTTTTCCCTGCTCATACCGCCTTGAGTACATACCACATACCACAGCATGAAGGACTTACTAGAAAATCCAGCTCACCTCTTCCCTGAGCCTGTACCTCCCAAAGAGTGAATGGATCTTATTTATCTCCATGACCCCATTGCCCAGCCCAGGGCTGACTGAGCATGCACTTGGAAAATATTTGCTCAGTGAATTATGGAAGGAAAAGAATGTGAGTGGGGAAAAAAGGATGAAGGACAAAGAAAAGCAAGTGGCAGTGCAGAATCAGACCACTGTCCCTCACTCCCCATCCTGCAAAATGCTCCAAACTCCACCGAAGCACCCACAGGCTTTTAAAAACTCTTTTGGGTGAGATAGTAGGAAAAGAGGAGGTTGATCCCTGGGAGAATGAAGAATAAATTCTGCTAAAGAAAGTCATTTCAATTTAAAACAATCATATAGTCTGGCTTTTTGCTGCACTTTATTCTCAGTCCAGACCAAGAGAAGGTCAGTGGCTGAGGCCAAATCCTGACTGCCCAGAAGGCATTGCAAATGTGTTAGGAGTGTGGTCAGCTTTCAGTTTATTTCTGGTATGCTTAAATCACAAGTAAAGGTCCCATTTCTGGTCTGGGCACATCCTCTCACTACCAGATTGGACACAACTCTGATTTGGACAAACAACCCAAAAAAAGGCTGTCTTATTGAACAGATCAGGGGGAAAATAATAGCAGTGAGAATGTAATTTACCAATAACAATTTTGAAGCAGGCGTATGTGAACCATATAGTAATTTGAAAATGTGGTTTTGAAATCCCTTTATCTTTAAAGTCGATGGCCAAGAAAATGGCAAGAAACTTTCCCCTTTATAAGGACCTGCATTCAGCTTTTGAGGCACTCACACTCCAAGTACACTAGTGTGTGGAGACATTTCTGTTGATTTGTGAGAAGAAGTAAAATCCAGCGTAGGGAGGGATCTTTCCCCCTGGAGCCATTACACCAATTGAGTGTGTCCTTTAAATGTCAAAACCCCTCAGTTTCCAAAAGGAGTGTCTCATTATTCCAATGGGGTGAAGGCACAAATCATTTCCCATTTGAAACAGTCTTTTGCTTGCCATTCTTATTTAAGAACCCTTAAAAGAAAATCCCAAGTGGAACAGGGACATCCATTGCTGCATTCAATGTTTGAAACTGATTTGCAAGCTATTGATTATTATTAAGCCCAGTGGGCAGATGGAATAACTGAGGCTCAGAGAGAGTAAGTGGCTTGCCTAATACCATAAAGCCACTAGTGGAATGGACGGCACGGGGAGCTCTGCCTTCATTCACTTTCATTAATCCATTAGATTTTTATTGAACACTAAATATATTAGAAAACCTTTACTGGTCCCAGAGATGTGAAGATAAATTAGACACTACGTCTTCCCACAAAGAAACTCCTAGAAAGGGGAGATGAAACAATCAGGTCAGTATAATCAGGCGTATTGTGTGTGCTCACAGAGATAGGGGGGTGTACCAGGATAGACTCCCTTGAGAGGAGATAGTTCATCTGACTCATCAAAGTCTGCATTATCCATGAAGAGGAGTCTGTCAGGTAGATCAGGGTAGGGGCAGGTCCATTTTAGTTTGAGTACCAGGACCTTCAAAGGGTAATGAAGCAAAACCATGCAAACTTGGTCTTAATAACCTATTAGCATGAAACAGTGCTTTGGAAAAAGAAAGTAGGAGAGGAAGAGGCATTATTTTATAGCTAATTCTCAGGAGAAACGAAAAATAAATTTCACTTAAGAAAATTAATTTGATTTAAAAGAAGCATGTGTGTGTGTGTATGTGTGTGAGCATGCACACATGTGTGTAAGTTGCACGAAAAATATACCTGATTCTCAGGTTGGGTTCACCAGAAAGCAAGTTCTGTGATGGAGTTAAGGGTACAGGATATTTTTAGGGGAAACCTTGGAAACCATACTTATGGTTGGACAGAAGAAAAAGAAAGTATGAATGGGCAGAAAAGTGAACTATGGTAAAGGCCCAACATCAGCCCAGCACAGTCCCACCGGGAGTGCTGAAGCCAGAACGAATAACCAGAGATGTTCCTTCTTGGGCCCAACAGTTGTGCCTTTGCACTCTGGCTCAGTCACTGGATGTGAATCCCCCTGGAAAGGACATGACCTTGGTCAAGGCTTTCTCTGCAGCTGAGGCAGCTTCTGAAGGTGCAGACAGATGAAGACTGTCCACCAACAGCACTCCCAGCCACAGAGCAAGTCCTTCTTTGAAGGGAGACCTGGACAGCAGATTACAAGGTCCTACCACAGATCCCTAAGCCCCTCTACACACGGAAGATGAGCCTGAGAGCAGATCCTTATTTACCTTGAAACAGGGACGATAACACTGGAAGCCGAATTGGAGCATGGCACTTCTTACCTCCTCTTCTACAAAATCACCTTCCCTACTGAAGCAGCTTTGAATCCACATCCCTTTCTTCCAGGTTCAGAAGAAACTCTTTTTTTTTTTTCTTTTTAACTTGTCTCTATTTGTTACAATCCTTTTAAGCAGAATGTGAGTCGGACACTACATTACCATTCAGAATCCTCTCTCTGAGCTATTTTTGAATGGCTTTACAACACGCCTAGGTAGGCTTATAATTTCCCTCCTCTGAACTATACTTTTCTTTGGAAAACAAGCCCCTTTTGGAGAGTTTCTTCCATTAAGTTGCTTCCTGGTTTATGAAAATGTGTTCCTGTCTTCTGGCTTGAGTGTGGAAGATCCCCAGACATGTGCTAACAGGATTGACA
This sequence comes from Homo sapiens, assembly GCF_000001405.40. Lineage (NCBI taxonomy): Eukaryota > Metazoa > Chordata > Mammalia > Primates > Hominidae > Homo > Homo sapiens. The sequence goes on along the minus strand of NC_000002.12, from coordinate 124,778,566 downwards.
GGATGATCAAACTCGGTCTGGGTATTGATGAAGCTAATGATGCCAGCGCTGCTGAAACTGAAGCAAGGCCACCCTTAAAGGAGATGATGACACACTGTGCATGGAAAAGGTAGACGAAGCTTTGGCTGAGACACCACTTGTGCATGTGTTCAAAAAAAACTTCATAACAAAATGAGAAGAGTATAACTTGGCCAGTAGGACTTACTGGAGGTTTTCGACACACTTCCCATCCCCTACTCTGCCCAAGGGCTTTCTCACCTCCTCTGAGTCATCTGCTTCCTCTGGGCAGACTCAGAGAAATGGAAACCAGCTCACTAAGCTCTAGGCAGTGTTACAGCCTCAGCCACCTCTCTGGTTTGCTCTTTTCCAACTGGGGCTTCCCTTGTGGCTACTCAGCATGTGGCAGTCACATTAGCTCCAGGGCAGCCTGATTTCTTTCCTGCAATTGCCCCTCAGATTGGGTCCTTGAATGTCCAGGGAGAACTGTTTTATTGTCCAGAAAGATCTGCCTTAAGTTTCTTTTTACAATTAGAATGCCAGTTTCACATAAATGATGCTCTTCTAATGATTTCTTTCTTTACTGAGTTATAAATGTTGACAAGTGGAAGTGCCAAGAGAATCAAATTACTGCTTCTAACTTTGAGTTTTTGTGAGGTCTGAAGCCCGGGTCCTCTCTTTCTGAGCTGCATGAGAAGATGATACCATGCTGCATTCTCCTTTAAAAAAGACAGTATGAATCCTGACACACACACACACACACACACACACACACACACACACACACACACACATCCCTCCATTCTGCTTCAATTGTCCATTGTCAATCCAACAGAGACCAAAAGATCACAATATGAGCTCAATTAAAGCAGAAGAAGTTGTAGACAAACCTTTCAAAAGTGTGTCTGAAATAGTAGGGAGCAATCTGGGCGGCCAAGGTGGGCAGATTGTTTGAGCCCAGGAATTGGAGACCAGCCTGGGCAACAAGGTGAAACCCTATCTCTATTAAAAATACAAAAATTAGCCAGATGTGCCAGCATGAACCTGTAACCCCAGCTACTCAGGAGGCTGAGGAAAGAGAATTGCTTGTACCCGGGAAGCAGGGGTTTCAGTGAGCTGAGATCCTGAGATCGTACCACTGCACTCCAGCCTGGGCGATGGAGAGAGACTCTGTTTCAAAAAATATATAATAGCGAGTAGAAAACACTAAAATGGGTGTTGGGATGGGTTAAATGTATCCAATTCTCAACATCTTCAAGAAGAGACAAAATTTTGCTGAAAGGATGATTTAATCACTCACTTTTCCTGAATATAAAAACAGAACCAATGTTTTTTCAAACATTTTCAAGCTACAAGAACCTGATTTTGTGGATCACTGGTGCTAGGGACAAACCCAGGTGTTCTTCATCTTTTTTTTTTTTTTCCCCACTAAAGAAGCATTTTTGAGTGGCCACTGGGTGCTCTTCTAGTGTTTCTTATGTGGCTACTGAGGCAGTCCCAGGACCTGCCCGCTAGCGCTCAGAGGTCTCTTACCCTCTTCTTAAACCAACCAAAACAATTTCCCTTATGTAATTGGTAAGGGGACATTGAAAGTCATACATTAATGTTTCCTAAAAAAATTGAAGTATACTTAATATATTATTTAACTTTGAAAAAAATACACTTTTATGGGGGAATAGTAGACATAATCAGAGATTTATATAATGTTAAAAAAACAATTATTTCTTCACTTTTTGTTTCACCGTTGATGTCATGATAATTATTATCCTCCATGCAAATACAGCTTTATGTAAAAATATGCTAACAGATAATTTTCCAATTATTTCTCAATGTGAAGAGAATATAGATCTCTTCCTATACTGTGAGACACATGACATCATGCCTAATGGAAAGCACTACAGGCGTGCTTCAGGAAGGCTATCTTCATGAGGCACTCACAAGCATAAAATATAAGTTACTATTCCAAGAGGAGACTGAGGCCAGTTACCTAAGTGTTGCATTATGCCACAAATCAAGAGTTTAGGAAGTGCCAGAGCACAAAATAAACATGTGCACGCCAAGCCTGCCTGGCTTCACCCTTGACCTCACTGAGTTTGACACGCTTCACCTGAAATAGGAGTAATAATTCCCTTCCAGCCTGGAAGCAAGAACAGCAATTTTGGGGGATCTCTCCAAATGTTATGACTTATCAAGTCAGTGTAGTATTTTCCCCAGGGGATTGTAAGTTTGGAGTAGCTTCAGTTTATTTTGACACAAATAGAGCAGTTGGGCCAAGAAAAAAAAAATAGGCCCATGGGAAAAATAAAAAGTAGAAGGAAATAGAGTCATAAAATGAGACTCACAGGCCCCATCTTCACAAGATTTCCACTCTATAATTGCCGCATATTTTGAAAGATCTTGCGTTAAGTTTGGAGGGAATGAGACATTTTCTTTACTGTTACGTACACATGGGCATGACTGTAGGTGTGACAGTCGTTCCTAATTTGTACATGCAGATAGCAGATCTTCAAGCCTTAGAAGATCAGTTACAGTCTCTTCATTTTCATTCTGCAGATAAAGACAATAGTACACTCATGCTAGTTAGTTTTCTACCCAGGGCCTATGGCTTGTTGGCATCTGACCAGGAATGCATACTCAGATCTCTCCATTGGATCTTCGATTTTTCTTGCCTCATCCTCACATTGATGGACACATTAGGGGGGAATAACAAAGCAGAAGGGGCGGTACTATTGAGCATTCCAAAGGTGAGAATGCCACACGCTTGCAGCTTACATTTCAGAAGCTGCATGTTGTGAAGAGTCTCCTGCTCTGTTAAAGAAATGTGACTGGTGAAATGACATGGTTGCAAATGTCCCTAACCATCATGGTGATATAACAGCCTGAAGTTAAAATATTGATTCTGGAAATCCAGTATGCATTGACTCATGTATCAGCACTTCAACCTGTCACATTCCAATGACAGGGGCAGTGCTGAGAGGAACATCCTATTGTAAAAACGCAGCCTATTTCTGGTACTCAGGAAACACTCATGACCACGGCAGCTGTGTCAGTGATTACAATGCTGAAGGATGCTCCATTTTGATTGAAAGATCCTTCAGCGGCCAAAGATATCTAGACAGACATATCCAAATTAATATTTAAGTAATGCTACACTCAATCTATTCCAGTAAAGAAGCACACGCCAATGATATCTTTTCCTCCCTAGCAAATATAAATATCCAGGGCCTCTCAATTTCTGAATAATACAGAATGCAATTGTTCATTTTGGTGACTATAACTAAGCACCAAAATGCTTATTTATTTATCTATATATTTATTGAACAACTGAATTGTGCAAGATGGAAATGTTGAGACTTCAGCTTTGTTGGCTACCTGACATTTCTAAATGGGCATATCACTGAACTCTAAATAGGAAAATTCAAACTGAAAGACCATTAAAGTGACCTCCAACAGCATTTTATTCTTCTTCAAGTACATTAAGACAAATTCAATAAAGCAGAGTAACATCTGAGATGGGACTTATTGGAGAGAAACATAGCAGAAGCAGGTGCTCTTGCCACAGCTGACCTTGGCTCCAGCTCCAGCAAGATATCTCCTCCAGACCCATCGACATGCTCTTACAGCTCATTGCATTTGTGATCAATTTAACCGAAACGTCTGCAGATAGAAATCTGCCATGAAACACAGCTGCCGCCTTTCCCTTTTGACTTGCGCAAACTTTATCACATATCCAGCCTGTATGATAATTTTGTAGCTACATAAATTTTGCATGAAAGGGTAAAAAATTATTCCGTCTTTATATATACCTTTCAGCCAGAAAGATTCATAAATACTGCCTGAAGATAAATTAAACTTTGGCATGGAATATAATTTATGAAAATTGTGAAACACTTGACTTGATTCCACCAAAAAATATATTAGATTTTGATGACTAGCAACCTTCCTCAGAAGTCACCCATCAAAATGTGATGTTTAAATAGAATTAAAACAGCAATATAAATTTTTAAAATATTTTAATAGTGAATCATATCACATATATGAGTTATTAATTAAACAAATGACTTGCAATCACAAAACTGTTTTGATAATTTATATCTTAGCTTCTGCTGGATCTGGGGAACATAACAGACAAAGAAAGAAATATGGTTCCTGTTGAGAAGAGAGAATATGATATCCTCACACTCTATTACTTGCTTTCTTTTAGCTGGTGTGATTTTAGTGACTGCTTTCCTCAGAGCTAAAAGTTGCACAAACCTAAATTTAAAGGAAGCAAGTAAGGAAACTTCCATTGAATGCTGGTGGCATTTCATCACTAGCAGTAAAGCTATGTAGTGTGGGAGTTGGCAAAAAAAAAATAAATAAACAAAAAAGGAAACAAAGTTAAATCTGGGTAGACTGACAAATTCTGTCACTTATTTACATCACTGTTCTAAACATCTGAACTCCAAGTTTTATATAAAAGCACACTCTTTGTTTTGGTAGTATTGACAATATTTCTTAACTTTAAGAGCTCGATTTTGTACTTTAAAGCTTTACAAGCCCTCCTCAACCTATGTTAATTTTTTTTAACTACAGCTATAAGGCTCACCCTGTATTAGTCTCTCTCTCTCTCTCTCTCTCTCACACACACACACACACACACACACACACACACACACACGCACTCCCTTATGTTTAACAAAATGTAAGAATTATGTCAAGGGAAACAAAATGCCAACATAAATGTAGTTAAGGCTCAGGCACTGAAGAGAGACTTCCAAAACCCCATGCTCTCTTCTCTGTGAAACACACACACACACACACACCAGAGGATTATAAACTCCTTGAAAAGCAGTGGTAGTGCTCAATTCATCTTTCAATACCCACTATCTAACAAGATACCTGACCAGTTGTAGATGCTCAGTGACTATGAGTGGAATGAAAGTAGTGAGGAATGACTAAAGAAGGATGCCTGGATCTTTCCAGGCCCCCACCAGCAGCAGTTGCCAGTTCAGATGAACAGCCTGTGGCAGGTTGATCCCCAGTGCTATGATTTCAGGTACTATCAAAGAGCCCCCTGATTTAGAAAGGGATCATTCCTTTCTCAACCATGTTACTGTTGACGAAAATCCCTTTAAAATGGTTCAACTATATCATTGCATGGATATCTGTAATTATCAGGACTGGGGCAGCACTTGGAAGGGCAGCCCATGACTTACAGTCTACACCCACTAAGTTGTAAAGAGTTGACATGTCCTGTCCCTTGGAGTAGATTTATATTACAATGATGTAGAACAAAAGGGGTCCCTGGGCATCTGAAGACAATATTACAAAAAGAAAATGTACAGAATCTGGACAACCTCAAAATTTGCTAAAGGTTAGCATTATCTTAACTCGATGTAGCCAATGAAGCCAGAATAAAAGAATGTATAGAATGAAATTTACCATTAGAAATGATTTATGACATTTTGATCATATCCCAGATCTCAGATAAAAGAGAATTTTTTCTTGGGCATGGTCACACAGTGATCTTGCAGGGTTTAGCACAAAAGGAGCCTTAAGATGTCCCCTACCTACAAACAACTGGCTGTTCAGCTGCAGTCGAAAATGGCCCTCCTCCGACGTCTCCCTGGTGCTCCTTGGAAGGTTGTCCACCTGCAGGGAGGTCTCCTTGAGGTTCCTCTCAGCCCGGACATAGTGCCATTGGTTGTCATTCAGAAGAGAAGGAGACTGGACTACAAGCTCCACAGGACCATTCCCAACATCGATGGCAAAGGTGATCTCTGAAGGAGCTGAAACCGGAAAGGAAAACAGGAAGGATAGAGGGAGTTGTTAGCTCATTCAAGGCACAGGCTTGAGTGGGAGAAACGATTGTAAGTCAGTATCAATATAGAGAAGACTTCTTTTGAAATCCCTGCAGCACTGAAATCACCATTAATAGTAACAGCTACCAAATTAAATGTGTATACTTGTTCCAAGTTGTTTTTTTCCTGCTACGTTTGCAAATTCAGGAAACAGGATAGGCACCTGGACCATTCATGCTCATCTGATATACCTGCATGAATGCCGAGGCCCTGGATTTTCTGGATCTATTGTGGCTTCAGCTGTGTCCTCCAGGATATCTGCAGACATGAGGTTAGCAAGGCAGCTCCACTCCTGCAGGGAGGAGACTTAGGCCTTGGGAAGTCCAGTGCTTCCTCCTTATTTTACTAATGCATGTTATATAAGCATTTGTGCTATTTCCATAATGAAAAAAGCTCAGAAAGTTGTATCGCCTTGTCCAAGGAGACACTGCTGCAGGTGGCGGTACCTGCAATCAAACCCAAGCCTCCTGTCATCACATGGGACTCCTTCCATTATTCTTTCTGCCTCTCTATAACAATCTTTGTATAATGGAAGCCAGATGGCACCCAGTCAGAAGTAAGCATACTGATGATGGTGAAATGACAATGGTGATGGCAGCAGTGATGGTGGTGGTGGTAGTGCTGTGGTAGTGGTGGTATTGATGGTGGTGGTGGGCATAATGTTAATGCTGATGGTGATGGTGGTGCTGATGGGGGTGGTGGTGATGGAGGTGATGATGATGGTGATGGTGGTGGTGGTGATGATGATGGTGGTGGTCGTGGCAATGGTGGTGATAATGGTTGTGGTGATAGTGGTGGTGGTGAGGGGGGTAATGGTGATAGTGATAGTGGCAGTGCTGATGGTGGTAATGGTGATGGTAGTGATGGCACTGGCAGTGGTGGTGTTGATAGTGGTGGTGGCAGTGGTGGTGATGGCGATGGTGATGGTAATGGTGACAGTGATGGTGATGGTGGCAGTGCTGGTGGTGGTTAATGGTGATGGTGGTAACGGTGGTGGTGATGGTGGTGATGAAGGTGATGGTGATGGCGCCAGTGATGGTGGTGGTGATGATAGTGGCAATGGTGGATAACCATTAAGAGAGAGAATTGGAAGGGGTAGCACAGTGGGAACAACAAACTCTATGCCAGGCACCATGCTAAGCACTGACCATGGATTATCTCATTTTAATACACAAAACCACCCTATGAGAAATGTACCATTATTAGCATTTTATGAGTGAGAAAACTAAAGTGCACAGAAATATAAATAATTTGCTGCAAGTGTCTTAAGTGGTTAGCAGAATCTGACTCCACAGGCAGGGTTCTTCACGATGTTGCTCTGTTGAGTATATTGTCTTGTGTTTTCCATTATCACATAACAATGTTCTAAATGTAAAGGAAATGGAGAGGCTAATTGTAATTTACAAATTGAGGATGAGGAGAGGACTGGAACTTTCATATGCTAGGCATTCCTTTTTTTCTAGGCACCTTCACAATTGCTCCCTCTCCTCTACCCCCTAAAATAGGAAATGGGTATTTATTTGATGAAGTCATCAACTGCCAGATTTAAATTATCGGAAATGCCAAAAGACAAACTCCACCTCAGAGCACTTTCTTCCCAGCCTTTAAACCTTAACTGAAAGCAGCCTCCATCAAAGTCCGCATTACACAGAATTTTGAGTATCTGAGAGCTCGAATTCTTTTGCTTTCTACCGAGCCCTGGCCTAAAGGAAAGGTAGTAAGGTGGAAGCAGTAAGAATGGGATTTAAGAGCTTAGACTCTGCAGCTACTGTGATCTAAGGCGAGTTTTCAATGTCACCATGCCTTAATTTTCTTGTCTGTAAAATGGGAATAAAAACAATACTTAAATCATCAGATTATTTAGACACGAATCCTGATAAAGTTATTAGAACTGTGCCTGGCACATACTGCATGTTCAACAGGTGATGGCTGTTGTTATTATTACTGTGATCTGTGATTTTTCAACCTAGGCAAATTGGCTTCAGGTGACAAATTCATGCCTTAAAGGAAACAGAATTGAAGGGAACAGATTGAGTGATGAGCAGTTAGACTAAATAAGAGTGAAGGTGGCCCCTTGAGTCTTTCTCTGTTTCTTATTCAGATCACCAGTGCCACCTGGCAGCCCTGCACATCCCCAAATTTAAAAACACTTAACTGAGAGATGACTGGACCCCACATTTACATTTTTCTATAAAACACAGAATAAGATTGGTGAGAATTTGGGTGAGGAATGTTAAAGATTTTGCTAAAAGCTTTCCTGCAAGGCTAGTCTTGTGGATAATAAATTCCACTGAGACAACACATGTTTGGGGAGGGCTTGCTGTTTCGCTGGCTGTGACTAGCCTTGCCCCCTGACCACAACCTCCATAATAGGTTTCCCATCTGTGCTTACCTCTGCTCCAAACTGCAGCCCCCTGCTGTATAATAATCTGTTTATTGTCTCCCCCGAGTCTGCAACTCTAGAAGAACATCTGATTTATCGTATACCCAGCACCTAGCACTGTGCCTTGTATACAGGAAGTTCTCATTTTATTCACTGAAACATCATTACACTGCACATACTAAATGCCATTCTGCAATTTTCTTTATACCTTTACAGTTTTATACCAAGTTATTAGGGTCCTTGCAAAGTCTTTAAAATTATTATTATTTAACTTTATTAAAGCAACTGTTAAAGACATACTATGTTTAAGCTGCACCTCCTAGAATCAGTAAAATTCAATAAAATCAGTAAAATTCAATAAAAATAGTTAATATTTATTGAGTACTTACTGTGAGCCAAATACCTTACTACTCATTTTTCATTAATTGACTCACTAAGACTTGCTACAACTTTATGAGACAGGGAATCTTTTACAGATGAGGGAAGTAAGGTACAGGTAGTAAGCTGTACCTAAGTAAGCTGACCCAGTGTGGGTGGGGCAGAGTCTGGATGTGAATCCAGATGGTGTTTCCCAGGGCTCAATTTTTAAATTATTATTCCTGCGATAAAACCTCCACACCTGGAAACCTGTGCAGTTGCCCTGGCTAGTCAAAGCTAGAATAGATAATAAAGATGCCTGAAAACAATGTGAGAGAATGAATGATACATCCCACTGTGGCCCAGTATAACAGGGCCCTTAAGGCAAACTCAAGCTGGCTCTCACTTGCTGAAGAGGTGGACATAGCCCACTGGCCCTGAATAGGAAGGGAGAAGACCAATGACAGCATTAGCTCTATCATGAACTTACCCTCTAAGTTCAACTTCCCCCAACCTTCTGACGAATGCCTTCTCTCACCAGCTACTTCTTTATGGTTCAAGGCAAAACTAAGGAGTCTTAGCCTTTCAGGGCATTTTTTTTTCAAGCCAGACCCTGTGCTAGGCACTGAGAATTCTGAGACAAATGAAACAAGATGAGTTCATGATTTACTTTTGAGAAGACTGATAAAAAAAAGAAAGGGCATGTTTAGGGCTGTAACAGAGTTTCTACCAAGTGCTCCTAGGAGATGAGAAGAAGCTGCTAAGAAGACTCCTGCATGATGTTCTTCCAGGACTGACCACCAAGCCCATTAGAGAATATCCTTAGGACACACTCTGCACTTCTCCCAGCACTCAGTCCTGAGCTCCATGAAGACGGAACCACACTCCATTTCTGTGTCCTCAATCCCCACCCCAGGTTGGCATGAGAGAGATTTCAGGGTCGATTTATGGAATAAATAATTCATAAGGCCTTAACATAGTGAGTTAATCTCTCTGGCCTTCTACGTGTCCATGTGTAAAATGAGAAATATGAACTAAATAAAATACTGTTAAAACTTTTCAGGGACATAATCTCTTCAAGGATCTGATGGCAGCCACATTTTCTATCTCTAGAAAAATAGTACCTGTGGTATTGCACAAAATTGCAGGGGCTTCCTTTATGTCCTGTGCCTCAAAACCTGGAGGTAAATAATTGTATGTTCTCTTAAGTTCTAACATTGTCAATCCTGTGGACTGGTGCAAAGCAGAGTCGGGGTTGCTGCAAGGAGTCAGACAGAGCTGGGTGGGTCCTCGATTCTAACCTTCCCAGCTGTGCGATCAGGGCTTGCCACTTCCCCTCTCTAGGTTCATCCTGCCTACCCGTGCACTGTGTGGTGGTAATCACAGTACAACACAGTGATCGTCATCGATGGGAGTGCTTGGAAAGAAAATGAAATCAGGAATGTAAAGAATTGTATAGTGTCTAATCAGAATAATTGCTCAACAATTCAACAAAAGTGTAATTATTAGTAGTATTCATTTGTACTATTTTCTGAGGTTCTAACTATAGTGTGTCCAAGTTAACATCATATTTTGTAATATTCTCAGTATGATACTTCTGAAATCATAAAGTTAAATCTTTCTCTCTTTCTTTTCTCTCATATTTATACAGTAAATATATACATAAACATACATATACACACACACACACACACACACACACACACACACACACATACATACAGTATATATATGTACAGTTTTTCCCCTGAGCAGCTCAGCAAATTTCTGCAAGGTATTTTTAAAAATAAATTACACATTTCAGTTCTGACAACTGCCTTAGAAGAATCCTCATTGATTGTCTCCCTGACGACTACCTTCTTTCTAATAATACTGAGTTCACTTTGGGAGACTCTTCCCTCTTTCCCATTCCCATGGGCTTCAGGGGAAGCTAGCCCACTCTCTGGTGTGGGGGTAGGCCCTGGTATAAATCAATCTGCAATGTATACGTTCCCAGTCACACACATTGGTTCTTGGGGGCCAAGTGAGTGGCCTCTCAGGAGGATTGCTCGTAAGGCTGGAAAGCAGGGATTCTTCACCAGCTGGGATGCAGCTCCACCATGATGGAGAGCCAGCCTTAGACCGAAGTAGACATTCAACATTCATAACAGAGAGAGAAAACCATCAGATGACTGACAACTTTGTTAAACTACTGAAAACAACCATAAACGAAGCCAGTCCTACCTCCTCTGGGCTTAGTCACATGCTCCAGTACCAGTGAATTCCCATTCTTGTGGTTGCCAGTTCAGATTGAATTTTCTGTTATTTGCAGCCAAAGGCATCTGGGTGGCATATGGATGTCACCAACCCCATGTTGCATAAATAAGCATAGGAAGGGAGAAGAACTTGCTCAAGGCAGCTCACAAACCCACTTGGAAGAACAAAAGTTCAAATCCACATTGGGTTCTAGTCTAGCTTCTTTCCACTATGCCAGACTGACTCTCAAAAGCCATTTCCTTCTGATCTCATCTACTCTAAAATATCAATTTCTACCTGTACAGCCATTGTGAGATAGGTATCAAAATAGTTATCGTTTTCACAGGCCCACTAAAACACATTCACTAAGACTTGTGAACATAGTGGCGTGTCTTCTTTTTCATAGAGTATGGGCTACGAAATTCAAATATCTTTGAAAGCAGGCTGGAAGGAAATGGACTGAAAATTTCATGGGAATCTACTGTTCCCTGTCCAATAATTCGGATATATCAACCTTGGAAACTGCTGCTCAGATAGTTTTAGAGGAACACTCCTTGCGGATGAGAGGGAAATCTATTCTGAGCCACTGCATCTGTTAAAAGGCCATTTCCTTTCCAAGTGCCTGGTCTATAGAGGTTTCTTGCCATGAACCCTTTAGGGTAAAAATTCCATCTGCCTAAAATGCGTAATATGAGTGTAGCTGTAAATAAAGAATACAAGATGTTTCCATCCCACTTTGGTCTTTTCCCCTTTTAAATATTAATAATAACAAATATTTGAGAGTATAAGATCTTGAACTTTTCAATGTTTTTATATAAAATCTTGTCTTGGAGAGTATATGTTCTCCAATCTGGTGATATATTATATACCAAGCAATTACTTCAGTGGGTTTTGATTTTTGTCAAATGTAATTCTAAAATACAGTACCACAAAGTGCAAACAAACTGGACATTGATACGTAATTAACACTAAATCATCAGTCATTACTTTGTAATAATATACGTTTGCTGCTGCTTTAATGAATCAAAAGGCCATGGGGCCTGATTTTTATTAAATTTACATTGAAGTTATTATATCCATATTATGAAATTGTTGGCATTCAACTCAACATTTTTAGAGACTGGCCATGTTAGGTATGAGGGATCTTGTTTCACACCAAAGCCACAAGAGCTTCCTCCCATTAATAGTCTCAATAGTTGGAGCAAAAGGAGGTTAAAACTACCAATTAAGAAGATCTTTTTCCTTGTATGTATTGTGTGGTAACTGCAAAAGAAACACTTAGCTGCTTGGTAATTTGCAGGAGACTTAAACACCTCTGTCATCTCCTCCAGTCATTTTTTTTTTTTTGTCTCCTTTTCTGGAGCTCTCAAGTTTCCAATTTCTGTTGCTAAGACATGACTTATGCTTTCAAGGGTATTTCATGCAGTCACATCATTATAGTGATATGGTCAATTGCCTCAATCAAACTACAGAAAAACATTCATTTAGACACACATACATAGGGCACCTAATGACAAGCCTGAGTCTTTATGGTCATGGTAATAACAAGGGCAAGGTGGTGGGTACAGCCTACCCCATCTATAAGCAATAAAAAGTGTGCTGCATGCAGAGAACCAAAAAAATAGCAAACGTCACTAAAAATACATCTTTTTAAAAATTATTACCATACACAAGTAATTCTAAGCAATGTTAGTGATAAAACATCCCTTCACCAAACAAATCGTTTGTTGGTCTGTTTCAATAGATGCTGAAGCTACTGTTTATTTTTATTTTTTTTAACCTATTTTTTTTTTCTGAGACAAAGTTTCACTCTTGTTACCCAGGCTGGGGTGCAGTAGTGCAATCTTGGCTTACTGCAACCTCTGCCAGTGGGGTTCAAGAGATTCTCCTGCCTCAGCCTCCTGAGCAGCTGGGATTACAGGCACCTGGCACCACACGTGGATAATTTTTGTATTTTTAGTGGCGACGGGGTTTCACCATATTGGGCATGCTGGTCTCGAACTCCTGACCTCAAGTAATCCTCCTGCTTAGGCCTCCCAAAGTGCTAGGATTACAGGTGTGAGCCACTGCGCCTTGACTTAAGTTCTTACTCTTAAAAATAAACAAATATATTTTGTTTGTATGACACTACTGTTAATTTTTAACAATGTATATATAAACTTCAAATTAGTATGTTTTCTCTCTTTCCACTTAATAAATATTATATTCTGAGGGAAAGTTAATACATAGAACTCTAGATTTACCATTGTCTTCTAAAAATACAGACTCAAATCTAATTGTTTATTTTTAAGAATAAGAACTCAAGTTCTCATTTTTCATCTGTATAATTACTGTGCTAGCTTTGTTTGACTCAAATCTAATGTTGAATACATGAATGTATGGAACCACAGAGGTTTGAGACAAAATTTGCATCCTACTAGAACCCAAGCAACTTCAAATTCTTAGGAATATGGTAACTTTTTACCTAATAAAATAGAAATTTATCATTAATTTTCTGTTGAAATTATTGTAGTAGAATTTTTTTGCTTGCAGAGACATGTAGAAGTTTCTAGAATCAATCCTGAAGTAAAAACATTAACAGTACCAGAATTTACATAATTTAGTATAAAATGAAATTTTTATGAATTTTTAACAAATAGGAAGTTTAAAACCTTATCTATTTGTATAGCTCTTGCTTCATATGAAACAAACTAAAATTAATAGAAAGTATTATTTTCTCAATATAAGATAAATGGACATGAGCACACTCTCTTTTGAACATGAACATATGAAAAAACTTAAATTTTATGAAGTCACTGTCAAATTTCGAGAAGTAGAGACTCAGAAACATAAATTTTAATGTTACTATGATCGCAACAGAGCAATATATAGGTATGCTTTTTCCCTTTTTATTAAAAATACCACTTGATGTAATTTTTTTAAATTGTATTTTATTAGTATTGGAATATTGTTTCATTAGTATGATTATATACAAAATGTTTAATTATAGGAAATGTCACCATCTGTATTCCCATTATTTTTCTTCACATATCATGATTATTACTGAATATAGTTTATATGTAGGATATGCAGTGCTAAAAGGTGATCCACATCCTGGCATCAAGTTTATTAGATACGCCACTGTCCATGGGGAAGTGGCAGAGAAACCATGGGAATTCTGATTGGATAGTCACACGCTCCTAGTGTGGGAAATAAGTCAGGAAATTACTTTTGGAACAAAGGCAAAGCAAAAAAGTAGACCCTAAATATGAATAGAATGCATAATAATCCTCTTTTCAGCTTTGCATGGAAAGTGTCATGAATAAAGTCCTGTAGTGTGGAAGATTAAAGTCACAGGTAAGAAATACCTTTGGAAACTGTAATAGGTGTCTATGGGAATTTTCGGAATATCCATGTTTTGATAAGAGAATGACTGATTAAATACTGACAGGTCATAAAAAATCATAAAGCATCAGAAGGAACTAGACATTATCACTGCTAATTTTACAGATGTCCAGTGAGATTAATTTGCTGGTACAAATGCCCACTAGTGACTGGTGGCAAAAACAAGACTAAAACTTGTTTGTTGATCAGTTACATTAAATTCATAATTGAGGGCACTTACAGCTTATTTCGAGTCGAATGAAGTCTTTAATGCCAAGATTTTCTAGGAAAACTCCGGATAATGCTGTGGTTTTAAAAAAGAAGGAAATATCGGCACTGAATTCCGCATGGAAGGTAGGAAAGTGGAGGTAAGAGGCTTCTGTATAAAATGAGACGGCGTTCCAGAAGCGTCCTGCAAATGAGAAAATCCTTCAACATGGTTTATCGTTTTCAGTGGGGTATGGGAAAGCACTGGACATGTGGATAATTTTCAAGACTAGGGCACACTGCAGGGAAAAGGGATAAGGGAGTAAGAACATCTTGTGCTCATGTAATGCAGAGAGAAAGCTTCTTTCGATTTTGTACTCACGGTCACCATAGCAACGCAAGGGACCAATTCTCCAAGCGGCTTCTGAGTTTGATCTGTCGGTATCAGTGATAACTATCTGAGTGACAGGCAAGTGGTCTTTGAAGGAAAGAAAGCCAGTATCATTTGTCCTGCAAAACATAAATTTAAGAAAAAAAGAGGACAAAATGTGGATAATCTAGGGACTCTTTTCCATGACCCCTCTTTTCAGAAGTGATTTGGCCAGTTGCAGCAGGGTAGGGGCAGAGAGGGGGAAAACAGAAGGCCTTTCATCGCCTAAGTGTATGTGAAGGGAAGGAATGTTAATTACAAAACCCATGACTGGCTTCCAAAAACAAGTGAATTTTACATCTTCCCCACGTGTGCTTGTAGAAATGGATAGTTTACAAAGATGCTGCTTTTGGTGGCTAAGAGCAGCCCACCAGCTCAATGTGTGCTAATGTGACATTAAACCTCACCTCTCATTCCCATAAAGAGATCGGCTATCTCAGCAACTAACTTGAAACAGCCATCACAAATTCCACTCAAAAATCACTCCAAGGACTTGTTTCAGCCACCTGCCAACAGGTTTTAATCAAGTTTAGATTTTTTTTTAACCACCTTTTAACTCGAGGTGCTTTATAGTTACTGCTTCGTTGCTTTTCATTTTGTTCTTAAAGATCTCGGTAGCTAGTGACTCTGGCTTTGTTTTTGTTAACCATGCAAATAAAATATTGACTAATCACCTTTGGATAAAGTTTAGAAAGAATAGGATAAGCCATTGGATATTTTCCCCTTTTGTTTAAGGTGGTGTTTTTGGACTCATGGTAAGGGCCACATCATTTGGCTGAGAAGGAAAAATTGGATGTAGGAAACTAGCATTGAGTGTACAATGGTTTTGAGCAGAAATAAACTAGGGGATAGGTATTTTTCCCCCAAAAAAATTCCTATGCTGTAGGTGTCATTATGCCCATTTCAAATGAGGAAACTGAGGCTCAGAGATATTAGATAGCTGGCCTAAAGTCACACCTCACACCACAGAAGAGACAGGGACAATGCCACATTCTTGGTATCCCCAGTATCTACCCCAGGTCTTTAAGGACATAGTTTTAGAAGTATACAGCTGTGCTCTGGAATCTCAGTCCCCAGGTCCTAGCTGTGTTAGACTGGGCAAATAATTTCATTTCTGAGATCTTCAGTGTGCTCAATTTTAAAATGGAGATAATATCTACATCACAGTGACTGATGGGTTTAAAAGAGATTATGTAGTCACTTAGCATGGTGCCTGATCTACGGTAAATGCTCAAAAATGGTGGCAGTGACACTTATTTTAGTTCTAATCTTTGTTCCTGAACTACTCTGTGGCCCCAGGCAAGTCAATTTATCTTTTTATGCATCCACCTATGATTTTGTATTGGAGAGCTTATATTACACACCACATGTAGAAAATTAAATTTTCAGATTTATTATCCAACTCATGAAAACGGAGAAAAACATATTAATTCATCTTGATTATGAATAAGTCAAATATTCACCTGTACATATATTCCTACAGATCAAAAGGAAAATGTAAAGAAATATACCATACAATATCTACAATTCGAATACCTGTACTTAGAGGCCATTCAAAGGATATAGAATAAGGCTTTTGTCTCAGCTTGAAAGTACATCTATGAATGTTGCATAGACACAGGGATGAATTTCAATCTCCACATTCCGGTATCTTTTCAGGCAGAGATTTCAAAGCAAATTCCAAACAGCCGAAGTGGAATGAAGACCAAACCCATATCCTCTCCTGAAGAAATTCTGTACTGCAATAGAATTGTATGTCTCTCCATTTCCATTTTCAAGGTGAAAATGGTAGTTTCTAAAGTCTGCCCATCAATGCCAACGACTGCCTTTCATACACATTCTGGCATCTTTTCCACAAAAGTTTGATGTTTTTGTGTCAAAGTGTTGGGATCTAAAAATAGCACTCTAAGAATAAAATTATCTTCCAAATAACAGAGGAAAGAAATTGTATTTAGTTTGATGATGCAAAGCACATTACTAAGAATATTTTTACCTGAAAACTTAAAGTAAATTGCTCTCTAAAGCTGTTTAATGCAACAGAAACAGACACAAATTTAAATGCCTACAGGGGCCAAGCAAGTCAAAAAGCATGCGAATCCAGCTTTGTGTTAGTAATAAATGGAAATTGACACACAATCTCTTGTCAGGGGGAAAGAGAGATAAGTATAAAATAGCTGTCCCAACTAAAACAGGCCTGTAGTACTCACTAGCAACAGGAAATTATGCTATTCTGTAATATGAGACCAAAGAGCCAGGCTAGAATCTTAATGTAAAAATTTTCAGTTTTTGAATATTGGCAGTGAATTTTAAATTTCTTTAAAAAATTATAATGGGAACCCACACTGACTGGACCAATAAACTGCAGATGAAGGCTGTGTTGAGCCTATAGGCAATGGAACCATCAAGGGGAATTTGTGTATTTATTCCTGCTTTTAAGGTCATATTAGGAATATGATCGGATTTAATTAAATTTGTGAGTGACAGGTACCATTCCAGCACTTCAAAACAATGGGTAGGACAATTGGTGGTGATGGTAGTGGTGATCGTCATGGTGGGTTTTAGTCACAATAAAATGATGCAAATGATGGTGGTACCTATTGATAGGCAAGGAGTCTACAGCTGTAGATTTGCTTTCTTCATGCCAAGGGTAAGGATTCTGCAAACTTTCACTTCCTTTGGAACAATGCACAAGGCCCTTCCTAAGTACAGTTGAGAGATGATTGTGTTGTATGTAGTAAGAAAGCCTGTCGCTGGGATCAGACGACATGAGTTGAATCCATGTACCTCAACACCCTAGTTGTATAACATCAGTGAGGTCACTCTGGGGATCAGCTTTCTTATGTTTTAAATGGTTATAATAATAACAATAATTCAATATTGTTGTATTAATCAAAGGGAATAATGCATACAAAACAATGAACACACCAACTTGTACATAGTAGAAACTCAATACATACTTATGGAAATTCTCACTGAAGTTTGAAATAAAAATATGACATACAAACAATATATAAAAGGAGAACAAGAAACGGCACCCCACACCAGGAATGCATGAGCAGAGCAGCCAGACATTCCCATTTATGGAGTCTACAAGGGCACATGGAATAGGCATATGATCCTTAAAAAATACTTTAGTATGACCAAAAATAATAAAACGCATGTGGCAAGAAAAAAATTAAATATTCTCAAGAGCAAGGGTATGGTACAGAATTAGTCAATGTGGTCTTCTCTAAGTTTAAATATCTGAATTTTGGTATTTCACCAAATTTAGAGTGGCAGAGTGGTGGGGGCGGGGTATCATTCAGGTTTGATGAAATGTCACAGACTGCCATTCATTTTCATCAACGAATTTTGGTTAACTGCTGCTTGGTAAGCTTATTTTAGTATATAATTTGGGTGACTTAACTATTAAAAATTACAGTGGGTTTTTTTCCCCTCTTTTGTGTCCTTTCCTCTTTCAGTCACTCAGAAGCAGCAAATAAAACGTTATATATATGGCAGACAAACAGAAAATTATAGGAAGAATTCAAGAACTCAGTTCCCTTTGAAGTCCTTATGTGAATCTGAGTGGATCAACCTCAAGAGACCCCACACCCCCTTCTCCTGAGTGGGGTACATGATGTTTTACATTTCTTATGGCTGCAAAGGAGGAATGGCCAGTAAGATGCCTGCAAGCAACTCTTCAAGTCTGCAATGCTGCACTGATGCTTGCTGATAATTCTGTCTTAGCTTTGTTTAAGGAGCAATTATTTCTCTTTTGCTTTCTTTCTCAAGGCTTCCAGATTTAAAAAAAAAAAAAAAAAAAAAAAAAAAGACCGAGGAGTTTAGGTAACAAGAAGCTTTAAATGAGCTTAAAGGTCATTTGGCTGCCAACCAAAGCAAATGCAGGCATTGAGTGGTCAAATATACAGTCTACCCCAGGATAATATCCATCTCCCTGTGCTCCACACAGGGGTGGGTGGGAGGGACTGGACCACATCTGCAATCTTGTTTTTATTTCCTAACATAAGAAACAAGGGGTGAAGGCAAATAAAGTATGTATTTAAAATGTTCAGAAACTATTTTATTTTCTATAAATGCTCCAGAAATCTGAAACCATAGGACTTTTCACAAACAGATACAAGAAAACAAAAGCAGGTCTTGGTATATGAATCAGCCAAGGTTTACTCAATGTCACTTTACTGCTAAGAAATTAAAATGACCCTCAAGACGTTAGAGATGTAAAACTGATTTTAAAAATACCACAGATGAAGATTTTGGGAGTCATAATTTGTAGAACATTCCCTCAATACAAAGAAAGAAACAATTAGTGGTGCCATTATATATATATATATAATGTGTATATATAGATATATATATAATTTATATATATATAATAAATATATATAATGAATATATATATAATGTATATATATATTTTTCTAGAAATATATTTATACATTTCTAGATTGCCTTTGGTCTTATTCAGGAAGCAAGTAGATTAAAAGTCAAAACTATTAGACTATACACCATACTTGTGATTCAACACCACTTAGATCTTGATGATTCCAAAATATATATCTCTCTCTGGAACACACCAACTGTTTGTCTTCTCCAACTCTTCAAATTTCTCAAGACTCAACTCCAGTTTCCTCTCAAAAATGTTCCCAAATGTTCTGTATTCTCTTTTCCCTCTCTATTCTAATTTTAATTTCTTGCATAAAATATTTTGTGACATTGATTTATATATTGACTTGTGTATGTGTGTGTAATTCTTGTTTTCCCTGTTGGAAAATGATTTAATGTTTTGTAGAGAATAAGCTCGACATTAAATAGCAATCTAGCAAAGGTATCTGCAAAGTCAGACCATCGAACCCACTGTGATTTGCTTTCTCTTGGCTTGAGCAATCCTCCCCTTGTCCATGGCTAGTATTTTATCCTGAATCTCATCTTCTGACTTCTCAGGGCACTTTCTCCTTCAATTAAGCTCTCTCTTTATGTTGTACCTTCAACTTCTCCCACTCTTTCTGCTTGCATGCTGTAGTCATCCTCAACCCTATCTCTCAATCTAGTTACTTCCCTTCTTTTCTCTTCAGAGCCAAATTTTCTTCAGATAATTGCCTGCATTCTGTCATCTCATCTTCCTCTGCACCCTTTTCCTCCTCAACCTACGACAATTGGCCTTTTTCCCCTTCAGTCCACTGAGACTTCTCTTATTAAATTGCTAGTTTCCATGGAACATGTCGGCCCCTAATGTCCTTCACTTTGTTGCACCATTTTACATTTTACTTTTGCCTTCTTTGCTGCTACACACAGACACACAGACACACACACACATGTTCCTTCATGAATATATATTTATTTGACTGTCTACTAAATCCTTCCCTTGGATGTCATCAGGCACCTTAAACTAAGATGTTCAACCTCCTTCACTAGTCATTTTCTCAGGGGTCAACTTTCCCACCTGTCTGTCACTCAACTCTGTGAATGACTTGTCCTGTACACTCAGTTGCTGAGATCATAAGCATAAGAGTCTTCATTTCTTTCTTACTTCCTCCCTCACTCTTAATTAACAATTTCCACCAATTTCACCTTCTTCATATCTCTCCATTCAACTGCTTTATCCTCATGCTGCCGGACTCAGTTTTATTTTGAGATCTCATGGTTCTGCCTAGGCTTTGGGGCTGGTGACATAAACTGGATCCCTGCTTCTAATCTATCCACTCTCTTAATTCCTATCATTCTTCTTATTATTCCAAGAAACATGTTTACATAATATGTACCATGATTCATACTTTATTGCTTAAAACCTTTTAAGAGGTCTCTACCTCTCACAGGCAAAGTCCCAATA
The DNA here is from genome assembly GCF_000001405.40 of Homo sapiens. Taxonomy (NCBI): domain Eukaryota; kingdom Metazoa; phylum Chordata; class Mammalia; order Primates; family Hominidae; genus Homo; species Homo sapiens. The sequence continues at coordinate 124,757,921 of NC_000002.12, read as the reverse complement.
CCAAAATATTTATAAAGTGGACAATAAAATTCTATTTTAAATCACTGTTGCCTTTTCCAGAGATAAACTATTTTTTAAAAAATAAGATCCCTAAATTAGAGGCACTGCTAGAGTTTGAGGTTGCTGCTTTATTATGTACTGGTGGTTTGGGGACTCAGATGAGCAACTTATATCCGTGGATGCCTTCCCTGGCCATGGGAGCATTGAAGTAGAGTTTCACTCATGAGCTCACTTAATCCTGAGAATAACGCTAGGAAAATATTGTGACATTTCCTGCATTGTACAGGAGCAATAACTGAGATTCAGGAAGGTGATGAAACTTCTCAAGGTTTATCATTTGCAAATGGAAAGGCCAGGATTTGCACACAGATTTAGATGCCAAAGCATTTGCCTATAACCACCAATGTCTCCTGTGCTCCAACACGGGTCTCCCACCTGCCGACAGCAGCTCTCTCAAGAGTGGAAGCTGGTGTTTCTCACATTAGTCTGTGCCGCCTCTGGACTGTGCTGGAATCACAGAGCCAGGCCCTGAGTCCTCACACTGTCCTCCTTAGGTCTCAGGGTGACCATCCCCATTCTGTGCACACAGGCTTTCTCCACATAAGACACAGCTCAATTGACTAGGTTTTAGTTTACTAATTTGCAATCATTTTCCAGCCCTGCATTCCCTGAGATTACCCATGGATCACCTTGACAGGATTTCTGGGAGTCCATGAGCTCTTCTGTTCCACATTCACAAGGAATCTCTTGGTTTATTTACACACAGGGCAGATCCATCAGTTACATGGTGAATTTTAAGAATAAACTTTCAGACAGCAGCCCTATTTTGGGGAGAAGGAACCTCAGTGCTATTTCCTTACTCCACTCGAAGTTTGGTGGTTGAATGAAATTTGTGCTGGCATGCTATTACTTCTGTTTTGTTTTTGTTCATTGCATACATGCATTTATACTTTTCTTTCTTTCCCCTTTAGTTTCTTTTCTTTTTATTTCCAACTTTTAATTTCAGGGGTACATGTGCAAGATGTGCAAGTTTATTACATAGGTAAACATGTGCCATGGTGGTTTGCTGCACAGATCATCCCATCACTTAGTTTTTAAGCCCAGCATCCAGTAGCTATTCTTCCTGATGCTCTCCCTCCTCCCACTCCCAACCCTCCTACAGGCCCCAGTGTGTGTTGTTCCCCACCCCGATATGTTCATGTGTTCTCATCAGTCGACCCCCACTTTTAAGTGAGAAGATGCAGTATTTGGTTTCCTCCTCCTGTGTTAATTTACTGAGAATAAAGGCTTTCAGCTCCATCCATGTCCCTGCAAAGCACATGATCTCATTCACTTTTATGACTGCATAGTATTTCATGGTATATATGTACCACATTTTCTTTATCCAGTCTATCATTGATGGGCACTTAGGTGGATTTCATGCCTTTGCTATAGAGAATAGTGCTGCAATGAACAGACATGTGCATGTATCTTTATCATAAAATGGTTTCTATTCCTTTGGGTATACGCCCAGTAATGGAATTGCTCAGTCAAATGATAGTTCTGTCTAAGTCTTTGAGGAATCGCCACACTGTGTTCAAAAATGATTGAACTAATTTACACTCCCACCCACAGTGTAAACGTGTTCCTATTTCTCCACAACCTCTCTAGCATCTGTTGTTTTCATGGCTTTTTAATAGCCATTCTGACTGGTATAAGATGGTATCTCATTGTGGTTTTGATTTGCAATACATGCATACAGACTTTTCTTAGACATCCATTTAACTTCTATAAATCAATGTTGCCTTTTATAGCTTATTTAAGATCGGCTGAAAATGGAGAAAATAATAATAAAAAGATGGTTGATAAATCTTTGAGCTCTGACTCCATGCCACATCTGCTGGGTGCACAAATTATTGCTAACTCAGCCAGTATTTCCCAGAGATAGATATTCCCCCACTTTTAAAAAATAAATTAGAAACCAGAAGCTCAGAGACGCTAAATGACTTAGGCTTTCTAGTTAATAAGTGACAAATCCACAATTTGTTCTTTCCATTACATAATAAAATATTACTGAGAGATTCATTACATTTTATATCCAGAAAATGACAATGATACCAGCAAAAATAGCTACAATTGGGTGTATTCTAAGTGTTATTACATGAATTAGCTCATGACACTTTCACAAAATACCTATAAGACAGATGTGCAAAGGAGATGGAATTATTTCTCCTTCTGCTACATGATGAAGGCACTACACTTTTAAAAAATGCAGACATTGGGATTTATTTGTAGTTCACAGAGAGCATTGCCATGGACCACGGAAGCAGCCCCAGGCAGAGTAGAAATGACAAAGACAGAGAGAATGAAAGGAACATGAGAACAGCATCACCAGCTTCCCATTCTGTCAGAGCTGTCCCCTTCAGACATACTTGGCCAAGAGTTCCAGTAAATTCTGATCAAGAAGAAGTTGTAAGGAATGTCTCCTTGTGTATCTGTGTTCTGACTGGTGAGTTCTGAATATCCCTGTGGTAAAGCCACCTCCTCAGGGAGAGGATCATTTCATGTAAATGCAAAATAATAATCCCTATAATGACTTTGAGTTTTATTTCTGATACAATTTTGCAATTGCTCAAATAATGAGACTTTACAGACAATTTAGTGATAGTATATTTATAAGGCTTGACAGATAACTGATGTAATAGAAACCTCAGGGTATGTTTTGTTTTCCACAAGATAAAAAAAAAAGTATTTCATAGCTATGTTTTGTTTTCCAGAACTCATGGATGATAGGCTGTTCATATTAGATATTTTTCCCTAAAAGTTGGATAGGATGGTGGCATCATTAAATAAAAAGAAAGAAAAAAAAAACCTGCTTTAATGCTACGCCAGGCAAAATATCAGCTATTTACCTCATTTAGAATTCTACAAAGTAATGATGCGATATTTTGGTTTTGAATTTTCAACCTGTTATTACAAGTTCTTTTTTTCTATTTTCATATTTTTTCTTTATCTCTTAATTGGGCAATGCCTTTTTATTCTTTCCATTGAAGTACCTCACAAAACATTCTGCCTAAAAAAAAAAATGTAGGCTGGGCACAATGGTTCACGCCTGTAATCCCATAACTTTGAGAGTTCGACGCGTGAGGATTGCTTGAGGTCAGGAGTTTGAGGCTGCGGTGAGCCAAGATCACACCACTGCACTTGAGCCTGGGTGACAGAGTGAGATTCTGCCTTAAAAACAAAATAAAAAAAAATTGAAACCCAGTCATGGGAACATTAGCATAAGGAAGCCAGTATCAAGTTACTCCAGAATGTATACTTTAAGAGTATATTCAATGACTGAAACAGCAGAAAATAACTAGAAAGTGTGGATGGGGAGAGAGAAAATGTCCCATCTCTTCATTCATGCATCCTCTCATTCAGCAGTTAAGGCATGGAGGACCCACCGCATGCCAAGCACACTCCTCTCCAACACAAGAGGCTGGCGCTGATTAGTTTGCAAGATGTGTCTGGGAATTCAGGGACCGAGTGAGCAAAAACCCACATAAACCCTTCCTAATTCCTGTCTGCCTAGAGAACAAGCACTTTCAAAACTCAATAAGCAGTAGAGTAGCTCATAAACAGATTAATGAATAATAAAATTCAACCAATAGAGATTGCCTAATTTATTATTATTTTTAAATAAGGGATAGAACGTTAGTGTGCCCTGAGGTGAATTGTTATTTCTCTCAGAATTCAGGATTGGGGCCCCTTCTCAAGATACTATGTGGTCTAAGGCGCCCTTAATGCATGGAGCCTGGGAATCTCAGAGGTGAAGGTTTTGAGGAAACCGAAAGAGTTCTGAAAGATCAAATAATGACCCAGGTGAGGAAACAGCAAAATTCGACACCACTAGGAGGCATCCAGCATCATCTCATTCTGCATCTCATGGGAAGGGAATGCAGGGCCCTTGGGGAGGGCAATGTCCTGGGGCCTGGATTAGACATGCATTCACCAAAACAAAAGCTTATTTTGAAGGCAAATGTATACAAAGATAACTTTTGGAACAGGAAGTTCACTTGTAACTACTTTTTAAAAAATTAATCATTTAATTGAACAACAAAAATTGTATATATTTATAGGGTATAACGTGATGTGTTGACATATGTATAAATTGTGGAATGGCTAAATCAAGCTACCTGACATATCTATCCCCTCACATGGAAACAATCTCAGCGTCCATCAGTGAATAAATGAATAACGAAAATGTGTATATAACCAATGAACTACTGTTCAAGCTTGGCAAATTAAGAAAACCCTGCCCTTTTCAATAACATGAATAAACCTGGAATATATGATGGTAAATGAAATAATCCGGGCATAGAAAGAGAAATAACTACTTTTGATAGCCAGAAGAAAATCAATCTGTAGCAAAAGGCATGTAGGTTAAAATTTGGTAAGCATTTATTGTGAGATTGTGAAACAGGAGTAATGGCTAACAAGGAAGTAAATTTCAACTAATTCTATCATGGCTATGGCCTGACCTATCTAAAAATACATTGGTAAAAATCTGTCTAACAGAAATCATTCATCCATCATTCATTCATGAATTTAGCAACATTTATTAAATAATTTCTCTGTAACAGAAAAGTAGAACCAAAGAGTAAGTAGTAGCTTAAAGCTCCAGGATTCCATGTGCTAAAAAGATAACATCCCATAAAAATATTCTATTCTTTATGGAAAAGAATAAAATATTTTCTTTTTTGGATTATCAGATGACCGGAATTTACACCTTACATCATTTTCTCTTCCTATTTTTGCCATATCACTTTATACAAGGGTACACTAAGGGCGAGAGGCAAAGAACAGAGTTACTAAAAATCAAATGAAAACTTCTGTACTTTCTTCTAAAATAAATAAAAGAATGTTCTACTGCCAAGTAAAAGAGCTTCACTTTAGGGCAACCTGGTTGTTTGGATGAGAAGACTCTTCATTTGGGCCACGGGTCATCATCATGAGGGACATTGTGTATTCTCTCTGCCTTCTCCAACATGCTGCTCCACCAGCCTTTGACGCCTCTTGCTGGATGACTGTTTTTCCACCTTCCACACAGCCCAACACTCTCCTGTGCTGTCTCCAGGGTCTGCAACCCAGAGCTGTCACCAGAGTTTCCTTTCTTACTCTCAACAAGCCAGCACTATAAAGTAGCTGGTTCAGAAACCATCTAGTTGGGAGGACTCCTAGAGATTGAATGATTATGTTGAGAGAAGTTCCTTTGCAGACAGTCATTAATCAGTAAAATTATTATTCTTTATATGTTCCTTCATTTATTCCTTTTTCATTACAATTTAGTGATTTGGCTGAGATAGAAAAACCCCTAGGAAATCAGCTAATTCCGACGGGTAGTTAAAGCTTTCCTCTTACTCTAAGAAGGAAATGTGCTTTTGAGGTTCACTGAATGACTTTTTTTTCTCTCCCCACCCACCTCAACCTTGTGAGCTGTGTCACTTTCACTCAGCCCTACAACATGCACTCATTATCTTCATTTACTTGGGTCTTATTGAAATGTATGTTATTCAGTTACAGTGGCTTATTAAAATAGAACAAGACGGCCATGGTTGAATGCACCTATAGTCCCAATGCTTTGGGAGGCTGAGATGGGAGGATTGCTTGAACCCAGGAGTTCAAGAACAGCCTGGGCAACAAAGTGAGAAGCTTACTCAAAAAAATAATAAAACAAAACAAAAAATTATCAATCACCAGAGGCTTAGAAGATGCCCCAGTTTCCCTAAGCACCCTGGCTTAGCAAAAAGAAACATGCATGCTGCGGTGATGTGATTTGAGAGATTGTAGGAGAGTTCTCTCTAGCATCCTTACTGACTGGCTATTATTCAAAACTCCAACATTAGCAGCTCCTTTGACATAATCATTAAGGGCATCCTTAGATTCAGCTAAAATGCCTACTCTGCCCCTTAGTCAAGCGACCTTAACCGAACCATTTATCATCTCTGAGACTCAGTTTCTTTTTTCTGGGGAAAAGAAATAATAAAACCAACCTCAAGAGTTATTGAGATGTTAATATGAGGTACAGTATATAAAATATTAAGAACAATTCAGGATATGATAGGTAACATTTAAGTGACAATACTATCTAGGAGTTGTAACATATTCAACCGCTATCCACTGCGTGCTATACAAGGCCAAGTCAGTTTTCTGATTAATTTCACAAGAGCAAAAGCTTGAGGGAATTTTACAAGGCAAGAATATCCAAAGTTTCTCTGAGGCACACAGAGCACCACTGATATAAAAAGAGGTGTGGTGGTCTAAAACAAAAATTTGAAACGTGTGGAAAGTCAGTTGTCAAGAAATAAGTTGCATGTATGTTGAACTTGATTAACTATTTCACAAGTGTGTTAGCTTTTGTATTTTTCCTTTCTGCAGTAAATAGTAGAGTTTGATAGATAAATAATAAATGCATTTTCACAAAGATATGCCTGGTGTCATGTGTGAATACTTATTGTATGCCCATAATCCTTGTACAGACAAAGCTAGCTCACTGTTATTTCCATACAAGGAGCTTCATAACCTGAATTTGACCTTCCTCCTTTCCTTTATCTTCTGTACATTTCTCAAATGACGACTGTGCAACAACCACACCAATATATTTGTGGTTTAAGAGGCCGGTGATTTTTATATTATTTTAAATTTCCCCACTGCACACAGATGTTCCCCCTACCCCCAACCCCTACTTGTAGTACACCAGTTTGTTTATTTATTTAACTAGCTGCTTCTGCTCCTTCAAAACGTAACTGCTGCTTCTCTTCACAATCTAAATTTCCCAGCTCATTTCTACCCCAGGTTCAGGCACATCTGTGCTTATTTCTCTCGCCAGATTTTTTAAACCCATGTATTTCTATTAGGTTGGTGCAAAACTCATGGCAGTTTTTGCCACTACTTTTTTTTTTTTTTTTTTTTTTTGAGATGGAGTCTCAATCTGTCACTAGGCTGGAGTGCAGTGGCGCGATCTCGGCTCACTGCAACCTCCACCTTCTGGGTTCAAGTGATTCTTCTGCCTCAGCCTCCTGAGTAGCTGAAACTACAGGCACGCACCACCATGCCCAGCTAATTTTTGTATTTTTAGTAGAGATGGGGTTTCACCGTGTTGGCCAGGTTGGTCTCGAGCTCCTGACCTCGTGATCCGCCCACCTCGGCCTCCCAAAGTGCTGGGATTACAGGTGTGAGCCACTATGTCCGACCTTGCCACTACTTTTAAATGACAAAAACCACCATTACTTTTGTACCCACCTAATAACTAAATAGCATTTTCTTTCCAGTGTTCTGAGGGTTCCTCAAGGGCAGGGACCGTAATGCCCCTGACTTTCTCTGCACAGCAGACTATCCGTCTGGCACACAGTAGGCACTAAGTAAGTGATAAATCAGTAAATATCTGATAAAGTAATACATATAAATGCTTCTATAATAAAGTATTTATAAAAACCCTTTATCACAAGCTATGACTTGCACTAAGACAATGAATGAAGCTCAGAAGTGTTGAATCAGAATATCAGTCTCTACTCCCTCTTGAGAATGACAGAAGAAACTTTCTGATCTGTTCTCACCTAGACTTTGCCCAAAGATGGTCAACGTGCTGCTATGGGACATCCAGGAGTGAGTCAGGCATCCTTAAGAGGGGAAGTTCAGTCCTTTTCTCTTGACCTTTGATAGGCTGATTGTTGAACAGGACCTTATCTAATAATAAATTCTGGTGCCCTGAGCGAGGTCTCTTGCCACAGAAAATGGCACTGGATGGAAAATAGTCCCTGGCTCTAAAGGAAATGGAAAGGGTCATGAAATATGTAATAACTTCTGGAATGATCAAGGTGAGAGAAGACATTATGAAGAATCCCTCTGGGCTCACTCTAGATGATGAAGTGAAATTATCAGATGAGGGGTTCAGAGTGAAACATTGAGCAAGTCAAAGGAGGGAGAGGCTGGGAGCGGAATGGAAGAGATCAGTGGAAAGTTTTAGGAAAGGAGACACAGAGCCCTTCAGCCCAATTAAGGGATATAAGGCCACGCTTTTCCCTGCCCCTCAGTGTGCAGTAATTTAAGCCTGGGTCAGTTGTTCCCAAGTAAGAGGAGACACTGAGGTAGTGTTCAGTAGGCAAATGTCCTATAAAGAAAGGGGTAAAGGAAAAGAAACAGTGAGCAAAGATCAAGAAGGCAGCTAAGAAAGGACTCAGAGTCTGCCGGGAGCGTTGGCTCACGCCTGTAATCCCAGCACTTTGGGAGGTCGAGGCAGGAGAATCATGAGGTCAGGAGCTCGAGACCAGCCTGACCAATATGGAGAAACCCCGTCTGTACTAAACCTTAGCTAGGCGTGGTGGTGTGCCCTGTAATACCAGCTACTCAGGAGCCTGAGGCAGGAGAATCGCTTGAACCCTGGAAGCAGAGGTTGCAGTGAGCAGAGATTGCATCATTGCACCCCAGCCTGGGCGACAGAGCAAGACTCCGTCTAAGGAAGAAAGAAAGAGAGAGAGAGAAAGGAAGGAAGGAAAGAAGGAAGGAAGGAAGGAAGGAAGGGAGAGAGGGAAGGACGGAGAGAGGGAAGGAGGAGGGAGGGGAGGGGAGGGGTCAGAGTCAAGAGTAACTAGGGGGAAGCACTTCTACCTATTCTAGCTCCTATATCTGTTTCTTTGACTATACACATAGTGTCTAATATGCACTGTGAGAGTAAACCTATAAATCAAAGGAATGAGTGAATCCAAGCGATTGGGAGCAGATGTTTGAATATGTTTTACGGCAGCACAACCATCTAACACTTCAACACACCTCCCAAGCTCATAGGTGCCATCTTGCGATAATTCTCTTCTTTAAAGATTGTCTAAATTAATCTGTTCAACTAATTACCACTGAATGTCTTCTGTAGGTCTTGAGAGGTATAATGTTTAAAGAGACATGGCCTCCACCCAGGCTACAAATCATAGTTGGTTTGTAGGCATCCGCAATAATGAGATAGAATTCGCTGCAGGATAAAGTGGGGGCTCACAGAATGCAGAAGCCCATTCTACCTGTGGTTAACTATATCTGATTTTACCCACATGAAGAGGCAAAATTCATTACCCTATAACTTCGGCCAGCTTGAGTTTAGGAGAAGGCACTCGGGTAACCTGCCCTGGTGCCCAAGCAGCCCTAGGGTGTTCTGAAGTGATAATACACATCTCCTAGGACCCAATGAAGACAGATGCCTGGTCCTTTCCTTGCTGAACTGAGATTTTGACTTAACTTTATATTTTATGTGAAATAGTCCTTGCTGTTAACAGTTTGAGGAGTGAGTAAAAACACTAAAGGGAAATTTGGGGATTGAGACTAGCTTAACATAAGAATTTTTAATTAAAATTAAGTAGCATTTGATGAAGTAAGCAAAATTGCTAAGCCAAAACCAAAGAATGCTTTAAATTCAGTCAAAACAAAAGTATATTTGGAAATGATCTGTACATATTTTCACAATCAATACAGTAAAAAACTAGCAGTTCACCTGGAGGATAAAAGAAGAGTAAATGTAATGGGCATGGAAGCTTCAAACTAAATTGATTTTACAGAAGTAAGTTGGTGTAGGAGACTAAGAAACTCTGGCTGCAGAAATGGCTGATTTCTGATTCTGTATCTATCACTTGACAGACATGTTTGACACTGGGAAAATTATTTAACATCTCTGCAATAGATACTACTCAACATTAAGAAGCAAAAGTAAGATAATTATATGAAATTTAATAGATGCTTAATAAATATACATTTCCTTTGCTATGTGTTTATTGGTAGCAAAAGGGAAGGCTGGTGACTGAAACATCAATGGGAGCATGAAGAAACAGCCTATATAACCCCACATCCCTATCTCTCTCACTCTCTCCCCCCAAAACATATAGTCCACATATCATAAATACCCTGACTCAATCGCAAAGCTCAATATTGCATGCCATTCCTTGTTTGAAATGGGAAGTTCTGAATATAAGAAGCTGGTGGGGGCCAAGTGCGGTGGCTCATGCCTGTAATCCCAGCACTTTGGGAAGCCGAGGCAGGTGGATCACGAGGTCAAGATATCAAGACCATCCTGGCCAACATGGTGAAACTCTTGTCTCAACTAAAAAAAAAAAAAAAAAAAAAAAAAAAAAGAAGAGTTAGGAGTGGTGGCATGTGCTTTTGCTCCCAGCTACTCAGGAGGCTGAGGCAGGAAAATTGCTTGAACCTGGCAGGCGGAGGTTGCAGTGAGCCAAGATCGCGACACTGCACTCCAGCCTGGTGACAGAGTGAGACTCTGTCTCAAAAAAAAAAAAAAAAAAAAAAAAGAAGAAGCAGCAGCTGATGGTATGACCACATGCTTATATGTACCAAACATAAGTTGTCATACTGAAAACACTAGAATTTACCATTTTTAAGGTTAAAAAACAAAAGTCACCATCGGGGGAGCTCCAGTTTGTATTGAATTTCTCATCCATGTCCTTCTGTCTTGGGGAATTTTATGCATCAATTAATGTGCTTTCTCTACAATTGCAGAAAGATGGAGATTCTCATTACCATTCATCCTTGTCAGCGTCGCAATTGCAAAAGTGCTGAATGTCCAGGCAGCTCTCGTCTAGGCCACACTCACACTGCTGGACCCCAGGAGGGGAACCTCCCCAGTAAGGGTGCCTTTCATTGGACCGCCCAATCCACCAGGTAAATGGTGTTCCATCTGGAAGACAAGATATTCCACCAGTCAGGGTAGGGCAAGCCTGAAGTAACACAGGGGATGGCACAGAAACTGAGCTGAAAATATCTTGGAGAATAGATGTATATAGATAATCTCCTTCCCTTCCTGTCTTCTTCCCTCCCTCACATCCCCCCTTCCCTTTGCTTGCTTTCTTCATTTCTTTGTTTCGTTATCTCATTTTTTTGTTCCTTCTTTTTCCATCTCTGTCTCTCTTTCTCACTCTTTCTATATATTTAAATTTGTATTTCTACATCTATATGTGCCCATATATGTACACATATAAACGACATTTTCATCAAAATGTTTGTATAGTCAAATATTGATGAATGGCAATGCTGAGAGGCAGTGTCGTAAACTTGAATTCTTACCAGATCAGGCACGATTGAGTAAGTTAGGTCAGAATTTAGACCAAAATATTTTAATATATGAATTTCAAAAAATAATAACTTTCTTTTAAAACTACCAAAGAGAAAATGAGAGCACTAGGGCCAAGATTAGCCTGACCTCTGTCCTCAGTTCTGGGTAGACAATGAGGAAGTTAAAGACTCAGGTGAAGAAGAGGTTGGCTGTGTAAGAGGGCTGGTTCTGATGGCCTCCCATTGATTTCTCTCAGGATAATAGTAGCCCTGCAGTTGCCATATCCTCTGATTTTGTTTTTTAAAAAGACATCATTAGTTCTAAGCTCAAAGATTTGGGGGAAAAAAAATAAAAGCACTGTTAAAGCTGATAATATGTGGACCAAACAAACCCTTGTGAAGGTTATATTTAACCCACATAAAGGTGGTATGCAACCTGTGATTTCCAGTCTTTATAGCTAACTGGAAACCATTTTTGAGTCTTGTCCTTCTCAATTTTTTTCTTTACAAAATGTAGTTTAGTGAAATCTGTTGGATTTTTTATGATTGAGAATATTTCAGTAGCTTAGAATTATCATTCTTAAAGTGATACTGCATCCAAAACAAGACAGGCAGATGAAAGTGTTATACATCATTAGGCTGAAGGATGTGAGGCCTGGGCTCCCTTTGGTAATTGTCTTATTTGTGATTGATATACAACAGGTGCTTAACATGTGCTTATTTAAAAAATGAAAGAAATATTTATTAAGGGCCACTTTATATCATTTGCAATTTTACAGTGAATAATAGCAATTGTCTGAGGATGTTACAAGGTTGAAATTTTGCCTAATCAAGATTCTAGTTTACATGCATATTCTTATGTACAAACATAAAAATCACAATTAATCTCTATATACAAAGAGCAACAACTTTCTCTTACTTGCCTCCAGGCTATCATCCCCATGAAAGCCACTGAGGTAAGTAGGAAGAGACCAGGCAACCTAAAGCTTTCATTAATCTGAAGGTCATGAGAAAAACATACAGAAGGTACTTTGAAAATCATCAGCATTTTAGGGGTGCTGATTCATGAAGCAGAGGGCCTGGAGGACTACAGTCATCCCAACATGGCAGTCCACACTCTGCCTAAAGTAAGTTCAATTCCTATGTCATCTTTAAAGCTAGAGTTTCAATTGGAGATGTCTGTTAACCAGTGTGTTCTTTTAAAGAATAGTTATAAACAATATGAATTCATTTTCTTTAGTTTCAAATAACTGTAAATCACTGTAAAATACTACACATGAATTGTTTTCTTCCTAAATCCCTGCTCGGGTGAGCCAAGCACACCTGGCCTAGAGGACTGGCAGGCTTATTTGGAGCATGGAGCACATTCAGGAATGGAGTAAGCTTAGGTGGGTCATCACAGCATGAGTCCAGCCAGCATGAGGGTGAAGCATTTTGTATTTGAATACATTTGTCAGTGTTGTCCTTGGGCCCAAGAATGGAAAGAAATCTCTCAAACTCTCCCTCCTTTCAACAGCCCAGGCCTCTACTCTCAGACTCTAGAATCCAGACTACACAGTCAAATCCAATGAGCAAGAGATACTTTGTTTATGAACTACCCGAAAGGCTATAAGCACATTAATTGCATTGTTACTAATGGTATAAGCTCTGAACAGCCAGTTTGTGTGCAACTTCTGGTGGATGTGTTGCTTCTAGTAGATTTACCAATTCTTATTTGGTGTTTTTACTCCCTAGAAGTTCCATTAGCAGCCCAACTCTTAATTCCGTTTTGAATCCATCAACATCTTGCACCGCTTTGGCCTCTTAGTGCCTCCCTCCTAATGTCTGGCTTAAAGGTTGAGAAGTTTAAAAGTTGAAACACGTTTTAACCAAATGACTCTCAACAAGCAAGAAGAAAAAGAGAGAGAACAAAAAATTATGTATCTATATATGAAAACCGGAGGATTATTGCTAGATTTTCCCTTTAGATGTCCCATCTTTGTGTCTTGGTCTCTGTGCAGTACTGGAGAGATTATAGCAAATGAAGATACTGAGGATCAAACAGGGGTTTGACTCGCCTCAAGTCTTGATGCTAACCATGTAGTCAGGAAGAAAAAACACAACCTAGGCTGTAAATTTTGGCCATTGCAGAAATTGAACTTTTTCTTTCCTGACAGGAGTTTCTTTCAAAAGTGAAGGAACAAAGCATGATTACAAATATTTTATTTACAAACTATGAATTCATTCAACAAATATTTACTAAGGATTCATACTATTTCAGACAAGTTTCTAGGCACTTGGAATAAATCACGTAAGAAAACATACCAAAATAAAGAAACAAACAAAACATGCCCTCCTGCTCGTTACATGGTAATTAATAGGAAATGACAATAAAAATGCTTATATAATTTAGTATTTAGAAAGGGATAAGAGGTATGTTGTATTAGTGCATTTTCATGCTGCTGATAAAAACACACCTAAGACTGGGTAATTTATAAAGAAAAAGAGGATTAATGGACTCACAATTCCATCTGACTGGAGAGGCCTCACCGTCATGGTGGAAGGCAAAAGACATGTCTTACATGGATAAGAGAGAACTGAGTGCCAAGTGAAAGGGTAAACCCCTTATAAAATCATCAGATCTTGTAAGACTTATTCACTACCACGAGAACAGAATGGGGCAAATTGCACCCATGATTCAATTATCTCCCACCTGGTCCCTCCCACAACACATGGGAATCATGGGAGCTACAATTCAGGATGAGATTTGGGTGGGGACACAGCCAAACCCTATCATATATGGAAAATATAAAACAGGCTAAGGACAGCAAGTGTGCTATGAAGAAGGGTGTGTTACAATTTTAAACCATACCAATCAGGAAAGACTTTGATGAAAAGACATCCTGAACAAAACTCATAGGCCACGGATAAGTCACCTGTGGCCATCTGGAAAAGCTCATTGCAGACAAAGTAAATGAACAACATAAAGAACAAATCAGGGCATTTTTTTAGAATCTATGGCTAGGTTTTTAAACTGCACTTTGCAAAATGTTGCAAATGTTCCAATAGGAAGGTTTAACAGGAAAAAAAATGGGTAGCATAAAACAGATAAAATAGAACTTAATTGATCAGGTTCTTGAATAGAAGCTAAGAATTCACTCTGCCTGTTCCAAGCCAAAATGTATTATTATGAAGATGCTGGACTACCACAGAATCATAAATATAAAACCCTGCCCAGCTGGCTGCCCCCGAATGCTGAACGCCTAGAGACGGATTCAGTCGACATGCTGTCTGCACCACCATGACCTCCCTGCAAGTATCTTGAGCTGCAACCCCTGTCTCCCCAAAGATGAGTTTCTGCAGACCCTGTGTCTGCAAAAAAGAAGGTTCACATAGAGCCTGCTTCCTGGGGCTATCTTCCCATCAGAGCATCTCACAGGAGGGGCTGATGGGTAAAGCACAAGTTGCATACTTGGGTCCCAGCTAGAAACGAGATTCGGGATTTAAATTCTGACTTCTTTGCTGTGGAGGCGGGACTCACAACACATTTTCCCCTAATACAGAAGAGTTATTCAAAAGCTAAGCAGAAACTTAGTATCTCTTAATGGATCAATATTTTAAATCTCTGAAATCTCTATTTCTTCCACCAAATGGGGTTATTAAACCAAATATAAACCTGTTTTGATGCTTCTGATAAACAAAGAACTCTATGAAATCTGGTGAGCAGGGCTTAAGGAGGTTCCACAATTTTGCTTTGAAAACCAGGAAGGCACTTCACTTTGACAAGAAGCAAATGGGGAAAAACTCTGTCTATCCCCCAGCTGCCTGCATGTGACATATATATCTCTCCGCGGTAGAGGTCTGCGTTATGCACTGTGCTTCCGGGGCCTGGGGCTCTGGGGATTTGTGAGGCCAGCTCCTTGGCTAGGAAACCAGAGTTTTCATACACAGCCTCAGCAGCCATGCAACGCAAGGACTTCCACAAAACAGCCAAGATTAAGAAAACAAGAGGACTGGGACCTGATGGGAGACTCCTCCAGGAACTCCCAGTAGCAGCCACAAAGCTCTTAGGGAGTTGTCAAGGTCCTCTGTAAGCAGGGTATAAAAAAAATACGACTGAGGAATTGCATGAGTTTACATTACTTCCATGCAAATATTATTGTCATATGACCTCATGCATATAAACAAGGTATGGGAAAACTCAAATTACATATATATATATATGTGTGTGTGTGTGTGTGTGTGTGTGTCTGTGCGTGTAATATGTTTAATATATATCTATATCTATAAATCCTCCTAAGAAAGTATTTGTTTTAGAGTGTACACAGTAAGTGATCACAGAAGGTGATCTTACACACTGCCACACAATAATAATACTATAGCACAACGCAATGTCAGCATTGAGTGCTGGAACCTTCTCAGGATCTCCCTACCCCAAGTTTCAAGGGGATAACCATGAGTGTGTTTTGCTTTGTTGCAGACAACATGCAAACTGAGAGGCACAGTTTAAGCCCTGTAGCTGTCTTCTTTTCAAATGTTCAGTGTCTTTCTGAGTTTTTACTCAAAGTGTTTTAATGGACCTAAATTCTTCCCCAATTTTAAAGCAGAGTATTTGACAAACAAATTAAAAGAAAAAAGTTTGCAAAACTACTATTTAACCCATTTGGCAGAGCAGACTGCATAAGGGTATGTTGTCTTAGGTCTGCCTATAAAACTCCTTGCCAGTGAACTTCCCCCAGTCATTTCAACACAGTGAGCCTCTTCCCCTCTTAATCAGTGTAGATGTAAAGTCCAAATATCTTCACTGTTTCTCCACTGCAGAAATTTCTAGGTGTGTTTTACCTCCAATTTAGATTGCCAGCTGCAGGTTTCTATTTTTCTAATTATCCTAAACAGGATAATGCATCATAAACTTGGAAAAGAATTATCTCAATTGAGCCACAAAAAGACAGAAATAAAAAATAAAGTTGCATATTCTAGAATGTCTTATAAAGAGAGTGTAAGTTTGGGGAGGGAATGTATGTGTGAGAGAAAGAAAGAGAGAGAATAAGGAGGAGGAGGGAGAGGAAGTAAAAGCGGGAAACAATATTGCATCTTCATTTGTTAAATCAGAGATTTCAGCCTATATAGACTCCTATACTTGAATTTAAATCATTCCAGCAGATCAAGTCTAGGGATTTTGCTAATGAGTGAATAACCACACTATCCTGACCATAAAGTTTCCTCAAGTAGAATATGTATATATTATATGCAGAGAAATGGTTCAAAGACAGAGAAAATATATATGTTTTATAGAAGACCTAAACACAAATCTAATTTGTACATGATTAGTTCAAATGATGATTTTTATATTGTAAGAAATTGAAGAGAATTCAAACAGGTTAGTTGCACAATTGTATGGCTTAATCATTGGGAGCTGTTGAACATAATTCAAACTGGAGATCTCTCTGTAATCTTGCAATTGTTTCAATTAAAGTTTTGACAACTGGGAAACAGTAAACACAACAGCTTCCTGGTGATAACTGCAGCTACGGCCAAGAGAATCTGGCCTCTTCCCGTTGCTATGAACAGTCCAAGCAAAATTCCAGACAATATCAGAATGGAGCTAGAAAGTTCCATAGATGTATACAGACTGTGCTCTGTTGAGCTGTTGTTGCCTTTGTGGTTATTGTTTCTCTTTACATTTTTCTAAGTTTAGATGTAATGTATTCTCATAGCCTTAGATTCTGGCAAACTCAGTATGCCAACAAGAAGAGTTTTAGTTCTCATTTCTTTTATTCATACAATGTTTGAAGTTGCAGGAGTAAAAGAAATTTGCTGCACTGATGAGCAAATACATGTGGCAGTGGGTTTAGGGGTGGAGTAAACCCACTGCCCCACTTGATGTGAGGCTTGGCCTTGCTACTTGTGTAGCTCCATGGAATGTGTGCAGAAATGATGATGGTTCAGTTCCAGTGTAGACCTCAAGAGGCATGCATGTTTCCACCTGCCCTTCCAGAGCTTCCTTGACATGACCCTGGGAACATGCCCCAGCAGGTCATGACCTCTCCAGCCACGGCCCCAGAATGTAACTCAGGAAGCACAGTTACCCAGTGGATGCACAGATGAGTGAGTGTGAGAATAAGGACTGCATGTTGTATGTCACTGAGCTTTGGCAACTGGTTATATAGCATTTTTGCAATAATAACTGATAAAATACAAATTAGGTATAAATCACGTGAAAATAAATTCTGTAGGGGTTATAAAGAAGTACATAGAAAGATCAATGATGGCTCTAATTTCAAGGTGTTTGCAATATGGTTAGAAACCGCTAGTGTCTTTCCCATCTGCCCTTCTTCCGTCCCACATGTGATTTATATAAACCCAATCTGGGTTCACCTGGAGTCTGTGCCAACCCAGCCCCAATGATTGGCAGTGTAACCTGACTTCCATGCCTTTGTCCCCTTCAAACACGGTGCTTGGCTGTCACTGCAATGCAGATAGCAGTTTTCCATGATAGTAATGGTCCTGCCTCATCTTTTTAAGTCTCGATGCCACTTACCCATGCATTCAGTTAAAAACTCTTCATAGAACTTTGAAGAAACTATTCTCACAACTGGTCACTTAACTGTAACCTAATGAAACCAGATCTTGTACAGTTTTCTCATAGCCTCTGCCCATAGAATGATGCAAAGTTGCAAGTTTTGTGTGTGTGTATGTGCATGTGTATACACACATATATAATTATATGTAAATTAAATATTATATTCATATTGTATAAAATTACTAATTTATATATAAATTAAATATATAATTCATAAAATTATATAATTAAATGTAATGATGTGAATTGCATATATTATATTCAATGGTTTAACTGTATCCTGTGAAAGGTCATGGTGTAATACGTGAGTGATATAAACTTTAATGAACTTTTGCTACCCTAAAAGAGCTCATAACATTTATAGGAAGGAGGTCCCGCACACAGCTAAGAGTAATGGAAGTCAGAGTGAGATCAGTGCCAAAGAGAGCAGTTAATAAAATTCTAGAAAAGCCCAGAGTAAGAAAATATGACTTCTCACCAGGGGTCGTGGGAACAGTTTTATGCAAATGATGGCATTTGAGCAGAGGCTCAGAGACTTGGTGTTGAGGAGGACTTCGACAAAGTGTGCCGTGGAGAAAGAATTTGTGCAGGTAAAGATCACAAAGAAAAGGAGATCTGATTTTCACCGCAGTCGTCTTTAGGAAATGACTGTTTGGGATAATGAGATTTCTGTACATACTAAACATGCTTTATTTCATTGCTTGCAGTTAAGCGCTGGGGGCTTAAAAAATAAATCTAGAGAACGAGGCCACCAAAGTTATAAGGCCAAGAGATTACCAGTGATTGCAGCACATGTCTCACTATATGAACAAAACACACACCATCAAAATGCTGATTTAGAAAAGAAGACTCTGCCAACAAAAGAAAGTGTTTTATATGCTCTTTCTTTCTAAATAGAATACCGTTTCTGAGAAAACATTTAGTCAGAAAGAAAAACAACTTCATCCATCTTTGAAAATAATGGCAGGCACTCATCAAAGTCAATCTTCGTCTTCCTGCTTGCTGGTCAAGATCGTTAATTCAGAACATATGTCTAATAGTGTGATTAAGGGCTAGTCCGTGACATTAGGAATTAACATTTTTATAATGTTGTTCAATGTTCTCTTCTCCCTGCCTGTTGAATTGAAGTGAGCCAGAAAGAGAGAGGGGGAAACAGAAAAGATTAATGGTACCGCCTCTCAAAACAAATGATAAAAGTCATTTTGATGGGATCATTTCAAGCTGGACTAGGCAAAGCTCTCTAGAATGGACTATGGGGATCCTTCATGGTTAGACAAAGAGATGGACAACGTGATTAACTTAAATGATTCTTTGGGCATTGTGTGAGTTTTTGTAGGAGAATATAAAAATACTTTTGTTTATTGTACAATTTTTTGCTAAGTGCCTCATTGAAGGATCCCAGTAAGGTTAAATGACAGAGTAACACGATGACTGAGCAAAATGTGGGCTACAGGCTCCAGACATCTGAGAACCTGCATAGCTCCTGTCCTGAACATCCACCTTCACAAAGACTCCCAGACCTTGATACTTTCTTTTTTCTTTCTTTCTTTCTTTTTTTTTTTTTGATGGAGTCTCACTCTGTCTCCCAGGCTAGAGTACAGTGGCATAATCTCGGCTCACTGCAACCTCTGCCTGCCAGGTTCAAGGGATTCTCCTGCCACAGCCTCTAGAGTAGCTGGGACTACAGGCGTGTGCCGCCACACCCGGCTAATTTTTTATTTTTAGTAGGACGGGGTTTCACCATGTTGGCCAGCCTGGTCTTGAACTCCTGACCTCAGTTGATCTGCCTGCCTCAACCTCCCAAAGTGCTGAGATTACAGGTGTGAGCCACCTTGCCCGGCAGACCTTGATACTTTCCAATGTGCTGGAAACATCATGAAATAACACGAGACTTACAGATAAAAATGAACATTTTGAGACACTCTTATAAATCTTTAGGAACTGATAACAATAAAGGAACAACTCAGCATTGGAGTAAGATCTTCAGTTTACTACACAATTTCCCTGATACGACAAAAGCATTAGTTTTCAAATGCAGAGTGAAAAGAAAGAGGGAGGACTCTCAACTCTTCATCAAGCTGTGATGTAATAAAGAAACCTCTATTGTGTTAAGCCTCAGAGATTTAGTGTGGGGCATGTTCATGACCTCAGCATAGTTTAACTTATACCGATTCACACAGTAAAAAAAATAATGAATGAAAAGCAGAGTTGGAAAAGTAAAATATCTGATATGTACACACAATCTAGAAACTAAGAATTGCAATAAATCTGGCTACTAAAGCCATTGTGTATATTTAGACTCATGATACTAATAAAAACATCCAGAATTAATTGAGCATTTAAAATATTCCAAGCAGATTCATGCTTTTTTTTAATGTTCTAGCTTATTTACTCTCCACAACAACACTATGAGGTAAATACCTTTATTTCCCCTTTGCAGATGAGAAAACAAAGGCATAGATAGAGGTAAAATTACCTGCTAGTAACTCAGCTAGTCGACGACAGACCCTAGCCACAGCCATAACGATCTCTTCCGTGGGTAATTACAATAGACTCAAAAGTAAAATGCTTGCCTCCATTTTTGTTCCATCCTCCAAAAGTTATTTTTGTAGCATCCAAAAGGGACTTTTAAAGTAAGGATCACTTGATTTACCTCTGATTGAAATTTCCCAATAGTTCCCTATTGCAACAAGAAACAAATCCCACCTTCTCGCCATGGCCCATGAAACCCTGTGCATGTGGTCCTGCAGATTTCTCAGCCTTACGTCTTATTCCACAATCCAGCCTGTGCCCTGCCCTCCAGCTGTACTGGCCTCCTTGCCAGCCCTCGCACATGCTCTTTGATGCTTGCTGCTCTCTGCCTGAACCCGTCCTCCCATGGGTCTTCATAGAGGCTGATGTCTTTCACTGGGTCCTGAAATTAACCATTTAATTATTTCCAGTTAACCCTATCCAAAGCACTCCAACATCACGCTATCGTTCCCAATTTTTTTTTTTTTTTTGAGATGGAGTCTCGCTCTGTCGCCCAGGCTGGAGTGCATTATTGTGATCTCAGCTCACTGCAACCTCCGCCTCCCAGGTTCAAGCAATTCTCCTGCCTCAGCCTCCTGAGTAGTTGGGATTACAAGAGCATACAATCACGTCTGGCTAATTTTTGTATTTTTAGAAGAGATAGGGTTTCTCTATGTTGGTCAGGCTGGTCTCAAACTCCTGACCTCATGATCTACCTGCCTCAGCCTCCCAAAGTACTGAGATTACAGGTGTGAGCCACTGCTCCCAGCCTATTGTTCTTAAGAGTACTGACTACAACCTGAAATCATTATTTTTGTTTATTTTTCTTTGTTTGTATAATGTATTCCCCATTGGAATTAGGAAAAGGGCATTTTATGGCTTGTTCATGACTGTATATCCAACATAGAGAATGGTGCCTTGCTTGCACTAAGAACTAACTACATATTTGCTGAATGAACAAATGACCAAATGCCAAAAAAAAGAAACAACCCAGAAAGATTTTCTATAGATGACATTAAAAAATGTGTTTTGCAGAAATATATATGATTATGATGCCTTTAGCTTCTATATAGGTGCATTCATCTTTGCCATTTTAGGTTATCATTGAAGAAATCAAGTGCTTTTTTTCCATTTTAGTCACATCTCCAAAAAGAGACATCTATTAAGCCTTTGAATAAATGCTTCCTATAAGTGTGGCATAGAATGAGACCACCATACAGTAAGGTTTTCACATATCAGTTCATTCATGGATTAAACAAACCGATATAAAACATCTGCAATGGTCAAGACTCTTGTCTGATTGAACCTGGTTAGTATAAAAGGCAAAACACTTATGAATCCTGCCATCAAGTTCTTCACAATGAAAGGATAAGGGAAAGAAAATGTTAAACATTATTTTTAATTCAATTTAGAATGAAATAAATTTGACGTACAATATTAAGCAATATGTGGAAAGCAAAAGGAAGAAAAATGGCTATTTAGTGGAGAGTACAGTGTCAGGGGAAAAATCTAAAGTCATTTTTTGTTTTGTTTTGTTTTGTTTCCTTTTGTTTAGACAGAGTCTTTCTCTGTTGCACAGTCTGGAGTGCAATGGCGTGATCTCTGCTCACTGCAACCTCCACCTCCCTGGTTCTAGTGATTCTCCCACCTCAGTCTCTCGAATAGCTGGGATTACAGGCACCCGTCATCATGCCCAGCTAATTTTTGTATTTTTGTAGAGACAGAGTTTCACCATGTTGGCCAGGGTGGTATCGAACTCCTGACCTCAGGTGATCTGCCCGCCTCAGCCTCCCAAAGTGCTGTGATTACAGGCGTGAGCCACCGTGCCCAGCATAAAGTCATTTATTTTATGAATACACCTGCCATTTCAGTTTACAAACCAGTGAGGAAAGTTGGATATCCGTAACACTAACATTCGAAACGAGGTTCACATCACATAACTCATTCAACCCTCTCAACAAAGCTGTGAAGATACTCATTCTCATCTTACAGATAAAAAATGGTAGCTAACAATGGATTAGCAAATTCCCCAAAATCACACAGAAAATAAAAAGGATCTTGAATTTAGATCTTATGGCTCCAAATCCCAATATTTTTACATATTATGTGAAACCTGGTCCTATTAGAGAAGGGAATAAAAGAGTACTATATATTTTCACAGCACTTGTTCTTGAATCAATATTAAAATAGTATAAATCAAATAATCATTACATTGGTAAAACTACAGATCATTATTGAGTATGTATCCTCAACCCTCTTGGGGATATTCCCAAATATATTGTCTTTCCAACTGTATTAGTCTATCTATTGATTTATCTAAAAAACAAATTAACAGAAAAGCAAAAAAAAAAAAGTCTTGTAGAAATAATTGTTCTAATAAGTATCATGGTTTCTATGAAGTCTAATTGGCCTAAACCTCTATATTTTTTCTCAGTAGCTACCTAGGAGTGATAGGCTAATCATGTAACTGGGAATCAGCTGAAATTTTTCCTTAGAAGTCTTATATCAGCATCTCTCAAAGTATAGCCTCTGGCCACTTGAATCAGAATGATCTGGGATGTCTTACGGACATGTTTTATTTGTTTGTTTGTTTGTTTTTTGGATGGGCAGTCATTGATTCAACTAAAAATTAATTATTGTGGAGGAAAGGGGGTACATATATAGAGAGGGGAAAGCTAGAATTCTCTGCCCAAAGCTGTCAACAACATTAAAATGGATATCACACAGCCATACATTAATGCATTTTACCCAGGATATGGGTTTTTGAAAACTTCCCAGACACTTGGAGAGTACAGCCCAAGATTCTTCATTTACTTCACACTTATCAGGTGACACTAAAACTTTACTCAAGTTTACACACCTAAATTTTAGAATCACTAATTACAAGGTTTGAACTTTATTTAAAATTTTCAGGCCTCTATCCCCTCTCTTTTATGAGGAATTCTTGTTCGATGACACCACGGATTGCTAAACACTAATGAGCTACTTAGTTTTAGGTTTTACTCTTACCAAATCGCATGCGTTAGGTTACAGCAGATCCATCTAAAGAAAGGTAGGATGATAAGTGGAGACAAATAAAATACAGAGAAAAAATAAAGGTTAACTTGGAAATGAGAGAAGGTCACCAAATTTCTGGTTATTCTTATTAGAATTAAAAACAGGCAGTTGCTTTGCTTTTGTCTTGGTCAACTATAAATCTAGTGTGCATGTGATGATGCTACTTTTCTCACAAATTTGCTACAAGAGTCCCAAAAGAACATCTCCCACAGTTACTCTTTCTTCGCTAGCCCCCATTCCCATTCCCTTTTGCTTCATTTCTGCAGCAAACTCTGTTCCATCATTTGAAAATATCAGTGAGGTTCAGTTAGATTTCTTGTGATTTTTGTTTACCCTGCTTCACACACACACACAAAGTCACTAGGTCCCAATTCCTGTGTCAAACGTTCTCTCATGCTCACTTTTCATTTGTTTCCATGGGAAGATGATAACATTTTTCCTCTCTTCATTCTCTCTCTCTCTCTCTGTGTTCATTTGTGTCTCCATGTAGCGGGGTTTACCAGCCTTCCTCCCATCCCACCACCCTTCAGCAGACCAGGACTTTGGAGATGTGGGGTGTTTTTCTCTGTCCTTTGTCATAGATATTTTATCTATTGCTTATACACAAATGCCTAAAAAGTCTTGGTTCTCCAGCTCTGCATGCTTTTCTGAGCTGTTTGATGGAGAGCTGCTCCATGAGTACCTCAAACGAGTAGCACATTGCTATGTGGTGTGTCCTTCTTCCTACTCAGGCTTCACACATGTTTTCCCATTTTTTGCAGCCTTAGGTTGAGAAGTTTAATACTCTATTCAACAAACACTAGTCTCTTAACTATCAAGACAGCAAAGCCTGTGCATGTCGTATTAACACTCTCCCCCATCAAAGCTTTCTTTGCAGATTTCTTTCCAAATCTGCAGTGTGGGCTCACTGTGTCCTGCCTGCACATCACTGCAATCTACTCTGCACACATGCACTCAACTAGTTTTCTTAAACTAACTATTCGATTACAATGCTTTCTGCCAGCAAAACATTCAATAGTATCTCATTTGCAAATGAATTTAAAGAAACAAAAAACTAGCAATCTGCTCTTCAATACCTCTACTCCCTAGCCCCCAAGCTACTTTTCATATTGGTCTACTTTCCTAGACAGATGTTCTTCCTCAATCAAATTGGGTTGTTACTCTTTTTTATTAAAAAAAAAATCTTGTTCGTTTAGTTTGAATTTCTGCTAACATAATTCTTTCCTGCAGGAATAGTTGACTTCCACCCTTCCACATTTTGACATATGTAAATTCTACTTCCCTTCTTTTTCAAAGCCCTTTTTAAATGCTTTTTCCCATAAGAAGTCTTCTCTAACAATTTTATTTGAAAGCATTTCCTCTTCTCAATTGTATAGCACTTTGAAAAAAAATGAAAATTATTGACTGACTGCATACTATCTTATATCGGGCTATTTCTCTTAAATTCCTTAACAAATTGCAATTTCTTTATACAATATCAAGACTAATTATATGTATAATATTCCATTTTCCAGATACTTCTTTACAAAGTTTGAAGAATATTTATTACCTACTGTGCTATGTGTGTGTGTGTGTGTTTAGAATATACACATGGAGGTATTAACATTTCCCCCAAAAGCTCCTAATCTTTTCTTAAATAAGGTGTTCAATAAATCAATAATTTTGTGTTAAATAAAGTGAACAGGGAGTAAATGTTGCATTGCTAATCAAAATGCCATTGCAATTATTCATGTGAATAGACCCACCTCCAAGTCACTGTTTCATTTATCAAGACAACAACTAATCCACTGTTGTTTATATTCTGAGTCTTTTAATCAAAGTGGAAATCCCTCATGGTGATGGCATATTTTATGGAATTTTTGTGTTTGAAAACATGTCACAAAGGGTGAGAACTCTTATGTAAGGAACTCGGTATTTTCTATAGCTTCATCAACTAATTAATACACATTTACTATAAATTAAAGTTTGAAATAAGTACTCTTTAGTTGAAAATGTGAAATTCAGTGCATTTTTCTTATGAAAAATAAATTTGGTATGCATTTTGGTCTATTTGGCCGGCTATAACAAAATTCCATAAACTGGATAGCTTATAAACAACAGAAATTGATGTCTTACAATTCTGGATGCTGGGAAGTCCAAAATGAAGGCAATTCCCATGTCTACCGGGAGCTCACTTTCTGGATCAGGGAAACTGCCTTGTTGATGTGTCCTTGCGAGGTAGAAGGGCTTAGGGTCTCCCTTGGGCCTGTTTTCTAAGGGCATTAATCCTATGCGTGAGAACTTTATCCTCATGGTCTGATCCCTCACCAAAGGCTCCACCTTCTTATGCCATCACACTGGTGATTACGTTTCAATGTATGAATTTTGGAGGAATAAAAATATTCATACCATAGGAATATGACAGAATTTTATTGATCCATTAAAATTTTCTAAGAGAACCTGGTTGCTGAAAAGAAACAAGAAGTATGGAATAAAATAAGTTGAGCAACTGAGACTCAATTATGTATTTTCTCTTCAAAATTATCTAGTCTCTATCAACATTTTATCTTGAGCTCACTCATTATAAAACAAAAAAGAATCAGATTTCCAGCAGTGCACTCAAAAAAGCTATAACACTGATCCCTGACAAGCTGCTATTTTGCATTGTAATACATTTTTAAAAATTTCTTTGTCTAAGTAAAATATACTAAGATGAAAAACTAAACTTGCTCCGAGTAAAAGAATAAATTTTCACCCAAATGATGAACAAAGAGACCTAAATGGAAGGAGGGTATGCTGTGTTTATATAATAAACTCTTGAATTGTCTTACCCAATTAAGTATTGCATTCCTTTCAACACACATGTACACACACACACATACACTCACACTCATACACACACTTACACTCATATACACCCTCATACATGCACACTCACACATACACTCATAAACACACTCACACTCATACACCCAGAAACACACACTCATATACACATACACACACAAATACATGCACACCCATACACACATTCTTACACATAAACACCTATATGATTTTTCTTACCCAAGATTGCCCTTTGCTCTTTCTTATTTCTTTTTTCTTTCTTTCCTGGTTCTCCTTTTTCTCTCTGTCTCTGCATTTGTCTCTCTCTCCCTCCTTCCTTTCTTTCTTTCTTGCTCCCTTTCTCCTCCTCCTCTCCCCAAATTATTTTTACCTTTCTTGTTCCCTCTGATCTCCCCATATTCCTTCCTTTGATCCCCTCCTGAAAGGCAACCTTTTTAAACGCCTTAGCACAATCGATTCGACAAGAATTTATCACAATCCTATCTACAGTATTTTATTGTTGATGGTTAATAAGCATTATCTGCTTACGGTAAAAGAAAAAAAAAAGAAGTGAAAAAAGGTGAGAAAAGAGCCAGCAAGAACCTTTTAAATAAATACCTACATGCATCAAGTTTCCCTTCAAATTCATTATAGTAGGTGGGCAAATACATCAAAGAGAACAGGAAGGAGACAAAATGAGTTTGCTTTTCACAATGCTAATGAACAAACAAAAATTCTCTATTCATGTATGTCTGCACTTGAAACATGACTGATGGCTGCAAGTCTAATATTCATTAGAGGTCTGAGCAAGGCATAGACAGAAAGTTGATGGAGCCCAGCGATCACACCCATTAGGAAGTGCTGGAAACGGCACGAGGCAGCAACATAAGAAGAATGGGCACAGAGCAGCTCTTCTAATGAATAAAATATGAAGAACTTTGCAATTACACAGACTAGAAAGAAGTGGCCAGAGGATCATCAGCATAACGATAGTAATAAAAATAGGATTTCATGCCTGTATCTCCTATTTCACAGCCCCATATCTGAAGAATATTAACCACTCTCCTGTTTATGATTATTTACAGGGTATATAACAAAAAATAAAATAAGGCTATGGATTTCTTGCCTTTGAGGATTTTCTATTCCATAATACCCCACAAAGGTCATTTAATTATTCTGAAAGATATTCTACAATCATAAAATATATGAAATTGGCAATTTTGGTTTCTGGGCAAAAATGTACCATTTAAAAATATACTTTGTGTCTTATAAAACTAGATAAAATCAAAACAAAAAACAGATGAAATCAAAATAAAGTTATTTTCTAAATAAAAATACTGAAAACATTGGCTAGTGTTTACACAAGACTTACAACATACTAGTTGCTATGTTTCCACATCATAAAAGGTAGAGAAGAAGAATTGAATTTATGAGAGGTTGACTGTAATCTACTTAAGGGCAGGGATGATTGGTAGTCATTACATGCCAGCATATTTTATAAGTTCAGTAATTCTTTAAATAATAATTGAATGAATAAATACATATCTGTTTGCAGATATATATATATATATATCTGTACACATGTCCACACACACACGCGCACACCTGTATACTACACGAAACACCATTCTCATTAAAAGATGTACTGATACAAACACTCTTAATAATAACTGCAATACAGTTTCCCTAAAGACACATTTTTTACCTAAGATTTAAGACAGGATTTTTATTGAAAAACTTGTAGCTATATTGGTCAAAGACAGCTATGCATTTTTTCAGATAACATGGTGCAAGTCTTCATTTTTCAAGAAGTCATTTTGTTGCTATCACGAGAAAAAGCTAAGTGATTGGAAATAACATGATATACTACATTAGCACTCAAGTCTGATGCTAGCAAACCTATTCCTTGTCTCTCATCAGGATACACCATTAACAGAGGCTGCCTTCTAGGATCTCAGTCAATACGAACAAGTCAATTAAAGGGCCTTTCAGCTGACAGAAATAGTTAATGCATTGTTGGCTGCTCTCTTAGAAGTCTAGAATCAAATTAGAAAAATAAGCACATTATAAAAAAATGAATGTGAACAGGTTTTTTGGATAGTGTAATTCAAGCAGTATCTAAGATTTAGGACTCATTTCTGGTTATAGAGAAAATATCTCAAAATAGAGGGTGTGGTTATTTTATCTTGAGTATCTGGTTACTCCAGAACTTTGAGTAACAACTATCATATTTCATCAAAGATGATAAAATAGGTCATCATTGATAATTGGTCGTACCATTATTTTTGTATTGCTAAGAAGGAAAACTGCTGCCAGTTCAACAATCTTACCCCATTGATTCTAAGATTCATTTCAATTTCAGAGATATCAAAAATGTAAAACAAAATTAGCGTTTGACTGTATTTACACATATAAACTTCTTATAATTCATTGCATCTGAAATTAATGCTTTTTACCTAGTCAGAAAAATTGCTCAGAATTGTTTATTGAACATATGACAAGGATAAAGAATGATGCCTAACAAAGAAAACAATAATAAAAAATTCATTATTATTCTATTAATATTTTCTTATGAACAATAACTACTTTTTTGCAAAAATTAGACATTATTACAAGTATTTCATTGTATTACATTAATAAAAATATTTGAAGATTAGAGTTCTCAACTAAGAAATGCATATACATGGAATCATTTCAAAGGAGGTCCTGAAATTCTCTGATATTCCTCTCATTGGGAGATAAGGTTTGTGTCTCCTCTTGAATCTGAGTGGGCTGACTCCTGCAGCCAGTAGATCAGGATTGATGTGACATTACATGACTTCTCAGGTGGGATACTAAAAGGCCTGGTAAGGTCCAGTAGTTCTTGGATTATAATTCCATGAAAGGCCCTTGTTGATTACATCCTGAGAGCCTAAAATACTGTCTCTCTCTGCATACCAGCCAACAAAGTGAGAGGGCCTTTATAAGACTTTAAGCATATTTGGAAATTCACATTTGGAAATTCACATCAGATAATAGAAAATAGTCTAGCTTATATATTTGATTATAAATTAGAATTGAGTTTAGTTTACAAATTGGATTATGAAGACTCATTCAAATCTTATTTGTGGAGTTGCCAGATTTTAGAATAGTGTCATTCAGAAAAAGGCAAAAAATCCTCAGAATTTTATTAAAGGTTTTAAGCCAATTTTTCCATGCCTCATTCCATATTTATTACAAATATTACCTCTCCCATGAAGCATTTTTGATCAAATCAGCTATGAATAACTATTACTTCAGGCTTTTTTGAAAATAATGTATATGTATTACATTAAAATAATGCATATGTATTAAAATATTTAAAGATATTTTACATTCATTGAAATAAAGAACAACATTACTTGTGTCTGTTCATTTCTTTGATTTCAGGGGGTTTTCAATGAGAACATGATCAATAAATCTGAACAGATCAATAATGAGTATGAATATTGCATCAGTAATCAAAAACCACCCAATAAAGAAAAGCCTAGCATCATGTGGCTTCACTGGTGAATTCTAAGCAATATTTAAAGAACTAGTGTCAATCCTTCTCAAACTCTTACTTCCGTAAATTGAAGAGCAAGGAGCATTTCTTAACTCATTTTAAAAGGCCAGCATTGCCCTAATATCAAAGCCAGACAAGGGCAAAGAAAATTGCAGCCAACATCGCTGATGAACACAGATGTAAAAGAATCCTCGATAGAATACTAGTAAATGAAATTCAAAAGCACATCAAGAGAATTACACACCATGATCAAGTGAGATAAAAGGATTGTTCAACATATACAAATCAATAAATGTGATACACCACATTAGCAGAATAAGAATGAAAACCTTTTTATCATCTAAATATATGCAGAAAAAAATATTTGCAAAATTCAACATTGCTTCATGATAAAGACTCTCCACAAATTAAGTAGAAGGAATGTACCTCAATACAATAAAGGTCATATATGACTAACCTACAGCTAACGTCATACTCAATCTTTAAAGTTGAAAGATTTTCCTCTAAGATTAGGAACAAGGAAAGGATGCCCATTCTGACCACTTCTATTCAACATAGTACTTAAAGTCCTGGCCAGAGCAATTATATAAAATAAAGAAAGAAATAAAAACATCCAAAATGGAAAAAATAAGTAAAATTGTCTCTGCAGATGACATAATCTTATACATAGAAAACCCTAAAGATGATGCCAAAAACTGTTAGAATAGATGAATTCGGTAAAGTTGCAGAAAATGAAATCAACATTTACAATTTAGTAGTGCTTCTATATACGAACAATGAATTGTCTGAAAAATAAATAAGACAATCTCATTACAATAGCAACAAAAATGAATGAATTTACTTAGAAATAAATGTAACCATGGAAGCGTAAGACCTGTACACTGAATACTATAAAACATTGATAAACGAAATGGTGAAAGACACAAATAAATAGAGAAATAGGCCATTTCATGGATTCAATGAGTTAATATTGCTAAAATGACCATACTACCCAAAGTTCAATGCAATCATTATCATAATTTTAATGGTATTTTTCACACAAAAAAGGAAAAAATGATTCTACAATTTATAAGGAACCACAAAAGACCCTGAATAGTCAAATCAATCCTCAACAAGAATAAAACTGGAGACATCACACTTCCTTATTTCAAATATAAAGCTACAGTAGTCATAATAATATGGTACTATCATAAAAGCAGACATATAGGCCAACAGGACAGAATAAATAACCTCAAAATGAATCCAGGCACTTAGAGTCAACTACCTTTGGCAAGAGTACAAAGGACAAAACATGGTGAAAGGTCAGTCTTTTCAATAAAGATGTTTGAGAAAACTGTGTATCCACATGCAGAAAAATAAAACTGGACCCTTATCTCATGCAATATGTAAAAATCAACTAAAAATTGATTAAAAATTTAAACAAAAGACCTGTACCTGTAAAAATAACAGAAGAAAACACTGGATAAAATCTTCATGATGTTAGTCTGAACAACATTTTTTTAGCATGACCCCAAAAGCACAGACAACAAAAGTAAAAATAAACCAGAGGGACTGTATCAAAATAAAAATATGCTTAAATTAAAAAAAATCAACAATCGAGAGTGAAAAAATATCCTATGGAATACAGGGGAGGAAATGTTTGCAAACTATACATCTGATAAGGGGTTAATCATCAAAATCCATAAGAAACTGAAACAACTCAATAGCAATAAATAAATAAATAATATTTTAAAAGAAATGAATAGACTTTTTTTTGAAGAAGACGTACAAATGGCTAACAAGTATATGAAAAGCTATTCAAAATCACTAATTGTATTAGTCTGTTTTCACACTGCTATAAGAAAACTACTTGAGACTGGATAATTTATAAAGAAAGATTTAATTGACTCACAGTTCCTCATGGCTGGGGAGAACTTAGGAAACTAACAATCTTAGGGGAAAGCAAATGGGAAGCAAGGCACATCTTACATGGTGACAGGGGAGAGAAAACAAAAGGGGGGAACTGCCAAACACTTTTAAACCATTAGATATTGTGAGAACTAACTCACTATCTTGACAACAGCATAGGGGAAACTCCCTCCATGATCCAATCACCTCTTACCAGGTCCTTCTCTTGACACACGGGGATTACAACTTGAGATGCAATTTGGGTGGGGACACAGAGCCAAACCATATCACTAATAATCAGAAAAATGCAAACCATAACTACATGAGCTATCACCTCAGACCTGTCTGAATGGCTGTAATTAAAAGGGAAAATTTAACAAGCATTGGTGAAGACATGGAGAAAATGGAACACTTGTACACTCTTGGTGGGAATGTAAATTGGTATTGTCATTACAGAAAACAGTATGGAGGTTCCACAAAATAATTTAAATGGAACTATCATATATATACACATACATATATATCATATATCATATATATATACACACACGCATATATACCATGCACCCACACACATACACAATACATAATGAAATGTTATTCAGCTTTTAAAAAGTAATTCTTGCCATTTCCAATGACATGAATGAATCTGGAGGACATTATGCTAGTGAAAAAAGCCAAACACAGAAAGACAAATACCTTATGATCTCACTTACATGAGGAACCTAAAAATTTGAATTCACAGAAGCAGAGAGTAGAATGGTAGTTTCCAGGGGCTGGGGAGTAGGGAAAGTAGAGACATGTCGTTCGAAGAGTACAAAGTTTCAGTTATGCAGAATAAGGTCTGGAGACCTAATATGTGGCATGATAACTATAGTTGATACTACTGTACTGCATACTTTAAATGTGCCAAAAGAGTAAATCTTAAGTGTTCTCACCACACACAGAAAAAGAAAGAGTGAGAGAGAGAGGAAGGAAACAAGAGGAGAGAAGAGGAAAGGAGAGGAGAGGAGAGGAAAGGAAGGGGGAAGGAGGAAGGGGAAGGGGAAGAGGAAGGGGAAGGGGAAGGGGAGTAAAGGGAGGGAAACTATGTGAGGTCATGGATATGTTAGTTAACTTCATTGTGGTAATCATCTCATAATGTATAACTGTATCAAAACATCATGTATACCATATATATACAATTTTTGTCAATTATTCTTCAATAAAGCTGGAAAAAAATAACAATCCCTGCATCTGTTATAAAGTATAAATGAAGACTGTCCTAGTAAAAACAAAAAATAAAATTATGGAAATATTTTTAATTCAATTTTGGCAATAAAAGAAAAAAATCATCATCACACATTTCTTACACACAGAAATAGATTTTACAAATCAGTGAGAAGTAAATGATTTTTTAAACATTGAGTTGGAAAATAAATTTATGTGTATGTGAGACCCTGTACAGAAGAACACAGAGCAGTTTGCCGGAAAATGTCCTCAATAGACTACCCTCCAAAAAGTCAGTACGTTGAATTTCATGGGGAAGAATTTCTTAGAGAAATTCATATAGTGGAATCTCCTTTAAAAAAAAAAAAAAAAAAAAAGCTAAGGGAATTTCCCTTGAAAAAAGCTGAGGGATTGAAGCTGAGGGATTAATGTACCACAGTAAAGGAGTTGCCTTCGAATTGCTGGCTTAATGTAAAGACTAAAATTCAGAACAGATGAGTAGCATTGTCTTCCCATGACCCTCCCTCCCACTAATACTACTTTTTTGAGCTGGGCTTTGGGTGAGTTCTTGATAGAGAGCACATTAAGGGCATGTGATGTGGGATGCTGCTTGGAATTATGGTCAAATGCTTTACAGAAGAGATAAGGATGCAGCTGTCCATCCAATGTATTCAAGCAGGGCCAGGGAGAGAGGGAGAAAGCTGGACTCAACTGTGTCTTCAGACTTTTAGATCTCCACACACATTACTATTATGGTGATTTGAGCATAGGCTATCAGAAAATATTGGTGAATTAATTGATCACATGTATATTTATCTTTAACTTGGTATCTTCTATGGGCTGACTTGTGCGCCTTGCCACCACAATTATGTTGAAGTGCCAGTTTCCAGACACCTGAATACGTGGAGGTTCCTGGAGGGTGATGCCCCTGGCGAGGGTGTGGAACCTCCATGGTCCTTCACCTGTACTTCACCCTACACATCTCTTAATCTGTATCCTTTGCAGTATTCTTTATAATCAACCACATGGTTAAACAAAACAACAAAACAACAAAAAAAATGTTGAAGTGCCAACATGCAGCACCTCAGAATGCCTCTGAATTAGAGATAAGATCTGTATCATCATTATTATTATTATTATTATTATTATTATTATTTGAGATGGAGTCTCCCTCTGTCACCAGGCTGGAGGGCAGTGGTGCAATCTCAGCTCACTGCAACCTCCACCTCCCAGGTTCAAGGGATTCTCATGGCTCAGCCTCCCGAGTAGCTGGGATTACAGGCACGTGCCATCACACTCAGCTAATTTTTATATTTTTAACAGAGATGGGATTTCACCATGTTTTGCCAGGATGGCCTCAATCTCCTGCCCTTGTGATCCACCCACCTCAGCCTCCCAAAGTGCTGGGATTACAGGCATGAGACACTGCACCCGGCCTAAAGATAAGATCTTAAAAGAGGTGATTAAGCTAAAATGACGCTGTTTGGGCGGGTTCAAATCCAATTTGGCTCGTGTCCTTGTAAGAATGGAAGATGAACTGGGCATGGGAACACACAGAAGAAGCACTCTGTGGGGACATATCAAGAAGGTGGCCATCTGCAAGTCAAAATTGAAGCCTCAGAGTAAAACCAACCCTGCTGACACCTTGATCCTGGACCTCTAACTTTAAGAACTGTGAGAGAATAAACTGCTGATCAAGTCACTCAGTCTATGGTATTTTGTTAAGGCAGTCCTAGCAAAGGAAACCAGATTTGATACAGGGAAGTGTGGTGCAGCTGTAACAAATACCTAAAAATGTGGAGCAGCTTTGGAATTGGGTAATATGCAAAGGCTAGACAAGTTTTGAAATACATGTTAGAAAGATCTTACACTGTCTTGAAGAGACTTTTGGTAGGAATACAATGAATGTTAAATGCGATTTTTGAGGTCTCAGACAGAGATGAGGAGCATGTTACTGGAAATTGAAGGAACATGATCTTTGTTATAAAAGTAAAAAAAAGAGGCTGAATTGTATTCTAGTGTTTTGTGGAAAGTGCATATTGTATGTGATGAACTTGAATATTTAGCAAAGAAAATTCTACACAAACTGTCAAAGCTATGGCCTAGATTTTTTGACTGTTTATAGAAAAATGTCATTGGAAGAGATACATTAAAGCAACTGTCAAGCAAAAAGAAACAAGAACTTCATGATTTGTAAAAGTATCAGCCTGTCCATATTGCCAAAAAGTAGAAAGTGGGTTCTGGAGAGAACACAGTAAGTATGGCTGGAAAATTATTTGGTAAAGAGATTATAGATGTGGCTCCTGGATCTAATCAGCCACCTCCCAGGAAGCTATGAATAGAGAGAAATGGGAGACACACTGCCATCCTTGACTGAAGGTGACAGAGAGAAGACAATAGGAAGGAAGACTGTCAGACTTCTGGGATGTGGCAGGATGGGAAAATAGAGCTATCTAGCTGCAAGCACATGTTTTCATTCAAGGAAAGGGAAGAAGGACTCAAAGGTGACTCAAAGATTGCAAGGGCTGTCACTGCGGCCACTGTCCTGGAGGACACAGGCTCAGGGGTCAAGGCTGCCTCCAATTCATTTTCTGAGGTTGAGGCTACCCCCTTAATCTCAGCAGCCCAGCTGCCATTACCCAACTCCTATGGATGGGGCTACCACCCAGGAACTCAGGAGGTAATGCTGCCACTTCAGTGGGCCTTGAATATAAGGCCACCATACCTACCAGCAGGCCTGGAGGATGAGCATGAAGCCAAAAAGAATTAGTCTGGAGCCTTAAAATCTAATAAAATTTGCCATACTAGGATTTGGTCTTGCTTGGGACCTATGACACCATCTTCTTCTCAATTTCTCCTTTTTGGCAGGAGAATGTCTATCTGGTGATTGTCTGCCATTATATTTTGGAAGCAGATAGCTTGTCTGCTCCCCCAGGTTTACAGCTGGAGAAAAATTCTGCAGCAGGATGAATCATACTTTGGATCTCACACTTAGTTTAAATGATATTTTAATGAGATTTGGGCCTTAGAGTTGGTGCTGAAATGGGTTAAGACTTTTGAGCTGTTGGGATGGAGTGATTGTATTTTGCATGTAAGAAGTGTAGCAATTTGAGGGGTCCAAAGAGCAGAATGTTATGAACTGAATTGTGTTCTTCCCAAATTCTTATGTTGCTGTCTAACCCTGAAGACCTCAGAATGTGTCTCTATTAAGATATAAGGTCTTTTAAAAAATGAAGGTAAAACAGGACTGTTTATGTGGGGCCCAAATCCAATGAGACTGGTGTCCTTATAAGGCCTCATCTTCAGAAGATAAACTAGGGGTGTGCAAGCAGAGAAGAAAGGCTGTGTGAGGGCTCAGCAGGAAGGCAGGCATCTGCACACTCAGGGGACAGGTGTTGGAAAAAA
This sequence comes from Homo sapiens, assembly GCF_000001405.40. Taxonomy (NCBI): domain Eukaryota; kingdom Metazoa; phylum Chordata; class Mammalia; order Primates; family Hominidae; genus Homo; species Homo sapiens. Next base: position 124,721,895 of record NC_000002.12, on the reverse strand, counting down.
AACATTTCTGCCAGCACCTTGCTTGTGCACTGCTAGCCTGGAGACCTGTGAGAGAATAAAATTTTGTTCTTTAAGCCACTCAATCTGTGGCATTTTGTTATGGCAACCCTAGCAAACTAAATCAGTACTGTTTAGGATTCCTCCTGATATATCAGAATTTTGAATTTTAAAATCCCCAACACTTTGAAGGAAAACCATACTTTCCCTTAATTATTAAGGGGAAAAGTAGTATTTGTGAAAATAAATAGGGTAATACATTTGCTGGTTTGTTTTCAGAACCTGCTGACCTTAATGTCTCCTGAGATTTTTGTATGTCTATTTGTCTGCTTCTGACACCCTATATTTAATTTTTTTTCTTTTTTGTTTTTTTAATATTTATTTATGTATTTATTTATTTATTTATTTATTTATTTTGAGATGGAGTCTCACTCTGTCACCCAGGCTGGAGTGCAGTGGCATGATCTTGGCTCACTGCAACCTCCGCCGTCCGGGTTCAAGCAATTGATTCTCCTGCCTCAGCCTCCCAAGTAGCTGGGATTACATGTGAGTGCCACCACGCCTGGCTAGTTTTTGTATTTTTGGAGAGATGGGGTTTCACCATGTTGGTCAGGCTGGTTACAAACTCCTGAACTCAAGTGATCCACGTGCCTCGGCCTCCCAAACTGTAGGGATTACAGGCATAAGCCTCAGTGCCCAGCCGCATTTAATTCTTGTAAATAAACAAGGTGCAAATCTGCTGGTCAGTTCTGAGTACTGTAAGATCTGCCCTGTATCTAGTGTAGTGAGGGAGCTGGACAGAGGCAAAGGTGAGTGTTGGTTTACACTATCTTCCTCTGTCTGATTAATGGGATTTGCCCTTTCCACACTTCAGGAGGTACGGGAAAGATGGAAACAGAAGCAGAGGAATGTGCCAAAGAGCATGGACCAGCATTATTTAGGTTCATAGTAAAGAAAACAATTTTACCATCTTAAAGTATACTAAAGAAGAAAAAAATTAAGGGGCCATAAATTATATTCTCCGTCTGATCCAATGAAATATAAACTAATTATCAGCCTTTAAAGAAATGTAGCACTCCATTTCATAGCTAAAGGGTTATAGGTACACTAATAATCAATTTGTCATTTTAAATTTTCAAAAGTACAACTGTCTTTGCTATAGCAAATTGATTCAAAGTTGACATTTTAATTTCTGAGTGTTGTGGTTTTTATTCTCAGGATCTCAGCAAGGCTCATTCAGAGGAAATGAAATTCCTGGCTCTACCTTTTCTCACTCCATGCCTAACTCTACTAAAATAGCTTTTAACGCAGTAGAGTCACCTGAAAATTTAAAATCAAATTTAAAAAGTGATTTTCTGAGTCATTTTTTTTTCTTGGGATGCAAAGAAGGTTCTTTTTGGAAATATGATCAGCTGCTAAGTTATTTCTGGTTAAATCAATTGTACACTTTAAACTCATCAGAGCAGAATGGGAAGTGAGAGAAGCAACCAGACGTGTCTACAGCTTCAACTGGGAAAAAGGGAACACATGTTTTCAGAAAATAGTCAAAGGGGGAAGCCACTAGATTTTTCAACAGTTTTAATGACAATATTTGGCAGCTCAAATACTTCAGTTACATACCGAAAACAACTAATAAAATTAGTCAACAGCAAAAATACAGGCTATACAAAACCCTTTCTTATAGATGAAGGAATTGAAGCCCAGTTTATGGGAATGGTCTCACAGTGTGGGGTCACCGTGAGAATTCAGATGCTGGGATGATGGAGGGACCAAGGCAATATTAAGCTAAAAGGTCATTCAAAACTGTCCTGGAGCTCAGAGTCTCGCTTCTGTCTCATTCATACTGGCTGGCTTGGCTGTCCCTAATTCTTAGTTCAATTCTGAGAGAATCTTGGTAGCCAGATTATCCACACTTTTTTCTTTCTCCATGGCTTTCCCCACGGAAATCATCTGTTTTAGGCAAAATAAATCATCTACTACCAAGACTAGGACCACTGAGCCCTTGCTTCAAAGACCAATCTCATTACATCACATTAAAATATTAGCCATGCACTCTGCTACACTCTTGATACAAATGTTAAGGCAAAGTTTCTCGAGAGGCATTTGGCCTTATTAAAAGTCTTAAAATTCCTCTTATAAAGATGTTTCTTAAGATTTCATAATAAAAAAGATTAATTACAGTATTATTGAGAGTTAAAAAAAATGGGGATATAGTTTAAGTGCCTTCAACAGAGAAAGTATAAAATAGTCACAGGACCACAAGAGAAACTATTACGTAGCCAGTGGAAATCTCTGTGCAAGGAGGTTTTCAAATTTATATGGTGAAGTTGAAAATCAGAAAGAAAATTAAAAGTAGGCATCATTTTAAAACCCCTTTTTTTATACACCAGATCTCAGAATGAATAATCTCTTCCTTCCCGATCCTGTGATAAACTTACTACTCGGTTCAGCTGTTCTTTATTTGTGTGCCTTTTATTTATTTTTAGATTGTAAGCAGCCAGAGACGGGAACTTTGATTTCATTCATTTTCCAAACAGTATGTCAGCCACAGAATTAAAAATCTTTGTGTGCATACTACAAGAGACAATGAGGAATTAAACATTTCTTAAACATGAATTATTTGCTGGTCGTTGTAGGAGGTGATGTAGATATGCACTTTTATTTAGTCCTTTCAATATCCCATGAAGAGAGTTTTATTATGCCATTTTATAGCTGGAGAGAGTGAAACCCAAGAGGGTTGCACAATTAATACAAAGTATAAGGAAAATAAGTTAAATTTAAACCTGGCCTTGACAGACTACTTATACTTTGATCCATGACAAGGCACTGCCTCTTCCATTGAAGAGGCACTCAGTGTTCTGCATTTAGTAAAGTCACTGGCTTGGCTTGACCTTAAATGAGTCTATGGCATTCACTTAGGCACTGGTCTTATTTCCCGTTCTTTTTTTTTTTTTTAGATGGAGTCTTGCTCTGTTGCCCAGGCTGGAGTGCAGTGGCATAATCCCGGCTCACTGCAACCACTGCCTCCCAGGTTCAAGAGATTCCCCTGCCTCAGCATCCCGAGTAGCTGGGACTACAGGCATGCGCCACCACATCTGACTAATTTTTTGTGTTTTTTTAGTAGAGACGGGGTTTCGACATATTGGCCAGGATGATCTTGATCTCCTGACCTCGTGATCTGCTCGCTTTGGCCCGGCCTTACTTCCCATTCTTAATGTGGCCAGTGGTCACTAAGTATCTGGTCACTAAAGAGACAGGATTTTAAAACCCATCACACCTAAGAGAAACAGTTCCACATACATAATCACCAACACTGTTGCAGCAACAGCAGTAGCATATTTAAAGGCAATAGTGGGTTTATTTGATTGTTTTCCAATAAATGGGCAGTTTGGGCTCTTCCATTTTTTCCTTCCATGGTTTATAACCTGACACAACACGAAACACTTACAAAATGCCACAGAAGAGAAATAGGAAAAATAAAGGTCAGGGACATTAACTGATGATAGGCTTTACTGAAAAATGGAGTTTGTTGGATTGAGTTTTTACACTGTTTACGAGGTGGAAAAGTGGACTAATGAAACAGAAATAGGAACCTTTATCTTTCTTCATTGCCCTCTACCCAGATAGAACAGCTTTCTTAAGCAAAGAGGAGGTAATTAATGAATAATAATACTTTATCTTTGTATTTTTATATTTTTTATAATTCAAAGCTTTTATGTCCCACATCTCATTTGGTAAGAATGGAGTAGAAAGTTGGACATGTAGGCAAAATCAATCAAACAGTCATCCTCTTTACATTTGTTAGTCTTCTCATTTATTTTCTAGAAAGAAATGTAAGAACTGGTGTGGGTAGAGTATAATAGCATCTTGTAATTAATGTAACATAGACATGAATAAACTTACAATAAAACCTTAATATTGTTTTCAGGAGTGAGCAAGCAATTTGGACTTCAGGTGTCCTTGCCCATAATAGGTATCTAGTTTTTATTGTGGAAAAGTTCATCTTTATTGACTCCTTTGAACATTTTATTAATATATTTGTGTTTGTATCTGTCAGTTAAACAAATATGAATTTAATGAGAAATGAATAGACTACCTCTATTGAAGGTAGAGCAATCCATAAAAATTCCATCCTCAATTCCCTTAACTTTCAAACATCGTTCAGGCCAATATAGCTTACACCATTTATGTCAGATTTCCCAATATTCTGCCTAGTTGACATCCACATACCAGCAGCAACAGAATCATGTGTGATGCATCGTTCAATTCTTTAAATTGTGGATTCCAGGTCCTTATGTCACATGGACTAAATCGGAGTTTCTAGAAATAGGGCTTAGAAATCAACATTTCAGCAAACTCTTCAAATGACTTGTAGGCACACCAGGGTTTGGGGGAACACTGATGTCAAGTCAATGCTTTTAAAATTGTCTGTGTTTCAATCTATTTAAACCAATATTTATTGAATGCCTCTAGGCAGGTGCTATGGTTATATGCACTAAAGTGCTATGGTTATATGCACTAAAGTGCAACATTCAATTCTCAAGTATTCCCTGAACATTAAACTGATACAAATTCCACAATTCCATTCTGAAATGAAAACCGTTCATAGGGTGGAAAGGATGCCAATCTGGCAGCACGCAGCCTCTGATCTTCATCATGGCCCAACACAGCCTACACTCCCCTGCTCCTCCGTCACCTCTGAATCACCATCACAAAGCAAATCAAATTCAATTCTAACAATTTTAATTTTCCACCCTACTCTGGAAATGGCATCATTTGCTATCACAGTTAAAAAAGATGGTGCTCCTGATTAAAATAATTATATAGTGGGAGCATGGCCAAATGAAAATAAAGTGCGGGGGATGATCATCCAGAGATTAAGAATGATATTCAAGAGGATAAGCACCCGGGATATTTAGGCAGAGGGAAATTATGAGTAATGGGAAGAAATTAGGCAAAGAATCACTTGCATTGAATACCACAGAAGTTTTGCCAGACCAGCCCGATGTTATGGCAGGATGATTTCCCAAGAGATGGGTATTTCCACAGGTTGTTGGAAACTGCAAAGGGAACAACAGCCTAATTTTATTTTCTCTCATCCTAAGCAGGTACCATGCCAGAAAAATCTATCACCTAATCAATTTCTATTTACTCTTCATCTAGCAGTTGCCTATTCTAAAAATATGTGTTTTTGTCTTCTATTCTCTTAGGCATCCTCGATATCAAGCATGAATCTTTACTCATGGTAGGTGTTTGGTTGTTGTTAAGTATGGAAGGAGTATAGAGAAATATAAAGTTTTTCAATGCCCTTATATTGTTTACAGTGTAATGCAAAATGTTTAAAAACAATAAACATTGATAATATTCTATTAAAGATATTTAGAATTTTTAATATAATTATATAAAAAGTATTATATAAGTTATAGCTTGTACTATTACTACTGCTATGCTTTATTTATCCAGCAGTTTCACAGAAGCAGGTGTTCTATAAATAAATCTTCCAAATAGTACATGTGGATTTTTCATCATGCATTTTGAGAAAAATAAGGATAACGATATATGTTGATGGCAATTTTTAAACAGTCCTCAGCTTCCTTAAATGGATGATGGTGCCACACATTTAGGGTTATTACCATGAGAAAAATTGTATGTGCCAGTGTTTATTTAAATATTTGGAGTTATTTCAACTTTTTGTTTTACTTTGCACGAATCATTTTTTCATATTGATAGTGGCCTTGTAGGGGGCTTGGCAAAAATATAAAAATAATTTTAAGATAATTGTCCATTTGGAAAAAAATGCAATCCAGGCTTTAAAAAGTTAAGAAATAAAAAAGTAACTTAATCAAGGTGCACCTGGGCTTGAAGCTTCACCTGTATTCTGACTTATGTAAACATATACCTCAGTAGAATTAGTTTTAGAGGAGTTGTACACTCGCTTTTTGGTATATTTCAATGGGAGGGTCACCTTGAGAAGAATTAAGCTTATAAAATCTCTATTTTGAGAAGGGGACTTGGTAGTCATTTTATTTGTCTGCTTATTTATTCAAGCATCCATCTTCTATTAGACGAGGTGGCAGACTAGTAGCTGTTCCCCCATATCCAATCTCCTTCTTTCTATAGCAACGGCATTTTCGGGAGAGTATTGTCACCCAGATGAAGATTGCATTTCCAAGGCTTCTTTGTAGCAAGTTAAAGCCGTGTGACTAAGTTCTCATCAATGGTATATAAATGGAAATGATACATGTTCCTTAAAGAAAAATACCACCCTTCTTAAATGACGAGTTAATGGGTGCAGCATACCAACATGGCACATGTATACATATGTAACAAACCTGCACATTGTGCACATGTACCCTAGAACTTAAAGTATAAAGAAAAAAATAAAAATTCCACCCTCCTTTTTTCTTTGGTATTCCAGCCTCAGTGGGAACATGGTGGTAAGACATTCAGGATCATAATAAATTTAGCTTTGGGGGGATGACAGAGAGCAATGAGTGAGGAGTCTGAACCAAAATAACCCAAAAACATCATGTGAGAGGCATAAATATATGGTGTTCAAGATGTTGCTATTTTGACTCTAAGCCGTCAAATGGGTTTTCTAAGTAACAAGATCTAAATGTCAGGAAAGCCATGTCTAATATCTTACTTATTTCTATATCCTCAATGGTTAGCCCAATGCTTGACACATAGTAAGTGCTTGAATAGTTGAAGCAGAAGGCTTGGTGCCCAGATGGCATTCTCTTCAGTGAAATGCCCACTCAGTTCAGCTGCCTTGTGTAACTAACCAAGGATTAAACACACTCCGCATTACTGGGATCCAAGCAATAGCATTACTTTTGCCTCTTATTGCAATGTCCTACTGTCTTGTTTTCTTATTCATGGTAGTCCTGTCTTCCCTCATCCCTTATGTGAAATTGTACTTTCTAATTTGTCTTAGAGGTAATTAACAAAATTGCTGGAGTTCTGCTGAAAAGATCAATAGAGTATTTTCTACAAGTCAAAAACATGACTTTGCAAATCTGTCTTGATAGACCAGAGGTTTTTCCAGATTATCTCTGGACTCTGGATTCCTAGTTGTGTTTAGCAAGTAAAAAATGTATATGTATGTGGCCCCAGTAAAATATAGATTATATATTTAATATGTAGGTAGCTCCATATAAATATATCCATAAATATTATTATACAATATATAGTATAAAGTACAATATATAATTCACGTGTTATGTATTATTATAAAATATATATTTATTGAACTCACTAGCAGTGTTGCATTTAGAATTCCCTAACTAGGAGCTACTCTGGGCTTACTCTGAACAGACAAAGGCTTTCCATAAATATTAGGGAATGGTGGATAATGGATAACAACTTGAAGGTAATGCCTTTGCCTTTGAAGTAACACTATGAGACACATGGAACCTCACCTAAAAACCACTACAATACTCAAAACTGAAGGGCTAGTTTTCATAGCAAATAAAACTCATCATAAATTAAGAGGTTGTATTTAGCTGTGATGAGGGTCTCTCTTTGAGCCAATTATCTATTATAACATTTTCTGAACTACAAATACCTAATTTCAAATATTTGTTTTACATCACTAATTTCTGAGCTCCTTGAGGGTCATTCTGCGTATTTTTTCAGTGTTTATACCAAGATTCATTGAGCAGATAGAGGTGAAAAAAATCACAATGACTGTTCTCAAGCAGCTTACAAGGCCCTTACACTCAAGCGACTCTTGAGAAGGCAAACAAGTATTTCATAATGCATGGAACACCATGGGAGCAAAAATGAAGCTCAGCAAACTCAGAATGATGTCAGTGAAGAAAACCTAGAGGAAATGTCATACTATGTTTGGGGGGAAAAAAAGAGCCTAAAGACATTCTTGGCCAAATAATAATAATAACCACATGTGCAAAGTCAAGAGAGTATGGGGGAATATGGTATTATCTGGAGGCTGTAATTCATTAGGCAACGTTGAAGTACAGAGAACAAGGAAAGATGTTTGCTGAACTAGGGAGGAGAGATGGGGAGTCAGGTGTTGATGAGCCTCATGCTCCTTGATAAAGAAGTTGGGATTGCTCCTAAAGGTAACTGTGAGGCATTGGGCGATTAGCACAAGAGAAGATCAGGTTTCTGTTTTGGAATGGACCTTCTGGTAGCAGTATGGAAGCTGGTTTGAGAGGGAGGTGAGAAAAGGAGCAAGGATGGAAATAAGAAACACGTTATGGCCCAGCGTGGTGGCTCACGCCTGTAATCCCAGCACTTTAGGAAACCAATGCGGGTGGATCACTTGAGGTCAGGAGTTCAAGACCACCCTAGCCGACATAGTGAAACCCTGTCTCTACTAAAAATACAAAAATTAGAAAAGCCTGGTGATGCACTTGTAATCCCAACTACTAGGGAGGCTGAGGCAGGAGAATCACTTGAACCGGAGAGGTGGAGGTTTCAGTGAGCCGAGATGGCATCACTGCACTGTAGCCTGGGTGACAGAGCAAGACTCTATCTCAAAAAAAGAGGGAGAAGAAAGAAAGAAAGAAAGAAAGAAAGAAAGAAAGAAAGAAAGAAAGAAAGAAAGAAAGAAAGGAAAGAAAGAGAAAGAAGAAAGAAAGAAAGAAAGAAAGAAAGAAAGAAAGAAAGAAAGAAAGAAAGAAAGAAAGAGAAAGAAAGAAAGAAAGAAAGAAACAGAGAAAGAAAGGAAGGGAGGGAGGAAGGAAGGAAGGAGGAAAAGAGAGAGGGAGGGAGGGAGGAAGGAAGGAAGGAAGGAAGAAAGGAAGACATTGTTACAGTCCCATAGTAGTAGAAATTCAGCAGATGCTTGGTAGCCAAATGCTGTGGTCTAAATGTGTGTGACCTCCACTTCTCTAAATTCATATGTTGAAATCCTTACCTCCAAGATGATGGTATTAGGAGGTTTCCCTTTGGGAGGTGATTAGGTCCTGAGAACAGAGGCTTCATAATGGGATCAGTGCCCTTTATAAAAGAGGCCTGAAGGACAGACTCAACAGCTCACACCTTTAATCCCAGAGCTTTGGGAGGCTGAGGCAGGAAGATCCTTTGAGTCAGGAATTCGAGGCTTCAGTGAGCTACAATTGCATTATTGCACTCCAGCCTGGGTGACAGAGCAAGACCCTGTCTCTTAAAAAGAAAAAAAAAAAAGGCTGAGAGTGCTCTGGCCTCTTCCACCATGTGAGGACACAGCAAGAAGGCACTGTTAGTGAACCAGAAAGAGAGCCCTCACTGTACATTGAACCTTCTGACAACTTGATCTTGGACTTCCCAGCCTCTAAAACTGTGAGAAATTAATTTCCGTTATTTTTAAGCCATCCAATCTATGATATTTTATTGTAGCAGCCTGAATTGTCTGACACACCAGCAGCAGCTCCTTCTCCACATACTTCTGTCATGCTAATAAAACCCATGTTAGGTAGAACATCAGTGGGCAAGAGCAGAGCTCCAAATCAGGCAGCTTGGATATGAGTCCTGGCAGCTGTGTTACCTTTGTCAAAATCCTGAACCATTCTAACCTTTCATTTTCATTGCTGTAAAATGAGAATAATTATGCTGTCTAGCAAATATGGTTGTTGTGAGGATTAAATGAGGCAATACAAGTAAATGCTTAGAACAGCATCTGGCCTGCTCAGATTTAGCCTTATTTGTAGTTATTATTATGATTACACTACTGCTACTAATTGATTCATGTATCCACCCAACATGAGTCTGAAGGGAGGTAAGTCCCAGAAGAAAAGTAAATCATAACTGGTCTAAATTAATGAACGTGCTTAAATTTCTCTTGCAGTGATTGTTTTAGACAGACATATCACACACTCCTGGCCAATAAGACATAAAAGGATATCAGGCCAAGAACTTAAAGTGAGTTGTAAAGAAGGCTTCCTTCTGCTAATGGATGTAATTCTTTCTGTTGAGATGCTGGATCTTCTGCACGTGTCTAGGGTCAGGCTTAAGGAAAATAGTAAAAAATAGAAATTACTTATCTGTGATGAGGTGCTGAATTAAACAATACTAGAACTGTCCAAATATAAATTATTGTTATTGTTTTTTTTGAGACAGAGTATTGCTCTGCTGTCCATGCTGGAGCGCAGTGACACTATCTTGGCTCACTGCAACCTCCACCTCCCTGGTTCAAGGGATTCTCCTGTCTCAGCCTCCCAAGTAGCTGGGACTACAGGCACGTGCCACCCTGCCTGGCTAATTTTTTGTTTGTTTGTTTGTTTGTTTTTAGTAGAGACGGGGTTTCACCGTGTTAGCCAAGATGGCCTCAATCTCCTGACCTCATGATCCACCTGCTTCAGCCTCAAATACAAATTATTTTTGTTAATAAATATCCATATCGCTTAAGCCATGTTGCCTGTTTGCTGTTACTTATGGTCGAAAGCATCTTCACTGTTACATTTAGTACAAAATAAGAAGAGCCTGAACTAAAGCAGATAGAGACAGGGAGAAGGAAATCATTTGAAGTCTATTATGGAAGTAGCATATAAAGGAGTCAGTGACTAGTTGGATGTTGGGGGCATGGAGAGATGGAACAGTGTGTGTGGGTGCCATTCCCTCTGATGAGTTTTATAGGAGAAATATATATTTTTTTAATTTTATTATTATTATTTTTTATTTTTGAGATGGGATCTCACTCTATCGCCCAGCCTGGAGTGCAGTGGTGTGAACTCTGTTCACCACAACCTCCGCCTCCCAGGTTCAAGCTGTTCTCCTGTCTCAGCCTCCCGAATAGCTGGGATTACAGGTGCGTGCCACCACACCTGGCTAATTTGTGTATTTTGAGTAGAGATGGGGTTTCACCATGTTGGCCAGGCTGGTCTTCAACTCCTGACCTCGTAATCCACCCGCCTCTGCCTCCCAAAGTGCGGGGATTACAGGCGTGAGCCACCGTGCCCAGCTTATAGGAGAAAGATTGTAAAATGAAGGGATGATAAATTCAAAAAATCAAGAAGTGAAGAAAGAAGAATCTACTACAACATGAATGCACAGTAATGGCAAGGAGAGAAGCAGTGGAAAACTTTCCAGAACACCCAAAGAGAGGTTTTCAGGAAAATCAGAACAGATTTCACTGTCACAGAAAAGTCAGGCTGGATAACGATTAAGACATGTTTGCTGAATTAAACAATGAAGTGATCCTGGATTGCTCTGAAAACAGTAATTTCAGAAAAGTTTTGAAGGGAGGAGTCAGTCTGCAGTGAATTAAGGAGTCAGCCTGGGATCAAAAGCTGGAGACTGGGAAATTTGGCTGCAAAATGTCCAGGAAAGATGGAAGCAAATTGCCATATCTTCAGCACCACACATGGTGTATTGTCTACACTCTGCAGACATTTGCTGGATGGAGTGGTGGATTGACTGATGGGTTCACCGACAATGGATGATAGGTTCTCTTGTTGAACTGAGAAGACTTAAACATTCTAGGCTCTAGGATCCAAATTTATATAGAGAAAATCTATTGGTTTTCTATTACAGGTTGCGTACAAAAGCATCTGAGAAACTAGAATTTCCCTACCAAAGCTTGTTTTATTTTGCTTATGAAGAAATTTGCAAGATGGAAACTCTCTGACCAGAGGTAGCCTGAAATTGTTGCCCATACAGTGCTTTTAATCTTCTGAATTAATTTGTCAATATTTAAAAATCAAGAGATTTATTATAAAGAGTTTCTTGGGGCTTTCTAGAAAGTCAGAAGTCTTGGCAACACTGGGTCCCACATTCCCACTAACCAGCTGCTCCTGTAAGGGGTCCCTTGGGTTTTCTCTTCACTGCTCACCATCATCTCGGCATAAACACAACATTGTCAAACTCTGAATTCCAGCTTCGATGACCATCTACTCAGTCACTACAGATGGCAAAAAGTAAGACCCGGGACCACTTTTTTTGTAATTTTGTAGGAAATTTTTTAAAGTAATTACTTTTTTACATTTAAATCTATCAACATTGAGAAACCTAAGAAAACCATGGTGTACTCTGAGAAAAATAGAAGCTACTATATTATTTTCTTAAGAAAAGTTAGCTGAAGATTGGGAATAGGACAAAGGAATGACTGATACCCTTTCAATGTCATATGAAGCATTGTTGAACAGATCTATTCAATATTTAATTTAATTTTCTAGAAGATTATTTAATTATCTGGTGGATTAATTATCCCTTTAGAGGATTTATCTTTGTTTGATGTGCACTTTACTATTGATTAGGACCACGTATTAACTTGTAGATTTTGTCCAGTGGGGATAAAAATAATTTTAACTCCAAAAATTATGATTCATAGTCTTATAAGATATTAACTATTTTGTCTCTGAGCAGATTGCTGTCCTGACTGACTACACAAATCTCTGTTCCTCAAGCATTCTTTGAACCAACTTTACTTCCCATTTGAACCAACTTTACTTATATAACTCATTAATGGTTCCCTCTTCAATTGGTTATACAAATTTTCTACTTGTATTCATTCTATATTTATGTAAGACTCATTTTTTCAACTTTATAAAATTTGTAATTTAACATCTTTCAGGAAGGCAGTTTTCCTTAATATTTATTGCTTAGACAAGATGGGTCTTTGTAGAAATAATGTCTTCATTTATGTGACTGCTTGGCCCTCATAGACATTTTTATTTATAAGTCTATTAAAAAGAGCACACACACACACACACACACACACACGCACACACACACACACCCTCCCTCCCCCAGGAAGCTTGCAGTTCCTCTTCAACTGTTATCTCACATTTCAGTTTGAATGAGAGTTCTGATTGCAGCAGAGATTGTCCAAAGAAACTTGCTACTTTTATGGGCCCGAGGCAGGAAAAAATATGGAATACAAATGGTGCTAGATACTGCCCACTGCACAGTTTTGCCCAGAGAGGCTCTGCTCCATATTCTGTGGAATGAAGCACAGCGCACGGTGAGTGAGTTTGCACTGTGATTTAGTGTTCACAGAAGGGTGCTGTAAGCTGGGCCCTCTGCCCAGGTTGCAGAGGAGAAAAAACACATTTCTCAAGCTTCTCTGTAGTCAGGTAAGATTTCACCAAAGATAGCATGGACATAAACAATTGCTGATTCACCACAGTTATCAACTGCTGAGCAATTCTGGCTTAGAGAACTCAGCAATTAGTGCCCACAATTAATGACCACTAAGTGATGATGGGGGAATCCACCGCCACCAAAAACATAGTCAGACTCATTCTTAGGATAAAGGTAGTAGCAAGGAAACTCTTTGTAGCATCCTTACTCTGGAATTCCAGAACTGCAGCTCCAGCAAAGACACATAAATGCCAATGTCTGTCACAACACTAAACGGCATTGTAATTTCCATCCCTCTGTGCTCAGTGTTTTCCTTGTACCTCCAATCCCGAGATACATTTTCCGCCTTTGTTTGGCTTCTTTGTCCCTGCAGATTGCACTGCCAGGTTCCCATGTCCGCCCGCCAATAGAAGCACCAGCAGGAAATGGAGATGACAGCGAGATCATGACATTTCCTTCTGGATTCCTCTCTGCTTTTGAGAACTACCAATGATTGAGCTCCTTCATTGACTCTAGCTTCCACTGGGCACTTCTCTTCCACTGCTCCAGCTCTATTTCCTCCTCAGTACCAGGCTTAGTGATGACTTCCCACTTTTGCTAGCATCCAGGTGCCTTCATTTTGCCTGTGGATACCTCCATTCCTACTGACACCTTCGTAAGCAGTTCATCAGTAAAGCCTCTCCATTTTGACTATTTGAGTTAAAGTCTGGTTTATGCAGTAATAAATGTGAAAAAAAGTTCACTTGAGTTTTTAGCCTATTAATTAAAACTCAAAGAACATCATAAGCCTAGTTGTAAATACTCAAATGATTTAGAAAGCAACAGTGAACAAAACACCATCATGTAGGTCCAACTAGTTACTTGACATATTAATTCCCTGTATTCACTTCAGCAGTTTCTGTTACATCATTGATAGTGATTTTTTTTAAAAGTTTTATCCTGGAAGCATTGCTTGTATATATGAAGTTATTTGTCGTCACTTTTACTGTAAGATGTCCAAATTGGAATAATAATTGTATGTAATTCAGCTTGCACTGAAAGGAAATTTACGATACTTGAGGCTGATGACAAAAATTTTCCTTTAACAACCAATTCTTTTTGAATCCAGAAAAATAAAGGAAGAGATGCCCATTTTACAGAAATAGAAAGTGAGGTAGAGAGGTGTTAGGTTTGTTAGATGTCATGGGTTGAGCCACTGCAGAACTGGACTTAGAATTCAGGCTCCCACCTTCAAATCCCTCCTAATCTAGCAATTTCTGGCCATCGAGGAATGTGATTATTTTGTTTGGGATATTGATCTCTTAAATGGCTAAGACATGACAATGATGCGATGGGTGGAGTATGTGAAGGATTTTTTTTCCTTAAAACTTTATTAACATTTATTGCACTCTGGATTTATTTAGATAATGAAATAATGTGATGTAGTTCAAAAAATGTACCACACTTTCTAGAGGTATTTTTATTCCCACTTACTTGGGAAAATGCCAGTTGCACAAATAAACAAACAAAAAACTCAATTTCAAGTTCTAATGGAAATTTTTGAAGGAATCAAAGTCCATGCCTCATCTTTTCTCTCTTGCCAGACCTCCAGGTGACCCTGGGCATTACCTCTGAGCAGGGACTCTCGCCCTCTCCTCAGTGTCAGTGAATGATCCCAAGTTGTTTATTCTTCTTCTTCTTCTTCTTCTTCTTCTTCTTCTTCTTCTTCTTCTTCTTCTTCTTCTTCTTCTTCCTCTTCTTCTTCTTCTTTCTTCTTCTTCCTCTTCTTCTTCCTCTTCTTCTTCTTCCTCTTCTTCTTCTTCCTCTTCCTCTCCTCCTCCTCCTCCTCCTCCTTCTTCTTCTTCTTCTTCTTCTCCTCCTCCTCCTTCTTCTTCCTCTTCTCCTTCTCCTTCTTACTCTTCCTCTTCTCCTCCTCCTCCTCCTCCTCCTCCTTCTTCTTCTTCTTCTTCTTCTTCTCCTCCTCCTCCTCCTTCTTCTTCCTCTTCCTCTTCTTCTTCCCTTTCCCCTTCTCCTTCTCCTCCTCCTCCTTCCTCCCCCTCCTCCTCTTCCTCCTCCTCCTCCTCCTCCTCCTCCTCCTTCTTCTTCTTCTTCTTCTTCTTCTTCTTCTTCTTCTTCTTCTTCTTCTTGAAACAGAGTCTCACTCTGTCACTCAGGGTGGAATGTAGTGGTATAATCTCAGCTCACTGCAACCTCCACCTCCCAGGTTCAAGTCATTCTCCTGCCTCAGCCTCCTGAGTAGCTGGGACTACAGGCATGTACCACCATGAGCCGCTAATTTTTGTATATTTTATAGAGATGGGGTTTCACCACTTTGGCCAAGCTGGTCTTGAACTCCTGACCTCAAGTGATTCACCTGCCTCGGCCTCCCAAAGTTCTGGGATTAGAGGCACGAGCCACCATGCCCAGCCTCAGGATACACTGAGGGACACAGAAATCATGACAAATAAGCAATGAACTAATAAGAAATGTTTTGGGAGAAAATACACATATTATCAGAAATTCACATCAATGTAAAATTTTCCAAAATAAAATTTCCCTGAATTAATATTTTGCATCATGCTTTAGCTGTGGCTGCAAGACACAAAAGAGTTGACACTGCAGAAATCTTTAAATTCTGTCTTTTTTTTTCTTTTCAAACCAATGGACATTGACCCCAAGCCTTACAAAACTAATTATTTCTAACATTTGGAAAGGGAACACTCGTCTTTTGGGTAAGTCCCTTTGCTGGAGATGGTGTGGAGCAGTAACCTAGAATCAGAGCTGCTACTTCATAATTCTCTAGTGCCAAGGTCAAATCTGCATAGATTCATTAGTTTCTTCTGGACCCAACAACAGCAATTCAGGTAGGAGAGATGAGACCTGGGCAGAATGAGCTGTTAGGTTTTCCCTTTGCCTGTGATGATCAGAGGCCTAGAGTGAAGGAGAAACAGTGGATGTCCACAGTTATTTTCAAACTAAACATCACACAAGGTGACCAGGTGGTAAAGCATGATGAACCAAGGGTTAACCTGAAATTTAACAGTTTGCTTTATTAATTTCAAGACCATTCAGTGTCTAGGTATTTGAACATCTTAAAACTTTATTCAGATTTTTTTTTTTTTTTACTTTTCCTATGGTGCTAAAATACTTTGCTCAGATTTTTACGCTACTCATTTTTATGCTATTCATACTCTCTTTGCTATTAAAAAATCATTTGTTTTATGGAATTGTATTATGTTCTTCTTATTATAAATCATCCATAATGTCAACCCCCATTAATTCAACATTTATTTAAAGTGCCTACTATATGCAAGATACTATTGTAAGCATTGGATTTGTTTATTTATTTATTATTTTTATTTTTTTGAGATGGAGTCTCTCTCTGTCACTCAGGCTGTAGTGCAGTGGTATAATCTTGGTTCACTGCAACCTCCGCCTCCCGGGTTCAAGCAATTCTCCTGCCTCAGTCTCCCTAGTAGCTGGGATTACAGGCACATGCCACCACACCCGCCTAATTATTTTATTTTTAGTAGAGACGAGGTCTCATCAGGTTGGCCAGGCTGGTCTCGAACTCCTGACCTCAGGTGATCCCCCTGCCTCGGCCTCCCAAAGTGCTGGGATTACAGGTGTGAGCCACCTCACCTGGCCAAGCATTGGATTTAAATACAGCAAATGTAATTTGCCCTCATGGAATTTACATTATGGAAAGGAGAGTTACACAGACACATGTGCTTGTACATACGCTACACTCTATTAAAAAAAGTGTGTGTGTAATACATAACTATATGTATACATTTAACTATATATATGTTGCATAATATGATTATAAAGTACACAATTAAGTGGAAAGTACTAAGAAAAAAAGCAAAAATAGGAGACACTGAGGGAGATTGGGCATGGGGAAAGGAATAGGCAGCAGCAAGACTACATAGGAGTGTCTCCATGAGCACAGGCCTCCTAGAAAAAGTGGTATTTTAGTCAAACTTGAAGGGGTAAGGGAATTAACTAAGCAGTTGAATACAGGGAAAGGCAGTGGCATCAGCTGGCACAAAGATGCTAAGCTGAGAGATGGGGAATAGAAAGCACATGGTTTAACTGGGGTGTAGGGGGAGGTGAGGTGGTAGAAGTTGGGGGTAGGGAGACTGGCAGCCGGATGATGTCAGGATTTACAGGCTCCTGCAAAGACCACTGTAACCAGGAAATAGCTGTAAACATTCTGGCATTTTTCCTCCAGAATTATTTTTTCTTTTTATACATAGGCAAACATTTTTAAAGAGTTGATATAACATTAAACATATAAGAAGTACTCTGTCTCATCAATTAATGATATTTTAAAATCACTTCCCTATGATATAACACATTCTGCATAAACATATTTAAGGACTGCATACTATTCTATTTTTCCTTCCAATGGACAGGAATAAGTAAACAGATATAGTTCCTGGCATGTTCCTGGAATAGTGATATAACGAGTTTCACACCTTATGTCCAAACACTCTTTTATTATGTTTGTTTAATCTCTTTTAAAAAATCAGAAGAAAGAAAAAAAAGAACACTTCACTTAGGTGTTAATGATTTTTTCAAGGCTGATCTACTTGTCCAGATGGCAAAGCCCCTCTGCGGGCCCCCTGGGGAGCACCTGTGCTTGCAACAATAGAGAAAAGTCTAAGCTGAGGCCACCAGTTCTATCTTTGTGGGTTAGGTCGCCCCACTCCCAGTGCAATCTTTGGAGTACAGATTTAAATCCGGTATGTTATCTTCATAAAGAATACAGAACTAAAGCAATTTAATGTGGGAAATCCTTGACCTTCTGTGTTTTTGTGCCACAACAGGAAAAAATAAAAAGCCTAATAGGCAATGCTGTTCGAATGGTGACAGCTACCAAAATTCATGGATGTTTGCCAAAAGGAATGTAGCCAGCCTCTTACATCTGTGGATGGAAATTTAAAAACTCATATCTAAATCTAGGACACTTTCTTTAAACCCCATTTAGTCCTGTGCTCAATGATAAGAGTGTGTCATTCACTGACTTGGCTGATGTCATCAGGCATTGACCTTCTATGATTATGATCTTCATTCACTGACTTCTCTGATGTCATCAGGCATTGACCTTCTATGATTATCGTCTTTGGGGCTCAGCAGCTGCAATGCAGGTAGAAGAGATGAGACCTGGGCAGAATGATGTCTTAAAGCCTCCCTTTGCCTGGGAAGATCAGTAGTTAGAGGGAAGAAGCCAAATGGTTTGAATATACCAAATGCCTATGGTATATTCAAACTAGCCATCGCACAAGGTGACCAGGTAGTTAAGTGCGATGTGCTAAGGGTTGACTTAATTAATTACAAAGCTAGGCAGCATCTAGGTGTTTGAACATAAAAAACTTTGCCTAGATTTTTATGCTACTTCTTTTATGATACTCGTACTTTCTTCATTGTTAAAGTATCACTATTGGATCAGAGGTTAAAAAGTAGAAGATATGCAAGCTGAGCAAGTATAGACCTGTAATATATGACATGAAGATATTAGCCAATAAAATATATATGATATTCATGCTATGATACATCCAGAAATAGCAAATATTGTTCTAAAAACCAATGATTCTTTCAAAATAAGGAAGGAAGGCAGACAGGAAGGCAGGAAGGAAGAAGAAAGAAAGGGAGGAGGAAGGAAGGAAGAAGAAAGAGAGGGAGAAGGAAGGAAGGAAAGAAGGAGAGGAGGAAGAAAGGGCTAAAGGAAGAAAGGGAGGAAAGAAGGGAGGGAGGGAGACAGGGAGGGAGGGAGGGAGGAAGGAAGGAAGGAAAGCTGAATTCATATGGAGGTTTATGAACAGAGGTTTAAAATCTTTGTTTCACTTTTAAACAAAATGCCTAGATGCTTATTCTGACATGAGAACAGCTGGCACATTTAACATTATAAAGTAAACATCTGTTCATGTTCATGTGTTGAAATAAGCATATCAGATGGTTATGTTCCAGAAATTCAGATTGGTCTTAAAATAGTACTTTTTGATGTCCTCTGAAGTAAATGACAAAATGAGGAACAGAAAATGAGAGAAAAGGGCAAATAAATCCTTTAACTGTGTCCCTACCTCCCTTTAATGCTGTATCCCACTCTGTTGACAATCATCTTAAATTCAGTTGTATCTTTTTAATAGCTACTTTTACATAATGGGAAATTTGGTTTCAATTCTCTTTTCCTCGTGCTGTACAAAATTGATATAGGGCAGACACTGCTTGGCATGCAATTCTCCAGCCCCTTCTGAAATTCTGCTGAACTTTCTCTTTAGAGCAAATAAAGCAGGTAAACTCAACAGCCATGGAATTGGCACTATTAAACTCAGGGACATAAAATAAGGCAATAGAGAAGATAACCTCTCACTCACTAAGTCTTAGGGGGAAAGCAATGTCCACATCCCTAAAGGATTACTATATCTATTGAGGACACACCAAGTTGAGAGTGGCATTAAAGGCATTTGTCCTCCTTGAAGTTCTTCACTAGCAAAAAAAAAAAAAAAAAAAAAA
Source organism: Homo sapiens (assembly GCF_000001405.40). Taxonomy (NCBI): domain Eukaryota; kingdom Metazoa; phylum Chordata; class Mammalia; order Primates; family Hominidae; genus Homo; species Homo sapiens. Next base: position 124,702,374 of record NC_000002.12, on the reverse strand, counting down.
AAAAAAAAAAAAAAAAAAAAAAAAAAAAGTGTTCATAGTTTCACAGAAGGACATCATAATTCTTCATTTTAAATGATTTGCAGAACAGAAGTACTTATGCTTAATGTAAATCGGATGACAACAAATTTGACCACTCAAATACAGATGTTCCATATAAAGATCCTCATTTTGGGCAGAAGAATTTGGTTTTGTTGTGTTATTCTTTTTCCGCTAGCCCTGAATGGATCAAAGCCTTGGTAGGTGATGAGAAAAAGAATTTTTGAAGTTTAAGGAGAAGGAGGTTGCACCAGAAATACTCAGAAAAGTTGAAGGAAAATAAAAATAGATATCTGATAAGTCATAAAGAGAAAATATTAATTGTAGAATTAGGTAATGAGTATATTGACGTTCACTACACAATTTTTAAATTTTATATATATTTGAAAATTTTCCAGTAAAATGTTGGGAAAAAAATAAGACAAAAAATCCCCCTTAGGTCAATCATAAGAGAAAGTAAAAGAAAAAACAAATAACTCAATTAAAATATGGGCAAAAACATGTAAATAGACATTTCTTCACCAAAGAAGACATAAAAAGGCCAGCAGGCATATGTAAAGGTGCTCAGCATCATTCATCATCAAGGAAATGCAAATCAAAACCACTATGAGATATCACTTCATATTTAAGATGACTATTATCAAGAAGTCAAAAAATAACAAATGTTGGCAAGGGTGTGGATAGAAGGGAACTCTTGTACCTTGTTCACAGGAATGTAGATTGTTCTAGAAAGCAGTATGGGGAATTATGAAGAAATTAAAAATAAAACTACCATACAACCTAGTGATCCCTATTCAATGCATACCCCCAAAAGAAATGGAATCACCATCTCATAAAGATGTCTGATCTCCCATGCTTACAGCAGCATTATTCACAATACCCAATATATGAAAACAACGTAAGCATCCATCATTGAAGGCATGAATAAAGAAACTGAGGTACATATATACAATGGAATATTATTCAGCCCTAAAACTGAGTGAGATCTTGCCATTTGTCACAACATAGATGAGCATGGAGGACACGAGGGTAAGTGAAATGAGCCAGACACAGAAAAGAAACTATTGCATGATCTCACTTATAGGTAGATCCTAAAAAATAATAATTCAAATATACAGAGATCGAGAACAACACATTGGTTACCAGGGTTGACAGAGGAGGGTAGAAAATGCATAGGAAATGGGAATATATAGGTCAGAGGACACAAAGCAGCAGCCATGCAGGAGGACCAAGTCTAGAGATCTAAGGTACATTATGAGGACCATACAGGTAATAAGAGCGTACTGTGTATGGGATTCATGCTAAACTAGTAGATTTGGCTGCTCTTGCCACAAAAACAAACAAAAAAAATGCGTAACTATGTGAGATGATAGATACGTTAATTTGCCTCAGTATAATAACCTTTTTACTATTAGGTTGGTGCAAATGTATTTGTGGTTTTTGCCATTAAAAATAGTGGCAAAAAACGCAATTGCATTTGCACCAACCTAATATCTATATGTATCTCATAATATCATGTTTTGTATACCTTAAATATATACTATTAAATATATTGTAAAAATACAAAAAAGAAAACTCATAGAATTGAAGAACATATTTTCAAATGATATATCAGACAAGGGCCTAGTATATAGATTACATAAAAAAACCTCTTGCAAATCAACAACACAAAGAAAAGTAATGCAATTTAAATAAAATGACAAATCCTTTACCATGAAAGGATGTTCAATGCCATTGGTGAGGAGGAAAATGCAAATCAAACAGTAATGAGATGCCATTTCACACCCACTAGGATAACTATAATAAAAAGACAATGACAAGTGTTGGCAAGGTTGTGGAGAAATTAGACTCTTCAAGTACTCCTAATAAAAATGTAAAATGGTGCAGCTTCTATGGAAAAAAGTTTGGTGATTCTTAAAAATGTAAACATAGAATTACCATATGATCCAGCCATTCCACTCCTAGGTATGCACTCAAGAAAATTAAAAACATATTTACAAAAACTTGTAGTGATATTCATAGCAGCATTATTCATAAGATCCAAATAGTATAAATAATCCAAATGTTTGTTAATTGAGGAACGGGTAAACAAAATGTGATATGTATACACAATGGAATATTACTCAGCCTTAAAAAGGAAGGAAGTACTGAAATATACTACAACATGGACAAATCATGAAAACATTCTATTAAGTGGAAGAAGCCAGAAACAAATGACCATTTATTGAGTGGTTTTATTCATATAAATGATCCAGAATAGGCAAATCCATAAAGACAGAAAGTTAATAGATTAGTGTTAATGGTTGCCAAAGGCTTAGAGGAGAAGAGAATGGAGAGAAGTTGCTAACAAGTACAGGGTTTCATTTTGGGTTGATGAACGTATTTAAGATCACATAGTGGTGATAGTTGTACAACCTTGTGAATATACTAAGAACCACTGAAACAAACACTTTAAAACGATGAATTTTATGATATATGAATTATATCTAAGAAGAGAAGAAAGAAAGAGAAGGAAAGAAAGAAAGAAAGAGAAAGAAAGAAAGAAAAGAAAGAAAGGAGAAAGAACAAATTATAGGACTCTGAAACTGAGAATTGTGGGAGAGCCTGGCAGTGACTTCTAGGCATGACCAAATGCCTCTTTGTCTTGACCACCTCCATCAATTAACCTCCCAGGATTGCTAAGAGCATTCATGGTGAATGTGCTTTCTAAGTATGGGTTACTGAAGCAGTGAGGGACAGCCAAGGGAGAGGTTGGTGGGTGGTGGCACATCCGCACAACCTTGAGAGTCTGAGAAATCCCATTTCCCAGCACAGCCTGTTCACTTGACTCTGCTGAGTGAAGCAAGGCTGAAGCTGACCTCGCTCAGCATTGAATGTCCTGAACCTCCCTGACTTTGGCCATGCTTCCAATGGGTAGACTGTAGGGTGAGAAAGGAAAGCAGAAAATATTCTGGGGGAGTTTTCCAGTATTGCTTCAATTACCAATCTGAGCCCCTCCCTGCAACCTACAAACAGGCAACGCATCCAAAGCATATAAGCATGAAAGTGAATGTATCTGTGTCAGGATGATGTATTGAGATAAGAATTTCTGTATATTTCCCTCCCCATTCTAAGCAGACCACAAAGCCCCTGTGCACGTAATCTTCTTAGGGGTGATTTGCATTGCAAGGCAGAAAGCACAGCTGCTTAAATCAACTTCCTTCCTGGCTTCTCCCTCTCTCTCACTATACAGTATTGTAGCTGTCAGCCATAGAGGCTATTTAAACTTCAATTTAAATTACATAAAATTAAATATTAAATCGCTCATTTGCACTAGCCATATTTCAAATGATGGTTAGTGGCTACAATTCTGGAAAATGCAGAATAGAACATGTCCATCATCATACAGAATTCCATTCCTCACACTGGGCTGCCACTCTTCGAAGGATCAGAGGCAGAGACACTGAGGAAAAGAGAGGAAGTGTCCCTCTGTGGAAAGAGGGCAGAGTGAGTCTCTCATGCAGGTTTTCTAATGGCCTAGGGGGTGGGAAATCCTCAGAGTGGGAGGCTCCCCAGGGGCTAGGATGGCCAACCACACACCTTGGCACTTGGGGCAGAGACAAGGGCTTTGGCCTACATCTCTCAGGAGTCAGCAGTGGAAAGCACCTGCCTGGACAATGGGAATGCCAGTGTCGACCATGATGAGCAGAAGCATAGAAGACCTCCCCCAGTTCAGGGTACTATGTGAGCCTTCCAGAGTCCTCATGCCCAGGTAGAATGACCCAATCATCACCAAGATTGCATCTCAGCTCAGATTCAGATTCAATTTGATAGGAACAAAATACAAAAATGTTCTATTTCTTGCTTACAAAAGTTTAAGAAAAAAGATTTAGTACCTGCTACCAATCAATTTATGATAAATAACTAAATATATACATATAAATAAGCAAACGTGTGTGTGTGTGTGTGTGTGTGTGTGTGTGTATCCTCTCGTCTACTTGGGCATATTAAAATCTTGAGTTTTGCAGTTGCATCTCTGAGTATCTGCAGAGAATGAGGCCTGTTTGAAGCAAAATTTCAGAGACCAAGAAATATTCCCCTTTCCTCAGCCTTTATGCAGATTATCTCTCTCACCCATAAGATCTAACAGCCTCTCTGATCCAGTCTAGTCCACCTCAAACCCATTTTGCATGCTGCAGGAAAGGAATTCCCTTAAAATATGAATCTGAGCAGATCATACCCCTTTTTATAATCTTTCTGTATTATATCATTATTTGGGGAAAAAATCTATGGTCTTAGCATGGCCAAAAAGGGCTTCCAGGATGTGGCCCCATCATATACCACTCACACCTCTTCATGCTAAAATGTCTTCTACTTTTCTATGAGTCCATCCTCTGTCTCCCCTCTGGGTCTTGGTGCACATTACATCCTAATTGTGTACCTTGGTTTTCTTATACAAAATGAGGATAATAATAGAATCTATCTGATAAGGGTGCTGAAATAATGTAATAATTAATTAATGCAAGTTCATAGAACAGTGCCTAGTATATAGCAGGTAGATGTTTGCAAATATATATATAAAGTAATTGTGCAAGGATATTAACAGATGATGAAGCATTGGTGTGTTGCTTCTGCTCAGGCAGCGTCTGCACTCCGGAGGGCACTCCTGCATGAAGAAGTCTCTAGTGAAGGATGTGCTGGCCTTATGCCAGGCTTCTGGAAGGGTACAGCTTTTTTTTTTTTTTTTTCAAACTAAGGGATGTCCTTTCAGATCTTTTCATCAAATTACTCATTCACATTGCTCACTTAAGGTAAGATAAGGCCTTGTTGAAGTTCCTAGAGAAAAAAAGTCAAGTATTGAATAAACAGAGAGATAACACTGGATTAAAAATGAGGGGATCATTCTACAAAACATGTGACCAGTGCTCCTCAAAGCTGTCAAGGTTTTCAACGAGGAATGTCTAAGAAACTGTCAGAGCCAAGAGGAGCCTAAGGAGGCATGACATGTAACTGTAACATGGCATCCTGGATGGAATCTCAGAAGAGAAAAAAGACATTGGGTAGGAACTAAGGTAATCCAAGTAACTCTGGACTTCAGTTAATGACCATTTATCAATATGGGCCCATTAATTGCAATAAGTGCACCACACAAATGTACAATGTGAATAATGAAGAAACTGGGTACAGTGTATATGGGAACTCCATAGTATTGTCTCAGTATTTCCGTAAATTTAAAAAATTCTAAAACAAATAAAGATTTTTTTTAAAAAAATCAAGGCATCTGAGTTGTATAAGCAGATTTATTATTAAGTGGATCCATGTTTGTATGACTCAAATGAAGTCAATTAACCTTCCTGAGACACTGTATTCTCATGCAATGAAAAGGCTGAAAGAAACAAAACTTACTTTCCCACAAAGTTATAAAATTCCATGAATTTAAAAAGAGAAATAAAAGCCCCAATCCATAAGTGATACACTAGCTATACCAGATCTGCTTTATTGAACCAAATCTTAACCTGGAAGTTACAAGAAAAATGTACTTATGGATACGTATGTGTGTGTGTGAATGTGTGTTTAGTGGTGATGGTGTCAGGACTGGGCATACGTTTGAGAATTGAAGATCGTCATGTATTATTTGACACGCTCACCTTAGATGCTTCAAAAGTCACACAGTCAGAAGGCAAGTCGCCCTGAGTTCTGGGTTTTCTTAAGTTCATTGATTTATTTGACGAAGGCCATATTTTAAGAGATTATTAAATGAACATAACTTCCTTGTTCCTTTTCAGGGACATATGACTCAGTGACTTAGACAGGCACCGAGTAGCTCCAGGGAGAGAAGGCAGGGCTGACTATGGCCACTAGACAGGAATCAGCCTTTCACTGGTCATTTAAAGACTACTTCTCACTGAGAGGCAGAAGGTAAGAAAAGATAAGTAAAACTAAGAGAATGGATGTTTAAGGAGTTATTTCTCTAGGATAGAAAAGATCACAAGCCTTTTTATTTAATTTGCACTTGAAGTTCTGGGATAAAAGTGCAGAAGGCATAAGGGAAAGCAGAAAATATCACTGCATTGTTTCCTGCCTCTTTAACTTACCAGCAAAAGAATTCTTGCTACTGGGGGAAAACATATGCTCTGAAATATTCCAAACTTCACTCCAGTAACATTTCTTCACTTTTAATAGGAATCATTCCAGCCATCATTGTCTGGATCCTCTGAACAACCTCCAGCAGCATCATGACCTTTACCAACATCCGAGGTGATTCTCAGCTCTAAGTATTTTTTATTTATTTGAATCTTCAGGATAAAAGAGGGAAAGCTTTGGGGTTCTTCTCCAGGTTGACATTCTGACTCCACCTCTTAACAGACAAGTGATTTTGAGAAAATTACTTCACAAGTCTTCAACCTCAGTTTCATGGTTTTAAAACTAGAAGCAATGCTACTACCTAGGGGAAATTTGTTTTAACAATTACAAGCAAAAATATGCACAAGGAACCTGGGACAGGTGCCGAGCACTCTTCACTCTGCAATGATCACCCAGAAGACAACAGAGTGATGCTTCTCTCCACCTGCTGTATGAGGACAGCCTGGGCAATGGGGACATCGGTATGAGCTGTCTATCAGTCCTAGCTCCCTCCATCTGGACCCAATGTAGATTGCTGCTGCTTCAGCTGACCAGATTCCTTTCGATTAACACAGACTTTCTTGAGATATGTTAACATACCCTTTGCATCCCACTTAAGTTTGGAAGACATTTCCTCTATTATAAATGATATGAAAATGTCTGAGAGTTTAGGTGCATATTTTGAAGTCTAACTCAAAACAGTGATTGTATTTTCCCTGTACACAAATTCTTCATGTACACCCATTGGTGTTCTGCAGACAGCTTATACTAGTTCAGGGGAGCTGCTTGCTAAATATTCAGAAATTTTGTGAATTGGCTGTGAAACATAGTTGTTATTAAAAGATAAATTACACAAACTTACAACTGATGAATCATATTAAAAACAAAGACAATACTCAACTCATGATTTTCTGTCCTTTGACTGCATTTCACAAATGTCTGTGATCTTGAGATTGTTTATATCTATTGTAACTGCAAGTGCTGTGCTACTGCACACTTCTGCTCAGGTCCACCTTCAGGAACTGCATGGTGGTACGGTAAGATTGGCCATGGTGCGATTATTCACACCACAGAAACTATACACTGTTATTATACAAATCATGGCCTGATGTATTGTTTTATCGATTCTCTGGACTGAAGAAAGCGATGGAGAAAATACTAGTAATATAGATTTAAACTTAAAAGTGTGTCATGTTGCTTCCATTACATTGTAACACACACACACACACACACACACACACAATTTAGGAAATATTCTACTAGTATTCTAAAGCTATTATTTGACTCGCCAAAGAAGCAGCTTCCATCATTGACAAACAAGCAAAGCTTTAGCATATGCCTTCATTGTTTCACTTTTGTCTTACTCACTGATGTAAATGAAAATACTGACTGGTACTTGTGTTTATATGCTTTCAACAATTGTTAACTGTAGGTTGACTATGAATGCCAGGATTTGGAAAAAAAATCAATGAATACATTCTGTGAGAATAAAATGCCCATGTGGAATGTACAGTAAGAATAGCATGCATTTTTACTATTATTTGTAAATTGCTCTGCATCCTCTATGCCAGTAAATTTATAATAAGCTTGTATCTAGACACATTCACATTTTTTTGGAGACCTTGTTATTAAACATTACCATTAAAACACTAGGGACACTAAAAACCTGTGCCTATGTGTTTACATGTATTATAATCAGTGATTTTTATTTTTTATATCATTAAGGTCTTTACCAATATTCTGCCAAACCACACAGCTATGAAGATCATTTCAGACTATGTTTAAGCACCTGATATTTCACTATAGAAAAGAGCCTGGTGCTCAGTATTTGACTCTATGCAGGCGAGCAGCATAAGATGGCAGGAATGCAGGTTCTAGGGACAGCCTGCTTGGGTTCAAATGTCAGCTTTGCCAACTACAAGCTGGAGTCAGCAAATTACTTATTCACTCTATGCCTCATCAAAGAACTAAATAAAAATGACTAGAGTTTAAAAATAAGACAAAACTATTTTTTTAAATAATTAAAATGTCAAGTTTGTTTACTACCTAGGCCTGAAAGCATTCATTTGAAGAAACTTACTGAGTAGGTCACTAAAGAGGGGGAAGCTCAGGAGTTTTAAAGTTAGAAGTGGGAGGTCATGGAGCTGTGCCAACTCAGCAATGAACACCAGCACTCAGACAAAACAGAATGAGCCCATAAGTGTGTACACAGTTGTTTATACGAAATCCCATTGTTGTTTATACGAAATCCCATTGTTCATGGGTCAGGCAAGTGTCTTCAGCTAGGTCAGATAATGGACATTCAAAGCTCACTGCCCCTTGTCAGCTTGTGCTGGTTAGAGCCAGCTGTGAAGAAACACAACAGTCAAGCTGGTTGGTTGGTTTTTTTTTTTTTTGCCTTTTTTTTTTGCTTTCTTTTGTTTTTTCTTTTGTTTTATTTTGCCTTATGACACCATTTAATATGATATAGGCTTAAACATCTTCACATTTCCACTCTATTGAAAAATAAACTGGCCCATGCCTGCGATGTTAAAGTAGGGCAGTGGAGCCCAGTAGGGAAAGGACAGCTCATTATGGTACATCTGTGTCTCAGCCACGGCCTCCACAGGGGCGTCAGGAACAGAGTAACTAACACGTGTAAAGTACTTAAAATTAGGCACATGGTAAGCACTTAATGGATATCAATGGTTACCATTCTAATTTCAGAAAAACGAATAAAACTCAGCCTAGCCCTCTATCCCAGTAGGTCTGACTGTTAACACCTCTGAATCCTCATACTAAAGAGGTTTCTATGACTTATGATATTCATCTTTGTTATTTCAGAACTTTGCACAATGTCTTGGACACATTATGTTCCCAAACAAATGGTGATTACTGTTAAACTCTTCTGGGTAAGCAGTGATATTCCTGGGATTTTTATTTTGAACATTGAATGAGATCATCTCAGAGCATAGTCAAAGAATACATTTTGATTATAAAAATAACAAAAAGGCATTTATTCTGTGCCAACTATGTTTCCATTTTTGTCCACACTTTGTGGAAAGTGGTGCACAGGAAGGTTAAAGCACTTGGTCCAGGCCCAAACGGGGAAAAAAAAATAGTGAAGCCAAGATTTGAACCCGTATCTGTGTGTCTCTGAAACTCACACTCTTGCTACCAAGCCATGCTGCCACCTTTCTATTAACTGAAATTTGTGGGTAAAAAAATTTCAGAATTTACCAGAAAAGATTCATATGTCACAGGAAAAAAAACACAAAGAATTCTTTGATTTCTGAAGAACAGATGGATGTGCCCTTTGGGGAATCACAAGCTGGGAGGGAGTTAAAGAAGCTGAACAAGAAGAGGCCAACTCATCAGCCAGGACCTTCCCCCAGAGACCATTGGCGCTCATTCTCCTGGCCTTTCAACAGTTCACTGTGCAGTTTCTTTTGGTAATGAGGGAAGATAATACCTTCAGCAACTCTAATCCCATCATCTGCATATAATTGGGGAATATGTTTTACTTAACTTTGCTTAGTCTGTGCTAGTATTTTCTTTCTCAAAATTAGTAAGAAAGGGGGAGAAAAAATCTGGAGCTAAAAAGAGATCGATTTCTGTTTGTACCAACCTTCATGTCCTGGACTCTCATCAGTGCATGCACATTAAGGCCTGACCTCATATCACTTGTGACATCTTTCCTTCCCCCTTCCAACCTCCATGGATAAGCTGAAATCTGAGAGCAGTTGTTTCAGTGATCTTTTGCTGTTTAACAAACTTGATCAAACTTAGTGCCTTAAAACAGAGTCCATACATTTTTCTGTAAAAGGCCAGATTGTATATATTTTAAGCTTTGCAAGCCATATGGTCTCAGACACAACTACTCAACTCCCCTCAGTAGTGCAAAAGTAGCTATAGTCAATATGTAACTGAATACACTTAGCTGTATTCCAATAAACCTTTATTTACAAAAACAAACAGTGGGCCACATGAGCTATTGTTTGCTGACCTCTGGTTGAAAATAGTTAACTATTTCTCAGAATTTCCTGGGCTGTTGCTTTCTAATGTGATATTCACTGTGACCACACTCATCTGGTGCTGGAACATCCCCAAAGGGCTTCACTCATGTGTCTGGCACCTCAACTAGGGTAGTTGGAAGAACTGAGAACTTTTTCATCCTTTCTTTGCCCATGTGGTCTCTTATCATCCAATAATCTAATTCGTGCTTCTTTACATGGCTGTTAGATACCAAGAGCACAAAAGTAAAAGCCGATATATCTCCTAATGCCAAGACAGAGGACTGGCCCAGAGCTACGTGTTCAAAGCAAATCATAGTGGCAAGGCAGCCTAGGCTCATGGGGAAGGAAAACGATTTTGTCTCTTAATAAGAAGAGCAGAGTGCACAGACAGGGATGGAAGGAATTGCTGGTGGACATCCTCACAGACAACCCCTCATTGCATTTATCACATCACATGTTTTATCTAGTACAATAGTGTGTGCAGAAGTTCCAGATCACAGAAGTTCATGGTCTAATTGAAGAAAACTGGGACCACTGAGCGCATGGAATGATTAATTCACCCATGAAACGCTGACTGAGTTTTCAATAGGTGCCAGCGACTGTGCTATGGTGCCAGGGTTACAAACACAGAAGCATCTTCCTCTTTGAATTTACAAGACAATATGAGATAAATGAGCCTGAAACAAAATAATTTCAACAATACTGAGGATCAGAAAACGATATCCCTAAATGAAATGAAGTCCTCAGAAAGCCAACATTGTCCTGTGACCATCTCCTGCCCTGCTGTTTCTGGCCTCTTATTCTCCCCTAAGGCTAGGCATAGAAACTAGAATCCCTCTTCCTCAAGGCAGACAATAGAAATCAGAATCCCTTTTCTCCAAAGCCAGCCATAAAACCTAAAAGCATTACTCTAACTTTACCCACCAACTTTTTGTATAAAAACTGGCCATAAAGAAATGATCTGACCTACCTTGTATGATTATAGGTCATAAAACCCCTACACCCAGAAGGAAGAATGCTACGCAGAGAAGCCAAGAAAAATGTTGCTTAAATTCTTACCCTTCTGAAAAGCCAACAGACAGGCTTTTCTGAGTTTTCCAACTCAGTCTGTTTGCATTAGATCATAGCCTTCTCGTCCAATCATCTTTCTGCACAGTTGTTCATATTGTGTTGAGCCTAAATATAAAAATGGAGTTTCCCCTGTACCTTTGGGCCTTCACGCTGAAGGCTTCTGTATTGTGTAAAAGTATGATCAAGTAAATTTGTTTGCCTTTTCTCCTATTAATCTGCCTTTTGTCATTGATTTTCTGCAAACCTTGAGGGTAAAGGGGAAGTTTTCCCTTTGCCCGTATAGCAACATGATAAATTTTACACTAAGACATGATAAATTTTTGAATAAGCAAAGAGCCATGGGAATATATTCAGGAGAATTTAGCTTGGAGACATTAAGGAAGGCTTTGAGGAGGAGACCATATTAGAATGAAATCTTAATGCCTAAGGAGGGGTTGAAGTGATGTACCAGACATGGGGGTATTCTAGGCAGAGGGAGCAGTGTGAAAATGTGAAGAGGCTAGAAAGAGCTTGGATGGTTAGGGGAAGTGTAGAGGAATAGCAGGAGAGAGGCTGGAGATCCCAGCCAGCAGGGAGCAGGGTCACAGAGGGCCTTGAGTGACTTGGGCAGATGTCTATCATTTACCTGGTAGGTAAGAATTTAAGCAACATTGCATAACAGATATTGGTGAAACAAAGAACTGGAAACAGGGACATCTGATAGAAGACTATTAAGTATTGCAGACAAGAATTGGTGGTGATTTGGGGAAAAAATTCGTTTGAATATTGTCTGTATATTCATGTTGCTCAGTGAGGGGAAACACTGCTTCTGGAGACTGGTTTAGAGGAAAAACTATGCATGAGGAAGAGTCCTCAAATAAATAACTAATACAAAGCATGTTGACTTGTAGTAAGACCACTTGAATCAAAATGCACTCTGAATGAATCTAAATAATTAATTTAATATTCAAGAACTGAATAGTTTCACATTTCTATAATAGACCTTGTGCTGATACTTAATGTGTTTTTAATAGATATAGATGATTTTATTTTTTTTACTTTTCACTCCAAGTGAGAATTCATACTGGTGCTTAACATAAGGTTTTTAAAGCATCCCTTGTTTCTTCTCAAGTTATAAAAGTAATGTATATTCATTACAAAAAAAAATTTCCCGTAAGTGAAGATGAAAGAGTTGTAAAACAGAAAGAGTGTGAGGGAGAACAGAACTTCCCCTTTTGGCATCTCTTACAATTTCCTTCTGAACACCCCCTTTCCCTTTGTTCTACAAAAGTATAAAGACTCATTGTCCTATATTGGGCACACAGGCAAAATGGGAGAGAAAAGAAGTAATGCTAATTTTACTTCTTACAGAAGTCTGTACTTCTGCTCACAGCAAGACCAACTGAACTAAGAATAAAAATATTATGAAGATTATAAATAGAGATTGAAGTGTTTTTTGACCTATGCTGCAGAGATACTGACTCACCTCTGATTCCATTGCCCCACCCAATCAAACACACACACGCACCATAAACACACATGCACATTCACACATCTGAACATACACATATGTGCACATAAATGCACACATGCATATACACAGATATAAACACACATATCCACACACGTGCACACATATACATATATGTGGACAGGCAAACACATGTGTGCATACACATGTATACATGCAGAGACACACATGCAAATACCAGATACTATTTTATGTTACAGAGCCTTTGCTGATGACCCAACTTCACCTTCTAGCCACATGCCTCCTCCGACCTCATCTTAGCTTGGTCAATTCCCATTCACCTTCCAAGATCCAAGAATTGCTCAGTCCTAATCTCTCTCAAGAATCCATTCCCAGGGCTAGGCCTCTACAAATATCTTCATCCCGATAATGGTTAATTTGTTTAAAATTATTTGTTTACTGATTTATCTCCTGCATCAGACTGTGAGTTTCCAAGGAGCAGTGCTCTGGTCTTACCACTGAATCCCCAGGAATTGACATAAACCCAAGGAAAGAGTAAATATTTGATAAATGTCTACTGAGCTGGGCGTGGTGGCATGCAAAGTAGAAACAGTAGTGACATTAAAAGCAATAACATGACAGTTCTCTGAAGCAGGAGAATGGCAGGGGTTGTTGTGTTCATTTAAGAAGACCAATCTGACTAGTAATTCTTCATATCCTATGTGTGAACATTATCCTTGTATAATTATCTGCCTGCTATTATCAAAATACATTACCACTGAATTCAATGTTTTCCTCACCTTTTATTTTTATCGTGTTTTACAGCTAACTTTTACCTGTGAATTATTCATAATACATTTTAATAGGTATAAGATAATTGACCTTGTCCGCATGAGGCACCCATAGTCTCACCCTGTAATAATTAACTCTCAGATGTGGGCTATTATTCAAAGGTAATGACTTTTCATCAGTTTGGCAATACATTATTGCTTAAAAGGTCCATCTGATTAGATATTTCACAGCTCTGCTTTGTAATTCCTCCCCTTCCCCAGACACTTGCTAGCTAACTGCATGTCCCCGAGTGAACTCAGCCTCATAGTATTTCCAATCGTACAATGGATTCTTCCTTTTTGTATTAATTGAATTATCATGTGCTTCCTCATGAACCCAACATTCTATGACTTATCCTAAAATTCTACGTCATTCTATCTGACTCACTCCTCTGCATTTTCCTTTTTCTAAAATAGTCATCCAGACTAACTGATGTTTTCCCTGAATTTTGCCCCCTTTAGCAAATTTATGAAAATAATACCTCAAGTGGTAGCGATTTATGGAAACATCCCAGCAAATAATATCTCATAGATAGCAATGTTTCCTCCAATATCTTCAAGGAAAAAATAAGGTCTAGACTCCCCATATGCCCTCAGGATTCTATTCGTTTTTTTAAAAAAACTTTATTCCAGCATTTCCAAAGATATTATTGCCAAAAGAATCTATCATAGCTGTATTTCAACAAAACAAAGTCCAATTAGAGAATCTTGCCGTCTTTGTTGTTGGCAATTGATACAGAGTTAAGTTATAGTATGAAATTTGCAGTAGAGAATTTATGGAAAAATCCCAGGAAAGACTATCTTATAGCTAGCAATGCTTCCTTCAATGTCTACAAGGAAATAAAGCAAGGTCTGGAGGGGGTGTGACCCTAGGATTCTCACCTGCTTTTGATGACTACAGGAGTTTCATAAATTTGAACACTATCAATTCAGAATTAGTACTAGTAAAATGTACTTGAATAAATTCTTCAATTTTTGAATACATAATTTGATAAGTAAATGTCTACCTCAGTATAACAAAACAGGGCAAATTTAATCTATTAAAAACACATAACATACCTCCACATTTTATTACCCTAATTTTATGTACATGGTAACTAATATTACAAATGATTATTCTATATTCATTAAAATCAGGGTTTTTGCCTGAGAGAAAGTATGTTCTAAAGGAAAATAGCTATTTTTCATTACAGACTTTTTGTAGTTCAATCAGATCTCTCTACTTGCCACGTACAAGTTTCTCCATAGTTTCCATGATCAGGAAGTACCATCCTTTCTGAATATAGAAGTTGCTTCCTGTGATTACCAACCACCTTTCACATCAATATTCTCCAAGCACTCAAGAGAGGAAGTTAAGAAAAATGTAATTCCGTGTGAAAAGGAAACCCATGAACCATAATGAAACTTGCAGAGTAGCACATTTCAGATTAAAGAAAAAACAGGTAATATTTAAAAGGTCTTAAAGAATGTTAAACATATCTAATGAAATGCTTAATAACTGTTCAGGAAGGCCTAGCTGTTAACACCACCCACAGTCATCTAGATAAATTGGGTGGTTGTTAAGTGAAGACCTGAGTATAGAGACTGCACCTGCACTACCTAATCCAGACTCCCTCTTATAATGCAGTGCTCAGGCTCTTCAAGCAGAAGAACTTGTGTGGGAGATTTTTAACAGGTATCCCAATCTTACATACCATGATTTGAGAGACACTGGCATGGAGAGAATTAGTGGCACTATGGCCCTTCTCTCCGTTGCAACTCTAGCCCCAGGTACCCAACTAATCACACGCCAAACCTAGAAGGAACATAGCCACAAACTCTGGTAATTTCTCTCCTATCAACTCAACTTGTGGATTGCAAAAAGATCATTCGCAATGACTGCATTTCAAGTGCTCTACACCCACAGGGCTAGTGGCTGCCATATTGGACAGTGTAGCTAAGAACATTTCTACCGTTTCAGGAAGTTCTATTGGGCAGTGCTGCTTTATAGAATTTACTTGGGATTTTTAAAAATGTATTTAAAACTTGTATCGGAAGTCAATAAATTTCATATTATTTCTCACAACTTCTGGTGCTTATAATTCTGGTCGACTTGTCTAGATTATATCAAATCTTCAAAGCTCCACATATCTATTGCTGCATAACAAACCACCCCAAATATGCTGTGGCTTTAAAGCACTATTTTATTATTTTTCACAACTCCGCAGGTTGACTATGTTCTTTTTCTAGTTTTTCTTGGAGCTTCCCAAACTTCTGCAGTCAGATGGCAGCTGGGATTGGAATGTCCAAGATAACTTCACTCCCATGTCTGTCATGTGGGAAAGGACTGTTGACAAGGCTGGGCTCATCTGGAACAAAGGGGAAGCTGGATCTTTCCCTCTCTCCGGTACCAGGTCCTTTTCTTCTATAGGTGAGCCATCTTTGGGGAGTATTTAGCACATCCATTAAATCACAGTCTACCACAAAGTATCCTCCTACCCCTTCAGTTCAGTTTTCTAAATTTCCACAAGACTAATTTGCTTCCAGAATTCTGCTGTTCAAATAAGTGTCATGTTGTCCTTTAAATCTTTCTTGAGATCATGCTGCCTTCTTTACTCCACTCCTCCAAAATATATGATAATTTTCTTAAGGAAAGGAATTGGGTCTGAACTATCTAGTGTCTGTGTACCTCTCCCCAGTTGCCAGCTCACAGCTGAGTGCTGAGCAAAAAGTAAGCCACTAATAAATAAAAGATTGAATTGAATTCTCCCACTCACCCCAGACACTACTGTCTCTATTTAAGAGTAGGAGACTGTTCACCAATTTCTACAGAAGGTAGTATGACAAGAAATTCTGGAATTAGATGGGCCAAGGGTTAAATTCTATGTCCAACATTCTATTACCTCAATTGCTTCAAAACAACTGTGAGGTCTTCATAATAAAATTGTGAAGATGACCTAAATTTATGAAAAGTTAATTATAGAATAAGAAACTTAGAAAGCGGAGGGAAAAAACAGCAAAAAAAATGAGGACTCAAGAGAATTATAACATGAGGCTTCTGAATCTTACATAAATTAGGAGCTCAGCATTTTAGCTTATGTGCCATTCATTCCCTCGCTATCACAGGAATGCTCAATAACACGCGCGCGCACACACACACACACACACACACTTACTTTAGATATTGGGTGTCTACAGACTCTTTAGAGGCATTAACCACATAGACAAATCTGCCACAGAAGACTGCCTAGATAATAAATTGCATTCGTTTTAAAAAACCTCAGTTATAAGCAGTACAATTTGCTCTACTGAAAATCCAGATTTTAGTGATTCAGGATTGAGCACCATAAAACTGCTTTTGTTGGCAGTAAAAATATTTTCACTACCTTAAGTCATCACAATCACCAAATGTAACTATTTTTCTTTCAATGAAGAGATGCTGGGATACTCAGATGCATAACCTACAAGGAAAATATTTTATCAGCTGCCTTAGCCTTTGACACAAATATTTCTATAGGTGATTGAGATGATCTATGTGGGTACTAAGAAATAAAGTGTAAGCAGAAATGAGCCATTTTACAGTATTTATTCTGCACAGCCTCCAAAATAGTGGAGAAGGCAAGATCTGAGACAGGAAAATGGAAATAATGTGTCTTCTTTAATTTATATGAGAAGGAAAAGGGAAATGAACCCCCTGCACTTTTGCAGTCAGAATTACAAGAAGTATCCGAGGGGATTTTCATCCAGGGGTGTCTCGGCTCACAAGCAATTTACATTTTGAAGATCAACAACCTTTATTAACCAATGTGAAGATTGTGTACCTCAGAGGCTATCTAGAAAAGTACTTTGAAGAGTTTTAATTCCTATGGCAGGCATGAGGGGTGGAAGTGGGTAATAAGGACAAAGAAGGAACCCAGCATCTGTTGAGGGCTACCATCTGTAAGCATAGGAAGGCCTGGTGATTAAAAGTCAAGGCTTTGGGGCCTGATGTCATGGATCTCAAGTCCACTTTCACCACTCACTAGCTCAGTGACCTTGGACAACTTGTGTGACCTCTTAAATATCAGTTTCCCCAAATGTAAGCTGTGGATCATAATAATTGCCACCTTACAGTTTGTTGTGAGAATTAAATGGCATGCTATATGTAGATCTCCTAGCACACTGCCTGGCACATACTAATAATTAAATAAGAGCTATCTATGATGAGTATTGCATAGATTTTTCTCGCTTAATCATCACAAGACTACTCCGCAAGGTGGGATCCTCCTCACTTTACAATGAAAGCCTCAAAAACCTTCCAAGGTCACACAGCTTTCAAACAGTCCATTTGATTGTAAAGTCCATGCTTAAGCCAAAATAGTCAATAACCTTTTGGCTATCAAGGCAGCTGTTTCCAGTTTACAAGAGAAAGTCAGCTCTCCAGGGAGAAAAGGATGGCCATACCCAGAGCTTTGGTATAGAGTAAGGATTATTAAAATTTCAGCACAGCTAGTGTTCAATAGAAACTTTTCAAATAAATGAAGAAATGGTTGGTAGATATAAGCTCTGACTCTTTCCCTGCAGTATAATGTTTTTAACATACACTGAGTAAGCATGATTCCTAGCTCTGGTCTTATAGCCCATGCATTTGCCCTGTGAGTGTATATTCAGATATTGACAGGACTGCATGTTAACAGCACTCCGCTGGCTTTGTTTAAGCAGCTGCAACCCTCCACCACAGAATGACAGCTGCTGTCATTTCAGGGTACTTCTGTTTACACATTTAGCTTTTACTTCCTTTCCCCAACTCAGATTCTAAACTCTGACAGTGGGTCTAATGGGCTGTTGCACTTTGCTAATTTACCTATTAATTTTGCAAATGGTCTGTTTCATGGAAGATAAACCTTATCCTTTGGAAACATGACATTCTTTAGCACAATCTGGCTCGAAGCATCCCCAGGCCTTGTGCGGAGAAAGAAAATGAATTGTCCAAGGTGGTATTTCACAAATTACTACCTCCCAGTGGCATCATGTAGATAAAATGATTACTCAGTCAATAAAGTAAAATGATTAGTCAGGCAATAAACGTTAGTTGCCTAACATTTTGTGACTAGAAAACTTTTTTTTCTGTTTTTGTCTTGAAGAGGGTAGAAAAGTGAAGTGCAGCACATATATAACTTAGCGTGTCCAGAATTCAGTGAGAGATAAAAGTTAACATGAGCAAAGCCACAAATATTCCCTTGTTTCTAGTGATTAACGGAACAGAAAAATAAACATCAATGGAATTAGTAAGAAATGCCTCATAGATTCCCTTATTTAAAAAGCCAGCAATGATAAGGATGCAAAGGCATAAGAATGATACAATGGACTTTGTGGACTCAAGGGGAAGGGTGGGAGGCAGGTAAGAGACAAAAGACTACACATTGGGTACAGCGTACACTGCTTGGGTGATGGGTGCCATAAAATCTCATAAATAACCACCAAAAAACTTATCCATGAAACCAAATACCACCTTTTCTCCCCAAAAAAAACTGAAATAAAAACTGTTTTAATAAAAAAAAGTTTTACAGTTCAGCTTTGCTTACCTAACCACTTAAATATTCTTACCACTGGCTTGTTTCCTGTAATGCCAAATAAGTCATGAAATTACTTCAGAATAAAACATTAAAAAATAAAATCCAGCAATGGGCCAACAAAGCAGTCTGAAAAGAATCTACATAGTATATGGGAGAGTGGGGCACACGGCTCCCCCAACAGCTGAGATTCATACATCAGCCACACTCTGTGTACTCCTCAATAATTGAGATTAACAGGAGTAAACACCAAAATTATTGCTTTCAGTTTCTAAAAATAGTTGACTTTACCCCAAAAAAGTGTTCACAAGACATACACAACTCATTACCATGGCCACCAACTGCAACAACACAAACCTAAAAATTCACTTTAGATAGATAAGAAAAATGTGTGATGATCACTGCAGTTGTTTACGTGTAAGTAAATATTTGCAGAGTAATTAAAACAATTTTTTTGGTTAAGTTCCTAGATTGCTTGTATCCTATTTTTGTGCCACTAATTAGCCAACATCCTTTTCCATAGCTGGTAAGGTGGCACGATTCATTCAAAATCCCACCAACACTCACAAGTTCAAAACTACACATTCACTACCTCTTCCAGAATTGCAGATTGAGGAACCTGGTAGATTCTCTCTCTCTCTAAAACAACATAAATACAGGCAAAATAAATAAAATCAACCATTTCAGAGTTCTAGCAATTAACCTAAGCCATTGAAGAACTGAAAATTGTCTACCCGAGAGAAACTACTGAGCCTCGGGAAGATGTGGGGTATTTGATGTTTCCATTTTTCCCCTTCTTCCCAGTCCAGTGGTCCAGTGGTCCAGTGGCCAGAAGCCTGCAGTCTTGCAGACAATTGAAAGATCTGAGAACTTTTGACGTTCCATTAAAAAAGCACCATTATTAGAGCACAGTCAACACTTTGTTTAAAGTCATGTTGCCCTGACAAATCTCTGTTCTCACAGTGTGGTGGTTATTTAATTGAAGTCAGACCTCAGCTGGTTTGGGGAGAAGCAGGGCTAACTCCAGCGCATGACCAAAACGACAGCACATTGTTGATGACCTCTCAGCTGCATAAGGTTGCGATTTTAGCTGGAGCAAAGAAGAGCTTGGTGTGGAATTTAATGGCAAATTTTGGAGAAGATCAGAGAGACTCTGAAAATCTCCTACATGCTCCTGGGAATCTTCAAGGTTGCATTCATGTGCATGGATGTGTACATGCCGAAAAAGACCTCGGAAAGAAGAGAGCACCAATCACTCACCTATGACTGACCTTGAGGCCCTGCACAAGCAGGAAGTAAAAGCTAAGGCTGTCTTGTAAGATGCTTGAAGTTCAAGGTATCCACATAGGTCCCTTTGGCAAAGGGAGGAAGACACATAGCAAAGCATTTTTTAAAATCTGACCACTCATTGGCTGGCCACTAAATTATACTGACAGAGACATAATCACTAGGAATCAGGATTGAAAAATAAAAACAAGAACTAAAAAACAAAAACAAGGGCCTGGCATGGTGGTTCATGCCTGCAATCCCAGCAATTAGGAAGGCCGAGGCGGGCAGATCACGAGGTCAGGAGATCGAGACCATCCTGGCTAAAATGGTGAAACCCGTCTCTAATAAAAATACAAAAAATTAGCCTGCCATGGTGGCATGCACCTGTAGTCCCAGCTACTCAGGAGGCTGAGGCAGGCGAATAGCTTGAACCAGGGAGGTGGAAGTTGCAGTGAGCAGAGATCGTAGCACTGCACTCCGGCCTGAGCGACAGTGTGAAACTCCGTCTCAAAACAGAAGAAAACAAACAAACAAAAATAAAAACAAATAAGAGCTAGAAGAGAACTTAGAAGCTGCAAACTCCCAGGAAAACAGAATAGACAGAATTAATTCAGGAAGGTCACTACATGAACACGCAACAACAAGAAAAACAGCAACAAACCAGCAACAGCCATGAACACTGGGCTGTGGAGAAATCTGATAAAAGAGTTGTTACAAGATATTATCTGTATAATATATGCCCCCATGCCCACAACATGGCTGTCTCAACTTTTTTTTTTTTTTTTTTTTGAGATGGAGTCTCACACTGTTGCTAGGGCTGGAGTACAGTGGCTCGATCTCAGCTCACTACAACCTCCGCCTTCCAGGTGCAAGCGATTCTCCTGCCTTAGCATCCTGAGTGGCTGGGATTAGAGGCGCCCACCACCATGCCCGGCTAATTTTTGTATTTTTATTTATTTATTTTTTTTAGTAGAGATGAGGTTTCACTATGTTGGCCAGGCTGGTCTCAAACTCCTGACCTCAGGTGATCCACACACCTCGACCTCCCAAAGTGCTGGGATTACAGGCATGAGCCCCGCACCCGGTCAGCTTTCTCAACTTTTAAAGGATTAGAGTCATCCACTGGTCTTAGGAAGCAAAAATATTGGTGCAACTCCAAATAAAAGTTACAAACATGTATTCTTCCACTACTATAATAGCCCTCATCCCCTTAATCTTACCAACTATTACTACGTTAGCCAACCCCCACAAAAAAGGTTCATACCCAAATTATGTAAAAATATATATTGCATGCGCTTTCATCATTAGCATCATCCTTACAACAATGTTTATATGTACAGACCAAGAAGTCATTATCTCAAACTGACATTGAATGACAATAATATATAGTATATTGCAAATTGAATGACCAATTTCCAACAAAAATTTATGAGACATGCAGTGAAAGAAGAAATTCTGCCCTATACATAGTGGGTGGGGGGAAATATAGCCAACAGAATATGCCCCTGAGGAGATCCAGATTTTGGACTTGGTATACAAGAAGCTGCTGGCCTAGAGAAACCAAAGTGAAGGCAGCCCTTCTGGGACCCAGGTCTGAGAACTGAAATAATCAGAGTCTGTGATTTGGAAAATGCTGGGAGCCCACTGTGTGTCAGAATTTGGGCAAGCCACAGGAATGCAGTTGGGGACAATTGTTCTTCGCTTTCCTTGACATGGTACTCACTTAGGTGACTTAGACCAGTAGAGGGGCAGTACATGCACTGTTTTGAGAAGTGGTTGCAGAGGGTTATGCTAATGTCTCTGTAAAGAAAAGTACTGAATACCATGGAAACTTCCAAAGGAGGAACCTAACCTGGCCTGGGGAATTCAAGAAGACCTTCCAGAGTACATGACATTTATGCTGAACCTTGAGGGATAAAGAGGAATCTGGTTGACCTTCAAACAAATTAAAATCTGACAAAGAACTTTTGAGGGAATCTGACTAGAAGTGGTACACTTTTTTCTGGATACTCATTTGAGGGTCAGGTTATAATTTCTATTCCTTCAAACAAAGGTGGAAAACAGGGTATCCATAGGATAAAAAATCGATGGAAATACAGAGACTGCTGCAGAGTTGTGGGGGCGGGGGTCTCGAACTTCTTGAGAAGACAAACAGCCATGTACCCAAAGAAATTAGCAAAGAAATGCATTTTGCTTTGAACTCAAGACAAACCGTAATAAGATATGAGGCCAATGAGGTGGCTCATGCCTGTAATCCCAGCACTTAGGGAGGCCGAGGTGGGCAGATCACTTGAGCCCAGGAGTCTGAGACTAGCCTGGGCAACATGTCGAGACCCTGTTTCTACAAAAATTACAAAAATTAGCCAGGCATGGTGGTGCCTGCAGTCCCAGCTGCTCAGGAGGCTGAGGTGGGAGGATAACTTGAGCCAGGGAGCCGGAGGCTGCAGTGATTGCATCACTGCACTCCAACCTGAATGACAGAGACCCTGTCCCCCACTCCCCGCTCCAAAAAAAAAAAAGATATGGGACAATTAGCCAGCATTTTGGGTTCTAGGATCAACTCTGTCACTTATCATAATTAGTGATTTGGAAAAAGCGCCTCAGTTTCCTCACCTGTAAAATAGAGATTAAAGGGTGTCTGTCCTCTATGAGGGTCACCATATGTGATTGTTTTATAAATGTCAAAGTCCTTCAGAATCAGAAGGGATGAGATGATAATGATGTTAGTGATTACTTTCAATGCAATGAAAATGAGGAGGCATAGCCAGATCCTCCTATTAATAAAGAACAAGACTCCCGGATCTCAAATACTGCTTTCCTGATGTGTGCACCAGCAGCCAAGGCTAGCTCTTGGCTCAATTCATCTCCTTGAGGAGATCCATCATTTACCAGTTTTATTTATCTCGCTTACCACAGAGGCACCTCTCAAACCAGAAGTTGCTGCATACCTCTCTGCCTTGTCAATGCCTGCCTGTCTTCTGTGACTTTGACTCTGGCCATTCATCCCTCTAATAAAGAAGATATGGGTGGAGCTGACAGTTCCCTTTCTGCTTTCCTGCCTGAAACAGGTTTGTTGCAGAGTTTACTATGCCCTGCCTATCCTATGTTTGAGATTCTGAAATGAAAGGTGTTTGTGGTTGACTTTACTTCATAAACATTTATTGAGTGCCTATAGCATGCCAAGCATTGTGCTAAGCCACAAGGATGCAAAGAGGCAATCAGACATTTGTCTTGCCCTTGAGAGAATTTATCTTCTGGTGAAGAAGCAGAAGCAACAGTTAAGCTACCAGGCAATTGGATCTGGAATAAAGATAAGTATGAGCATGGAAGAGCACAGAGAAGCCAAATATCTAGCCCAAGGAGAGTTGGAGAAGGAGGCCATGACAAAAATGGTGCATTCCTTTCCTGGCCTCTCCTTTTCATAACAGGGGGTTCCATTTGCTGTAGTTCCCACTTTTCTACCCTCACCTCGGGAATCCTTTTTGGGCCAGTCAGCTCCCATCATAGGACATAACATTTAATAAAGCTGAGCATCAAGTCCTACACTAGGTCCAAACCCTCACATTCTGGAATTTTTAGAGCAGGCAGGCAGACAAGAGCAGAAAAGGAATGCTCTCGGTGAGGAAGCTCTGGAAAATCTTGTGCCTCAGAGACCACCTGAAACATGTAGTTAGGTATTAGCAGAGAGAAGGGGTGATACCTATGTAGACAGGAACGTCCTGAAATGCCGCTTAAGACACCCAGTAATTGCTCATTCTGTGGTTAAATTGTCAGAATGTAGCCAGCTACATGCTGACAAGAAAGGAGAAAGGATAAAGGGGAAATTCCTGACATACTCAGGCACAATCAGTACAGTTTTAACTGCTATGCAACCTTCCTGGGGAGGCAGTCATGAACAATGTCATCATTAGGTTGGATTCCTATTGATCACTGGACCCCAGGCATGTGCACCAAATGACAGTAAGGGAGGATCCCACAAACCTGGGTGGGAACTAGATGGGAACAAAGATGGGGATGTAAGACAACAGTGGAAAACTAGACAAACAAAAAGGCAGAGACTTAAGACATGTGGGAACTTAAAGAAACGCCCAACATGATAAAAACTGCAACGCAGAATTCTTGGGGGTGTTTTTAGCCAGGTCAGCCCACTCCTCTCTTGGAGTGTACTTTTATTCCCTTAATAAACCTTTCTGCTTACTTTACTAATTGGTCTCTCGGCTGAATTATTGAGAGGTGAAGCCAGGTGGGCTTCTGGGTTGGGTGGGGACTTGGAGAACTTTTCTGTCTAGCTAGAGGATTGTAAACGCACCAATCAGCACTCTGTGTCTAGCTAAAGGATTGTAAATGCACCAATCAGCGCTCTGTAAAACCACACCAATCAGCACTCTGTGTCTAGCTAAAGGATTGTAAACACACCAATCAGCACTCTAAAAACGCACCAATCAGCACTCTGTGTCTAGCTGAAGGATTGTAAATGCACCAGTCAGCACTCTGTAAAAATGCACCAATCAGTGCTCTGTGTCTAGCTAAAGGTTTGTAAACACACCAATCAGTACTCTATAAAAACAGACCAATCAGCACTCTGTAAAATGGACCAATCAGCAGGATGTGGGCGGGGCCAAATAAGGGAATAAAAGCTGGCCACCCCAGCCAGCAGCAGCAACCTGCTCAGGTCCCCTTCCATGCTGTGGAATGTTTGTTCTTTCACTCTTCACACTAAATCTTGCTGCTGCTTACTCTTTAGGTCCACACTACCTTTATGAGCTGTAACACTCACCACAGGGTTCTCTGGCTTCATTCCTGAAGTCAGCAAGACCATGAACCCACTGGGAGGAAAAAGCTACCCCAGACGCGCCACCTTTAAGAGCTGTAACACTCACTGTGAAGGTCTGCAGCTTCACTCCTGAAGTCAGTGAGACCGTGAACCCACCGGAAGGAAGAAACTCTGGACACATCTGAACATCTGAAGGAACGAACTCAGGACACACCATCTTTAAGAACTATAACACTCACCACGAGGGTCTGCAGCTTTATTCTTGAAGTCAGTGAGACCAAGAACCCACCAGAAGGAATCAATTCCGGACATATTATGTCTTCCAAAATGTCAAGAACTGAGATGCTCCACACTTCCCAGTAACAGAAGCACTTCCAGATGGTGGAGGAAGGGCCTCCAAAAATCTACACCTTCATAAAAGCAATGAGAGCACTATTCAAAATTGTCAAAAATTAACTTTTTCAAATGTCTGGAAAATAATAGAGGCTTTTAACCATCCAAGGAGTCTTTAATAAAAATAGCTGAATCTCAGTAAGAATGGCAAGGCTTATTATGGTGCTTTAACTTGCTCTGCTCCCTTCCTTCTTCACTTAGCTCCATGGCAGCCTCGAAAACCAACACCCTCACAAGTACAGTAGCCTAACAGCTATGCAAGGGAGCAGAATGAGTTTGGTAGCCTCCTCAAATGCCCCAGCTACAGAGAATGTTTACTATTTGACCTTTCTCAAATCTCACTAAGAAGCTCCATTTCCAGAGTCTCACTCAGATATCAGTCCATGGGAGCAGCCCTATTCCCATAGCATTTGTTGAAATCTTTCAGTGACAATTGTTTAATATCACATCTGCCTGAGGCAGTGATGCCAATTGGGAATAAGAAGTTGACTAAAACTGTTAAAGGAAAAATTGGGGAATGGTATGACAATAAGGGTTTTGATAAGCTTCAGCATATTTCTGGTAAACCTGAAGGGCTATGCACATGTGCAGGGCTGTGCACATGCTCAGAAAATAACCAAAAAAACCTTAGTTTCTTACATCCCACTAATCTTAAGGACTTGCAGAAGCAGGATGTGAAAGCTAAGGAGGAGTTGTAAACTGCTTGCATTTAAGTAATGTTACAACACAAGTCAGAGACACTCAGCAAAGCCTGAAAGACTTATTGGTTCAGGGCATTTAAGAAATGTAATCTAATAGTTAGCTGAAAACAATGCTAATTAAGCAGAATCTTCAGTGGCCACACACAAAAATGAATACAGATATTTTATCATTAGTCCAGTAAACAATTAAACATCATCAGAAACAATAAAAACAACAGAAAACAAACCTGTATCTGTATTTCAGAATTTCCACATTATATTATCTGAAATGTCCTATTTTCAAGAAACACATTACTAGATATAAACAGGAAATTATGGCCCATACACAGAACAAAAGTCAACAAAAACTGTTCCTAAAGAAGACCAAATGTTGAACTAATTAGACAAAGACTTTAAATCAGCTGTCATAAATATGTTCAAATAAATAAATAAAAATATCTCTAAAGAATTAAAGGAAAATATGACAACAATATCTCGACAAATAAGACAACTAACTGCACAAAGCAGTACATACTAAACTGTATTAGTGGGCTTATATACAGATGTAAATTGCATTGTAATGAATATAGAATGGAGGAAAGAAGAAATAAAATATGTTGCACAAAAGCTTTTGTATACGATTGAAATTGAGTTAGGATTAATGCAAACTTGATTGTTTAAAAATAAGGTGCCAATTGTAATTCCCAGGATAACCAAATTGAAAAATAGACTCCAATAAAGAAGTAGAAAAATGGCAAGTGGGAATCCTGTCAGATCTATAATTACATTAAATATAAGTGAATTAAATTAATCATAAGGTAGAGATTGATACAAAAAATGGAGAATATTTAAATGATGATTGGAATATGTTGTCTATATGAGATATACATCATATTCAAACACACAAATATGTTGGAAATAAATGGATGGTAAAAGATACACCATGCAAGCATAACTATAAAAGAGAGCTAACATTATTTTAGCCACAAAATAATGTTGGAGAAAATAAATTTTAAGAAATCAATTGTTACTAATGACAAAGAAGGACATTTTATAATAATAAGAGAAAATCATCAGGAAAATAAAACGATTATAAACATTTATACGACTAACAACAGAGCCCTAAAGTAATGAGACATATGCACAAAAAAAGTTGAAGAAATGGGCAATTTAGCAATAATGGTTGAGAATCCAACACTCTTGTGTTAAAAATAAATAGAAGTAGGCAGAAGATCAAGAACATAGAACATTTAAAAAACAGTATACATCAATAGAAAACTCCAAATAGCAACAGAATGCATAATCTTGTAAGTACACAATAAAAATTATCCAAGATAGACCATATGCTTAAAAATAAAACAAGATTTAATGAATTTATAACGATTAAAATCATTAAAAGTATGTTACCCAAAATTCTTAAATTTAAATTAAAAATCAACAATTTAAACTTGAAAAGGTTACAAATAAGTGGAAATTTAACAGTACACTTCCAAATAACCAATTGGTCAAAAAGAAATCACAATGGAAATAAGAAAAACTTTGAAACAAAAGAGAACAAAAGCAGAACATACCCAAACTTTTTGGGATGCAAGAAAACAGGCCTAGAGGAAAATCTATTGTTGTAAATGCCTGTATTTAAGAAGAAGAAGGAGTAGGAGGAGATGAAAAGAAAGAAAGAAAGGAAGAAAGGAAGAAAGAAAGAAAGAAAGAAAGAAAGAAAGAAAGAAAGAAAGAGAAAGAAAGAAAGGAAGTAGAGAGGGAGAGAGGGAGGGAGGGAGGGAAAGGAAGGAAGGGAAAGGAAAGGAAGGAGAGGAGAGGAGGAGGGAGGGAGGGAAGGAAGGAAGGAAAGAAAGAACAAAGGAGGGAGGGAAGGAGGGAGGGAGGGAAGAAGGGAGGGAGGGAGGGAAGGAGGGAAGGATGGTTCTCAAATCAACAACCTTACCTTTAGCCTTAAAAACTTAGAGTAAGAAGCGCAAACTAAGCCAAAATCAAGGAGAAGGAATATTAAAGATTACACACAAATAAATGAAACAGATAATAGTAAAACTATAGAGAAAAATCAATAAGACTAAAAGTAGATTATTTGAGAAGATCAAAACATTTGATAAACCTTTAGCTTGATTGAGCAAGAAAAAAGAGAGAAGACTAAAATCACTAAAACAGGGATGAAAGAGGATATATCACTGCTGGGTTTGGGACATTGTGGTGAATGCGGCAAGGTGGGAGCAGGAATGGGGAATGACTGAAAATATGTAGAAGATATTATTTGGGAGTGTTAAAGTATTCTAAAATTAAATTGTGGTGATATTTGCAACTCTGAATATACTAAAAACAGTAAATTATACATTTTTGTGAGTACATTTAATGTCTTATTAAATATATCTTAATAAAACTTAAAAATGAGTACCTTATCATCGTGAAAATATTTGAGGGCATTGGAGTCAGAAAAATTGTCTAGAGGATCTCTTTTTTTTTTTTTAATGCTGTAGGACTCTGCAGAAATTACTTATTCTCTCTATGCCTTAGATGCTTCTCTATAAAATCAGAAAAATAATACGTGATTATTAAATTACGTAATGCCCATAGTTAGAGGCCTGGCTTTCTGACACAGAGTAGTTATTTAATAAAAGGATGCCACTTTTATTGTCCTGGTAGATAATTTATTATGTACAAAAGTGAGTCCCAAAAACAAAGCCTGTTGGAAATATTAACATATACCCTCATGTGTGAGGCCTTCAAGAAACGTAAGTTATCTAAAATACCTAGGAAATCAAGATGAGAGCTAGGGAAAAAAAAAAAGAAACTGTAACTCTCAAGTACCTTAACATTTTTTATGACATGGTGTTACTACCGCCCTATCAAAAATTGCAAATTCCTCATTCATTATTGCTCATTTTAGTCATCGTCATCAGTGCCATCACTGCAACTGCAATCACCAGATTAAATTCATTAGGAAAGCACATTCTGAGAACATGTTAGTGCTTTTAAATGTGTTTTTTTTAAGAGAATGTAGTGTTTTAAGATTGTGTACTCGACTCTTAAGACAGAACTGTTATTGTTAGTAGTAAGCTCAATACTGCTAATAATAGCTACCATTTAAAGTATTATTTGCCAGGTTTACTAGCAAATAAAATTAAGCACACAATTTACATTTTGCACAGCATCTCAGGAATGATTTTCTTACCAAAATGCCAATTTGATATATGTTAGCAATTACAATTTTATTCTCCATCACTTAAATATTTTTTCTGTTTTCTATTTCTTTGCTCTGTGATGCATTCTGGGTAATTTTTTTCAGAAATATTTTCTAGTTCTGTAATTCTCTTTTTAGTCACTTCTAATTATCTCTTAAGTTTATCCCTTGTGCTTTTAGTTTTAATTATTACATTTTTAATTTTGAGAAATTATTTATATTTCTTTAAATCTTCTTGGTCACTTGAAATAGTTTCCTACTCATATTTTAGTCTTTTTAACATGTACACCAACTTATTGAACATATTTATAGGAGAGATTTTTATTCCATCCTGATTGGTACAGGAAATTTTCCGTGTGTTCCCTTGGGAATTGATTTCAAGTTTCTCCTTTAAATTTCAGTTTTATAAAGTATGAGAAGTTAACATCTCTCATTAAACTCCTTGCCTTAGCTGTGCCCTAAGAAATGTCCTCTTCTTTTGGGGCCCTAAAGGCCTTGAGGACCAAAGGTCAAGATCACCTGTATTAGGCACATGCTGTCAAGGTAGAAGCCAACCTCAATGATGGATTTAGATTCTCCTACACTTTTTTTGACTTTCAGTATTTCTTTCTTTTCAGTGCATTAATAAAGTAAAAAATTTTACAAAAATTTCCTCCTGCATATTTTTTCACTGTTATGAGCTAACCTGTGTCTTCCTAAATTCATATATTGAATTTCTAATACCCAATGCCTCAGAATGCAACTGTCTTTGGAGAAAGAGCCTTCAAAGACATAATTAAAGTAAAATGAGGGCAAATGGGTGGGCCCTTATTTAATATGGCTGGTGTCCTTGTAAGATTAGGACAGTGACACACACAGAGGGTAGGTCATGTGAAGACACCAGAAGAGGGTGGCCACCTCCAAGCCAAAAAGAGAGGTCTTGGAATAAACCAATCCTGCTCACACCTTGGTCTTGGTTTCCAGCCTTCAGAAATGTGAGGAGGTAAAACAAATTTCTCTTGTGTAAGCTACCAGTTTGTGGAACCCTGTGATGGCATCGTTAACACATGAACACAAGTCTCACTGGGTATATCTAAAGTGGTGGCCTTTGGGCTTTCTTTAAAAGAGTCTTGGCGAGGTATGGTGGCTCATGCCTGTAATTACAGCACTTTGGGAGGCCAAAGCGGGAGGATCACCTGAGGTCAGGAATTTGAGACCAGCCTGGCCAACATAATGAAACTCTGTCTCTACTAAAAATACAAAAACTAGCCAGGCATGGTGGTGCACACCTGTAATCACAGGTACTTGGGAGGCTGAATCAAGAGAATCACTTGAACCTGGGAGGCAGAAGTTGCAGTGAGCCAAGATTGCACCATTGTACTCCAGCCTGGGCAACAGAGTGAGACCCCATCTCAAAAATATAAATAACTAAAAATAAAAATAAGAGTCTCTAAGATTAAAGTTAGCATTCATAGCACATTCCTGAAACAAAAGAGATAAGCAAAGAATTCAGAAAATTCTGCTTTTTGTAAAGTCTTGAAAGATCACTTAAATTAAATTATAGGGCCATGAGTATTACATTATTACATTTTTTCCTCCTTTGTCTTTAAAAAAATAATTTTCTTTAATCCTCACAACAACCCCATTTTACAGGTGAGAAAACTGTGGTTCAGAAAGACCATGCCATTGCTATAATGTCACTCAGCTCAGGAGCAAAAATGTAGAATTGCTGTTTCTTATGCCTTTGTTTTTTGAAAACAAAAATTAGATTACATTCTCTAATAAACTTATTTTTAAATCAGGATTGTCTTGGGAAATCCCAGATACGTGCTTCTATGCCTATGCTTAGCTTAACACCATGAAGAGGTGGAAACTTTCTAAACATTTCTTGGTAGTGATGATTATGCTAATAATTATACCAATGATAAAGTAACAGTTGAGGTCAAGGATGGGTGAGGAAAGGCAGATAAAACTGCTTTTACACAGGAAGAATGAGGCCCGTGGCGACAGGCTGAACTCCCCTGCCAGTTGGGTATATTGGGCACCTCCTCTGTAGCAAGCTGTGCTCTGGGCATGGAAAATACAATCACACATGAACAGACACTAACCTCTGACTTAGGAAGCTTAAGTCTAAAAACATGCTTACATAAGTTAGTAAATTATATCATATGAAAATAAATACTGAGGAAAAATAAAGTGGAAAAAAGGGGCCCAGGTTTGCTGTGTCCAGAAAAGATTGCAATTTTAAATAGAGTGAACAGAAATAAAGCTTGCTAAGAAGGTTCTATTTATACGGAATTTTGAAAGAGGTGAACGAGCAAGGCATGTGGTAAATTGGAAAAGAGATTTGCAATCAGGGGAACAACAAGTGCAACACCTCTAAGGTGGATTTTAGCTTTGACATCAAAAGTACAAACAACAACAACAAGTGCAACACCTCTAAGGTGGATTTTAGCTTTGACATCAAAAGTACAAACAACAACAACAAGAAAATAGTTCAATTGGGCTTCATCAAAATTAGAAACTTTACATCAAAGGACAATGTCAATAAAGTGAAAAGATAGAATGGGAAAAATATTTGCAGTCATATGTTTGATAACAGTCTAGTATCTGAGATAAAGAACTTTTACAGTGCAACAACAAAAAGACAAACAACTCAATTATACAAGGTCAAAGGAGCTGAGTAGACATTTTTCCACAGAAGACACACAGATGGCCAGCAAGTACATGAAAAGATACCTGACATCATTAATTATTAGAGAATGAAAATCAAAACCACAATGACATATGCTTCATATTCACCAACATAACTCTTAAGAAAGAAAGAAAGAAAAGAAAGAAAGAAAGAAAGAAAGAGGGAAAGAAGGAAAGAGAGAGAAAGAGAAAGAGAGGGAGGAAGGAAGGAAGGAAGGAAGGAAGGAAGGAAGGAAGGAAGGAAAGAAGGAAGGAAAAGGAAAGGAAGGCAGGCAGGCAAGTGTCAGCACAATATAGAGAGATCCAGTGCCTCCAGAACATGGAAGGTCTAAGAGGGCCCCTGGTCTCGCTGTGAGTAGTGAAATGGGGATGGGGATGGACACTGGATCACTGAAGTCAGGAGGAAACACATAGATATTGTGAGCAGTTTGTCCCTCTATAACTGAGAGGTGTTTGAGAAGAAGCAATCGTAGTAATCAAAAAGACAGGTGATGCATCTTGGGCCTGGGAATGGCCAAGGTAGCGAACACAGTGCTTAAGTTTTGCATCTGTTTCAATGATAGCCAGTTGGATTAGGAACGTTTTTATCAGAAAGTATGGGAAAAAGAGAGGAACCAAGGATAACTCATAGGTTTTTTGGTCTGAGTGTCCGGAAGAATGACTTGCTATTTACAAAGTTTGGGAAAGAATGCTGGAAGAGCATATTTGGAGGAAGAAGATCAGGAAATTATTTTGGGACATCATAAGACCAGTAGGCAGGTGGATATATGCATCTTGTATTCAGAAAAGGAATCTTGGCTGGAGATCTAAATTTGAGATTCTCCAGCATGTGACTGAATGGCAATCCAAGAAGAATGCATAGATGATGAAGAGAGCCCTGGGCTGAGCCCTAAGACCTTCTTCTTGTTTAACGTGGAAGGAGCCAACAAACAAGGTAGCAGAAGTACAGTCAGAGGCAAGACCACACTGGAGGGTATCACATTCTAGAAGTTAAGTAAAGCAAGTATTTCAAAATAGGACATGGTCAACTGTGTCAAATGCCACTAATCAAGAAATGATCTCCTAGTATTGCCATGGGATTTGGCGGCTGTAGAGCTTGATGAAACTTTGATAAGAAAGGATATGAATAACTTGTTTGCTCAAAACTAATCATTTAATATCTCCCAAATGCAGGTCCTGTCCCTGAGGATATAAAAATGAATACCATTTGCATAACATCTTTAGGTGTGCAACTGACTGAAATGAAAGTGAGTGAATAATGCAATTAAAATATGAACCACATAAAAAGGGAGCAGAAAGAACACATGCTGAATTATTCTGAATAAATCAGGGTGGGCTTCACAGAGGAGGCAGAGCTGGTAAAGCAAAATGTAATGTTACCAATAGGACTGCAGGAAGAAGGCACCTCTGGAAGTGGGAAGAGGAGTGAGTGAGTAAGGCTTAAAGGTATAGCACCACATCCTTAAAGGATGTGTCTGAGGAAGGAAAAGTGCCCTAGCACTTCCTAACCTTCCCTCATTCCTTCCCTCATTCCAGAAGCATCTTCCAGTTTGTTGCCATTTCTACCCAAATGACCACTTACTTCAAATCTCTTTAAGTTAATTGACGTGAATTACTAATTTCTTTTTAACTTACACTACTCTCTTAGTAATAAGAGATTTGAAATTATAAATTTTAAGTGCTAATGGTATACCTTTTTATAACACATTAAAATAGAAAAAAATGATGTTTTCAAAAATTCCATCCATGCATCACATAAACCTTTCCTGTGTTTCATACCTTGAGAATTCCTGCACTCAAGCACAGAGTAGCAGGGAGGGCCTGTGGAGGGAAACAAGTGTGAAGATAGGATGGAGCTTGGCAAGGCTTGGTAAATAAAGTAATTATGAAGGCCTCTCCCTGATACACAGTTTCCAGGGCAATTTATTTCTTTACAGTAATGATTCAACACATGCTCAATTTCCTCCTTGCCCCTCAATGCCTCTGGAATGCTTGTCATGCTAAACAGCTGGTCCCAAACCTTTCCGTTAGCTGCTTAAGATCTCTCAGCTTCTCTGCCACTTATGCCTCCCTCAGGGAGAAGGAGATCCATAACCTAGTGGAATCTCTTGGCCTGCTCCCTGCAGAAGCCCCGGATGCCAAAGGTTTTTCCTAGCTAAATGTATGACTACAGCATGCTTTAACAGATGGATGTAAGGCCCTCATGGTTGTGTATAAATTGAAACAGGCCAAGAGAGCCTGATACCAGACAGCCTTACAGGGCCAGGGAATTCCCTGATACATCATCATCAGTCACTCACGTTTAACCTTTATAACATTCACTCTTTCCTGTAATGACTTTTCCATTCCAGGATGAAAGGAAAGTTCACATTTTATCATTTGATGAACTAGTTCCATCATATTCGTCTGTGGCAAAGCTTTCTTGACAATTCCTCATCCTCTGGGTCGTTTCTCCCAAGGACTGTCTTTGATCAGTAAAGCAAACCTGTCTCAAGGATGCCACTCTTAGCTTCCCTTACGGGAGAAATGAGAAAGAGACAAGCAGGAACGATTATCACTTTTTCTCTTTCATCAACAAAGGTGCCATTGCTACCATTAGATTTTCATTAAGTGGTGCAGGAAGAAAAAATAAGAGAGAGAGAATAGACAGGAAAATGGCTACTGCTTAAAAAATGAAGACATAGGGAGTGTTTTCCATGCACTATTAATGTTAATGTAGTGGAATTGCTCCATCCTCTTAATTGGACTCAATTCTTAACCTTTAGGTAAACTGTGTATTCAGGCATGGTGGAGGATGAGAAATGAAATTAGCATTGCCCTGAGGCAGGGAAGAACACACCCACCAAAACCCAACGGTACTGATGAATGACTGCAAGAGGCATTATACTTACCTTGACCAAAATGGCAAGGAGCAGGTGCAATGAGCAGGTTTACATACATGAACACTGTTGTTCAGTGACAAAGATACTCTCATATTCAGACTGTGAAATGAGTAATATCAGGAAGATAGCACAGACCTGAGTTGTCAAATCAAGGCTGTAGAATTCTGTGGCACCTGGAGTACACACGTGTACATTAAACAATCCTCTGAGATTGCACAGAGCAGCCATCCTCCATTTAGCAGGAAGTAGAAATACTTTTCTGGTGCTAATCAATCAGGACTATAATGGTCTTAGCACACCCTACTGAGGTGCATTCAAATTGCATGCAGTCATAAACTGCCCTGGGGCAATCTGTTCTTCTAGCTCATTCCTTGGTTAATCTTTCCCAGCTACCAAGATGTTTAAAGTCCTTTATAATATCAATGGACTTCTACCCATCTCTAACTGCCCAATCATTGCTCATGTTTCCCCCATCGTTCTTCTTAAAGCACATCAAGCTATCATAAAATGTGTATTTAATGTCCAGAGTAATAGTCTCCCTTTAGTTCTTTGCTGTAGTTATGCACCATCCTGAACATCTTTGAAAGTCTTGAGGAATCCAAACAGCAATTTCAAGCACAAAATATGCAGCAGCAGAAGAGGTCAGTATGGGAAAGAAACGCAAGCTGCTGGGATGCGCTCCCTGCAGGATGGCTCAAAAGAATACTTGCAGCCATGGGCACTTGCAGAGTGAGGTGATGGCCCTCACTGGCCAGCTGCCAGAGAATAGGACAGTATTTAGGGGATGAGGAAAAATATGTCAACAGTGCATAGTGGTGTACCATTTTATACTGTAAACAAAAATAAAACCCTAAGATCCCCTCATCTCTGAAGAGACCCCTCGCCCCTTGGCCAAGGGGACTCTAGAGAAATCTGAAAAAGCGAATTCCCTGTCATGATGGGAAGGGAGATCAGACATGCCTTGTGATGACACCTCTCTGTTGGAGTTTAGGCACAGCTGACCAGCATTAATATTACAAAGACTAACAAAACAAACTCTTTGTGACAATAAGATACTAATAAATAAGACCTAAGGCTCTGCCAGACAAGGGTTAAGTCACACACCTCTACAAGTCACTCTCACCCAGTGTACTGGTTAACAGACCTCCTTATCTTAAATATTTTTTTCTGCTGACTCCAAATTTTTAGACAAAGCTTTACTCCTTTAACCCATGGCAAATTAAAGAATCTTTTAATCCACCTATAACCTCTAAGCCCCTGACTCAAGATGCCCCAACTTTCTGGGCCAAATCAATGTATACTTTCCATGGATTGATATGTGTGTTTGCCTGTAACTTCTGTCTCCCTAAAATGTATAAAACCAAACTGTAACCCAACCGCTTCAGGACTACTTACTCAGGGCTTCTTTGGGTTATATTTTACCCAGGTCACGGTCACTCATATTAGCTCAGAATAAATCTCTTTAAAGTATTTTACAGTTTGTTTTTTCCTTTAAAAATACATGTACACAAAAACACATGTATGAACACTATTTCAGAGGCCACAGATTTATAAAAGCAGCATTAAATGGGATGCTGTATCAATAAATATGTATAATTTTTTTTTTTTTTGAGACGGAGTCTTGCTCTGTCGCCCAGGCCGGAGTGCAGTGGCTTGATCTCGGCTCACTGCAAGCTCTTCCTCCCGGGTTCCCGCCATTCTCCTGCCTCAGCCTCCTAAGCAGCTGGGACTACAGGTGCCCGCCACCACGCCCGGCTAATTTTTTGTATTTTTAGTAGAGACGGGGTTTCACCGTGTTAGCCAGGATGGTCTCGATCTCCTGACCTTGTGATCTGCCGGTCTCGGCCTCCCAAAGTGCTGGGATTACAGGCATAAGCCACCACGCCTGGCCAATATTTTTTAGCTACACATCAACATATATATGGAGACAGTTTTATCCACACGTATGTGAGGGCTTTGTGACTAATCACAAAGTTAATTTTGAAAATTTGCTTTGCTTTTTCTAAAAAAGGGAATAAAATAATGCTTTCCAAATATTTGCTCGTCAGTTGATGTTGACATTAGCTTGAACTAACACTGAAACTATAATATTAACTAAATAGTAAAGCTAATTTTGACGTTAACCAAATATTTGATGTTAGCTGAAACTAAAATTCAGGATATTCATATTCATGATTACATGAGGATCTATAAATAGAGTTACAAATTTAAAAATAGTTCATAGTACTTCAGAGGTCTGATGGATTTTTCTTTGGTGTGCCATGCATTAAGGAACGATTCACTTTATAGTAGATAGAAGATAAAAAGGGAAAGACAATATTGTAAATATACCCTTTGATTTCAATTCTTCTATTGGGTATGATATTTTTCTTTTTTTCTTTTTTTCCTGTTTTTGCCTTTTGTTTGTTGGTTTGTTCATTGTGTTCTCACTGGCTGATAGACGTTAAGGCTATGCACCAATTACTTCTGTCTCGTCACCTTCTGAGCACACGGTAGGATTAAACTTCCTGGCCAGGTGCAGTGGCT
The DNA here is from genome assembly GCF_000001405.40 of Homo sapiens. Classification (NCBI taxonomy): domain Eukaryota; kingdom Metazoa; phylum Chordata; class Mammalia; order Primates; family Hominidae; genus Homo; species Homo sapiens. The sequence continues at coordinate 124,664,969 of NC_000002.12, read as the reverse complement.
CACGCCTATAATCCCAGCACTTTGGGAGGCCAAGGCGGGTGGATCACCTGACGTCAGGAGATCGAGACCAGCCTGGCCAACATGGTGAAACCCCATCTCTACTAAAAATACAAAAATGAGGTGGGCATGGTGGCACATGCCTGTAATCCCAGCTACTCGGGAGGCTGAAGCAGAAGAATCGCTTGAACCTGGGAGGCAGAAGTTGCAGTGAGACAAGATTGCGCCATTGTCCTCCAGCCTGGGTGATAAGAGCAAAACTCCGTCTCAAAAGAAACAAACAAACAAAACTTCTTTGTCCCCTGCGGATTGCATGTATTTCATTCAGGGCAATGTGCTGTAAGCAGAAGTGACATGTGTCATTCCCAGACTGCAGCAGGTTTGACGTACTCCAGAGCCCTCTTTGCATCTGCCAAGGTGACCAGTAACACTTGAGAGAAGTGCTACTCTATCACTCCGGGTGCTGGGAGGAGAAAACTTAACACAGAGCCCCAAGCCAATTCATGAAACATATCTGGCCTACTTGAGAAATGAAAGGATGCTGTTTTAAGCCATTAAGATGTTCTGTTTCTGGGTTTTGTTTGTTTTTACCTTGTTGTTATTGCACCACACTTAAGCTTTTTCTTTCCTTTTTTTTTTTTTTTTTTCTTGAGACAGGGTCTCACTCTGTCGCCCAGACTGGAGTGCAGTGGCACAATCATAGCTCACTGGAGCCTTGACCACTTGGGCTCAAGCAGTCATCCCACCTCAGCCTCCCGAAGTGCTGGGATTAAATGTGTGAGCCACCAAGCCCTGTCACCTTTTTGTGTCTCATATGAGAATTCCAATTATTGTCTTCAAAGTACTTTTTTGGATCATATTCTCACAGGATTTTCATATCCAAGAAAATTTGGGAGGGAGACCTACTTTGTGCCAGTCACTAAAATGGCTCTAGAGGTATTCAGAAATAAATATGACCCAGTTACTGTTTTTGAAAACTCAGAGAGTTAGAAAAGTTCCACTTGAAAAAGGAATTTGTATTTCAATTTTACCACCAAAGAATTCATCCCTGTTGAGCTTCTTAGCTGCCAAGAAATTGCCAACTCTGAGCTCCCATTGCCACCATATCCCTGTCTTCCTTTAAGAAGGGAGGAATTCATTGTGGAATGTTGCTATTTTAAATAGCTGTGGGTCATTATCATGGACTCTTGTTTTTCAGCATCATAATGTATGGCCCTTGGGAAGATCACAAAGGGTTATGTACCTAAGATCATGTCTCCATGTTGAGAATCTCTCTTCATTTACTCAAGATAAAAAATGAAGCAGAGTACAGGTTTCTAACTCAGAGGCAATTCCCCAAAGGATTTTCCCTCCTTTCCTCTCTCTCTTTCTCCCTAGCCCCCAACCTCCATACTCCCAAAATGGATTCTGCAACTACTCCAATATCCTAATGTTTTATCCTTTCTAAATTCTAATGCAAAAATTGTGCTGAATATACAGATAAATTTTTACAGTGTCGGCAACTTTGTTTCTGATTTTCTTCTTATCTTATTCCTTTTCCTTGTCAATGATGCATTCACAGAAATATTTAGCTTTTTATTTTTGGGGGGCAACTTATGGAATGATTACTCAGATAGCTTTTGAGTGACTTCAGATTATGTCTATATAATACTAGTTTACTAGCTAAAATCCAGTCTAGGTTTGGCACAGTTCAAGCGAATGTCTAACTGGCGTCTGGGCAGCTGGCGACATGGCTGATTTAAGCAAGGATTGTTTTTGTCTTTCCATGCAGCGGGATTTAACCGTAACAGGTTTTACTAGATTGGTGTGTAATCCTACAGTTACAGATAGGGTCACATGGTTCTTACTTTACTTAACCTCTTTGAACATGCGTTTGTTCCTTGGTAATAACCTACACCTCACGGGATTCGAAGGATTAACTCAGATGGTTTTGTAATTTGTGTGTACTAGGAACTGAAAATACTTACCACAAAGCCTGGCCCATTTCAGCTGTTACAATCAAAAGCTGGGCTAATGTTAACAGCTTTCCTTTTTCTATTTCCATATTTTAAGTGTTTCCTCCATAAAGATTATTTAGGAACCAGAAAAAACATGTAAAGTGCATATATGTACATATATTTGTATCATATGCAATAATATATAGGTAAGAGTTTATTTGACATGTGGATACATATGACATTTGTAATCAACTACGTATAGTATGTTCTAGTTGGCAAACATCTCCCTCCTCATTTGGCAGAACCATCACATAGAGCAAAAGTATTTGGACTCAAGGTCTCCTGATCCTGCTTTACCTTCATTCTCTCTTGACATGTGTCTGTGACTTTGTATGGGCTTTGAAATTAGATCTGCCTAGAATCCCATCCTTTGTGTAAGACTTCAGGCAATTTACTTCACCTCTAAGTGTCCATTTCCTCATTTATATAACTGGACTAACAAGATCATATTTAACGGCTGTTGTAATACACACACATTTATATAAATACATGTATACAGTCATGTGCTGCAGAATGGCATTTGGGTCAACAACAGATCTCATGTACAAGGGTGGCCCCATAAGATTATAATGGAGCTGATTCCTCAAGGATCTAGAACCAGAAATATCATTTGACCCAACAACCCTATTATTGGGTATATACCCAAAGGATTATAAATCATTCTACTATAAAGACACATGCACACGTATGTTTATCACAGCACTGTTCACAATAGCAAAGACTTGGAACAAACCCACATGCCCATCAATAATAGACTGGATAAAGAAAATGTGGCACATATATACCATATAATTCTATGCAGCCATAAAAAAGGATGAGTTCATGTCCTTTTCAGGGACATGGATGAAGCTGGAAACCATCATTCTCAGCAAAACACTGCATGTTCTCACTCATAAGTGGGAGTTGAACAATGAGAACACATGGACACAGGGAGGGGAAGATCACACACCGAGGCCTATCGGGGGGTGGGAGACAAGGGGAGGGATAGCATTAGGAGAAATACCTAATGTAGATGATGGACTGACTGGTGCAGCAAACCACCATGGCACATGTATACCTGCATGTTCTGCACATGTAACCTAGAACTTAAAGTATAATATATATATTAAAAAAAGATTATAATGGAGCTATAAAATTTATAAAAGATTATAATGGAGCTAAAAAATTTGTATTGCCCAGTGATGTAGTAGTCCTTTTCAAGTTATTGTGCAATGAATTACTAATGTGTACATACTGGTGTAAACAAATCTACTTTGTTGCCAGTTTTATGAAAGTATGGCACATTTAATTATGTACAGTACATAATACTTTATAATAATAATAAATGACTATGTTCCTGGTTTATGCATTTATTATACTATTTTTATCAGTATTTTAGAGTGTACCATTTCTACTTATTAAAAAAAAAAGTGAAACAGCCTCAGGCAGGCCCTTCGGGGGAATTCCAGAAAAAGGCATTGTTATAATAAGAGACAACAGCTTCATGTATGTTATTGCCTCTGAAAACCTACCAATGGGACAAGATGTGGAGATAGAAGACAGTGATGATGATAATCCTGATTCTTTGCGGGCCCAGTTTAGTATGTGTATTTGTCTTTATTTTTAACAAAAAAAGTTTCAAAGTAAAAATAAGATTAAAAGATTAAAAATAGAAAAAAGCTTATAGAATGAAGGTAGAAGAGAGAAAATATTTTTGTACAGATGTGCAATGTGTGTTTTCAGTTGTGTTATTATAAAAGAGTAAAAATGTTAAAAATGCAAATGTTTATAGAGTAAAAAAGTTTCAGTAAATTAATGTTAATTTGTTATTGAAGAAAAAATATTTTTTTAAATGTAGTGTAGCCTAAGTGTGCAGTGTTTATAAAGTGTACAGTGGCACCTTGTAATTTCCTAGACCTTCACATTCACACATCATTCCCTCTCTGCCTCACCCAGAGCAACTTTCAACTTTTAGTCCTGAAAGCTCTGTTCATGGTAAGTGCCCTACACAGCGTAAATTTTTTTTTCTTTTTCTTTTTTTTTTTTTTTTTTTGAGACCCAGTCTCACTCTGTTGCCCAGACTGGAGTGCAGTGGCAAAATCTTGGCTCACTGCAACCTCTGCCTTCCGGGTTCAAGTGATTCTTGTGCCTCAGCCTCCTTAGTAGCTGGGATTACAGGTTTGAGCCACAGTGCCCAGCTCATTTTTGTATCTTTTGTCTTGTATTTTTACTATTCCTGTTTCATATTTAGGTATGTTTAGATGTAAAAATATTTACCATTGTATTATAGTTGCCTACAGTATTCAGTACAGCAACAGGCTGTGAATTAAAATGTGCTGTAAATGCAAAAAACGCACCCAATTTTGAAGATTTGGTATAAAAAATAATGTAAAACAGTGTATTAGGGTTTTTCTTTACTAATTACATGTTAAAATGGTATTGCTTTGGATATCTTGGCATAAAAATAACATATTATTAAAATTAATTTCACCTATTTCTTTTTATATTTAACATGGGGCTATTAGAAAATTTTAAATTGCCCATGTGGCTTGTGCTATATTTTCATTGGACAGCACTGTTTTAGATACTACTTGGTTCATTGAAACCAGTAACTCACCAGCCTGTACTAGTGCTTTCATCTAAGTGTTAGTGTCTTTCTTTATCTTTCTATTCCTATGACGCATCACCTCCATGCTTTTTAACTCTTCCCTAGACCGCTAAGATAGATGCCTACCTAGCCTCTCTCTGTGCTCTCCTTCAGACTCAGTGCGTTCTCTCTACCTCCATCCACATGGTTAACCTTCTCCAGTTCAAATGTCTTCATTCAGTGAAAGAAGGTGAGTTAATCTATAGGAGCATGCTGGGAAGTATCTGAAACATAGAAAGATCTCCATCTTCCTTCCTATCTCCCTCCCTTCCTTCCTTCCTTCCTTCCTTCCTTCCTTCCTTCCTTTCTTCCTTCCTTCCTTCCTCCTTTCTTCCTTTTTTCTTTCCATCCTCTGTGACTCCTTATCTGAAATAAGCAGCAAGAACTTTTAACTGTTTTATTCCTACAATGTCTCCCCCATTCTCTGAGGGTCAGTCTTCCCTTCATGCCTTTCCCCATCACTTCCCTCAACTCAGAATGACTTCTACCCATGTTGTGTCCACAAAGAAGAGGTGCTTTTCCATAGAAAACCTCTGGAAAGGTGTTCACCTAACTAGAAGTAGTTTCTCCTTTTCAGAGCCCTGTATACCTTGCTCACATGTACATATAGTCTCTAGTTCTGCCTGTAGGGGGATAGGCTCCTTAAATAATAATAGCCACTAGTCCAGCCCCATACTACGCATGCATAGTGTTAGGTCAACATGTTAACTATTTTGCAGAGAAGAAAATGAGATGCAAGTGAGGTCAATATGTTAGCTATTTCGCAGAGAAGAAAATGAGATGCAAGTGAGGTCAATATGTTAGCTATTTCGCAGAGAAGAAAATGAAATGCAGATTCAGATTACCTTTCCTGATGATGGCTACTCCAAAAATAAGTGGCAGAGTGGGGGAATTATGTTGTGTTTATTTTTTTATTTTTTTATTCAGAGGCTAAAACATTTCCACTGTCTCTTTCCAAGATAATGATTTACCAGTTTTAGGAAGCTTCATATCTTCGCTGTGAAATCACCGCTACCATATAGAAAGCACATTTGGTATTTCCTCATCTGATCTGACACACACACGTAAACACACACACAGAAAACCCACTCCCTCTTCTCAGCAAATAATAAGACAATGAAAATTATGTTCAGAAAGGCACCCCTGTAATTTCAAAACAACTTAGGTAAACTAAAAAGTTATGAAGAGTGAAATTTTCAAACACTTTTTATTCTTCCAATGATGTGGGTATCATTAATGTTATTTTTCTCATCTTCATTCTTAGAGTTGAGGAAACTGAGGCTTAGAGATGGTGAGTACCTCATCTAAGGTCACATGGCGGTAGGAGTGGAGCAAGTGCTTGAACCAAAGCAACTGATGCAACATGTAAGTGAGCTCATCACCAGAACTCTGGAGCCTTCTCTTTGGGAAGGTTCCAGTGAGGACTCAGGTGTGAAGAAAGTCTAGTATCTAGCCATGGCCCCCTGAAAAGCAAGCTCAGAGGTGCCATTATAGCCTAACACCTATGCAGACCCATTAACCTCATCTGTGTAGTTGGTATAATTTCGTTTCCATATCTACCCCGTAAGCCACCAAATATGTTTGTTTATAAAGAAAATACATGCATACATATTCTACGGTAATACACACAAACATATGCTACAGTAATAAATTGTTTTTCTTGCTATTCTTGACTTGTTATGTATGACCCTAGGGAAGTTTCATACCTTCTTTGCACAATCTATGCCACGGTAAGGAAAGTATGTTCTGAGGAGAGTAGGTGTATGAAGGTGTCAAAAAATATCACCTATTACATAACTATATTAGCACATTTCATAAGCTTGAGAGGCTGACAAAAGTCTTTTTTTTTTTTTTGGTTTGTTTGTTTTACTAACCCCGACAAGTTCCTTACTGTGACAAAAAAGTAATAAACTCTGACATGTGTTTTAACTAACTTTGTGTGGTGAATATAGAGACATGGAGTGCCAGAGTGAAAAGGACACTCAGAGAACATTAAATATAAGCCTCTAGTATCAAAGAGGAGAAACCTGTGGCCCATAAAACATCAGTAACATCTCAAGGTTACAGAGAATCAATGGCAAAGCTGGGAGTCAGAGGGCAGCTCCCCACAAGCCTAGCCTCTTGCTCTGTGAAGTTGCTCTCCTCCCACCAGGGTCTGTGTGACAGGCTTGGCCAAGTGCACGTGTGTTGTCATCTGTCCTTTGACATCATATGACTACTGGTGATACTTACTACTGAGAAGAGACCCTTTATTCATTCAACAACTATTCACTCAATTGTCCCTAGGTGCCAGGTACTATTCTAAGCATTTTGGGAATAAAGAATGAGACAAAGAAGGCCCCTCTTACAAGAAGCTCACATTCTATTGACAGAGGCAGATAGTGAACAAATAAGCAAGAAGAAGGTATCTGATAGAAACAACTTCAATGCAGACTATTCAGGAAGGATGAAGCAGTTAACAGTAATGAAGTGAATACTTTAGTTGTACGTAAAATCAGAGACAGCTAAGCATGGAGAGAGGAACAAGGCTTCTGGGTAGAGAGAGCAGTCAGTGTATCAGGTCTGAGAGGTGGGGCAAGCTGGGCAAGAAGCAACAAAAAGCAAAGTGGGGCCAAGTTCACTGTATTAATGGGAGAACAGGGGCTGGCAGAGGCCTGTGGCTGGCAGAGCTCTGCAGGCTACAGTTAGGAGTCTGGGTTTTGCTTCCAGGCCAGAGGGAAAGGTTTGGAGCCATGGTTATATAATCTAATTTTGAAAAGATTATCACTCTGGCTGCAGGCTGGGATATCCGCTGTGGGGAAATGGGGCATGGGATGGTGGAAGACAGGAAGCAGGAATCTACTGCACTTGTCTAGTATGGTGAGGAGATGATGAGGGTGTGAATGGAGGTGGTTGATGTGGAATTAGAGAGAAGAGACTGGAGAATATACTGAATGGGGAATGGAGATGGTGAAGAGGAAGGAATCGTAGGTTTTGGTCTTAAAAAACTCAGTAGATGAAGGTAGCATTTACTGAAATGAGAAAGATAAGCAGATGAGTGGATTTGGGTATTTGGCAGAAATGGGGAGAGGAACATAGACCTAACTCTACACTTTCAACAGTGCTACCAGGAGTAGGTAAATGCCATAAGTTACAAATAAATGAAGTGCAATTTAGAAAGTAGGTGTGCCCCCAAGCTATGAAGAGGCAAGCTCCACAACTGAACTCTTTGAATGGCCACACTATGAGATTGGGAGACCCTCTATCAGTACCTAAGGGACCTAATGTTCTCCTTGCCGCTGGATAATGTGATAAAATACTGGCTAAAATAACAGCAGTGTCCAGAGGGCCTACTCTGTGCCAGACATGGCATCTGTCTCATTAAATGTCACACATAAGAAAACTGAGGCTCAGAAGGCCCATTTAACTTACTTAAGGTCTCACAATTAATAAAGGAAGAGAAAACAGTGAAGAAAATCCATGTTCTTTCCATTGTGCTGCCACTGTACCGTATCTTAATATTAGAACATTGTATTCTTCTTCCTACATGTGCATTCCTTTATCCTTGAGATAAAGGAAGTGGACATGGGCTTTCATAAAGTGATGGGAAAAATGCATATTTTATTTTATGTAGTGTCTGAGTGTTGATTCTTGGGCAATCAACTTTGATTATTTAAATAATTCATGGTCTGAACAGCAACTCAATTGTGGTCAGATATATACCATCTGTTGACTTTACATAGGATAGTTTTTATTTTTCCTCAGATTCATATCAACATCTTTAGCTTGATTAAGTTATCCACCTTGTTGGTAAGACCCACCCACTTCTAATTTTGACTTCAAGTCCCCAGTGAAATACCAAGAGTAAATTACTAGGACATTAGGAAAGATGGCTTTGGCTTTCATGCACTGTAAATTGCACTGGCTTGATTCATGTGATGATCTCTTTATTTTTGAAAGCTGTGGCAAACGCTTAAAAACACATTTTAGCTGTATCACTTTAAGGGTAACAAAAGTCCCTCACGGGAAAAAATGGAGGGCCAAACCCATTTCCAACATGAATTATAACTGACTTAGACACCAGAGTCTAAGGGCCTAGACTTTGAGTTAGAAAGAGCTTGGTTTGACTCTCGACTCTGCCCTGTATTCACTGCATTTCTTAGGGTAGTTGACTATTCATGTAAAATTTTGAAGATGACATTGTCATTTAAAACATGTCTGTATACCTGTTCCATTAGAAGATAGAAGCAGATTTCCCTCCCCTGGAATGTGGGCTAGTGGCAGTGACTTTTTCTTTTTTTTTTTTTTTTGAGATAAAGTCTTATTCTGTCACCAAGGTGTGCCCTCCCTTCCTTCCTTCCTTCCTTCCTTTTTTCTTTCTTTCTTTCTTTCTTTCTTTCTTTCTTTCTTTCTTTCTTTCTTTCTCTCTCTCTCTCTCTCTCTCTCTTTCTGTCTTTCTTTCTTTTCTTTCCAGTTGAGGTCTCACGTGTTGTTGAGGCTGGAGTGCAGTAGCACAATTATAGCTCACTGCAGCCTAGAACTCCTGGGATCAAGCAATCCTTCCACTTCAGCCTCTAGAGGAGATAGGACTACAAGTGTGCCCCACCACACCTGGATAACTTTTTAAATATCTTTTGTAGGGTCAAGGTCTTGCTTTGTTGCCCAAGCTGATCTCCAACTCCTGTTCTCAAGCCATCCTCCCACCTCGGCGTCTCAAAACTCTGGGATTAAAGGTGTAAGCCATGGCACCCAGTCCACCTGGGTTTATTATATTCTTGTTGTACATAAAGTAGAAATAGCTTTTTGGTAAATATATATATATATATATATATAATCATTTGATGCAGAAATCCCATTACTGGGTATATAACCCAAAGGATTATAAATCATTCTGCTATAAAGACACATGCACACGTACGTTTATTGCAGCACTATTTACAGTAACAAAGACTTGGGACCAACCTAAATGTCCATCAGTGATAGACTGGATTAAGAAAATGTGGCACATATACACCATGGAATACTATGCAGCCATAAAAAAGAATGAGTTCATGTCCTTTGCAGGGACATGGATGAAGCTGAAAACCAACATTCTCAGCAAAGTAACACAAGAACAGAAAACCAAACACCACATGTTCCCACTCATAAGTGGGAATTGAACAATGAGAACACATGGACACAGGGAGGGAAACATCACACACTGGGGCTCATCAGAGGGTTAGGGGAAAGGGGACAGAGAGCATTAGGACAAATACCTAATGCATGCTGGACTTAAAACCTAGATGGCGGGTTGATAGGTGCAGAAAAACACCATGGCACATGTATGCCTGTGTAACAAACATGCACATTCTGCACATGTATCCCAGAACCTAAAGTATAATAATAATAATAACAATAATAATAATAAAAAGATGATAGGGAGCATAATTTAAGAAATAAGTAAAAAAAAAAAGTCAAATACTACCCTGATATTTTGTCTTCCAGATGTCATGATGTAAGTTTGTGGTTTTAATTCTGGTGTGGAAGAACGGTAGACACTGGGGATCAGTTCTACCCACATATTTGTGTATGTTTAGGCGTGTGTCTGTGGAGGCGGGGGGTGGTTAAGAAAGAAGGAAGGACAAAGAAAAAGATGAAAGAAAGAGGGAATTAAGAAAGGAAAGAAATATGGGAGCAGAGGTGGTGCCATAGACTGCAAAGATTGCAGCTCTCTGACGCGGACCTCCAAGCTTTGTGAGCATGGTGAAAGTGGGCCGCAGCAAGAACATAGCGGGTGAAGTAGCCAAAGCAATCGCAGCTCAGTTAATTGGGTGAGAAAGAACAGAATCACCACCATGAATCAGAGGGGATCCAAGGTGGTCACAGCCTTCCACACACAGCCCCGAATTAGAATGTGAGGTTACAGAGTGATATAAGACATGTTTCTTCCTTCAGGGAGCTCATACCTTTTTCCAGTTCACTAGGCATAGGAGATGACTTAAAATGTCTATGTGCTTAGCAAATTATTCATATGAAAATATTCATACCTGGTTTAGCCTGACTTACATAAACTGACATTACCCTTTGGATTTGAAACAGAAAGAGAATCCTCTGCTTAAAATCTTCCAGTGACTTCCCTTTACTCTTAGAATAAAATTTGCAGTCCCAGGCTTTGTAAAATCTGGCCTCTGGATACCACTTTCCATCATTTTCCTCCCACCCTTGCTCCTCCTCTAGCCACACTGGCCTTTTGGCTATTCTTCAGCCTGGAATCTTCTGCCCCAAAAAGGCACCTGCCTCATCCTGTCCCTTCACTCAGGGTCCTGCTGGATAGCTCCTGCACACTGGGAGGACTTTCCCACCACCTCATGTGAGATGCAGCTCCCCACATCCACTGATACTCTAGTCATTTGTCCTTCTGGACCTTTCAGCATCACTTTCAACATGCACTGATTGTGTGTGTGTGGCGGGGGGGGGGGGTTGGGGGCAGTGGGGGCATGTTTCTGTCTTCCCTACTACAAGTATGCAGGCAAGAACTCTGTTTTTTCAGTGTTTTATTTTCACTCCCCAGTGCCTGGCACAAAACAGATACTCAAAAATGCCTAGTGTATGAAAGAAAAATGTTAATTCTGCTAATTGATCTTGGGTGGTACAAGTATTGAGAAGAAAGCATTTTTAGTTTTGTGAACCCCAGAGTATCTTGACATACTGTTTCTTTTCTACCTGTAATTTGACTTTTCTACATCACAATTCCTTACTCAGATTTCTAAACTAAATCATTAATTTTTCACATGTGAAGGGGAATATTGCAAATAAACAGAATTAATATGCACAAGTGTATTTACAGAGCTGTTTGGACACATAAAGAGTACGTGATGAATGTATATAGCATTATGGACAAATATGACATAGCATATACTATATAGTATATACATCATATATTGTATATATGTATATTTATCCATACTATATACTATATACTATATACTATCATACAGACACATATATATTTATCCATACTATATACTATGTATTATATAGTCTAGATTATTATGTATGGTATATATAGTCAGTTAGCTGTATGCTCACTAAAGTATCAGTAATTAAAGAAAAAATTCAGAATTTTAAAATACTTTAAAATAAATAGCATGCTGTCCCTTTAAATTCCATTGTAACATGACTAGGTAAAGCAATTGACTGCAGGTAGAAACCACTCTCAGCTGCATGAATGAATTAATAGGAATGGCTTTTAACCAGCATGTTACTGGTAGGTAAACAGAGGTTCTGTGATGCTGTAGGGCTCTGGATTCTTAGGGCTCCTGAAGAACTTACACAATCCTCACGGCAATCTTGCTTCCATGACTGATTTGCTCCGCAAATGCTTTCTGTTCAGAAAAATCAAAGTAAATTCCAGCTCAGGCTGTCCTACAGCCATTAGATTTCAAAGTAATGGAGTCTGAATTTCCAGTGCTTTCACGTGTTTCAATATTGACTTCTTCCCTCTGCCTGCAAGAGGTCACAGCTTTACTGAAGAGGGTTTCCACAAACAGATTTCCATTACTTGGAGTGGTGAGTGCAAGAGGATGCCTACACCGGATACTGACACCCTAATGACGGAATCCAGTGGCGGGGGACTTTCAAGGCACCATGGAGACTATTGCAAGAGAATTGTGGGATAGGGAGGCCTTCCAATGCCCATTCCCAGCAGAGATCTGGGCACTCAGTTTCCCCATGCGGTCACTTGCTATACCCCTCTCCATCTTGTCCTCCTTCCAGGGGAAAGTTATGGGTTATAGAGCTAATTGGCCATGTGATTCAAGAATCTTCCAGACTATGGCTTTGATATTTATTTTTCTGTCCTCCTGTTTCATTTCGTATGCTCATCACATGTCGCCTTCAGGACTCTAGCCTCAGGCAAAATGCCTATGAAGGTGCTGACAAGAGAGAAAAGGTCTGGGCTCAACCAAGGTAGCCTTTTTCAGTGGGGATAAGTGTTGTCTCCTTCCCTGTGACAAGGTACTGTGAGTACTGGCAGGCTGTGGTGATTCTCCCCCCCTGGGCTCTGTACTGGAAGCTGCACTGTAGCAAAGGGCCTCCAGCCCTGCAGAAAGCTCAGAGTAGAAAGCAGCAAGCAGAGTGAGGGGAAAGACAAAGATCCATGAGAATCACAAAGACACTTTCCCTGGGATACGGATGTCCTGGTGAGACATTGGAGAGTTTCTAGTATAAACCTTCAGCTACAGAGATGGAGGATGCATTCCATTGGTTGGCACTTATCAGTAGTTCTGGGAAAAAAATATCCAAGGAGACTGTCATAAAATGACAGTGTCATGGTTCAGTCACCAACTGAATGAAAAAGGCCCAGTGGTGACCCATGCACGACCTTATCCTGCCTGTCTCTTCCTTCTCCCTCTGCCGCTGCTAAATGAATGGAACCAGAGCCCTTGCTGGAGCCGAGAGCAGGCAGAAGGAGGCTCTGGGGATGCTGTGTAGGGATACACAGGCCTTCCCATGAAGGGGTGCGTGAGCCATGGAAGGTGATGAGTCTAGGCCAGGATGATGCAAACCCTCTGATGCCGCCCAGGAATGTGCCCAGTTCAGGCAACCCTGACAACTCCGTGGCCTTCACAGAGACAGTGCTTGGTGCGCTTCTCTCTCCTTCCATTTTCCTACACAATAAGGAAATTTATACAAAATCATGTTTTTTCTGACTCCTTCATTTACTTGTAACTCTTGGCTCTTGGCCGCTTTTGTGATGTATCAGAAATAGCACTTTTGCTCTGACTTCAGGAGATTTTGGTTGCAAGAGTTAGATCTGCCCCTTTCTGTGTGGCATTAAACAAGCATCTTATTCTCTCTGAGTTTCTGTTTCCTGAAATATCAGATGGGGACAATGACTCTTATGGTGCAGATCTGTTGTCTGGGTTAGAGATAATTCCAGTAGCTCACCCCACACATATCCTCAAACATAAGAAATCTCAGTCATTATTGGCCATTTAAATATTTCTTTGTCTTTCATTTTGCCTTCTTATATTGTATCCATTTATTAACCATTGTGCATAGTATATAGGAGAATCTATGCCCACAAGGCAACCCCCACATTCTCTTATTGATTTAAATGCACCTGCAGCCATAATTTATAATTTTTCATAACGTCTACTCACCCTGGCTACTAGTTAGCAATAGCCAGTAGGCTATGGTAATCAGCCTGCACGCTTTTAAAAATTAATAACAAAACTATTTATAATCATCTTTGACTCCCCACCTTTGCACTTATCACATTACCAAAGTTGAAGGAAGATAATAGTATCTATCGCTGGGAAACGGGCACTCAGTCTCATAGTGTCGTTGGGAGTATGAATTGGTACAACCTTGATGCATTGCAGAATTCAATGTGGCAAGAGTCTTAAAAATATGCATACTCGCTGCCCTGCAAATGGCACCTCAAGGAATTTGTCCTGAGGATATAATCAGTTATGTTCACAAAGATCTAAATGCAAAACTGTTCTGCAGCATTACGTGTAACAGAGAAAAAAATGGAAACAATCTACAGGTCCAAATAGGAGATTTGTTCATTGGAGTAGCTCCATATAATAAAATACTCTATAGTTAATGAAAATGATGATATGAAGTTGTATTTATTGATAAAGAAAGGTATTTGTACATTTCCTGTGTGTGACAAATACAGGCTGTAAAAGAGTATCACAGGGTCGGGAATCTCTTCCCAGCATAGACCACAGATTCATCTGATAAAGGAAAAACTTGCACAAACTTCTTCCAGAATCTTAGATAGGTAAGGAGGAGATGGCCTCTATCCTCCTCTGCTTCTGTCCTTGGGCTTCCTCTTGGGAAGGGAATGAGTGGCTTAATAATAATAAGGACCAGGAAAACATTCATGTAGGTGTATGCCCTGGATGCTGGCTGTTGAATCCATGTGGCTACAAATGTTATATATTGTTTTTCCCATTCCTGCTTTTCCAGACGGTGAGCTCACATGCATGGGGGACGAGGTGGCTTCTGTCCTGGCAGTGAAAGTGTGAAGCTAAATCACACCTCTACGGGACTGTCTGGGTAAATGAGGACTCTCTTGCCCCACAAGCAGTGTCTAGTCTGGAGGTGGAAGCCAAGAGGATGAAGTGGTTCATGCTACATTCTCCAAGCCAGCTCACAAGAAGAAAGTAGACACTGAGCCTACATACCCATTGTTCTCCTTTATCTCCCTCCTTTTGATTCAGAGCACATGGGGAAAGACGATTAATGAAGACCCTCATGCACAAAAATATGGTGTGTCTTCCTTGTGCCTTTGAGAATATACACATGGAAGAATGTCTGGAAGGATTCACATCTGAATGTTAAAGTTGCCATCTTCAGGGGATGAGATTATCTACGTTGAGTTTTCTAATCAATTCTGTTACTACATAATTATGACAATTATTCTATTTACATTGTTAAAATAGAAATAAAATTTCCCTTTGTGCTTGTTTCCCATTATGGAACAATTTTGGATGTTCCCTGCTGCAATGGAAGCTACGAATAAGGACACCAGTATTTGTTGAATACCTATTATGTACCAGGCATAGCACAAGGAGTTCAGACTAAATTTTTTCTTCCATCCTCAGATCAACTGCATGGGTTCAGGATTTTCATGCAAACTTTTCAGGTGGTGAAATCGAAACTATAGAAATTGAGCAACTTGCACAAAGTCACATAACTGGTAAATGACAGCATCAAGCCCTTACTCCCAATATGACTTGCTGCCAAACCCGTGCCCTCCCACTCAAATAAGGCCAGGGACAGTGAGGCAGCTGAGTTAGGAAAAGAACACATTTGCAAAGTCAATGGTGTAGCCAAATTGATATCACGGAGTGCGTATCCTAAAAGAAGTCCCATAGTCAGAATGAACATGCCCCGCCATTAGTCCTACAATTCGGCCAAACCGAAACCTTCAAAAACTAGAAACAACGCAATGAGAAGAGGGAAGGGCATTTCTGGAGACAGGCACCCTGAGAACTGTGCTGAGGTAGCACGTGCAGGCTTGACAGACATGGAGAGAGAAACACACATAAATATAAACATTGACTCTGGCAGGGCAGCACCCTCTGAGGATGCTGGGTAAAGGGACACGAACCAGTACGTCTGATCTAATCAGCCCTGCAAGCCTGGCTGAATCTAAGGAGAGTACAATAATTGATTTTCACAATGCTGATGCTGAGTCACCAAGAAAGGTTACATTTTATGTTCAGAATTCTCTGGTTAAGAAGGCATGGAAGCGTGTAATCCATTTGAGAAAGATTTTCATTTCAAATAGTTAAAAATTCTTTGGAAAGATTTTTGGTGCTTAAAAGGATAAGTGACAGTTACCTGGAAAATTCAATTACGTGGAACAACGTCTTCCCTGAAGATCCTAGATCAAGGAGGCATTCTGTTGAAT
Source organism: Homo sapiens (assembly GCF_000001405.40). NCBI lineage: Eukaryota > Metazoa > Chordata > Mammalia > Primates > Hominidae > Homo > Homo sapiens. The sequence continues at coordinate 124,648,960 of NC_000002.12, read as the reverse complement.
TTAGTTAGGTTTCTATGATTTCCCCTTTGTTGATATTTTATTCTCCATTTTTTCCCCAGCCTTTCAAAGTTCTTAACTTCTAAGTGCTGGAATGTAAGTTTCTTGAGGCTAGAGATTATAACACCCTTTCTTAGATACTTCAGATCTTTTGTCCTTTTTTCTCCCATGAAACAAATGATGAACTGACATTCACAAAAAAATGACTGACTCCCAGGAAACATGTAAATTTTGATGAACCCTATCTTACATTTTACAGAAACTCTTGAGTCTTAGTAAGCAGTTCTAGAAGTTGTTTTTGTTGTTGTGTTTTGTTTTGTTTTTTTTCCTTTTCAAAGCATGTTAATAACTAAATCATCCATTTACTGTAAAAAATAACCATGGGAAAATAAATAAATTCATATGCAGTGTTAGTTTAATTTTTTCTAGAAGCACACTTTACTTATAAAAAGAGTCATTTCCCCTAAAGCCCCTATTTCTCAGGCTCCGTTCATGCCATGAACCCACAGGTTTGCCCTGCCTATCTTGCTGGCCTCCCTGCCTAACACTGCCCCCTTAGGCATCCAGGCATCCTCCACCCCAGACATAACTCATCCCTCTCGGGTGGGTGTGCTGAGATCCTGGTGCCTTATCAAGCTCTATTCTCTCTCCCCAAACTAGCATTTCCCATGGCCACACTTTCTATGTCAAGCTCAAATGCCCTCTTTGAGGCCCATTCCTCTTCAGATGTTCTTCATTCTCACAACTGTTGCAGGGTGGGTGTTGGAATCGTTTTCTTTATGATGAGGAGAAAACTTTGAAAGGTGACAGAACTCACTCTAGCTTCCATGCTGAATTTCAGAGCCAGGATTACTACATAACCAGACCCCTCTTGTTGTGTTTCTCTCGAGTGCACAGTGACTAACTGTAACTATAGCCCCCTTCTTGGCAAATTTTCCTTTGCCTAATACTCCAGGTCTGAGGGTCCCATCTATCCCACTGTGGTCATGCATGCAGAGGCCTTACCCGGCGTGTTGAGCAGGCGGGACCTCCTGCAGTGGTAGGCCACCTCCTGCTCACAGTGCTCAGAGCCGTCGATCACGGCCTCCAGCTGTTCCATGCTGCCCCCGTAGTCCAAGGCCATGGCATAGGGCTTCTCAGGGTTAGCGCCCCGCACTCGGGTCAGCTCTGTATTGTTGTGCTGCACTGATGTCCAGATCTTGTCCTCTGCCCAGACAACACAACACAAAGCAAGAGACGTTAGAAGCAATGTCAAAAATGGAGCATGTGAGCAGTGTGATGGGCCACTCAGCGTGCAACATTAATCAACACTCCGGTACCGTATGGAGAGTAGGACAGAGAAATTGTGTTTCCCCATGGAGCTCCACCAGAGTTAGGATGGGGGTCAGTAATCTTAAGAGCTCAATTTGCGGAGCCCTTTTCCCACAGGCTCTACAGTAAGCATTTAATCCCATGATCTCAGTTAAAATTGACAATGCCTAAGTTGGAAGTGAAGCAATACCGCTATGTCAAAAATGAGGAAAATGTGAAAGAAAATTAGGCAACTCACCCAATATCCCACAGTTAATAAGTGACTAAGCAAGGACTTGAGCCTAGGATGTCTGACTCCAAAGCTACTGACACACTTCCTCACAAGAGAAACACTAGCATGTTTTCAGAGAACCATTTTCTCAGAGAACAAGGTTGAGATTGTGTGATCCACACTCTGCATGCAATGAAGTTAATTGTAGGGTTTTGTTTTGTTTAGTATTTATTCCCCGTATTACCTCTCTTTGCCAAAAATATTTGGGAAGATTTACAATGAAAGATGAGGACCTTTAAATCATGACGGAAGGACATATTTTGCCTAATAGGCGAAAGAAGGTAAGGCAGTGAGAGAGGGGAGATATTTGGGCATTAGAACATGGGAGATCTGTATTTGAAGCCTGTATCTGCCAAGAACAAGCTTGGATAAATCACTTCCTTTTATTAAAAAAATTTTTATTTTTAAAGAGACAGGGTCTCTCTCTGTTGCCCTGGCTAGAGTGCAGTAGGGTGATCATAACTCATTGTAGCTTCAAATTCCTGGGCTCAAGCAATTCTCCCACCTCAGCCTCCCAAGTAGCTGGTACCACAGGCATGAGCCAGCGTGCCCAGCCCCCTTCTCTTTTCTGAAGCTTAGTTTTATAGTCAGTTAAGAAAACAACAACAATTGCAACAAAAACAAGAGAGCAATACCCTGGTAGCACTGGTAATATGGAAAAGCAACCACAAATACAAAGTTGCAAGGCTCTATCTGGGATGTATCAGACACTCTGTAGTAATAACCTAGGCTAAAACATTTACTGCAATTGGACATGCAATTTAATTCTGAACATCCTCTCAAATACAGCAAAAGAGGAAATAGGAAGACTTGAAAAGCTTTTGTCATCTGAGAATCTTGCCCGCATAATTACATCATTACTCTTCATAAATTCTGAGAGCTGAAAAGGAATCTAGCATAGAAATCATGTGGTTTCTTCCCTCCCCATCCTCTTAGCCTTACAAATGGAGAAACTAAGGTCCAGAAAGTAAAGAAATGACCCGAGGCACATCCATGAAACAGTAATGATGAGCACATACACTGAAAGTCACCACGATTAATTAGCACAGCTACAAGGCAGAAGCACAGCAGTTGGCATGACTGAGCTGAAAAGAGAAAAGAATAGGCCACTTGGGTGCCCTTGGTTAATCCTTTCTCCCTCACTAGCTCTGTACACAACTTGGGACATGTCGTTTCATCTTTCCAAACCTTAGTTTCAACATATTAGAAGCAGGAGAAAAAGAGAGTATGATTTTAATTACCTCTAAAGGATTTTCCAATTCTATAAAAGAAAATACTTCTTCCAGCATGATATGGTTTGGATATTTGTCCCTGCCCAAATCTCAAGTTGAATTGTAATCCCCAGTGTTGGAGATGGGACCTGGAGGGAGGTGTTTGGGTCTTGGGAGTGGATCCCTCATGGCTTGGTGCTGTCTTTGCGACAGTGACATCTGGTTGTTTAAAGTGCATGGCACCTTCCATTCACTCTCTCTCTTGCTCCTGCTCTTGCCGTCTGAACTGCCTGCTCCCTCTTCACCTTCCACCATGATTCTAAGCTCCCTGAGACCTCCCCAGAAGCTGATGATAGATGCCATCACCATGCTTCCTGTACATCCTGCAAAACCATGAGCCAATTAATCAAACTCCTTTTCTTTCTAAATTACCCAGTTTCAGGTATTCCCATTTAGCAATGCAAAAATGGCCTAATACACAGCAAAAAATTAAACTGTGCTCAAACATTCTGACTTGTCTTAAGACTATTTCCTAAAACCAGCCCATTGATAACCCACATGTCCCCAGTGTTTCACTGAGGCAAGGTTATATTTTATTGTTTAGATACAGGGGCTTGCTATGTTGCCCAGGCTGGAGGACAGTGGCACGATCGTGGCTCACTGCAGCCTTGGCCACCTGGGCTCAAGCGATCCTCCTGCCTCAGACTCCCAAGTAGCTAGAACCACAGGTATGTACTATCACACTCAGATAATCTTTAAAAAGTTTTTTAGAGATGGGCTCTCATTATATTGCCCAGGCTGGTCTTAAACTCCTGGCCTCAAACAACCTGCCAAAGTGCTGGGATTATAGACATGAGCCACTGCATCCAACCTAAGATTATATTTTCCATAAAGTCTAAACAAGTTGATGTTATTTGCTTTTGACTTTAAAAACAAAAATAAGACATAATTCATGTTGGTAAAGATAATAATATTATAAAAACAATTAACCCAGAACTTTTAAAATGTTATTCATACCAGTATAGACAAATGCTGATAAAATAACCAAAAATCTTATCCATCAATAATGAAACATTGTAGAGGGAGAAATAAAGATGGACAGTTTTGAAATGTCCATGATGTTTATACAAAGAAGACAAGGAAAACCCTGTCTAATCTATAATACTAAATGTTGTGCTACTGGTTTATTCCAGCACATTTAGCATATATTATCTCCAGTACTCACAATAATCCACCACACACAGTGTGTGTGTGTGTGTGTGTGTATGTGTGTGTGATCATATGATATATATAACTGACATCACAACCCTTAGCTTCAAACACTGTACGAGGGACAGGAGAAATGATTGCTTGAAACCTAGAGCCCCTGAGTTGGCTTTTATTTTGAATCTGCCCTATGTCCTCTGATTACTGTTCTCCTGGGAGACAGCAGGATAAAGACTGAAACAAGGAAGTAAATGTATATCATTTTTTCCACCTGTATCATCTGTATCTGTCTCTTAGACTTGTCCCCAGTCTCAGTGCATCCAATCTGATTCCAAAATTGGTCTCCATATTTACTAATTCATATAGATTTATATTTCCTTCTAAGTAAACATAGATTTTCATATCCATATATTAATTCATCTGATTGTTCATACATTCATTTATTGATTTCCTTATTCATTTACTCATTGAATTGCTTTACCAATATCATATTGTTTTTGGCAATAAAGAAAATAAAGTTGTATTAGAGAGTCAATCTTTCATCTTAAAGCCACTAATATTATTGCCATAATATTTTTCCTCGCTTCCTATCTTTTCTTCCTCAGCTGCATTGGTGGTTGTGTAGATTTAGCCCTGCATCCTGACTAAATATTGAAAGGTCAGGTGTTAATGCCACTGAAAGAAAGTCAGCTGTGGTGACAGATACTCCTGATGCCTGCTCTAGGCTAGGGAAGGGTGGTTTGAGCTGGAGAGGTTTATGTGACAGTCATCTTTGAATGATTTTTTAACAAGCAAAATTCATTTTGACCATCCTTTAGATGGGTGAGGAGGTGGAGATTCTCTTTTAAGTGGACTCACACATGACTTCAATGAAAATTGGACCCACAAACTTAAATGTTCAAGATGGTCAAGTTAGTTGGACAGTGGAGGTTAGTGAACAAAGTATGGGCTCTGGAGTCAGCAAATCTGGGTTTGTGTGCCAGCACAACACTAACTGTGGGAGCAACCCTGATGAAATTATTACTTCTTCAATGCCCAGTTTTCTTATTGGTCATATTTGAAAAGCAGCAATGGCACCAATAAGACCATGAAACAGGTTGGCTTTAGAAACAATCCTATTCGGATTGGAATCTATGTTCTGCTCCATGTCAGCAGTAAAGCTTTTGGCAAGTTTCATAACATTTCTGAGGTTTCCTCATTGGAAAATGGTCATATTTACACCAATCTTTGCATCCATAGAAGTATCATAATGATTTGGTGCACATAGACTGTCTGGCACTCAAATGAGTAAAGACTCTAAGCATTAGAAGTTTTCTACAACATTAGAGTGAGGGCTTGGACTTCATTCCTTAGAGGACTGCGATGGGGAACATACTCTGCAAATGAGGTTAACAAGTGCGATGGACTGTGATTTCTTGTAATATAGCTGCTCCTGTATATACTAAATTATTACCACCTTGTTAAGTTTTTTTTTTCCACTATAGAATTGCCCTATGTATCTCTGTCTTTATTTGTGTCCTTTGCATTTCCTGAAATTCCTTCAAGATAATTTGCTCTTTAGTACTCATGGAGCCAGAAACCTGGAAAAATATTGCCCTCTGATACTACTTTTTGCTACCCAGTTTGTTTTTCTCTTTCATTACTTCTACTGCACACCACTACCCAATCCCACAATTAGACACATAGCCTCTTCTCTTTCACTGCTCAAAGGCATACATGTATTGACTAACCCAGATCAATTCTTTTACTTAGGAGAGGACTGCATTTGGAGATTTTTGAATAGGCAGGAACCTGTTCATCATTAGCTGGGAAAGGAAATAGGGCCACTTCACTAAGCATTCTGGTTCCCTGAAAGTAATAGTTATCTAAGTGAAATATTGGCTTTTTTAAAGTTGCATTCAGCACAGTGGGTTGGCATGAGTGTCAATGATCTCATGATTCAGATCCAGAGCAGCTATCATGCCTTCTTCATGTAGAAAGGAACTATGAGTTATGGGCCATCAAATACTGTGCCCCATGGCTTCCAAAGGCAGACTGTGTATTGATATATAAACCAGTAAAGTATTTCCCAAGTTGCATTGTGATTTTGAGCTTTCAAGTTCATTTCTTCATAAAGCTATGAGATCTTTTAGGACATGAAATGCATAATTCATTTTTGTGTTTAAATATGTGCCCAGTTAGTGCTCTGCTATCCACCAGAGTACATACACTGGAGGAAAATATGTTAACTTCTCCAAAAGCCTACCATCATCTGGGGAGAAAGTTGTGTACACAAGAATGACAAATGTCTGAGGCTGTTATAAATACTCTGTAGACTACAAGTAAAGGAAGAGGGGCTTTCCAGAGATCTGTCTGGGGCAAAGTTCATGGGTAGAGGTTATTAGAGAGCCCTGCGCAGTGAAGTCTGTGCACTCTTTTCCTTGAGAACTTCCAAGGTCAAGAGTGGTCTTTCATCCTCAGGCTACCAGAACCTAAGCTAGGACTGAGCACCTGAGTTAGCACTTCTGGATGGCTTCGTCAAGTGAAGAAACTAATTAGTCCTTTGTATACTGTCAGGTTCTTAGTTTCGGCATTTCTGAAGCTGCTCTTTTAAGCCTGTATTATGTAATAGTCCAAACTGAAAAGAAGTCTCAAGTTAAAAGATCAAAACACACACATACACACACACGCACACTCAACAATAACAAAAAGAGAAAAGAAAAAGAGGCTGTACAAAGAGCCAGCAGAGTAGTAATGGTGGAATATTCTGAAACATTTTGTATTCGCATCAGTGTGGTAAAATCTTCCCTGGTCATTACCCCAGAAAAGCTCCCAGACAGCCTTCACTAGTGCATCTCTGTGTGACCTACCTTGTTCCTCTGGCTCTCATTTTGGAAGCCGTAAACAGTTTACATACAGAGCCACAATTTAATTTTCTTTCATATTTTTTCTCTCATCATATCAGATTGGTCTGATTATGATGATCATTATTATTAATAATAGTAATTACAGACGCTGTAAGCAATTCCATCTGTTACCATGGGGATCACAACTCAGAAGAAATAGCAAACAAAAGGAAAGTAAAAAAGGAGACACAAGAAATAACTCTGATTAATAAGACCTCATTCTACACACATATCTGTCTCTTTGCAGAGCCAGAAAAAAACTGCAATTTTTATATCAATGTGCTTGGAAGGAAGGGAAGCCTACAGATTGTCAATACCCAGCTTAATTGAACTGAAATATCTGTGGGGAGCTGCTTCTCATCCTTTGAACAGTGTGCCAATTCACTTATACTCCTATTGTAATAGAGCAAGTCTATATTAAGGTCCCCAGGGTCACTTCTGCTGTAGTTATCTATGTTGACAAAGTGAATTTTCTATGCCAAGGGTAAAGACAGTTTAAATAATCCTCAAAGTACTGTCTCTACCTCTCATTTTCCATCTACTCATTGGCAATCTTGTGATATCTCTTGTCATTTTGCATTGATAGTTATTTAATTTTTCATATGTTTCTCCCTTATCTCTCCATTTAAATCATAGGTAATGACTGCTAGTAAATATAGGCTTGGAAAGGGCTTCATGGTTCATGGAGGCAGATGTGATGAGGGGAAGCTTGAGCTTTGTCATCATTAGGGCTGGCTTCCAATGCCAGCTCTGCCACCCACTGGATTCCTGGACATGCAAGAGACCTATCACCTCCCCCAGCCTCAGTCTCCTCCTCTGTAAACGGCATAACTCATTGTGCAGTGTTGTCATAAACACTGAATAGAAAGCATAGGGTTGAACTGAGCGTGGTGCTGGCTCTGAGTGGTGCTCCTCCGTCCTTTTTTTTGTCTTTTTTTTTTTTTTTTTTTTTTGAGATGGAGTTTCGCTCTTGTTGCCCAGTCTGGAGTGTAATGGCGTAATCTCGGCTCACTGCAACCTCTGCCTCCCGGGTTCAAGCAATTCTCTTGCCTCAGCCTTCCAAGTAGCTGGGATTACAGTCATGCGCCACCACGCCCAGCTAATTTTGTATTTTTTAGTACAGACAGGGTTTTTCCAGGTTGGTTAGGCTGGTCTTGAACTCCAACCTCAGGTAATCCTCCTGCCTCGGTCTCCCAAAGTGCTGGGATTACAAGCGTGAGCCACCGGGCCCAGCCTGCTCCTCCTTCCTAACCCTTCACCTGGTACCTGACTCCAAGTCAAAGCTGATCTGCTATGAACCGTTCTGTTGAAGCGAAGCCGGGAGGATGTGAAGAGATTATTTCATTATTAGAAACACTTCTGGGAACCTTTACTGAGGGGGTACATTGCACCTTCCCCCCGCCCGACCTTTAAAAGGAAGGGAGACAATTGGTGTAAAGTGATTTCCAATTCCTTTAAAAGGCTTCAGAAATCCCCCAGGAGCTGTTTTCCCTCCCATGTGTACCAGCCCAGCTGTCTGTGCGAGAATCCATCCGTGCCTCACTAAAACCACGGCAGACGTGGCTGCTTTTAGTGTCTGGGTTTCAGCTGTTTGGAGGTGTGCGCATTACCGGTTCAGGGTGGCTGGTAGGGCTACCATGCGCTCTGCATTAGTGCCATGCAGACACCGCAGCGTGGCGGGCTCCGTCCATTACTGCCTTCCACCTGCCTGCGTGGGCCACACTTTACGACTTCCAGACAACATACTTGGCTGATTTATATTCACACTTCACTTTAGCCTTTACTTTTTATGTATCTTTTCAGGGGGGTAATTTTTCTCTTTTTTCTTGCTTTAAAATAGGTATGATCAAAGAGACCTGGGAAATTTGTTTTATGGTCTTAGGGGGTAGTGGTGTGGAACGGATTCTATGTGCACTGTATCATATTTGTTTATTTGTTGTTCACTAGTTTATTATTATTATTTAATTTAGACACCTAGTGTATGCAGAGCACTATGTTAGGGACTGGAAAGGGGTCGGATGAGGGGTGCAAGTTTCGCTAACAGGCTGGACCCTGAGCTCAGGGAGTTCACAGCTGGTTCTAGGAAGGCAGACTGCCTTGTGTTGCATTCCTGTTGGGAAGAGTATCTGCAGCAGCAAAGGGGGGAGTGGGTGGGAACAAGATACCATTCCCCCCATACTCAGTGTATTGGCATTTGGGGCAAAGGAAAAGGAGAAAAGAAGCCCTAAGTCTAAGTCACCTGATGGAAAGAGGACTGTGAGGCTGTTGATAAGTGTTTTGATTGCCATTAGAAAGCTTTATGAGGTCATTAGGAGTATCATGGTCATAGAAACTATTTTGGTGCACACTGAGGATAAGACTGGGGACCCACATAAGTACATAATGTACTGGAACACAAGTTCATAATAAACAGTTCTTGTGTTTGTTGTGCTGTAATAGTATAAGTATAATAGTACTTGTTGTCCCTCTGTTTATAAGATCTAAAGTAGCCAGTATTGAACTCAGAGGACGTCATGAGCTAGTGAGCTGATTGCAAAGGGCTAGCCTTTGTCTTTTGAAGAGATATCCAAAGGCAGCATTTATATCTCCTTGTACCGGGTCAGAAAAGAAGAGACGCCTTCTCTAAGGGTGAGAGCATCTACTTACTCTGCTCTCATGGAGCTTATATTCTGATTCTGGAGGGGATTGACAAAAAGAAAACTCAGAGACAAGAGCAGAATTACTCATCTTTCTTTCAGCTGACATCTCTACTCTGGAGCTCATCACAAGATGAATGAGATTGTGTGATGCTGGTGGCCTCTCCAACGGGTGGTCTTTTCCAGTCCTGCCAACATCCCGTGCTCGTCGCATTTACATGGTATTACAACAACCTGTTTCCTCAGTATCCCATGCTATACTGCAAGTACTACATATGAAAACCTGTCTCAGAAATCTCCGTGTCTCTAACATATGGCCTAAAGTAGGTATTCACTTACTACTAAACACTTAACGGACTACCAGAATTTTTATCCACTTCAGTGACAGCTTTTGAAATCAGCATGAAAGTGACACATGGTGGGAAAGGATGTTTAGATACATACTTGAAATTCCGCTGTGCAGCCGAGGTTATATATTGCAAATAGCGGAATATTGGAAAAAAATTAAATACACATCCATAGGTGTCTGATCGAATAAAGCATTGTTAACTGACACAGTAAAGTACAATGCAGCCATAATAAATAATACATAAGATCTCTGTAAACTGATCCAGAATGATTTCCACTGTATATTGTAAAGTGACAAAATCAAGGTATTGATGCACAAAAGAGTATGATACATTTTGTGAAGGTACAAAAGAGAAAAATGAATACACACAGAAAGGACAAACTGATATAAATAGTTATCTAAAAAAGTTGGATAAGAACAAGATGAAGGCAATAGGAATGAGAGCAAAATGTCTCTGATCAGCCAGTGTGTGCATATTTGTCTGTATTTGACTTTTGTAACATGAAAATGCTTTACACTGTTAAAATCAAAAGGATAAAGAAAAGGCAAGTCCAAAAGTTGAATATTAATCAGAAACTAAAAAGCCTAGCTGTACATTAAATTGATAAAATAACTATAAAAAAGAAAAAAGTTAATTTAAGCAACTTTCAAATAGTATTCTGTCTCACTATATACCCTTGGCAGAATAAATTCTAAGGATAAAAATTAAAATTCAAGGAAATCTTTAACTTTACATTGTTATTGATGTGATATTGCTGAAGTAATTCTGAAATGATTGTGTGCATACTGCAGAATGGAGCAAATGGGTAAATATACTGACATTGCTGAAACAAGGTCTCACTGTGAGAGAAGTTACATATATATGTATCATATATATGTATCATATATATGTATTATATATATCTCATATATATCATATATATATAGAAGACAGAATGATGAGAAAAGAATCTAATGGAACTAGGTTTGTTTTGTAAATAACCTTATGAACTCATAAACACACACACACACATACACGCACACACACACATGCACACACACAATTTTAGTTCTGCCCACTGAAAGGGCCCAGAAACAATGAGCAAACAAACATCTAGGTCTTGGTTTCCAAATACCATTTGCTACAAAAAAGAGGTAGGCTTCTTTAGGAAAAGAGCTGAGTCTGGTTCTAGGGTAGGGAAAGTTCTAGTTGACATTGAGAATATCTTTCCATGCAAGAACACAAGAAAATGCTCCAATATTAATAGACACATGTAAAAAAGAAACTGGAGCAGAATTAAAGGGACCATGAATTAGAGTCCATAACGACACAAGGGGAGATGGAGTCAGGGAAAGGGAAAAAAATCTCTTCTGTAGGTAAGACTTCAGAATGGCAGCAATAAATATGAAAGGAAATTGTAGAATTAGAAAAGCAACACGTCACAGATTCCAGTGTAATAACTTAAAAGAGTCAGGATCCCTACCATATTGGGAGGAAATGTTGAGGAACAGGGCATTCACATAGTGTGCTCACGTAATACTACAGATAACTCACTCACTGGTTGTAAACTGCCTTCACAATGCAACGATCTGGCAGAGCTGTGTTAGCCAAATGATAGCGAGAAGCATCCCCAGTATCGGGACAAACTGATGTCATGTGTCTGCTCACGGGCTGCACTAAAAAGGCAAGCATTGTTCATGAGACTTTCTGGCCAAAATGTTCTACACTGATTAAATAATCAGAAATATCCAAAGTATGGGATATTTTATTTAACAACTGTCTTTTAATCTCCAGAAAAGATCAATGTCATGAAAACCAACCAACCAACAACAACAACAAAAGCAAAAAGAAGGGGTCAGGGAGTTGGGCCTTCCAGATTAAAGGAGGTTGAAGGGTCGTGGCAATCAATTCCAAATTGTAGACACTGCTTGAATTATGAATAAAAATATGAAAATAGACACTGCTATAAAACACATTGTAGGACTTTGGATTCTTGGTGCATGGACTATATATTGGATAATTAATTTAATTAATGCTTATTTTCTTATGAATGGTTTCTTATGTCTGGTTACATAGAAGAATATATTTGTTCTTAGAAGATAAAACCTAAAGTCTTTCGATTTAAATTATCGCTGTGTCTACAACTTACTTTCAAATGGTTCCGTAAAAATTTTTTTAAAATGTCTGAGAAAATGAGGAGAGGAGAAAAAGAGAAAGAGATGAGGAGGGCACAAATTTGCAAATGTGGCAGAATCGTAAACGTGAAGGGTATCTGGCTACTCATTATTTTTTCAACTTTTCTGTAGGTTTGGACATTTAGGAATAAAACTCTGGGAAAACAAGATAGTTTGCCAGAAAGTTTCACATGTAGTAAGTGCTGAAAATTATTCTAAGCTCCAAAAAATTCACATGCACATGCTTTTATAACAGCACCAACACATACACACACAGACACACACAGACACACACACACAGAGTTAAGGAGTAATTGGCAAAATAATGACCAGAAAGCTATTACTAAATTTAAACTAAATTACAATCATTATTAAATTTAACCATTTACATTATGGTAGATCATTCATGTTCAAGTATAAGTAGTTATTCACTCTGTTGAATTAATTTTCATGAGTGCTTTCATTGTGTCAGGTGTTATGCACACAAAAAAAGTTACTAGTCATTATTTTTATCACCATGTCCCCAGAAACACCAAGAAACCAGAGTCTATATTTCTGGGGACAGAATAATGAAAATAATAACTAACAGTATCTACCATGCATTAGATATGTAATGTCAAGTCTTTTTTCTTGCAGTTTACATCGATTACCTCATAGAAGCTTCACAACAAACTTATAAATAGATTCTATGATTAATTATAAAGGAAGAAACTGAGGTATAAGGAGGCTGGGTAACTCAACTAAGTCAAATAATTTGCCAAAAGTAGGAAATGTGAGTGCTGGGATTCCTACCAAGCCCACACTCTAAATAACTAACTTGGTAGATGTTTTTCAATTACAAGCATAAAAATTGTGACTTTCAAAGGAGCTTTACATGAGAACAAAATGACAGCATACTCTAAAGAGGGAGAGCAAAACTTCCTGTAAGACATAAAAGTTAGACTACTCACAGCTAGCACTGGAAAACCCATGTTGAAATTGTCCCTATGGACAGCAATCAGTCAATGTCTCCTACTTGCTTCTCTTTACAAATAGACATAAATATGAGAACTCAAACACATGCACACTGAGAATGCAGGCTGATTGGTGTTCCTGTGACGTGAGCCTGCTCAGGAGGAATAGTAAGAAAAAGCTCTCAAGCAAGGGGTGCTTGGCCTGCCTACTTCCCAGAACAAGGACCACAGTCAATCTTGGCCCTTTTATTCTTTGGAATGTCTAGACTTACTTTGATTCATCATCTCTCCTTGGAAACTGGGGCTCAGAACAAAAGTGAACAAGAGCAAGCAGGCTTTCTGGGAGACACCTTTGACACCCATTTGTTATTTTCCACTTCCAAACAGGAAAAGTATTCATTCAGCCAACATCAGACCATCAGAACACCCAGGGAAGTCAGGAGGACTTGATGGACCTTCTCATTGCATCTCTGCATTCATGATCCTGCTGAGCTCAACAAGGCTTGTCTTTCCTCCGGTTTCCCTTCTTTGCCTAGCCCCATGATATGGTTTGATCTGTGTTCCTACCCAAATCTCATGTTCAATTGTCATCTCCAATGTTAGAGATGAATCCTGGTGGGAGGTGACTGGAACATGGTGGCAATTTCTAATGGTTTAGCACTATCCTCCCGAATACTGTTCTCATCATAGAGTTTTCATGGGATCTGGTTGTTTAAAAGTGTGTAGCCTCTCCCTACAACCTCTCTTTCTCCTGCTCCCACCATGTAAGTCATGCCTGCTTTTCATTCACTTTCCATTACGATTGAAAGTTTCCCGAGGCCTCCCCAGAAGCCATCATACTTCCTGTACAGCCTGTGGAACTGTTAGCTAATTAAACCTCTTTTCCTGATAAATTACTCAGTCTCAAGTATTTCCTTACAGCAGTGCAAGAATGGACTACTGTAGAAAATTGGTACTGGTAATGGGGAATTTCTCTAAGGATGCCTGGAAATGTGGAAGCAACTTTGGAATTGGGTAATCAGCAGATATTGCAACAGTTTGAAGGGCTCAGAAGACTACAGGAAGGTGCAGGAAAGTTTGGAACTTCCTAGAGACTTGTTAAATTGTTTTGACCAAAATTCTGAGTCATATGGGCAATAATATCCAGGCTGATGAGATTTCAGATGGAGATATGAAATTTATTACGTGAGGTACAGTGGCTCACATCTGTAATCCTAACACTTTGGGAAGCATAGGTGGATGAATCACTTGAGCTCACGAGTTTGAGACCAGCCTGAGCAACATGGTGAAACTCCATCTCTATCAAAAAAAAATTAGCCAGGCATGGTAGTGCATGCCTGTAATCCCAGCTACTTGGGGGGCTGAGGCAGAAGAATCACTTGAACCCAGATGTCAACACTACTGTGAACCAAGATCATGCCACTGCACTCCAGCCTAGGTGACAAAGTGATACCGTGCCTCATTTAAAAAATATATGTATACACACACACACACACGTGTGTGCCTGTGTGTGCATCATATATAAAAAGAAACTTATTAGGAACTGGAGCAAAGGTCACTTTTACTATGCTTTAGTAAAGAACATGGTAGCATTGTGCCCCTGCTCTTGGGATCTGTGGAATTTTGAATTTGAGAGTGATGATTTAGAGTATCTGGAGAAAGACATTTCTAAGCAGCAGAGCTTTCACGATGTGGCCTGCTTGCTTTTAACAGCATGTGCTCATATTCATGAGCAAAGAAATGACCTGAAACTAGAACTTATATTTAAAAGGAAAGCAGAGTGTAAAGGTTTGAAAAATTTGCAGCCTGGCCATGTGGTAGAAAAGAAAAGCCCACTTTCAGGGAAAGCATTCAAGCTGGCTGCAGAAATTTGCATAAGTAAAGAGGAGCAGAATATTAATATCCATGACAATGGGAAAGCCTCAAAGACATTTCAGAGACCTCCATGGCAGCCTCTCCCATCACAAGCCTGGAGGCCTGGGAGGACAGAATGGTTTCATGGGTCGGGACCAGGGCCCCACTGCCCTGTGTAGCCTGGAGACATTGCTCCCTGCATCTTAGCCTATTCAGCTTCAGTGTGGCTTAAAGGGACCCAGATATAGCTTGAGCTGCTGCTTCAAAGGGTGCGAGCCATAAGCCTTGGTGGTTTCCAGGTGGTGTTAAGTCTGAGGGTTCACAGAGTACAAGAATTGAGGCTTGGGAGACTCCAGCTAGATTTCAAAAATTATTTGGAAAGCCTGTATGTCCAGGCAAAAACCTGCTCCAGGGATAGAGCCCTCAAGAAGAAGCTCTACTAGGGCAGTGTGGAGGGGAAATGTGGAGTTGGAGCCCCCACACAAAGTCCTTACTGGAGCACTGCCTAGTAGAGCTATGAGAAGAGGGCCACCATCCTCCAGACCCCCAAATAGTAGATCCACTAACAGCTTGCACTGTGAGTCTGTGAAAGCAGCCACAGAGGCTGTACCTTGCAAAGCCGGAGGGGCAGAGCTTCCCAAAGCCTTGGGAGCTAGCCCCTTGCACCAATGTGCTCTGGAGGTGAGACATGAAGTCAAAAGAGATTATTTTGGAGCTTTAAGGTAATGACTGCCCTGCTGAGTTTCATGGTGCCTGTACCCCCTTTCTTTTGGCCAATTTCTCTGTTTTGGAATAAGGCTATTTACCAAATGCCTATAACCCCATTGTATCTTGGGAGTAACAAATTTGTTTTTCATTTTACAGGCTCATAGGTGAAAGGGACTTGCCTTGTCTCAAGTGAGACACTGGATTGAGGACTTTTGAGTTAATGTTAACATGAGTTAAAATTTAGGGGGACTGTTGGGTAGGCATGATTGTATTTTGAAATATGAGAAGGACATGAGATTTGGAGGGGCTAGAGGCAGAATTATTTGATTTGGAGCTGTGTCCCTGCCCAAATCTCCTGTTCAATTGTAATCCCCAATGTTGGAAGTGGGGTCTGGTGGGAAGTGACTGGATCATGGGGTGGGTTTTTAAATAGCACCATTCTCCTAGTGCTGTTCTCATGATAGAGTTCTCATGAGATCTCATTGTTTAAAAGTGTATAGCACTTCCCTGCCTGCCTCTCTTCCCCCAGCTTTGGACATGTAAGACATGCCTGCTTCTGCTTCCCTTTCTGCCATGACTGAAACTTTTCTGAGGCCTCCCCAGAAGCATCATGCTCCCTGTACAGCCTGTGGAACTATGAGCCAATGAAACCTCTTTTTAAAAATAAATTACCCAGTCTCAGGTATATTTTTAAACAAACATTTTATTGTTTTTTTTTTCAAGTTACAGGGTACATGTGCAGGATGTGCAGGTTTGTAACATACATAAACATGTGTCATGGTGGTTTGCTGCACCTATCAACCCATCACATAGGTATTAAGCCCAGCACGAATTAGATTTTTCCCCTAATGCACTCCCCTCCCCCACCTCCCCTAACAGGCCCCAATAAGTGCTGTTCCCCTCCCTGTGCCCACGTATTCTCATTGCTCAGCTCCTGCTTATAAGTGAGAACATGTAGTGTTTGGTTTTCTGTTCCTGAATTAGTTTGCTGAGGATAACAGCTTTCAGCTTCATTCGTGTCCCTGCAAAGGACATGATCTCGTTTCTTTTTATTGCTGCATAGTATTCTGTGCTGTTTATGTACCACATTTTCTTTATCCAGTCTATTATTGATGGGCATTTGGGTTGATTCCAATGTCTTTGCTATTGTGAATAGTGCTGCATTGAACATATGCACGCATGTAACTTTATAATAGAATAATTTACATTCCACTGGGCATATACCCAGTAATGGGATTGCTGGGTCAAATGGTATTTCCAGTTCTAAGTCTTTGAGGAATTGCCACACTGTCTTGCACAATGGTTGAACTAATTTAGATTCCCACCAAGAGTATAAAACCATTCCTATTTCTCTGCAACCTCGCCAGCATCTGACTTTTTAATAATGCCATTCTGATGAGTGTGAGATAGTATCTCATTGTGGTTTTGATTTGTATTTCTCTAATGATCAGTGATGTTGAGCTTTATTTTCATGTTTATTGGCCGCATGTGTGCCTTTTCTGAGAAGTGTCTGTTAATATCCTTTGCCCACTTTTTAATGGTTTTATTTTCTTGTGAGTTTGCTTAAGTTCCTTGTAGATTCTGGATATTAGACCTTTGTCGATGGATAAATTGCAGAAATGTTCTCCCATTCTGTAGGTTGTCTGTTTGCTCTGATGATAGTTTCATTTGCTGTGCAGAAACTCTTTAGTTTAATTAGATCCCATTTGTCAATTTTTGGTTTTGTTGTAATTGCTTTTGGCAATTTCATCATAAAGTCTTTCCCCTTGCCTATGTCCTGAATGGTATTGCCTAGATTCTCTTCTAGGGTTTGTTAGCTTTGGGTTATGCCCTTAAGTCTTTAATCCATCTTGAGTTGATTTTTGTATAAGGTGTAAGGAAGGGATCTAGTTTCGATTTTCTGCATATGGCTAGCCAGTTCTCCCAGCACCTTATTAAATAGGGAATCTTTTCCCCATTGCTTGTTTTTGTGAGGTTTGTCAAAGATGAGATGGTTGTAGACGTATGGTTTCATTTCTGAATTCTCTATTCTGTTCCATTGGTCTATATGCCTGTTTTTGTAGCAATACCATATTGCTTTGTTTACTACAGCCTTGTAGTATAGTTTGAAGTTATATAGCATGATACCTCCAGCTTTGTTCTTTTTGCTTAGGATTGTCTTGGCTATGCGAGCTTTTTTTTTGGTTCCATATGAATTTAAAATAGTTATTTGTAATTTTGTGAAGAACGTCAATGGTAGTTTAATGGAAATAGCACTGAATCTATACATTGCTTTGGGAAGTATGGCCATTTTCATGATATTGATTCTTGTTATCCATGAGCATGTAGTGTTTTTCCATCTGCTTGTGTCCTGTCTGATTTCCTTGATCAGTGGTTTTTAGTTTTCCTTGAAGAGGTCCTTCACTTCTCCTGTTAGCTGTATTCCTAAGTATTTTATGTTCTTTGTGGCAATTGTGAATGGGAGCTCATTCATGATTTGACTCTCTGCTTGTCTTTTGTTGGTGTATAGGAATGCTTGTGATTTCTGCACACTTATTTTGTGTCCCAAGACTTTGCTGAAGTTGCTTATCAGCTTAAGAAGCTTTTGGGTTGAGTTGATGGGGTTTTCTAGATACAGGATTATGTCATCTAAAACAAAGACATTGATTTCCTCTGTTCCTATTTGAATACCCTTTATTTCTTTCTCTTGCCTGATTGCCCTGGCCAGAACTCCCAACACTACTATGTTGAATAAGAGTGATGAGGAAGAACATCCTTGTCTTGTGCCAGTTTTTAAGGGGAATGCTTCCAGTTTTTGTCCATTCAGTATGATGTTGGCTGTGGGTTTTTCATAAATGGTTCTTATTATTTTGAGGTATGTTCCTTCAATACCTAGATTATTGAGAGTTTTTAACATGAATAGATGTTAAATTTTATTGAAGGCCTTTTCTGTGTCTATTGAGATAATCATGTGGTTTTTATCTTTAGTTCTGTTTATGTGATGAATTACATTTATTGATTTGTGTATGTTGAACAAGCCTTGCATGCCAGGGATGAAACCAACTTGATCGTGGTGGATAAGCTATTTGATGTGCTGCTGGGTTTGGTTTGCCAGTATTTTGTTGGAGATTTTTGTATCAATGTTCATCAGGGATATTGGCCTGAAGTTTTCTTTTTTGTTTTATCTCTGCCAGGTTTTGGAATCAGGATTATGCTGGTGTCATAAAATGAGTTAGGGAGGAGTCATTCCTTTTCAATTGTTTGGAATTGTTTCAGAAGAAATGGTACCGGCTCCTCTTTGTACCTCTGGTAGAGTTCAGCTATAAATCTATCTGGACTTGGGATTCTTTTTTTTTTGGTTGGTAGGCTATTTATTGCTGCCTCAATTTCAGAACTTGATATTGGTCTATTCAGGAATTTAACTTATTCCTGGTTCAGAATGGGAGGTTGTATGTGTCCAGGAATTTATCCATTTCTTCCAGGTTTTCCAGTTTTTTTTTTTTTTTTTTTGCATAGAGGTGTTTATAGTATTCTCTGATGGTTATATTTCTGTGGGGCCAATGGTGGTATCCCCCTTATAGTTTCTGATTGTGTTTATTTGAATCTTCTCTCTTCTTGTTAGTCTTGCTAGCAGTCTATCTATTTTATTGGTTTTTTCAAAAAAAAAAAAAAACAGCTCCTGGATCCATTGATTATTTGAAGGGTTTTTCATATATCTATCTCCAGTTCCACTCTGAGTTTGGTTATTCCTTGTCTTCTGCTAGCTCTGGGGTTTGTTTGCTCCTGGTTCTCTAGTTCTATTAGTTGTGATGGTAGGGTATCAATTTTAGATCTTTCCCACTTTCCGATGTGAGCATTTAATCCTATAAATTTCTCTCTTAATACTGCTTTAGCTGTGTCCCAGAGATTCTGATAAATTGTCTCTTTGTTCTCATTGGTTTCAAAGAACTTCTTGATTTCTGCCTTCATTTCATTATTT
This sequence comes from Homo sapiens, assembly GCF_000001405.40. Taxonomy (NCBI): domain Eukaryota; kingdom Metazoa; phylum Chordata; class Mammalia; order Primates; family Hominidae; genus Homo; species Homo sapiens. The sequence goes on along the minus strand of NC_000002.12, from coordinate 124,629,467 downwards.
ACCCAGGAGTCATTCAGGAGCAGGTTGTTCAATTTCCAAGTAGCTGTGTGGTTTTGAGTGGACCTTTCAATCTTGAGTTCTAATTTAATTGCACAGTGATCTGAGAGATTGTTTGTTATAATTTCAGTTGTTCTTCATTTGCTGAGGAGTGTTTTACTTTCAGTTATGTGATCAATTTTAGAGTAAGTGCCCTGTGGTGCCAGGAAAAAATGTATATTCTGTTGCTTTGGGGTAGAGAGTTCTGTAGATATCTATCAGGTCCACTTGGCCTAGAGCTGCATTCAAGCCTTGAATATCTTTGTTAATTTTCTGTCTCCGTGATCTATCTAATACTGACAGTAGGGTTTTAAAGTCTCCCACTATCATTGTGTGGGGGTCTGAGTCTCTTTGTGGGTCTCTAAGAACTTGTTTTATAAATCTAGGTGTTCCTGTATTGGGTGCATATATATTTTAAATAGCTCCTTTTGTTGAATTGAACGCTTCAGCATGATGTAATGCCCTTCTTTGTCTTTTTTTACCTTTGTTGGCTTAAAGTCTATTTTGTCAGAAACTAGGATTGCTACTCCTGCTTTTTTCTGCTTTCCGTTTGCTTGATAAATTTTCCTCCATCCCTTTATTATGATTCTATGTGCATCTTTGGACATGAGATGTGTCTCTTTAATATGGCACACTGATGGGTCTGGTCTTAGTACCCAGGTTTCCATTCTGTGTCTTTTATTTGGGGCATTTAGCCCATTTAATGTAATGTTGATATTGTTATATGTGAATTTGACCCTGTCATGATGCTAACTGGTTAATTTTGCAGACTTGTTAATGTAGTTGTTTAGTAGTGTTGTTGGTCTGTGTACTTCAGTGTGTTTTTGTAGTGGCTGCTAATGGTTTTTCCTATCTATGTTTAGTGCTTCCTTCAGGAGCTCTTGCAAGGCAGGCCTGCTGGTGAAAAAATGCCTCAGCATTTGCGTGTCTGAAAAAGATTTTACTTTTTTCTTTGCTCATAAACCTTAGTTTGGCCAGATATGAAATTCTGGGTTGGAATTTATTTTTGTTAAGAATGGTGAATATTGGCCCCCAAGCTCTTCTGGTTTGTACAGTTTCTACTGAGAGGTCCACTGTCAGTCTGATGGGCTTCCTTTTGTATGTGATTTGGCCTTTCTCTCTGGCTGCTCTTAACATTTTTTTGCTTCATTTCAACCTTGGAGAATCTGATGATTATGTCCTGGGGTAGATCTTTTCATAGATTATCTTATTGGGGTTCCCTGGGTTTTCTGAATTTGAATATTGGCTTGTCTTTCTAGGTTGGGGAAGTCCTCCCGGATGATACACTGAAGTGTGTTTTACAACTTGGTTCCATTCTCCCCATCTCTTAAAGATACTCCAATCAGTAGTAGGCTCAGTCTTTTTACATAGCACCATAATTCTTGGAGGCTTTGTTTGTTCCTTTTCATTTGTTTTCTCTAATCTTGTTGGCCTGCCTTATTTTAGCAAGATAGTCCTTAAGCTCTGCCATTTCTCTTCCACTTGGTCAGTTCGGCTATTGATACTTGTGTTTGCATTATGATTGTCTTGTGCTGTGTTTTTCAGCTCCATCAGGTCATTTATGTTCCTCTCTAAACTGGTTATTCTAGTTAACAGCTGCTGTAATCTTTTATCATGGTTCTTAGCTCCTTTGCATTGGGTTAAAACATAATCCTTTAGCTCAGTGATGTTTATTATTACCCACTTTCTGAAGTCTATTTCTGTCAGTTCATCCATCTCAGCTTCAGCTCCGTTCTGTGACCTTGCTGGAGACGTTGCAATCATTTGGAGGAGAAGAGGCATTTTGACTTTTGGGATTTTTCAGTGTTTCTGCATTGGTTTTTCCTCATCTTCATGGATTTATCTACCTTTGATCTTGAGGGTGATAACTTTGGATGGGGTTTTTGTGGGGTCTTTTTTTTTTTTTTTTGATGTTGTTGTTGCTTTCTGTTTGTTTTTCTTCTAACAGGCCTTTCTTCTGCAGGTCTGCTGTGGTTTGCTGGGGGTCCACTCCAGACCCTTTTCTCCTGGATATCACCAGTACAAGCTGCAGAACAGCAAAGGTTGCTGCCTGCTCCTTCCTCTGGAAGCTTCATCCTAGAGGGACACTGACCTGATGTCCGCTGGGATTTTCCTGTCTGTGGTTTCTGGTGACCCCTGTTGGGAGGTCTCACCCAGTCAGGAGGCACAGGGTCAGGGATCCGCTTGAGAAGACAGTCTGCCCCTTAGGGGAGCTGGTGTGCTGTGCTGGGGGGAATCCTCCTCATTTGGATCAGCTGATTTTTTCAGAGCCGGCAGGCAGGAAAGATTAAGTCTGCTGAACCTGAGATGACGGCTTCCCCTCCCCGCAGATGCTGGGTCTCAGGGAGGTGAGAGCTCTTTCTGTAAGTCTTTGACTATAGCTGCTAGATTTCCTACAGGGAGGCCCTCTCCAGTGAGGAGGGATCTAAAGAAGCCATCTAGCCATGATCTGCCACAGCTCCTTTGCTGCACTGTGGTGAATTCTGCTCAGTCCAAATCTCCCAGTCTCCTTAGCACTGTCAGGGGAAAACTAAAGCCACAGTAATGATGGTCACTCCTCCCACCGGGAACTCAGTGGTCCCAGGCCAACTCCAGACTGCTGTGCTGGCAGCGGGGATTTCAAGCTAGTGGTTCTTAGCTTGCTGGGCCCATGGAAGTGGGACCTGCTGAGCGAGATTGCTTGGCTCCCTGGCTACAGCCCCCTTTCCAGGGGAGTGGACTGTTCTCCTGTCTTACTGGAGCTCAAGGCACCCCCGATGTATGTAAAAACTCTTGCAGCTCAGTGCCTGCTCGAACAGCCACCCAGTTTTGTGCTTGAGACTGAGAGCCCTGGTGGTGTAGGCTCACGAGGGAATCTCCTGATCCACAGATGGCAAAAATCCATGGGAAAAGCATAGTACCCTTGGCAGGTAGCACAGTCCCTCACCATTTCCCTTGGCTCAGCGGGGAGGTACACCCACTCAGTGCAGCTCCCAGGTGAAATGATGACCCACTCTGCTTCTTCTCATTCTCTGTAGGTCAAGCCCACCACCTAGTCAGTCCCAATTAGATGAACTGGGTACCTCAGTTGGAAATGCAGTAATCACCCACGTTCTGCATTCGTCTCACTGGGAGCTGCAGGCTAGAGCTGTTTCTTTTCTGCCATCTCGGCCCCTTTCTTACCAGGTATAACTTTTATAGCAATGTGAGAGTGGACTAACACACCCCAGGATACCTGTCTTCCAAGGTCAAACCCAAGCCTAGTGTCTCCCATAATGCTTCCTTGACTATTCCTGTCTCTAAATTCCTTTAGCATCTAGATCATTCTATGATGTTGGCTCTGAAATAAAAGTGATTACTTTTATTTTAGGAGGTCTTAGGGCATGTCAGATATTGTACTGGGTGTGTTGGGTACATTTGCTTATTTAATTCTATCTAATTTTGTACAACTCATTGAGGTAAGAATAAGTGATCATTTCTATTATACAGATGAGGAAATTAAGCCTCATAAAAGTTAGGCAACTTGACCAGGATTCCATTGTCAAGTTGCTACAGGATAGTTGTACGAATAAATAAAATGGCCTAGCTAAAATTGCTGTAAGAGATGGATGGCTTTATTTTCTTGTTACAGTGTGAGGTCCTTTGTGTGTGGACCAGCAGCTTACATTACGCAAGCAGTGCCTCAATAAATCTTTGTTGACTGGACTGTCTCCCAATCCCCTGATGCCAAAAATGAGACTCACCAGTTATCTGCAGTAAAAGATGAAAAGACCCATCCGGAAGGAGTCAGGATAAGCCCTGTGTTCAGTGCTTAGAAGAGCAGCGATTCTAGGCCCTGGCCTGAGCCCCTCGGAAGTGGGGAGATACATAAGGATGGGGACTTATTAAGCACTGAGCACTGTGCTAATCACCTTATATAGATATATCCCAAAGTCCAGTATCTTCAGGTGCTTGCTAAACATGCTATTTCTGATCACTACTATACTATGTATACTATACTATGTATACTGTAGTAAGTATACTATGCTATACCTACTGAATAAACATTGCTGGGAATAGGCCTAGAAAATAGCGTCTTAAATGTTCATCCCAGCTCATGCTTTAGAAAACTAAGCTTTGTGAACCTCTGCTTTATATAATTTCCATATGATACTCAGGAAAACCTGGAAAAGTGGGTATGATTTCCCCCACATTACAGATGAGGAAAGTGACGGACACGGAGGTAAAGTGGGTATAATGGAGCCCTCACCCTTCAAGGCTACTTCCTGGAGGAGTTTTCCACCATGGCATTGAGTTAAGGGACTGTGAACAAGAGACAGGGCAATGCAGGCCAGAGGGGAATTCTGTTTGGACACAGGAGGCTTTCTCTGTTTCAGAGACTGTGTCACCTGGCCTTAATAACCCAGCCTCACAACCTCACCCATAGCTTCCATTCCTGGCTTTACCGTTTGCTCCTTGTGAGACCTTGGGCTAGTTGCTTAGTCTCTCCAGATGGTGCCTATCTCTGTAACATGGATTGCTAAGAAAATCAAATAACATCTTGAATATAAAATACCTAGCATGGTGCCTAATACCAGCAGCTGCTGGATAAATGTTAGCTGCTTCTACTACAAAATTCAGCTCAGAGGGCAGCTCTTCAAGGGCATCTTCTCTGCCCACCACCCCCAGCCTCCTTGTGTACTTTCAACCCCTGTTTCCTTTGTACTATTTCTGTACCATCTACCAGCTTCTATTCTATTTTCCACACTGTGCAAAATATCCATTTACAATGTCCATCTTCTCCAAACTGTGAATTCCTTGAGGACAAGAACAGATTTATTTATTTTGTAAACTTGATGTCAAGTTCAGTCAATATTCAAAAGTTTATTTGAATTACTTAATTTCTGAATTACCAACTGAATAATTGACAGAGTGACTGAATTAATGAATAATGTGTAAGTAATTAAAAACCTGAAAAAATAAATGAGGAAGTAAATAAATGAGAGAATTAACAAATGAATACATAAATGAGAAGATAATAAAGGAATTCAAGAAAGCAGCAAATAAGTTAGTAAAGGGAGGGATGGATGAATGAATGATCAAGTAAATGAATTAAAATCACACTGCAATCACCTGAGCCTCCTGCTACCATCCATGTGGGTTGGAGTCAACTGGCCGTGCTAAAACGGGTATGTGAAAGGAATTTCTCTAAGTGCCTGTTAAAATTCTTGGCAACTCAAAGGTGACAATGCTTTAATTTCAGGGTAATACTACAGCTTTATGACTTAGTAGTTTTATTTAATGGCCCAATTTAGCAGGAGATTATGCCTTCTGCCACTAGTCCAGAGAGACCACTTTAAAGCTCAGCCCTTCAACACACGCAGAGCAGCTCCAGAGCTTCGCCTAAGAGACCAGCCTTCTGGAAGCCCTATGTGGTCACCACACTTTGGTCAACATCATAAACCCATTAGAGAGAAAAGAGAGACACTTAAATAAAAATTCCCACCTCTAAGCTGTTAAATTACTATTCTTCAGCCTAAAATAGTCCTCTGGAAAAGCTTCATTTACAGAAAGCAAATTGTCCCTCTGAAATATAAGCAACAATACAAGTATTATTCCAACTGATTAAACTACCAGTGAGCCACAGCACATATGTCACCCATGAGTGAGTCTCAACCAGGAAACAATGCTTGTGCCACCAGGGGACTCAGCTTGTGAGCTCCTCCCTAGGATGAACTAAACCTGCTGTCCCTAAAGACAGTGGATGTGTTTCCAAGGAAAGGCAAAAGAAGATAAGGAGAAGGATCTAGGCTTTCTTTCCCACCTTCTCTGTGACTGTCACTTTCTGACATTGTTTACATGTTAACTCATTCAATTGACTATGTGGCAACCATAAAAAGCTGTCATCATCACCCTCCTTTTACAGACAGAGAAACTAAAGTATAAAGATGGAGGGTTTTACTCATGTCCCCACAAAGTAATTAGACAATAATATAGTAATTCAGAAGGTGTAGTGATTATGGGCACTGTTCTAAGAGTTTTCATTGATGCATATAAACTTATAAAGATTCACAACCATGCCCTTCAAACATTGTAAGCCATGGGTAGGAGATGGGAATTTATTCAGGTAGAGGTGGAAGGGATGGGGAGACATGGCCATCCCTGTGTTTTTTAAAGATCAGCCTAGCTGTTGTGTGAATTATGAATCACGATGGGGAAAGCTGAAGACATGGGCATTTTTTCCCACAAGGACATGAGATTATAAAGTCTGTGAACTTGCAGGACCATATCTTAATCATTTCTATATTCCCAGTGGCTTGTCAGTGCCTGGCCAGAACAGATAACCAATGAATATTGATTCAACATAGTAGAGGAAGTGTTGCCACCCATGCCTTACTACCCTTTGATAAAAAGCACAGCATACAGGGCAGAAGCTTCATCTCTAGACAGCTATAATTGGTATCCTGTTTCTAGTACTTACTAGCCTCATTCGTGCACTTATAAAATAAAAATTATTCCAGCTACTTCATCATAATGCATGTTGTACTAGCTTGGTACCCTGTAGATATTCTGTGCAATATTTTACAGTCTGTAATCAAATGACAACTTTGTGGTAACAATACTTTTGCAATGATGATTACCCAACTTGTGATAAAAAAGCAAACTTCAGAACTTGAACTCAGCTTGCTTTTGTATAAGCCTGAAGTAGGGCAATGGAAGTTGACACTTGTGCATGTGTGAGTGTGTGTGTGAGTGTGTGTGGGTTTTGAAAGTAGAGTGTTTTCCAATGAGATATCGTGTCACACCAATCAGGATGGCTACAATTAAAAAGTAAAAACAACAGACGCTGATGACACTGTGGAGAAAAAGGAATGCTTTTACACTGTCGGTGGGAGTATAAATTAGTTCGCCCATTGTGGAATACAGTGTGGCAATTCCCCAAAGACCTAGAGGCAGATATACCATTTGACCCAGCAATCCTGTTACCGGTTATATACCCAAAGGAATCTAAATCATCCTTTTATAAAAATACATGCATGTGTATGTTCATTGCAACATTATTCACATTAGTAAAGACATGGAATCAACCTAAATGCCCACCAATGATAGACTGGATAAAGAAAATATAGTTCATATGCACCATGGAATACTATGCAGCAATAAAAAGAAATGAGATCATGTCTTTGCAGGGACATGGATGGAGGTGGAAGCCATTATCCTCAGCAAACTAACATAGGAACAGGAAAACCAAACACCACATGTTCTCATCTACAAGTGGGAACTGAATGATGAGAACACATGGACACATGGAGGGGGAACAACACACACTGGAGCTTGTCAAAGGGTGGGGGTTCGGGGGTGGGAGAGCATCAGGAAGAATAGCTAATGGATGCTGGGCTTAATATCTAGGTGATGGGGTGATCTGTGCAGCAAACCATCACGGCACACGTTTACCTATGTAAAAAACCTCCACATCGTGCATATGTAGCACTGAACTTAAAATAAAAGTTGAAGAAAAAAAAAGAAAGTAGAGTGTTTTCAAACAGGAATCTGCAAGGAGATACCAGTACCAAATTGTATTACAGATACAAATCACGTAATCAACTAAATTCTACTTACTTTGCTATATGATACAGCTGGCAAAATTAACAACATCCTAAGAAGGCTGGGGAGAAATAAATGTTTCATAACCAGTGGTCCCATTTTATGTCATGGATCATTCTCATTTCCCCTACACTGGCAGACCTGGGTGCAGCCCACAGGTAAATTCACTGACATCGCTCTAACTTCAGGAAGCAAGGCTACCAATTTAGGCCAAACCACATGGATACATTTCTTTCTTTATGTCAATACCTGGGATGATAATCTATTACTGCAATCACACTGCACAATTATGTGCAGAAATATTGGAGAGACCTCAATTGCAGCTTTCTACCTACTCCATTATGCATGCTTTGATGAGTTTTAATGAAAACAGAGGCTGCTGCCAAAGGAGTGAGAAACAGAGCATCATAATAGCCAGAGTGACAAGATATGGAGACTTGTAAGTTGGTTTGCAAATGGATTATGAGCTGTTTGAGAATGGAAAATAAGTTTCGCTTTAGAGATTTGACTAAATGTTCCTTGCAAATTCCTTGTAATGCCTGATGATTGCCTTACAGATCCACATGCATGAAATTGGCATTGAATCCATCAAGATAAGAAATAAATGTGTTTTTGCTAGTGATTCTAGACAAACAATTTTGCATATCAATGTACAATTGTACTGTACAAAGGAAAAACAGTATACAGCTAAGAAATATCTTTTAACACATTGACAGTGTGTCCTGTTAACATTAAAAAAGGCACAATGTAAACTGAGTAGAATCAGTTTAATGTCAAGTTTCAAGGAAAATCTTGTCAGGGTGCCTCACCCTTATAATTCTGTTTTATCAATATTGAAGGAGTCCCAGCAGAAATGCTCTCTCCAGGCTCCAAGAGCCTCTGAAATCTCATGGTGCCTATACAAGTAAAGATTCTATTTCTATCGCTGGCAAAGGTGATAGCTATCTTTCATGACTAGAATGACTATGTAATATCATTCATACTATGTCAACTGTAAGAGTGGTTGTAGACACAATTAATAATCACACCATGACATTACATTAGCATATTAAATGACCATCTACTTTTTAAGGCTAGAAAGTTTGCATATATATGTGTGTGTGTGTGTGTGTGTGTGTGTGTGCATGTGTGTGTGTGTGTAGCATATATATATATGCTAATTCTCACAATCTTACATGTCACCAATTTTTTATTGTCTCCACACTACTGATAAAAAAACCAAGATCTAGAAATGTTAGATGATTTATCCAAGGCCATCCAGCTAGAAAAACCAAGATCTAGAAATATTAGATGATTTATCCAAGGTCATACAGCTAGAATGTGCTAGAATTTAAACTCCAGTGTGACTCCAAATCATATTTCTACCCATTAGTCATTTCTATGTTTGAAGGAAACAGCAACTTGGAGAGAGGTTGAGCAGCAACAAACAGTCATGAAGGCAGTGAGGAACAGATGGGCACTCTGTACTCTTGGACTTATAGAAGGCATTGCAAAGAGTAGGAATGACTCAAGCTCAGTCAAGATTAAATACTGAGGCTGTTTCCAACATCCCAAACTGTTATTGATTTAATGGAACAGGGCTTGAGTCAAAGATAGATTATGGAAACAGGAAAGAAAAAAACGGGAAAGATAGAAATTAGTCTTCAATTTGGCAGTGATTTCTCAGAGTTCAATTTACACTAGACTCATTCAAGTGTGTATAAAAGTAGATCCAAAGATTCATCACACCCTGTTCCTTATTTTCCAACAAGGAGCTCACAGCCCTGTGGGGACACATAGGTAAACACTGCATTATAATGCAGTGTGATTAATGTCATGAGCAGAACACAGAGTAGGGGCATTAAACCCATCTTGAGACACCCAAATGGATGAGTCAGGGTTGTCCAGAGACAGAACTACCTGAATAAACTAAACTGTGTGTGTGTGCACTACATATATATATATATATATATATATATATGAATGAGACAGTGAGAGAAGGAGTATATATATATATATATATATATATATATATATATATATATATGAATGAGACAGTGAGAGAAGGAGATTGATTTTCAGGAAATTGGATTATGAAGGTTTAGTATGCCCAAAATCTGCAGGGGAAGCTGGCAGACAAGAGACCCAGGAAGTAGCTGCAGTTCCAGACCAGAGACATCTGCTTTCAGAATTCCTCCTCATTTGGGAGAGGTTAGTGTTTGTTCTATTAAGGCCTTCAACTGATTGGATGAGGTCCATCCCCATTATGGAGGTCAATCTGCTTTGCTCAAAGTCCACTGATTTAAATGTTTATCTCATCCAAAAACACTTTTACAGGAAACATTCAGGACAGTATGTTCACATATTAGGTACCATGTTCCAGCCAAGTTGATACATAAAATTAACCATCACCCCAAGGGCAGATCGCCCCACCTCAGAAGCCGATTCTTCTGTTTTATCAACCCAAGCTTCCTATACAGCCACCTCAGGTGTTCACGGATTTCAATTAGTTACTGTGACCTGCTCTTTCTCCATTTCTTTTATATGGGACCCAGTTCCAAGAACTCCTTTTCTTCCTGGTGACATCTCACCCATCCTGCAAGGTCTCCTTATGTGCATTTTCATCCAGAAACCCAATTCTTAGTCCCCAGTGGACTCCTGGTTGTCTCAAATGCATCTTTCCCTACCGACCCAATTAGATTGGTGCAGCAAAGGATGATCACAAACTCCTACATCATTGGCTGAAATGCTCTGCATCCATTCCAGATTTTTATCATCCGATGGAGGTATGAAGCCGAGAACTACCTTTTGACAAAATATTACGTTTAAGCATGTCACAGTTTTTCTTACTTATTTACTTGTTTCTAGGTTGTTTATAAATTGAGTACCTGTATTAAATCTTGGAGTAGGTCATTTTCTAAATATCTTATTCAGTGTGTGTTTCTTACATTCATTCTAACCTTAGTGCCATTTAACCCATAAAGAGTGGTCTTTTCTTGTTCAGGTTAAAATTGATTTAACAAGTCTACGCTTCATTTATTTGGATGGTTTGTGAATTCCACTTACAGCCCCTACCCTCACCACCATCCTTAATTCTTATGAATTTTAATCATTTTCCCCAGACGTTTTTGGTCAGTCCTTTAAGCAGGTCAATATGGAAATCTTCCACTTGCCCCACCAGTTCCACTTTCTGCACATCTCCAGCCTTCTCTGTGCGCAGGAAGGCTGACTAAAAGCATTCTATCAATACGCACTCCTGCATTCTCGATTCTAGTTGGGTTTCATCAGAGGGGAGCATAGAAAGGAGCCTAGAAGGAGCAACGAGAGACTGAGGTCAAAGTGGTCACTGGATTGAGCTGGCTGCTTCCCACACAGGGGGCCACAGATCTCCAGAGGCACAGCTTCTGAACATGTGCCTTTTTCCCACTCTGTTAGTATCTCTGTGCTATAGTCCCTACACTATAAATTCCTTTTATATATTCACACCTTTATGAATAGTCCCTAATTTGAACAAGCCATACGAGAGATCCACTGTCCTCAAGATATGGGGTCAGTGCTAAGGTCCATGCATGCTGTGAGGACATCTTGTTGCTACCTCTTAGTCTGTTGCTCATCTTTTTTTTTAATTTTTTTCAGGGCCAGCTAAATAGTCTCACATGCTGAAGAGCTATCTATGATAAAGCCATTCCTCCTTTTCTATTCTGTTGAATCTGAGACAGCAGATGTTTGTGCTGGGAAACTCTAGTTCAGATTACAGAGCTTCAACAGCCTTTGCTTGCTGCTGCTCAAGTCAATTTGATCCTTTCTCTTCTGTTCAGTCACAGCTTTATGAGATTTTCTGGGTTCCAACCTATCAAGTCAGCTCAGTGGGTTGGTGACTCCTAAAAACATGCAGGTTCTAGGGATGCTGGTCCTTTGTTCCTGCCCTTCATTCTGTCTTCCTGGAAATGCTTTCCTGCAGCTCTTGACCAGCTTCTACTCCTATTCAGGTTTCAGAGGCATTATCTGCTGCCCAGTAGCCTTCCCACTGCACACCAGGCTAGGTTAGGGTCTCTCCTGTGAGCTCCCAACAAGCACTATGCACACCTTGTCATTGTCCTTATACGTTAATTGCTGCTGTGTCATCTCCTTGATTAGTCTGTGAAGAAGACTGAAATAATACTATTAAGGGTTGAATTTTGTCACCAGAAAGATAATATATTGAAGTCCTAACCCTCCGTACCTGTGAATGTAATCTATTTGGAAAGAGATTCTTTACAGGCGTAAACAAGTTAAGATGAAGTCACACTCCATTAGGGTGGGCTTAATCCAGTATGAAGGGTATCCTTGTAAGAAGAAAAGAAATGGACACACAGGCACATGGGAGGAGAAGGCCACGTGACAACATCACATGAAGGCAGGGTAGCAATCTCTAGAAGGCAGAGATTAAAGTGCTGAGGCTGCAAGTGAAGGAGTGCCAAGGATTGAGCAAACCATCAAAAGCTAGGAAGTGGCAAGAAGAGATTCACCCTACAGGTTTAACAGGAAGTGTGGCACTGCAGGTACTTTTGGATTTCTGGGCTCTAGAACTGTGAGAAAATATACCTCTGTTTTATAAGTCACCCAGTCTCTGGTTCAAGCATAGCTTGTTTTATTGAACTTCACTTTACTGTGCTTCACAGATAGTTCATTAAAAAAAAAGTGAAGATTTGTGGCAACCCTATGTTGAGCAAGTCTGTCGGTACCATTTTTCCAATATTGTGTGCTCACTTCATGTCTCTGTGTTACATTTTGGTAATTTATGTATATTATTATTATAATTATCGTTATTATATTATATTATTATCATTGTTATATCCTTAGAGCCTGAACATTGGCAAGAGCCACGAATCCACCACTGCAATATTTCAAATTGTTTATTATTATTACATTTGCTATGGTGATCTGCGATCAGTGGTCACTAATGTTATTATTCTAATTGTTTTGGGGCATCATGAACTGCACCCATATAAGGCAATGAACTTAATTGACCAATATTGTGTGTTCTGACTGCTCTACTGGCCAATGATTTCTGTCTCTTTCCTTCTCCTTAGGCCTCCCTACTCCCTGAGATGGAACAATATCAAAATTAGGCCAAATAGTAACCCCACAATAACCTCTAAGAATTCAAGTGAAAGGAAGAGTGGCACATCTCTCATTTTAAATCAAAAGCTGGAAATGATTAACCTTAATGAGGAAGGTGTGTTGAAAGTGGAGATAGACCAAAAGCTAGGCCTCTTGTGCAAGTTAGCCAAGTTGTGAATGCAAAGGAAAAGTTCTTGAAGAAAATTAAAATGCTACTTCAGTGAACATGTGAATGATAAGAAAGCAAAACAGCCTTCTGGGTGATGTGGAGAAAATTTTAGCTGCTGAATAGAAGATCAAGCCAGGCACGACATTCCGTTAAACCAAAGCCTAACCCAGAGCAAGGCCCTAACCCTCTTCAATTCTATAAAGGCTGAGAGAGGTGAGGAAGCTGCAGAAGAAAAGTTTGAAGCTAGCAGAGGCCGGATCATGAGGTTTAATTAAAGAAGCCATCTTCGTAACATAAAAGTTTAAGGTGAAGCAGCAAGTGCTGATGTAAGTTACCCATAAGGTATAACAAAGATCATTGATGAAAGTGGCTACACTAAGCAATAGGTGCCATCTAAGATTATCAGAGGTAGAGAAGAGAAGAAAGACAATGCCTATCTTTAAAGCTTCCAAGGATAGGCTGTATCTCTTGGTAGGGACTAATGCAAGTGCTAATGCTCATTTGCCATTCTCAAAATCCTAGGATCCATAAGAATTATGCTAAATCTACTCTGCCTGTACTCTCTAAATGGAATAATAAAGCCTGGATGGGACCACATTTGTTGACAGCATGGTTTACTGAATATTTTAAGCCCACCATTGAGAACTCCTGTCCATAAACAACAAAAAAAGGATTTCTTTCAAAATATTACTGCTTATGGACAATGAACCAGGTCACTCAAGAGCTCTGATGGAGATCTACAAAGAGGTTAATGTTGTTTTCCTGCCTGCTATCACATTTACTCTGCAGCTCATGGATCAAGGAGTAATTTTGACTTTTCAGTCTTATTACTTAAGAAATACAGTTTATAAGTCTACAAATGCCATAGATAGTAATTCCTCCCATGTGTCTGGGCAAAGTAAATTGAAGACCTTCTGGAAAGCATTTGCCATTGTAGATCTCATTAAGAACATTCATGATTTATGGGAGAGGCCAAAATATCAAACAGGAGACTGGAAGAAGTTGATTCCAGTCCTCATGGATGATTTTGAGAAGTTCATTACTTCAGTGGAGGGAGTAACTGCAGATTTGGTGGAAATAGCAACAGAACTAGAATTAGAAGTGGAACCTGAAAATGTGACTGAACTGCTATATTCTCATGATAAAATTTTAACGGATGAGGAGTTGCTTCTTATGGATGAACAAATAAAGTGGCTTCTTGAGATGGAATCTACTCTTGGTGAAGAGGCTGTAAACATTGTTAAAATGACAACAAAAGGTTTAGAATATTCCACAAGCTTAGTTGCTAAAGCAGTGGCAGAATTTGGAATGATTGACTTCAATTTTGAAAGAAGTTCTACTGTGGGTGAAATGCTATCAAACAAAATTACACACTACACAGAAATCCTTCATAAAAGAAATAGTCAATTATGTGACATTCTTTATTGTAGTCTTATTTTAAGAAATTGCCGCAGCCACCCCAACCTTCAGCAACCACCATCCTAATCAGTTAGCAGCCACTAACATCTTTTTCCTCCACCAGCAAAAATGATGGGGTCTCTTAAGACTCACTGAAGGCTCAGAAGGTTGTTAGCATTTTTTAGCAGTAAAGTATTTTTTTAATTAAGACATAGACTTTGGTTTTTTTTTTTTTTGATATAATGCTATTGCACAATTAATAGTTTACCATGTAGTGTAAACATAACTTTTATATGAACTTGTGTCAGAGACATTTAAACCAGAGTGACTCCGTCTTGAATAGGGACTGGGTAAAATAAGGCTGAGACCTACTGGGCTGCATCCTCAGGAGGTTAAGGCATTCTTAGTCACAGGATGTGATAGGAGGGTGGCACAAGATACTGGTCACAAAGACCTTGCTGATAAAACAGGATGCTGCAAAGAAGCTGGCCAAATACCACCAAAACCGAGATGGTGACAAAACTGACCTCTGGTCATCCTCACTGCTCATTATACACTAATAATAATAGCCTCAGCATGCTAAGAGACACTCCCGCCAGAGCCATGACAGTCTACAAATGTCATGGCAACATCAGGAAGTTATCATACATGGTCTAAAAAGGGGAGAAACCCTCAGTCCTGGGAACTGCCCACCACTTTCCTGGAAAACTCATGATAAATCCCCCCTTGTTTAGCATATAATCCAGAAATAACCATAAAAATGGCCAACCAGCAACCGATGGGGCTGCTCTGCCTATGGAATAGCTATTCTTTATTCTTTTACTTTCTTAATAAACTTGCTTTAACTTTACTGTATAGACTCTCCCCAAATTCTTTCTTGAGTGAAGTCCAAGAACTTTCTCTTGGGGTCTGGATCAGGACCCCTTTGCGGTAATACTTGGAAACCAGAAAATTCATGTGACTTGCTTTATTGTGATACTCATTTTATTGCAGTGGTGTGAAATAAAACCAGTGTTATGTAGTTTGTTATAGAGCCCTAGGAAACTAATATAGACACACTATTAAAACTACAGCACTTTCACAGTGCCCACAATGCCCAAATTTATATTGAGTAAAATTATATTGGCTGAACCTTATTGTAAATCACTTAAAAAAATTGTTAAAAGTCTGACAAGTGTGTGTTCCTCTGGAAGCTTACTCTTTAACTTCCTTATCCATCACTTCACTCAATTCTCCAACCAAAAATTGTGCTCTCCCCGTCTCCCATCTGATAGCCCTGTGGTGAAGCAACTTAGAACATAGTTCCAAGGATGGCACCCCGTCAAAAGTGTGCGGAGGTCCAGATTCAGTCCACTTTATCAGTAAGCTTAATCATCTCCCTTAAGTTAATTTCCTTTCACAGAGATTATGGCTTTTTACATTACATAGGGTGGTTGCTGGTTGAGCATTTGGGGAACTCCCCTCCTGAAGACTGCCCTGTGTGCAGGTGAGATGCACAGACTTACATCTCCCAGGACAGGTTAGGGACTACTTTGCATATAGGAAGGGGGAGCTAACGTTCCCCAGGGTGCACTGTAAGAGGAGACAGCTGGGACTCAAATGTACTATTGCTTTCTACAATGGAAACCTGTCCATCTTCAGTCCCATGACATCCATTTGCAAGTATCTGTAGACTTCTTAGAAGAAAAGTCTCTTTTCTCTGGAACCTCAAAGAAAAGCTCAGAGAATTCTCAACGAGGAAAGGCTGTGGAAGCCAGAGGACCCAGATCTTAATTTTACAGATGTGGGCTTGGGCCCCAGGCACTTAACTGAGCTGACAGGCACAAGGTGCAGAAAGAGAGCTTGGTTTTCCTGCCTTCTGGTGCTCTGGACACCCATTCTGGGATTATCCCAGTGTTAAAGATAGCACAAGTTTCCTTCTGTTTCTTCTCTCCCTTCTTCCTGACTCTCTTCCCTGGACCACTGTGTCACACTTTTCATACTGTGATAAGTCACTCATGTTTTAACAACATTCAACTTATAAAATTTTCAAATAGAAAGATGCATATTTGATCATCATTACATGTATGTATCAGAAAATTGTTTTCCATTTAAATATGAGAGTTGTGTAGTTCAGCCTACACAGAGCTTTGCTTTTATTTTATTTTTATTTGTTTATTTATTTATTTGAGACAGAGTCTTACTCTGTCACCCAGGCTGGAGTGCAGTGGCACAATCTCGGCTCACTGCAATCTCTGCCTCCCAGGTTCATGTGATTCTCCTGCCTCAGCCTCCAAGTAGCTGGGACTACATGCATGCACCACAATACCTGGCTAATTTTTGTATTTTTAGTAGAGATGGGTTTTCACCATGTTGGTCAGGCTGGTCTCGAACTCCTGACCTCAAATGATCCTCCTGCCTTGGTCTCCCAAAGTGTTGGGATTACAGGCATGAATCACTATGCCTGGTCTGCTTTTATTTTTGCAGGTATTTTAAAAAACAAAAACAGAAAGTTAGACATCGTGCAGCTGAATATGACCCAAAAAAATCATATTCAAAATAAATACCCCACCATACGCATCAAGCTGATCAACTCGGGACACAATTCAGAGGCTCTGATTTCTTCAGGATCATATCAGCAAAACAGTAACCTTTAAATACAAGTACACACTCACCTTTAGCCATTCTTGGACAAATGATCAAACATAAACCCTGGGAGAAGGCTGTTGGATGGTGAGGCAGAGAGTTTCATGTACATGAAACCTATGTATCAGTCAGACTCTCTAAGTCCTTGTCCTTGCATTATTTTGAAGAGTTTAACATTTCTAAGCTATATTTATCTTAATTTCAATATATATTTTAATAGGGAAAATCTACACAACACATTAAAATTAAAATTTATAATTTAAATGTATATGTATATTTCTGTGTCTGTATGTATATATATAACATACACATTCATAGCAAAAACACACATAAACATTCATTTTAAAATGTCTTGAGGAAATTCTAATAATTTAATAACAATGGCAATCTCTGGATTGCGGATTACAGTTGGCTTTAATATTTCCTTCATACTTTTTTCCCTCAAAATTTCTTCAATTATTGTTACAAAATTTTCTAACAATAAAACAACACTTTAAAAACAAAATGTATGTAATAGAACATATCCAATTAACATTTTAGTGATATGAATTATTACTGAACCAGAAGGCTATGCCCGCTTCCTAAGTCTTGACTGTTAGTCACAGAATTTACCTTGAGCCAGTCATGAAATGCTCATATTCTCTTCCCTTCTACGTTAGATGGAGATAAAAAAAATGTCTGCCTCTGATTTTTGTTGTGAGGATGAAAAGAGATGGTATTTGTAAACTCCCAGCTCAATTCCCAGAGAGAGTCGAAGCTCAGTAATTGCTGTCCATTATACCACTCTTATTATTACAAGTCACACCTGGCCACTCAGCAGTGGGCATTTATCTCTTTTGCCTTATTTGCAGCCAAATTACTTTCCCTGTTTTTTGGAAAAGTGGAACAGGGACAATTTGCATCAGAATCACTTGAAAAGCTCAGTAAAAGTGCATTTACTGAATTGGAATTTCTGGGGCTGGGAAATCTGCCTTTTTAGCAAGAGTCCATATGTTAATTACATTTTTAAAATAACCGAGATCCACTGAGAAGCCTAGTTTTTGACCAGGTTGTTGAACACTATAGGTTACCACAACCATGAAAAGACAACAGGAGCACAATTTCTAATTATGTTACAGGGCTTTTGAAAAGCAGCTATCATACAACCATTTTGGAGAGATAAAGAAAGTTATTACGGAAATGCAAGGACGTGGCACCCAATGCCAGGTCACCAGCATTTTCTACGCAGACAGCATAGGACTTTGTATCCAGATGGGCAAATTACTGTGCTTCCTTACTCACCATTTCTTTCCAATAGTTTTCTTGCATTTAGCTGGAGATACCTCACGGTAGTGTTCCTGACTTTACTGCCTCATGAACAACAGCCACTGTGTCTTACTTTTCATACCCTCTGTATCTAAAACAGTGTCTGCCTACAGAAAGCACTCCATAAATGTGGTTGCTTTGTTGCAGAAAATCCTGAGGCCTGAAGGCTCAATGAGCCTAAAGAGGCCCCTACGTTCCTGCTTCATTACATGATGCAGCTGGCATCTCTGAAGACCAGTGCTTGAAACAAACAAACAAACAAAAAATGTGCGTGTGCCAATTAATGATGCTCATAATAGGAGTGCTTGCATAGCTGGATTTTTTTTTTTTTTTTTGAGACGGTGTCTCGCCCTGTCGCAGGCTGGAGTGCAGTGGCACGATCTCGGCTGACTGCAACCTCCGTCTCCCGGGTTCAAGCGAGTCTCGTGCCTCAGCCTCGGGAGTAGTTGGGATTAGTCACATGCCACCGCACCCAGCTAATTTTTGTATTTTTAGTAGAGACAGGGTTTCACCGTGTTGGCCAGGATGGTCTGGATCTCCTGACCTCGTGGTCTGCCTGCCTAGGCCTCCCAAAGTGCTGGGATTACAGGCGTGAGCCATCGCACCTGGCTGCATAGCTGGATTTTTAAATAATGATTACCTCAAGATTTGGTTTTGTGGAAATGTATTTCATGGTAAATTAAGGATCATATGTCATTTCTAAGCCCATGTAATGATTGCCTCTTACCATGTCCTTCTGCATTTGAGAAATAAGTTTAAGCTATCAAGAAATTTCCAGAGAAAAATGAAAAAACTCACCTTTTCATTTTGTTTTGTTTTGGTTAGGCATCTAAGAACAACCAGCCTGGCTAGCTGCTCCAATACACATGATTGTATCTAATTCTCACAGCTCTGGGGGTAGCCACTATTATTCTCATTTCACTGATAAAGCTCAGAGAAACTATAGTATTCACCTAAGGGTCATGCATCCCTTGGGGCCAGAGTGGAATCAAGCTTTCCAGCTTCCTGAGTCAGGGCTTCCCACTGATTTGGAGTTTTGTTTGTTTGTTTGCTTATTTACCTTTTCTTTCTGTTTTTGAGTTTCAGGAGAGAAAATGCCCTTGGAGGCCCTAAAGAAAACCACTGATAATTAATTCTTGCTTCAGTGAAACATTATCAAGACCATTAACAAGTTTTCTTTTTTCTGTCTCATGAAAATTAACCTAGCTGCAAATTTGCATTACTCACCAGAATACCATTTCCTCCCCAAAGGAGACCAGTTGGTCTTTCAAATTTTTATTCACGTAGGTATCCCCCTCCAGTGAATTTATTTTTGCTTCCTTCCATGAAGTGGGGTGGTTAAGTGTGAGTAGGGCTACTGCACCCTTACCAGTGATATTGCAGTACACCTGGAGAGGTCCCAGTGGGCCGCTGCCATCTGAGTCGATGTAGAAGAAGCCGGCTGTATTCCCCTGGTGCCTGTACACCTCGCAGGATTGCTCGTAGATGGCTGGAAAGACAAAGGCAGCAGAGATAAAACTTTGCTTGGCTCTGCATATCCCTTTGCAGGAATCAGTAACTCCTACTTAGATTTGCTCTATGTGTATTCATTTCCCTCCTTCTATATCCTTGACTTTTTCCCCAAGCCTTAACACACCAGTACCAGTGGCTTGATACTGATGTTTGACATTCAGATTTTCCATTCATCTCTCTCTCTCTCTCTTTTTATTATTATTTGTTTTAGACTGCAGTAGCACGATCACGGCTCACGGCACATTGCAGCCTCAAACTCCCAGGCTCAAGTGATCTCCCACTTCAGTCTCCCGAGTAGCTGGGAGTATAGGTGTGAGCCACCACCCTGACTAATTTTTTTAAAAAAATGTTTATAGAGATGGGGTCTCACTCTGTTATCCAGGTTGGTCTTGAACTCCTAGCCTCAACTGATTCTCCTGCCTCAGTCTCTCAAGCTGCTGGGATTATAGGCATGATCCGCCAGGCCCAGCCTTATTTTCCATTTATTTAAATTCATTCATTCTTTTAAAATCAGTGCAGAGGTAATGCCTCTCAAAATGTGGCCCCTCACCTCTTACATGGCCCTCCTCTTTGCTTATCTCTATGACCTTCCTCCTTGCTCCCACTGTATACTGAGCTTGGATCATCCAAATACCATTGTGTCTCTTTCAATGGGTTACAGAACCTGTAAGAGTAGTGGTCACGTGTCATTTGATGTTGTGCCCCAGCATCTAGCAGAGTGCAACAATCACAGCAGGGCCTGAGCCAATGTTTGACTCATGAATTAAAAAAATTACTGCTTACATACAGTATGGCTTTTTACTAATTAAAGACTTTTTCTTTTTTTTTTTTTCTTGAGGTAGAGTCTGCTCTGTTGCCCAGGCTGGAGTGCCGTGGCTTGATCTTGGCTCACTACAAACTCGCCTCCCGGGTTCAAGAGATTCTCCTGCCTCGGACTCCTGAGTAGCTGAGATTACAGGCACATGCCACCACGCCCAGCTAATTTTTATATTTTTAGTAGAGACGGGGTTTCACCATATTGATCAGGCTGGTCTCGAACTCCTGACCTCGTGATCCACCCACCTCAGCCTCCCAAAGTGCTGGGATTACATGTGTGAACCACTGCGCCTGGCCCAGACTGTCTTATTTTTATGTACCTAGTACTAAGTATAGTACATAACATGTAGTAAGTGCACAACGAAGTTCAGTTTATTTTGACTTAATAAGCATTTACTGAGTTCCTAATACGTGTCAACAGATGAGGTTGCCACCAGAGGATGGAACCATGGAGGAGGCAATAAATCTCTACCCCAGAAAGCTCACAGCTTGATTGGCAGCCACAAAAGTCTGCATGCTCAGATAGAGGCAGGTTCAGGTGTCCTGAGATAGGGAGCTTTGATAAATCTGCAAGTTTGGGAAATATATAAATTTTATTAGGCTAACATGAATAAATCTGTTGGGGGTATAAAGGAGACATCTACTGTCTCATATATGAGAATATAGAATGTTGTCTGATGCTTCAGACAAAATGCTGTTGCTCAGAGCAGCAGCTACATCTCCAATCATGTCACCCTATGATGCTTTAAACATTTCAGTGGCTCCCAACAGCTTTCAAGATATAGTACCAACTCCTCTCCTAGCCAACTCCTGCCCCTTGTGACTAATGTCCCATCCCAGGAAGAGGAAGCTGCAGTTTGTCATGATCAAATGTGAGGGGTGGCTCAAATAATTTATTACCAGGAAAGTTATGAAGCCTGAGAGGGTTTGACTTTTTATAAATTAGAGTGAACTCAAGGTTATCCTTGTTCTCATGGCATTCTCTCTTGCATTCCAGCAAACTTTCCGCAGCAGGAGGTATGTGGGAGTGCCACAATCTGTGCCCCACATTGTGAGCATAATGTACAGATTATTTTTGTTTGCCTAAACCTGATAATGCCCTTGGGTGTTTGTCACAAAGGTGAAAATCAGCTGTTGTCTATGTTGACCTCCCAACCACTCCCACATTCCCGGGATGACAGCTATGTGGAAGGAGTTGCTGTTGTCCCACAAAAGGGAAACACCACCCCACAGCATGTGAGCAGTTGCATAGTAGTTAAGAACATAAACCTTGGAATCAGAATGGGTGGTTTTTCCTGGCAGGGCTACCCCTTTCTCCCTGTGGAAGCGTGGACAAGCTACCCCACCTGTGCTAGGCAACCTCTAAGGTAATTCCCGTGATGGACAGATACTTCCTGGGATTCATGTTCTGCTGACAAAATCACATCCTCCCTCCAAGTGGGCTGGACTTACTGGCTTGCTCTAACAAATAGAATATGATAGTGTGGTAGATACCATTTCCAAGATTAGATTATAAAACAACAGTGACTTCCATCTTGGGTGTTCTAGGTCACTCACGGTGGTAGAAGCCAACTCCAATGTAACAAGGCAGCCCTTGCAAGAGGCCCACAGGAGTGAGCCTGGAAGTTTTGGTAGCATGCCCTGAGAATGGGCACCAAAGCAAGATCCCCATATCAAGCCTTAAAACGAAAGCAGCCCTGTGGACATCTTTTTTGCAGCTGCATGAGAGACCAAGACAGAACCACCTAGCTAAGTTGCTTACGGTCCCAGAGACACTCTGAGATGATAATGTCTGTTGTTTCCAGGTGTTGTTTTAGAATCCTTCATTACAATAGGTAGCTAATCAACTCTCGAAGTATAAATTGTCTCATTAGACTACAGTAACTCAAAAAGAGCCTCCCTCATACTGTTGTAGTAAGGATTCAAAGACACAATCCACATATGGCACATAGAAAGTGCTTGATTAATATGAGCCTATATTATTAATAGTAGTAGTGTTGTTTCATGACTTGTTGCCTCTCCTTTTTTTATGAGTTTTTAATATGGTTTCGCTGTGTCCTCATCCAAATCTCGTCTTGAATTGTAACTCCCACAATTCCCATGTGTTGTGGGAGGAACCTGGTGCGAGGTAATTGAATTAGGGGGCGGGTCTTTCCTGAGCTGCTCTCATGATAGTTAACGAGTCTCAAGAGATCTGATCATTTTTAAAAGGGAGAGTTTCCCTGCACCAGCTCTTTTTTCTTTGCCTGCCGCCATCCACTTAAGATGTGAATTGTTCCTCCTTGCCCTCTGCCATGATTGTGAGGTTTTCCCAGCCATGGGGAACTGTGAGTCCAATTAAACCTCTTTCTTTTGTAAATTGCGCAGTCTCAGGTATGTTTTTATCAGCAGCGTGAAAACGGACTAATACAGTTTTTGTATACCTGATTTTTTTTTTCAATTTTCATCATAAACCACAAGCCTTGGTATAAAAGATCAGTAGCTCCAACTTCCCTTCTGCACAGAAATAACTTTTCATTCTTAGTTCATTTTTCTGTTATTGACTGGAATGACTAAATAGCATGTCTATATTGTTACTTCTTATTTTTTTTTTACTTTTACAAGTTATCTATTTATTTAACAGTTGGAAAATGGGAATTTAGCCCTTTTTATCCCCCCATCCCCAAAATAAAAACAACTTTCCATTCCCCCATCCATCCAGTCTAGTTGTATAATAATTTTAGCTACATCAATGATTACTATTTTGGTGATATGACATTGTAAATGCTATTCATAGATTAACTACATATTATAATGTGATTACTTTTTCTTTTCTGAACAAAATTTAGTTTTTCTTGAAATTTAAAATTGTCATATTTTCTCATTTGCCTAGTTTTCTACATATAAATTGCTAATTTAACTCCAAATTTACTAACAACTATCTAAAATATCTACCAAAATGTTCAGGTAAGAATTAACATAAGAGGATAACTATGGAGAGAGAGAAAAATGTGGGAGGGGACAAAGATGAAAGTGAGACATTTCTGAATGTCTTATATTTTTAATTTTGAAACCATAAAACTATTTTCAATAATTTTTAAAAGTTAAATATAATAATTCTTTCTATTCTTTCTTTCTTTCTTTCCTTCTTTTTTTTTTTTTTTTTTTTTTTTGACAGAGTCTTGCTCGGTCACCCAGGCTGGAATGCAGTGGCATGCTCTTGCCTCACTGCAACCTCCGCCAGGTCCAAGCAATTCTCCTGCCTCAGCCTCCCGAGTAGCTGGGACTACAGGCACACACCACCGCATCTGGCTAATTTTTTCTGTTTTTAGTAGAGACAGGGTTTCACCATGTTAGTCAAGCTGGTCTCAAATTCCTGACCGTGTGATCCACCTGCCTCAGCCTCCCAAAGTGCAGGGATTACAGGTGTGAGCCACCACACTCAGCCTAGAATAATAGTTCTTAAACATTGAAAGAAAATGAAAACAAGATAATTTAACCAGGAATTATTTAAAGCAATATTGAAATTTAATATTTTCTTTTTAACTTTCTCATTGCAGAAACTTTCAAATACAAAGAGCACAGAGAGGATCCTGCTAGCATCACAACCAGCTTCAGCAACTCCCAGTATATTGCTAATCTTCCATCATCTATATCCTCAGTGCATCAGTTCTTTTGCTGTATAAAAACAAACACACATAAAACTCCAAATTTGACTTTAAGTCATGACTAAGCCATGATTCTGCAGGCCAGCCATTTAGTCTGGGATTGGCTGGGCAGTTCATGCATCTGCAGTCAGCTGCTGGGTCAGCCAGGCTGGGTGGTGGTAAGCTGTAGTTCTTTGCTTCGGCCCACGTGGCCTCTCACACTGTAGCAGGGGAGTTTACATGGTACAGCCTCCCAGAACAGCAAGAAACAAAGTACTTGTCAGGCCTCTGCTTGCATGATGTTTGCTGATGCCCCATTGCCCAAGGCAAATCAGTGAGGCATCCAAAATTCTCAGAAAAAAATCCCAAGAAGCTAAATGAAATGGATCAATAGGGTAGACATGGATTTTATCATTGTTTGACTTCATTGAACAGGTCACACAGCATGGGATGTGAACATAAAATAAATGTTTATTTCACTAAGTCATTGAGATCTTGGGGTGATTTACCATCTTAGTTAACCTACTGTTATTGATATACTTGTTCCTTAAATGCTGGCTCAGTAACTGGGAGATCTCTGAGGGCAAAGCCTGGTAACAGCATTGCCATTTATGGACACTGTAAATGAGTTCATAAAATATAAGTACTTTGCCCAAAGACAAACCAGCTTGTAGGTGGTTAATCTAATGCTATCATCCCTTCCTGATTTATTAATGGGAATGTTTTACAAAACTGAAACAACCTTCATCGTTTGATTTCCCTAAACTACAAGATTATTTGGGAAAAGCGAGTTACATGGTTGATGCTTTCACTTTAATTCATCAGTTTCGAAATGCTGAAATGTTTCCCTAGGGTGCCCCAAAGTAACGGATGAAAATATTTTTAGTATTATTATGAATGTATAGATTTAAACATATTTGATATTGAAACAGTAGTTTGACTAGTAGGATGTATCCTACCAAAAAAATTTAAAATATAAAAATACATTTAATAACCTCATTTTAAACGATATTGCTATTATATTATGAAACTATTAAACATAGCAAGAAAAAGCTAATAATTGTCTTATCAACAGAAACTAAATTACTTATCATAAAAGATAAAATATAAAATGCAAACAGATAAAATTCTGCAATATATCTTAGAATTGGTAATAAGCTTAAGCTTATAATTTAATGCTTTCAAAAAATGATGCATTTTCACATTTGGACCACTGAAAGTGCAAGAAGCAAATTAATGCACAGAGAGTTGTCTCTAAATAAAAGTTAACACATAAAAGGAAAAAAGATTTTACTGAGTCAATTTTGGGACCATGAAAAGTACAGAATGAAAGTGGAATGTCTTGCTTTGCCTAAAAACAAGACTTTTATTAAAGACTGGAATTATCTCAAAACAGCCCAGGAGTTAGTTTGATGGGACAATTTGGGCATAAAAAATAATAGTCACTTTGATTGTTAAATATATACAATTTATTAGTTTCTATCTATCCATCAATCAATTTATATATGTATGCATGTATGTATGTAGGTATGTATGTATATATGTATGTATGTATTTATTTATCTATCTATCTACCTACGTAGCATCTATCTTGTCTCTCTACTCAAGTCCATTGGTCCCCTCTGAAGTTTAATAGAGAATGAAGTCATGTCCTGAATATTAGAAAGAACAGAGATCATATCCTGTCTTTCTTGTATAAATGTATTTGAATGCAACTTAACAGTCCATGAAAAAAGTCTTTAGAGAATAACCAAACCAGAATCTGCAAAAGAATAATAGAATTTGAAAATCATCCTTTAGTAATGCCCAGTGAGATAAAGGATTAAACAATGATCATCAAGGACTGCCAAACCATTAGTTGAAACATTAATGGGATATTTTAGTCAGTGGATTCAATTAACACCTGAACTCATGGGTCAATCTTAACATCATGAAAAGTGATTATCAGGGTGCCTCTAATGTGGCACAATAAGACATATGTAACACCATCTAAAACACATTCTTGCCACAAAAATTGAAGATAAATGTATTCGAGCCCCAAGATCTAAACACCAATTTACAGAAAGAGGCCCACATGCCCAGCCACACTGTAAGAATGCAATTAGTTAAATCTACAATACTGGAATGTTTCACTTAGTTTCTTCAACAAAAATGGCAAAAATGGAGTTGAAATGCAAAAGATATATCAGTCAGTCAAACACTATGCTTAGATCTTGTTTAGACCCTAATTCAAACACATTAAAGAAAAGATGAGAAAGAAAGAAAGGAAGAAAAGAAGAAGGAAGGAAGGAAGGTAGGAAGGAAAGAAGGGAGGGAGGGAGGGAGGGAGGGAGAGAGGGAAGATGTTTTAAGATAACCACAAAAATTATAGATCAGATTTTATAACAGATTATATTAAGTATTTTTAATTTTGATAGTTACAATTATGGCAGTGTGATTATGTTTTAAAAGATGAGTTGTCCTGTGTTAGAGAGTTGTTCACTATGAATACTGTAGTTGTAGTAAAATTATATGTCCACAATTTGTTTCTAAAATTCTCCATCAGCTGGGCACAGTGGTTCACACCTGTAATTCCAACATTTTGGGAGGCTGAGGTGGCACAATCACTTGAGGCTGAGAGCTCGAGACCAGCCTGAGCAACATAGTTAGATCCCCGTTTTTACAAAAAATTTAAAATTAGCTGGGTGCGTAGCTTGTGCCTATAGTCTCAGCTACCCAGGAGGCTGAAGCAGAAGAGTAGCTTGAGTCCAAGAGTTTGAGCCTGCAGTGAGCTATGATTAAGCCACTGCACTCCAGCCTGGGTGACAGAGCAAGACCCTGTCTCAGTTTAAAAAAACACAAACAAACAAATAAATAAGATGTTGCATCAAACAAGTGAGGAGGGGATAGTCGAAATAAAAATGAGAGAATATTGATAACTGTTGAGCCTGAATGAAGGATACATGTGGGACAATTACATGATATTGCCTTTATTCTTTTTTTTTTTTTTTTTTTTTTGGTGAAGTCTTGCTCTGTCGCCAGGCTGGAGTGCAGTGGCATGATCTTGGCTCACTACAACCTCCGACTTCCTGGTTCAAGCTATTCTCCTGCCTCAGCCTCCCGAGTAGCTGGGATTACAGGCACATGCCACTATGCCCAGCTACTTTTTGTATTTTTCATAGAGATGAGGTTTCACCTGTTGGCCAGGCTGGTCTCGAACTCCTGACGTCGTGATCCACCCGCCTCGGCCTCCCAAAGTGCTGGGATTACAGGTGTGAGCCACCGCGCCTGGCCGATTTTATCTTTTTCATATGTTTGAAAATGTGTTTGAAAATCAAAAGTATCTTCTGGATTCTTCTGACTTGCTGTAATACGGGATATTGAGCTACCCGTCTGGTTACAGTTGTCTCCCCAAAGCATCTCCTCACCCTCAAGCTGGATATTCCTTTTAAAACTGGCCTTTTTCACTAAAAATAATTCCCTTGAGATCCATTCAAGCTTTGTGATGTATCAGTTGTCAATTCCAGTTTCACTGCTGAGTAGTATTTCATAACATGGACATACTACAGTTTAATAATTAATCCACTGAAGAACATTTGGGTTGTTTCCGTTTTAAGCTATTTCAGTTGTAGTATTTTTAAAATTATAGAAGATTGGTTTTTTTCCTTTGAATATTATTTTCTCTAATAGCACGTGATGCTTGACTCATTGACGCAATACTTCATTCATGTCTCTAAGAATATTAATCATATTACAGTACCTTTGATCCTTTCTTTGCTCCGTATAGGCTGTTCCCTTTAAGCTGTGCTTGTTTGGTTAATTGCTTTAATTGTTGTGTGTTTTGTTTTGGTCTCTATCTTACATTTCATGTAATAGTGCTTTCTGGGATGTTCTCTCGTATTTGATAGTGGTCCCTGAAATACTACTTGGTATTTGTAAACAAATGTCTGTGGTTTGCCTTCCAAGGACTTTAATGTAGGCTTATCTGGCTGAAGAATTTTGTGAGAAATGCTCACGTTAGTGTCTTTTGTCTTTCTCTTGCTCTTGTTAGAGTCTATGATTTAGAGGATGTATGCTTGGCTGTGGAATATCTCGGAGCTGAAGAGAAGAAGGCCAGGTCTTAGCATTCTTTCTATATAAATGTTTTCATACCTTACCCCATTTTCAATATGGTACAACCTTCTTCAACCATACATGTTTTCTCTCAGTTTTAGGAATTGTGTTTTCTCCAAAAGAAAAACTTCCAGTCTTCTCTCTCAGTGGTGAAGGAGCAATCACCAAGTGTCCACAACTGGAAAGAGGATTGATAATCTAACTACTTCTTACACAGATGTAGATTTACTCTTCCTGTATTTATCTTACCTTCACCTTCACTTGCAAAGGTGACTGATGATTCCTACTTCTGTGCCTTTGGGGGATTTTGTAATGTGGATTTGTTTGTTTCTTGGATTTCACTGCATGTAAATTAAGATTCAGCATTATAATTATGTTAATCTGTTACCTGTTCCTATTCGTCTACTCACTTTCTGCTTTCAACATTTTCTTGCCCTTTTCCCCTGTGGTTTTTGCTTCTCTCTTTCTCTCTCTTTCTCTCTCTCTCTCTCTCTCTCTCTCTCTCTCTCTCTGAGTATTGTTGTTGTATTTTGGGGGTTTTTGTGTGTGTGCCCCTGTATTTGTCTCCTTTTGTCATGCCATTGTGGTGGATTCGAGTTGTGTCAATTTAAGCCAAACTGGAACTACATTTACCAGAATTCCTTTCCTTGCATAGCTCTGGTCAGCATATCCCACAACAGACATTTTACATGAGATGCGGCAGGTGCAAGAGCATAGCACAGACATTGATTCCATGTGTGTAAGGTCAATGAAGGGCAGGATGTGCTACTGTAGATTTACACACATCATTGCTCATCTACTGATACATGTTACTAGTGTGTGGCAGCCAGATGGGCTCATCTACTGATACATGTTACTAGTGCGTTACTCCAGATGGGCTACCTTCTCCTTCAGCTTCCCTCATTTCTAGCCTAATTTCTAGCCAGGTGAATTTTCAGTCTCCTATGAGCACCCCATCACTGAAGTTGCTGTTTTGGAGATGGTAAACGACAAAGAGTTCCTCTGATTTGCTGCTGGCTTACAGAGCCATTAAAAAATAAAAATAAAAAAAAAACCATTTACTATTCTTCATGAGGAGTGTAAGGAAACAAAGTTAAACACACATGTGCAATTCACCAACTGTTTCAGGAAGTACAAGCATACACTTTTGTTTACTAAATTATTCGGCCTACATTGCTTGCCTAACACATTATGGAACAAATACTCCACACACGTTTATTGAGAATGCACTTGTTTTTCACTAATCTAAGGTAAGCTCTGAGAAAATCACATGCAAAAAAAAAAGACATGGTTCTAAATCTCAAGTTATTCAGCGTCTTAAACTTACCAACATTAACCTCAATCTGACACAAAATTTAAATCGACCTGTTCCTATAAAAAATAGGAAAAGTATTTAAGGAGCTCCCCCCAACCCATGAGTTTGAGGCTGCAATAAGCCACATTTTTGCCATTGCATTCCAGCCTGGGTCACTGAGTAAGTAATACTCCATCTCCAAAAACAAAAACAAAAACAAAAAAACTCCCTGAGATAATAGAGTAAGATTGTAATATTGTGAGAGTAAATGGTTTCTCAAATGAACCTTTTAAAGAACAAATCATCTCACTGGTACTTCTATTTCTCCAAAGAACAGAAGAAGAAAGATATCTTCCCATCTTCCACATTTGTTATGTAAAGTAAATGCAAAGCTGATCCTTAACCTGACAAACATCATAAAGAAAGAAAACCAAAATTATAGAATCACTCATGAATATCAATCACAAAATTTTAAATATAGTGTCAGCAAACAGAACTAAATAACGTATTTTAAAATTACATAATGGCCAAGGGAATGTTTAATCCAAAAAATCAAGAGAGGTTCAATATTTAATAATTTATCTAAATATTTAAATAAATAATTCACAACTATAGATATTTGTTGATAAAGGCAACTCAAATCAGTAGAAAAACAAAAAAAATTACATGTGGTATTGAGATAATTGGGAAACTATATGGAAAAAGATGAAATTAAATCCACTCCTCATACTGCAGACCACGATCAAATTTTAATTGAATCAGAGATTTAAATATTGAAGGTGGGAGGAGCCAAGATGGCCGAATAGGAACAGCTCCGGTCTACAGCTCCCAGCGTGAGCGACGCAGAAGACGGGTGATTTCTGCATTTCCATCTGAGGTACCGGGTTCATCTCACTAGGGAGTGCCAGACAGTGGGCGCAGGCCAGTGGGTGTGCGCACCGTGCGTGAGCCGAAGCAGGGCGAGGCATTGCCTCACCTGGGAAGCGCAAGGGGTCAGGGAGTTCCCTTTCCGAGTCAAAGAAAGGGGTGACGGACGCACCTGGAAAATCGGGTCACTCCCACCCGAATATTGCGCTTTTCAGACCGGCTTAAAAAACGGCGCACCACAAGACTATATCCCACACCTGGCTCGGAGGGTCCTATGCCCACGGAATCTCGCTGATTGCTAGGACAGCAGTCTGAGATCAAACTGCAAGGCGGCAGCGAGGCTGGGGGAGGGGCGCCCGCCATTGCCCAGGCTTGATTAGGTAAACAAAGCAGCCGGGAAGCTCAAACTGGGTGGAGCCCACCACAGCTCAAGGAGGCCTGCCTGCCTCTGTAGGCTCCACCTCTGGGGGCAGGGCACAGACAAACAAAAAGACAGCAGTAACCTCTGCAGACTTAAATGTCCCTGTCTGACAGCCTTGAAGAGAGCAGTGGTTCTCCCAGCACGCAGCTGGAGATCTGAGAATGGGCAGACTGCCTCCTCAAGTGGGTCCCTGACCCCTGACCCCCGAGCAGCCTAACTGGGAGGCACCCCCCAGCAGGGGCACACTGACACCTCACACGGCAGGGTATTCCAACAGACCTGCAGCTGAGGGTCCTGTCTGTTAGAAGGAAAACTAACAAACAGAAAGGACATCCACACCAAAAACCCATCTGTACATCACCATCATCAAAGACCAAAAGTAGATAAAACCACAAAGATGGGGAAAAAACAGAACAGAAAAACTGGAAACTCTAAAATGCAGAGCGCCTCTCCTCCTCCAAAGGAACGCAGTTCCTCACCAGCAACGGAACAAAGCTGGATGGAGAATGATTTTGATGAGCTGAGAGAAGAAGGCTTCAGACGATCAAATTACTCTGAGCTACGGGAGGACATTCAAACCAAAGGCAAAGAAGCTGAAAACTTTGAAAAAAATTTAGAAGAATGTATAACTAGAATAACCAATACAGAGAAGTGCTTAAAGGAGCTGATGGAGCTGAAACCCAAGGCTCGAGAACTAAGTGAAGAATGCAGAAGCCTCAGGAGCCGATGCGATCAACTGGAAGAAAGGGTATCAGCAATGGAAGATGAAATGAATGAAATGAAGCAAGAAGGGAAGTTTAGAGAAAAAAGAATAAAAAGAAATGAGCAAAGCCTCCAAGAAATATGGGACTATGTGAAAAGACCAAATCTACGTCTGATTGGTGTGCCTGAAAGTGATGCGGAGAATGGAACCAAGTTGGAAAACACTCTGCAGGATATTATCCAGGAGAACTTCTCCAATCTAGCAAGGCAGGCCAACGTTCAGATTCAGGAAATACAGAGAACGCCACAAAGATACTCCTCGAGAAGAGCAACTCCAAGACACATAATTGTCAGATTCACCAAAGTTGAAATGAAGGAAAAAAATGTTAAGGGCAGCCAGAGAAAAAGTTCGGGTTACCCTCAAAGGGAAGCCCATCAGACTAACAGCGGATCTCTTGGCAGAAACCCTACAAGCCAGAAGAGAGTGGGGGCCAATATTCAACATTCTTAAAGAAAAGAATTTTCAACCCAGAATTTCATATCCAGCCAAACTAAGCTTCATAAGTGAAGGAGAAATAAAATACTTCACAGACAAGCAAATGCTGAGAGATTTTGTCACCACCAGGCCTGCCCTAAAAGAGCTCCTGAAGGAAGCGCTAAACATGGAAAGGAACAACCGGTACCAGCCGCTGCAAAATCATGCCAAAATGTAAAGACCATCGAGACTAGGAATAAACTGCATCAACTAACGAGCAAAATCACCAGCTAACATCATAATGACAGGATCAAATTCACACATAACAATATTAACTTTAAATGTAAATGGACTAAATGCTCCAATTAAAAGACACAGACTGGCAAATTGGATAAAGAGTCAAGAGCTGTATTCAGTGTGCTGTATTCAGGAAACCCATCTCACGTACAGAGACACACATAGGCTCAAAATAAAAGGATGGAGGAAGATCTACCAAGCAAATGGAAAACAAAAAAAGGCAGGGGTTGCAATCCTAGTCTCTAATAAAACAGACTTTAAACCAACAAAGATCAGAAGAGACAAAGAAGGCCATTACATAATGGTAAAGGGATCAATTCAACAAGAGGAGCTAACTATCCTAAATATATATGCACCCAATACAGGAGCACCCAGATTCATAAAGCAAGTCCTGAGTGACCTACAAAGAGACTTAGACTCCCACACATTAATAATGGGAGACTTTAACACCCCACTGTCAACATTAGACAGATCAACGAGACAGAAAGTCAACAAGGATACCCAGGAATTGAACTCAGCTCTGCACCAAGCAGACCTAATAGACATCTACAGAACTCTCCACCCCAAATCAACAGAATATACATTTTTTTCAGCACCACACCACACCTATTCCAAAATTGACCACATAGTTGGAAGTAAAGCTCTCCTCAGCAAATGTAAAAGAACAGAAATTATAACAAACTATGTCTCAGACCACAGTGCAATCAAACTAGAACTCAGGATTAAGAATCTCACTCAAAGCCGCTCAACTACATGGAAACTGAACAACCTGCTCCTGAATGACTACTGGATACATAACGAAATGAAGGCAGAAATAAAGATGTTCTTTGAAACCAACGAGAACAAAGACACAACATACCAGAATCTCTGGGACGCATTCAAAGCAGTGTGTAGAGGGAAATTTATAGCACTAAATGCCCACAAGAGAAAGCAGGAAAGATCCAAAATTGACACCCTAACATCACAATTAAAAGAACTAGAAAAGCAAGAGCAAACACATTCAAAAGCTAGCAGAAGGCAAGAAATAACTAAAATCAGAGCAGAACTGAAGGAAATAGAGACACAAAAAACTCTTCAAAAAATCAATGAATCCAGGAGCTGGTTTTTTGAAAGGATCAACAAAATTGATAGACTGCTAGCAAGACTAATAAAGAAAAAAAGAGAGAAGAATCAAATAGACACAATAAAAAATGATAAAGGGGATATCACCACCGATCCCACAGAAATACAAACTACCATCAGAGAATACTACAAACACCTCTACGCAAATAAACTAGAAAATCTAGAAGAAATGGATAAATTCCTGGACACATACACTCTCCCAAGACTAAACCAGGAAGAAGTTGAATCTCTGAATAGACCAATAACAGGAGCTGAAATTGTAGCAATAATCAATAGTTTACCAACCAAAAAGAGTCCAGGACCAGATGGATTCACAGCCGAATTCTACCAGAGGTACAAGGAGGAACTGGTACCATTCCTTCTGAAACTATTCCAATCAATAGAAAAAGAGGGAATCCTCCCTAACTCATTTTATGAGGCCAGCATCATTCTGATACCAAAGCCGGGCAGAGACACAACCAAAAAAGAGAATTTTAGACCAATATCCTTGATGAACATTGATGCAAAAATCCTCAATAAAATACTGGCAAAACGAATCCAGCAGCACATCAAAAAGCTTATCCACCATGATCAAGTGGGCTTCATCCCTGGGATGCAAGGCTGGTTCAATATACGCAAATCAATAAATGTAATCCAGCATATAAACAGAGCCAAAGACAAAAACCACATGATTATCTCAATAGATGCAGAAAAAGCCTTTGACAAAATTCAACAACCCTTCATGCTACAAACTCTCAATAAATTAGGTATTGATGGGACGTATTTCAAAATAATAAGAGCTATCTATGACAAACCCACAGCCAATATCATACTGAATGGGCAAAAACTGGAAGCATTCCCTTTGAAAACTGGCACAAGACAGGGATGCCCTCTCTCACCGCTCCTATTCAACATAGTGCTGGAAGTTCTGGCCAGGGCAATCAGGCAGGAGAAGGAAATAAAGGGTATTCAATTAGGAAAAGAGGAAGTCAAATTGTCCTTGTTTGCAGACGACATGATTGTTTATCTAGAAAACCCCATCATCTCAGCCCAAAATCTCCTTAAGCTGATAAGCAACTTCAGCAAAGTCTCAGGATACAAAATCAATGTACAAAAATCACAAGCATTCCTATACACCAACAACAGACAAACAGAGAGCCAAATCATGAGTGAACTCCCATTCACAATTGCTTCAAAGAGAATAAAATACCTAGGAATCCAACTTACAAGGGATGTGAAGGACCTCTTCAAGGAGAATTACAAACCACTGCTCAAGGAAATAAAAGAGGATACAAACAAATGGAAGAACATTCCATGCTCATGGGTAGGAAGAATCAATATCGTGAAAATGGCCATACTGCCCAAGGTAATTTACAGATTCAATGCCATTGCCATCAAGCTACCAATGCCTTTCTTCACAGAATTGGAAAAAACTACTTTAAAGTTCATATGGAACCAAAAAAGAGCCCGCATCGCCAAGTCAATCCTAAGCCAAAAGAACAAAGCTGGAGGCATCACACTACCTGACTTCAAACTATACTACAAGGCTACAGTAACCAAAACAGCATGGTACTGGTACCAAAACAGAGATATAGATCAATGGAACAGAACAGAGTCCTCAGAAATAACACCACTTACCTACAACTATCTGATCTTTGACAAACCTGAGAAAAACAAGCAATGGGGAAAGGATTCCCTATTTAATAAACGATGCTGGGAAAACTGGCTAGCCATATGTAGAAAGCTGAAACTGGATCCCTTCCTTACACCTTATACAAAAATCAATTCAAGATGGATTAAAGATTTAAACGTTAGACCTAAAACCATAAAAACCCTAGAAGAAAACCTAGGCATTACCATTCAGGACATAGGCGTGGGCAAGGACTTCATGTCCAAAACACCAAAAGCAATGGCAACCAAAGCCAAAATTGACAAATGGGATCTAATTAAACTAAAGAGCTTCTGCACAGCAAAAGAAACTACCATCAGAGTGAACAGGCAACCTGCAACATGGGAGAAAATTTTCGCAACCTACTCATCTGACAAAGGGCTAATATCCAGAATCTACAATGAACTCAAACAAATTTACAAGAAAAAAACAAACAACCCCATCAAAAAGTGGGCGAAGGACATGAACAGAAACTTCTCAAAAGAAGACATTTATGCAGCCAAAAAACACATGAAAAAATGCTCATCATCACTGGCCATCAGAGAAATGCAAATCAAAACCACTATGAGATATCATCTCACACCAGTTAGAATGGCAATCATTAAAAAGTCAGGAAACAACAGGTGCTGGAGAGGATGTGGAGAAATAGGAACACTTTTACACTGTTGGTGGGACTATAAACTAGTTCAACCATTGTGGAAGTCAGTGTGGCGATTCCTCA
Source organism: Homo sapiens (assembly GCF_000001405.40). Lineage (NCBI taxonomy): Eukaryota > Metazoa > Chordata > Mammalia > Primates > Hominidae > Homo > Homo sapiens. The sequence continues at coordinate 124,593,696 of NC_000002.12, read as the reverse complement.
GGGATCTAGAACTAGAAATACCATTTGACCCAGCCATCCCATTACTGGGTATATACCCAAATGACTATAAATCATGCTGCTATAAAGACACATGCACACGTATGTTTATTGCGGCATTATTCACAATAGCAAAGACTTGGAACCAACCCAAATGTCCAACAATGATAGACTGGATTAAGAAAATGTGGCACATATACACCATGGAATACTAGGCAGCCATAAAAAATGATGAGTTCATGTCCTTTGTAGGGACATGGATGAAATTGGAAACCATCATTCTCAGTAAACTATCGCAAGAACAAAAAACCAAACACCGCATATTCTCACTCATAGGTGGGAATTGAACAATGAGATCACATGGACACAGGAAGGGGAATATCACACTCTGGGGACTGTGGTGGGGAGGTGGGAGGGGGGAGGGATAGCATTGGGAGATATACCTAATGCTAGATGACGAGTTAGTGGGTGCAGCGCACCAGCATGGCACATGTATACATATGTAACTAACCTGCACTATGTGCACATGTACCCTAAAACTTAAAGTATAATTAAAAAAATAATAATAATAATAAATAAATAAATAAATAAATATTGAAAAATAGAATACATACATGTACTAGAGAAAAACAAGGCTGAATTTCTATGTAAATTAGAAGCAGCAAAAGTATTACTAACAATGATTCAAAATCCAGAAGCAATGAACAAAAATATAGATAAATTTCCTAATATTCAAAATAAATTAAAAAAATAAACAAACATTTTTGAATGGCAAAAGATACAATAAACAAAAAAAGGGCAAATGGACAAACTGGGAAAAATTACAATTTGCATCACAAAGCACTAACATTTCTAATATACTTTTACAAGTTAAAAATAAAGACACAATAGGTAGCAACCTATAGGAATATATGCTGATGATATGAGTGGAGACTCATAGAAAAATAAATGCAAATAAATCTAAAACACATAAAAGATGTCTGACGTTACTTATAGAAAAATAAGTGCTAATGAAAATGAGAATATTAGTTATATTATAGGGGAAAGGCCTTTTCCCTAGCAGGCTTAGCAGTGGAGTGTTGTCAATCTTTTGGATCATTGCTAATTTGATATGTGAAAAATTGGATTTCAATGTCATTTTCTTTAGCATTTTTTTTTCCTATAAGCAAGGTCAGACATGTTTTTATGTGTTGTAGATTTATTTGCATTTATTTTTCTATGAGTGGTCACTCATATCATGAGCATAGATATTGGATCATTGCTAATTATATATAAATATTTGTCCATTTAACCTTTTATTTTGATACACACACACACACACACATATATATATACACACGTATACATATATATATGTGGCTGAGAGGGAATGCAAAAATCATACAAATCCTAAATGTGGAATTTAGCAATATCTAGCAAAATTACAGATACATTTAAACTTTGACCCAGAAACACCATGTCTAGTGATCTGCTCCAAGAAACACTGGTAAAAAATGGGGGAAAAAAGATGTTTCCATATTTTTTTAAAAACACCATTTGTGCTTGCAAAAAGACAGAAATCATCCTCGGTGTTCATCAATTGAGGACTAGTTGAATAAACTATGTTGCACTCATGGAATATAGTTCAGCTTTGAACAGGAATGAAGCATCCCCACACGTAACACTACAAGCTGAGCTTCTGAATATATAGCTATGAGAGAAAAGCACAGACAATGCATGTATACTATGCTAATGTTTATCTAATAAATGGGGGTATGAACTTATTTGTATTTGCTTATCTTTTTTAAGAAAACAGCATTTTTATAAAGGTTATGTATAGAGAATGGAAAGGAAGAGGAAGAAGGAATAAGAATAAAAGCAAGACTTGTTTGATGAAGACTTATTTTGTTGGTTTTACATTGTTCCATAAACAAGCATTTTTTGAACTGCTTGTAATTATAAAGTAATCTTTTCTGCAGAGGTAGAGAAGACACCATAAATGTTCCCACCATTAAGGTAAGCTTTAAAATATGAGTAGGTGTTCACTATATGAGTGCAGGGTGGCTCCTTCTCAGTATAGAACAGCAACAGTGCAACAAGGGTGCAACATGGTGACATATCGGTGTAATATGTATGTTCATCAAGACTAAATCCAAGGCTTCCTTCCTCCAGAAAGCCTTTCCATATCATCAGTCTGAGTTAGGTAGACTTCCTTTCTCTTTCTCCACTGCTATGTATGGAAATCCTTGGATTAGCATTTTGATCTCTCTTGTTTAACCTTTGGTAAAGGTTAAATTGAGCTAAACTTAAAAATTGTATGGCAATATCTTTGTTCTCTGCAATACCTAGTAAAGCTCAAGACAGAGATTACCATCCACTGTATATGAAATGACTTGCTACATCTTACACAAGCTCTAAATTAGCATTGAAGGTCATCTTTGAGGAAATCATCACATTTTCTGTTGGGAAGAAGATGGGAGTGTGAAGGAAAAGCAAAATAAACATTATCAGTAACAAGATTTGTCTCCATTAGAAAAAACAGTAACTAGTAAACCTATTGTTGCATTTGAAGGTCTGGTATTAGGGGTACTCAGAAAGATATGTGCTCTTCAATGAAAAGGACAACGATAGACATATTAAGTCTCTTCAGAATAGATTTTTATATTAATGTGAACAGATGTATAATGTAGCTGGACAGAGCAGATGGATCAGTGTTTTCATTTTTGAGGAAAATAGTCTGAATATAGTTCTGGCAGCTAATTTATTGCCTAAGGTACAATTTGAAATGTCCTTGTGATGCCCACTCTCATTAAAGATAATGATAGTATTCAGACAGCGAAATAGTTTTATTTAGACCTCACCTTTTCAAGTATCAAGGTCAGAGATGTGGTGTTTCTGCACTGCCATTTATATTCCTATTGTAAAACTATAGAAATAGACAAGAAGCTGAGTACATATTTTTAAGGCCTTAAAAATGTATCAGTCCTGTTTCTTCCTTTGTTCCTATGTCCCCAGCAATATAATATTTACCACATGACTGCATATTTAGTTACAGATCTCCATGCACAGCCTACGGACATCAATAGGATCAAATTAATTCTAGTAATTAAGTAAATGCTTGTGAAGCATTTTGCATTTAGCAGCCATTTATTTAATTAAGTTTATCAAACCCCTTGTGCGGTAGGTTTGAGGGACTTTGCCTTGGCCTTATTTCAGTGAAGAAAAGAAAAATAAATATGTTAAAACTAATGGGAGTGCTGAAATTAGTTCAAACAATGTGTCTGGGGATTAAATTAGAAAATAGATCTTTTGGTGTCCCAGTCTGCACATAGCTGGTACAGGCTGAAAATAGACATAGGTTCTGTAACATTTTCATTACCTAAAAGGAGATTGGTAGAGATGGAACCAGATTAGTGGTTGCTACAGGTTACAAATGGAGATAGGAGAGTGCAGGTGCGGCCATAACAGGATTGTCTTAGTTCGCTGTCTGCTATAATAGGGTATGTGAGACCTAGTAATTTATAAAGTACAAAGTTTTATTTTTTTATGGTTCTAGAAGCTTGCAAGTCCAAGGTCCAGGGGACTGCATCTAGTGAGGACCTTCTTCCTATATCATCCGTTGGTAGAAGGTGGAATGGCAGGGAGACAGAGAGAGAGAGGGAGGGGAAAACTCATCCTTTGATGAGAAACATAGTAACTAACCCACTCCCATAATAACAGCATTAACCCATTCAGGAAGTCAGAGCACTCATGGCCTAATCACCTCTTAAAGGTCCCACCTCCCAACACTGCTGCATTAAGCATTAAGTTTTCAACATGTGAACTTTGGGGAACACATTCAAACCACAGCAAGGATAGCAGGAGGAATCCTCATGATGAAACTATTCTGCTTCTTGATTATGGCAGTGATTGTGCAAGTCTACATGTGGTTAAAATTCCATGGAACTAAACACACACACAACTGAGTTCACGTAAAAAGGATACAATCTGAGTAAGCTCCATATAGTATACCGACATCAATTTCCTTTTAAATATCGTGCCATAAATACGTAAGATATTAGCACAGGGGAAACTGGGGTACACAGAACCTCACAGTGCTTTTTTTTGTTCAAAGTTTACTATAAATTATGTCAAGGTACAAAGTCGAAAAAGGAGGCAGGAGGTTAAGTCAGCAATCTCACTTGCAGGTATATATTTAAGAGAAATGAACACATGTGCCCAAATAAAAGCTGACATATGCATGTCCATTATTCATAATAGTCAAAAAGTGGAAACAACCCAAAAGCCTACCAACCAATGAATGGATAAACAAATGTGGTATTTCCATACCATGAAATATTACTAGGCAGTGAAAAGGAATGAGACATGCTACAACACAGATAAATCGTGAAAACGTGCTAAATGAAAGAAGCCAGTCATAGGAGAGCATATATTGTATGATTCCATTTATGTTAAATGTCCAAATTAGACAAGCCTATAGAGACAGAAAGTACATTAGTGACTGCAGGGGCTGGGGGTGGTGGAGGGGAGATGAGGAATGACTTACCATGTATGGGGTCACTTTTTGGGGCATCGAAATGTTCTACAATTAAGATAGTGAAGAAGGCTTGCACAGCCAGGTGAGTATGCTACAAACCACTAACCTGTACACTTTAAATAGGAGAAATGTATGGTCTATGAAATATGCTTCAATAAACCTGAAAAAAAGTTAAAGGATGGGATGTTATGTTGTAGGTCAGGTCCCAAAAGATGTTTCAGGCTCCCGGGACACACTGCACCAGAGCCTGGTGTCTGCTTGATTTGGCCTGTGGTGTCTGATTAGGGCAACACAGGAGCCAGATGACCTCTGGCTCTGTGAGAAAGGCAAAGAAAGCACTGTGCCTGCCTAGAGCTTCACCACCACCCAAGCCGGCATCTGTACTTCATTTTCTTCTTAAAAACCACCACACATTTTAGTTAAGATAAAACGTAGCAACAGTTGCTAAATATAAGTAGAGAATGTTGTTGTGACTAACATTCTTATTACATTGACGTCACCCTGACCCTCCATGATCTGATACATTAATCTATGAGATTTACATAATAATAAGGTTTATATTTAAAATATAAATACATAAGCAAGCTCAATATAAACTGTCCCAGTAATTCAAAGCTGAATTGAGTCTAGGCCATCAGATGCCTGGAAGTAAAGTCGTTGGTATGTAAAGATACGGCAAGGCTTGAACCTTCTCAGTGGGCACACACACCTTCTAAAGTATTGGTTCCCTGAGTATGTTCCTCAGACCGACGACAATTGGCATACTCTGAGCTTTCAAGATAGGCATGCAAATTATTGGGCCCCATCCTGACCTATTAAACCAGAATCTCTGGGGATAGGGATCTGGAAGTTGCATTTCATAATAGTGTCAGGTAATTCTTTTGCAAGTTAAAATTTCAGAAGCATTGTAGAAAGAAAAGAAGAAGAAAGAGGAAATAAAGAAAGAAGAAAGAAAGAAAGAAAGAAAGAAAGAAAGAAAGAAAGAAAGAAAGAAAGAAAGAAAGAAGGAAGGAAGGAAGGAAGGAAAAGGAAGGAAGGAAGGAAGGAAGGAAAAGGAAGGAAGGAAAAGGAGGGAAGGAAGGAAGAAAAGAAAGAAAGAAAGAGAAAGGGAAGGGAAAGGAAACTTTGAAAATTAACTCTTATTAAATCGTGACAGGCCTGAGATTTTTACACTTTTAAACCCATTGCTGAAAACTCAAGTTTCCAATATGTATCAACATACCACTAGTCAAAACAATAAATTTACCTTTTCCCAGAACCCTAAGTCTCTATATATATTTCTTCTCTCCTCTTTTGTTTTTCCTAGTAATCTTACTTTTTTTTAGGGGAAATAGTCATCATGTAACTATGTAAGTTAAGAATGTTTCCCAACTCACTTATTCAATAATTCTGCTCCGACTAGTGATTTTATCATCTTACCACCTGAGGTCTTTCCAGAAATAATTTTTGGAGGCTGATTACTCTGAATTCAAGCATCACTGATGATTTATAAAGACGTGGCCTTCTGAGAGACCTTTCTGGAAGCCAGAGTGGAACTAGCTATACAAAGGCCCCAAAAGACGAGGAGACTATTGCAACAATCCCCCTGAGGAAGAATAAAGATCTGAGCCAGAAAGAGGCAATAAGAGATCTTTTAAAAAAGAGACCTAAGTTTGGCAGAGGGACATATTTATGCACACTAGAATTTGGAGACAACTATTCTATACCTTATCTTGGACTCCATATATCTGGGTATAACATATGGAAACAATCAGACATCAAAGAAAAATATAAATATTTCTTCCTTCTGGGGCAAAAAATTGTTTACAAGTTGATTCAATACTATGGTAAGATTTAAGCCTTAAATGCATCTGTCATTGTAATCCATTTCAAATTATCCAAAGACTCAGAATAAATTGAGGATGCTACACAATACAGTATATAATGAGGGGGAGAAATGTATTCAGCACAGGGAGATGGTCATGGAACAGATGATTATAGCACATGGAACTAAAGACAAAATCATAGTAGCTACCATCTGATAACAATAGTTAGCATTTGATACTATAGTTACAACTTGAGTTAGTGGTTACCATTTGATCCTATAGTGCCTGACTCACATACAGTCAGGAATCTCATACAACAGGGTTGAGCTTCATTTTTACAGGGAAGTAAAAGGAGGCTCAGAACAGGACTCTGACTTGTCCAAGTCCACTCACCATTCAGCAGGAAGCTGGTATCTGAACCCAGGCCAGGCTTTGCTCTGCGTATTTTCCCCTTCACAGAGGTAGGAGCTCATGCATCTTACCCAGGTACATTTAATATAAAAAATCGGATATGATATTCAGAGACTTATTTCAGTATCAGAGTCTCCAGGAAATCTTTACAAACTTTCAAATGTTCCCTGTAGTTAGCTTCCAAACACAGTTGGAGGTTGCCCTGGAAGGATCTATCCACCCAATTGCAACTTTCTAGCTTGATGCATAGCAAAGAAAGCCTTTAGATTGCTGTGATACTTCACTCTTGACACACCCTCCCCATGGATAACATTATTTGTTCTTTTATTTCTCTGAGGCCTCTGACTTGATCACATCATCTAACCTATCTCTAAGCTAAAAAGGTAAAGAGGTGAAAGTTTAAATAAGAAATGACTTTTAAGAATTTGAAGATGAGGATATTATTGTATTCTTCATTTTATACATAAAAAAGCTAAAAACAAAAACAGGAAAGCAACTCAACCTGAAGCTCAGAGAGGTAAAATCATGTGTCCTGCAGGCAGGCCAGCACCCGCTCCTGGCTCCGCTGGATAGTAGCTAAGCTGTCCTCATGCTTACAGGGGCTCAGCGACCCTGACTCATGCCATTGTTGTTATATTACATGGAACAAAACCTCAATAACTCAGAAAATTTGGGGACTTGAACAGATCAAATCATCAGTACAAATTGCCAGTTGAGTCATACAACTAGAAAATAATCTCTAAAGATAAGATAGCACAGCTCATTCGTTGATCCTTGGCTTTGGTATTGAAATCGCCATCTAGTGAGCAGGGAGTCTAAGTGAGGAAGTCCTGCCTCTTTTCTCCAGGTATTAAATAGTATATATGAGAAGTCCTACTATAGGAAGTTGCCTGAGGCTTATTCCAGACCCACCTTCTCCAGTCCTCTTTCTTTATAGCTCCTGGTCAGGACCATATATTGAGAAGCAGATCCATATCCTGTGTGAGGAGGTTCACACTTTGTTTCATATTTGTAAGCCTTGACCTCACAACCAAGTGATACTGTTGTTGAGAGTTGAGTTCGTGGTGTGCAGTAAAAAAGAGAGAAGTGTTTTAGCCAAGGAGGTTTTAATTAAAATCCTGGCTTTGCTATTTATGAGTTTTATAAACCTGGCCTCATTACTGTTCCAAGGTTCTGTTTTCTTTGAAGGGTACTAAAAGATCTGCTTCAGAAGATTTGTAAGGTTGGGGCTCAGAAACCAATACCCCAAGTACTACTCTTCCACATGCTAACTCAAAAAAAAAAAAAAAAAAAAAAAAGCTTCAAGCTCTCCCTGACTCACTGTCCCTAAGCCAGAATGAAGTTGTTCTCTGAAGTTCCTTTATATGCCTAATGTCTGGACCCACAATAAAGAACAATTGTTTTTTCTTCCCCTCCCTGTAAGACCAAGAATGTAACCACACTTTGAACAGATCCTGTCTCCTAGGCTCATTCAAATTCCAAAGAGAACTATTTACAAGTTGATCTCTGTTCCTGGATCCATCCATTCTTCCTGTTAGACTTTGATGCCCCTCAACAGAATTCCTCTCTCCACTCCCATCCCTGTTTTGCCAGGATAGTATGCAAGCTTCTGAACTAAGGGTAGTTTAGTGTTGCTCAAGTAAAAACTGAGTGAGACACGTGCCCCACTTTCAGGCATAACCCTTAGAACTTCCCATGTGATTCTCATTTTCTTCTCTCTCTATCAGCTGAAAAGAGCCTCCCCAGGACCTGAAAGGAAATGGAGTGATAACATAGAAGCTGATTGAGCCCCTGTACAGCTTCATGTACCAGCCATCCTGCAGTGTGAGTGAGAAAAACAGAAACTTTTCCTTTGCTAAGCCACTGACAGGTTAGGGTCATTTACCACCTTAGCCTACATGCTTGCTCCCTAAACTTAAGCACGGTTCCTGAAGCCTTCTGGGGAAAGAGCCTGCTAACAAGTATTCCTATTTATGAATAATGCAAATGAGCTCATACAATGTGAGAGCTTTCCCCAAAGCCACCCCCATTAGTAAGGGCTCTATCTGTAAATCTGATGTTTGTTCTTGACTCTACGCTCCATGCTTTCGCCTCTAAATGCGGAAAACAAAAAACTCATAAAACAGTTATATTGTGGTCATAAGTGTTCAAAACTGGTTTCAACTAGACAGAGTAATAAGGGCTATCCTAGTGGAAGTTATTTGAAGGCATCCTTGGAAATAATTATACAGTATTTATTTGTCTATATTTCACTGTCATTGTTTTAACGAGTCCAGAATTCTTTGTGCAGAGGCCATGGTGGTAATATAATAAACATTTTTGCATTTGCATACCATTAAAGAGTGGTCTTTCTGTGTGAATTGGTGAATGTCTATTTTTCAAGCTGTGAGAAGGATATTTTACGATGAAAAATCTGTGTCCTTTAGCTTGTGCAGTTCACATGAGGTTTGAGGAAAAGATGAACAAATATGCCATGAGCTACACTTAGAGGATATTTACTTCTGTTACCCAGGACATTTTATGTTAATGCAATATGAGATACCCATTTCCAGATTAAATACAAATCACGTTGTAATTCTTCCTACTAGATCATGCTTATAGTTAAGTTCCTTATCACCACAGTGATGAGAGAATACTAATTGTCATGAAACTTCATGACCACCAGCAGGAAAACCGAGGCAGAAAGCTCTGGGCTAGAGATGAATTTATTTTAAAGCTCCGGAAGCTGCAGCTTCAAGATCTTCTTGCAAAACCCGAGCAATGTGTTTACAACATTATGCATTTTGTAAACTATGTGTGTCAGTAAGGGCTGGTGTGTGTAGGCTGTCAGAGAAGTAGGCTGTTTGGAGGTATACCTGTATTTATTATAAGGATTTGACCTGATGCTATTGTGGGAGCAGGTGAAGTGATCTCTGGAAAGCTGTTGTCTTCTCATCAGATGCTGGAGTTTGAAGACCACAGTGGAGAGGAGAAGGTGGATGTGAGGAGGTGCGGGAGCTAGGTTAAATTGAAACCCATGAGGACATGCTGGGGCCAGGAAGACAGACTGCAACCCATGGAACTTCCTGTTGTCATTGACCTTGGTGATGTGAGTATTCTGGAAAAGCTGGGGGGCTTTGTCACAGAGCTAAACACACACACCTGACCCAGAAGGTAGAGATGCTGAAGCAGGATCCAGAGGAAGGTGGAGCAGTTCCAGGCCCAGACACTGCCTCACCGGTGAGATGAGTCAAAAAGCCAGCAACAGTGGATGTAGTGGATGTGAAACACATAAGGACTGCAGCCTCCCTTCCCCCTTCCAAACCTCCCAAAAGTATCTTTCCTGTGGTTTTCCCCTAAGTCGAAATATACAGGAAAGGAAATGCTTTGGAATTTAGTTCAGTCAAATTGTGTTGACACATTATAAAGCTATTAAACTTCACAAAAGTTATTTTAATGGCAATCAGTAAAAACAAAATATTGAACTGCAATGGGTTAATACTACTGTCTCTTTCCCCTGCCCTTCCCACTGTTACACTTCTCAAGCCAGGTGGCATTGGAGAGGCCACAGAAACTTTTAAGATCCAGTGAGGGGAAATGATGCTGTGGATACATATTTAGTTTACATTGGTAGCATATAACCATATCGTTCCCGGCTATGTACATGGATTGTTAGCCATTGCATTTGAGGAGTTGCTTCCCTGAGTATTCCTGCTCCTTGCTATGCAAAGTCATCCAGCATCAGAGAAAAATGGTGCAGGGCCAGAGGTCATGTCTCCCTAGAGATGTCTCCTGTAGCACCAGCAATGGAAGAGTGTAGGTCGTGTAGGGAAGCAAGGTGTGAAATGTACAGAAGCAGAAGCTGGTCTGTGGAAATTCTAATAAATCTTACTATCTAATCTATGGAACTTCACATGGATATCCCCAATTCAATCACAGTTATAAAAGTTTATGTGGCATCACCAATAATGAGGTGTCAAGCTGGAAAAAAAAGCCTTTTTTAAATTATGAATATAATTTTTTAAGAAATGATTTTATCAACCATACTAGAGGAAAAACTGAATTACTTATTTATTTTCTGCAATTTTTTAAACAAAATCATCATATAAGGAAGCAATCAAACACTAGGCAAAAGTTGTAAGGAAATAAAAGTGTTATAAAATTGTGTCAAGAAGTTAATTAAAACATTATGTTGTTCTAAAATTTGCAAATATCTGTGGTATTGTCTTTTTCCTAAAATGTTAGTAATTTGTAGTGACTTCTTTTCTCATTCCAAAAATAATTTAGGAAAAAAAAACTTTCATGGATTATATAAATTTTGAGCCCTTTGAAACTTGGTCTGCCCCAGCTCAGTGCACAGAGCCTGAGCAGGCCATCAGAACTGGATCATTTCCAAGGTCATCCAGACAAGCTGGCAGCCCCCTTTTGCAGGGATGTGTCCCAGCTGCTAGCCCAGGTAGGCAAGAGCCCTGGACTCTTGATTTAGAGTTTGCTTAGTGTCCAGGGATCTTTATCCTGCCTTTTGACTTCTAGGCTCTGAGTTTGCTTTTTTATTTTTATTTTTGTCCTTATCAGAAATCTTGAGTTCAATCTCTTTTGAGAAACTATTATAAACAGACAATTGACAGGGGAAATCAGCTGCCTCTTTGAGTCAAATCCTGGTTTCTGGAGTGAGTAAAGCCAGGTGAGCAACAACTACTGCCACTTGAATACTGTCCGATGAGGCTGCTTTGTGCCTGCCTGTGCCATCCAATTCCCAACCACATGCCTGCAAAATGACAGACACGAGACACAGCCACCGAGGCCTTCCGATCCAAAGAAATCAAGCTCCTGCTAAATGGCATGGAATCGCTTTACACTGAAAAGTTCACCAGATTTACACAGCAACTTCCATTTGTAGTCTTTCCAGATCACTTGGATTTCAGTCTTTCAAGATTCATTTTAACGCAGATTTAAAGTAGAGAGAGATTTCACCATCTGTTTTAATAAGTAATTTAAACTCCTACTCTAAGCCCCTGCCTCCGTGTTTGTGAAACAGCACCAGCTTAAGAATGTTCCTCTGTCTTTGACTTGAGAATAGGTTCCCTGAGGTACCATCGACACTGCAATATGACGGCCGCTTTTGGAGAATGGTGTAATGCAGGTAGTCTTTCTCTTCCTGGGGATGCGTCATGTGCATATACAATAGGATTTCTTTCCTCAGCAGGCTGGGATCTCAACGGGCTTCACCTCACATTTCTTCCTATTAAGTTTGCATTTCAGGACACTGGTTCATCTCTGTGCTGGCTAGGTCTTTGGGTATAAGGGAGGGTCTCTTGACTGATCATTACCTGTGGGCTTTCTCTTTTTGTTCCATTTCAGCTTCCTGAAAACTTAAATCTGAAGTTTTCCAATTTTTGCTCAAACTCTCAAACACTTTTTCTCAGTCCCTGCCGCCTGAACTCTGTCTAACCTTTACCAATATTCGACAAAGTCCTTAATGAGATTGTTTTATGTTGTCGTGCTAGAAAATTGAAAATGAAAGAGCTTTGATTTCTTAGTAGAAGAATCACATAAGGGAATCTATGCACTCACTTTTATTCTTTGTCTTCTAATTAGAGGATTGGACTTTTTAAAGAAAGAAAAATGAGGAGACTAGAGACTATTACAAAGGCATTATTTCAACTTTTACTTTTTTCCCTGTTTCACTTTTATTCCCACCTTGGCATGATTTTAATTTAAAATTAAGAAACCTGAAATGATCTTTGCTAATAAAGACTCATGTTCGGAGAAGAATTTTGAAGAATTTGAAAGCATAAAACAGGATATTCTCTCTCCAAGGGTTAGTGACTTCCAGCCTTGTTTCCTACCGCCTCTCCAGCAGATACTTCATTGTGATCCACCTATTCCCCTGGTTTCCTCATTGGCCCCAAGCCCACGATCTGTGCTCTTCCCTATCATATCCATCACATTCTATAATCCTTCAGTGAGAGCCTTTGAGGAGCCAGGCATTCCCTCTACTTCCAATGACTCCCGTTCCCCCTGTGCTCCACACATTATGCAAATACCTGCATCCTGTAAGGCCTCGCTTCTCCTCACTCCCTGTATAAAGATTCCCCAAACTTAGGACATCCCATATTGTTCTGAACTTCTCCTTTATATCTATTTTATCATTCAGCAAAGAATCAAGTACTGTCATGCAAATCACTCCATATGCATAGGTTTTGTCCTCTCACCTTGTTAAGGCGAACAGATACACACATGCATAGGTCTATATAAACAGATATTGAGAGATGGGGATGGACAGCTGAGAGAGAGAGACGGAGACTGCACCCTTCTGGGCATCATGACCAAACGTAACTGTTATGCATTGTGGAGGCTGTAAGGAGGAGGGGGCCAAGCACTTGTTAAAAGAAAAACTGTAGCCAAATTACATTTAAGTGTTTAATTGAGCAAAGAACGATTCGTGAATTTTGCAGCTTCCTGAGTCAGACTTGTCTCAGAGACACCAGTGCAGCCACGTGGTAGAAGAAAATATGTGGACAGAAAGTGGAAGTGAGGTACAGAAACAACCAAATTGGTTACAGCTTGGCATCTGCCTTATTTGAACATGGTTTGAACAGTTGACCACCTTTGATTGGCCAAAACTCAGTGAGTGGCTACAGTCTGTTTACAACTCTGTTTAGGTTATAGTTGACAACTTACAGAGAAGCCTTTAGGCTGAACTTAAAATATGTAAAGAGGCAGCTTTAGGCTAAACTTGATTTAACAATTCCCCGCTTTTGGTTATCCTCTCAATTTTGAGAGACTGACCAGAACTTTAGTCATTGATGTCATTGTCACCATTGTCAATGTACTTATTTAGTCTTGAAACCCACTGGGAAATAGCAGAATAGTGAGTTTTGTAAGGTGGGGACAGGATTTCAGGTTATTTTCTGTGAAAGTTAGAGTAGAGGGTGCCTCCTTATGATGGAACAAACAAACAAACAAAGAACAAAACCTGGCCTGTTCTAGGATCTATGTATTTCCTTAAAGTCTTAGTTTGATTATGTCACATTTAGCATAAGTGACTACACTTTGGTTTGGTCTGGTCTGTTGGAACCTAGTGCATGAACTCAGTCCAAAACAATTGCTTCCCATTATTTTGCTTAAAAACTCCCTCCTTTTGGTCATTTTCTCACTTAGGTGAGAGTGTGACCAAAACTTAGGGCCTTAGCACCACTCTCAGTGACCATCATTTAGGGTTTCTGGTCTCAGCATGTTATTCACAGGTTATGGTGCCCTCACGATCACTCATTTTTTTCAGCTCTTGTCATCCCAGTTGAAGACAGATCATTTCACATTCTAGAGAAGGCTGCATGCAAACATTTAAAACTTTTGAAAAAATACAGTGCACCAGGGAGACTACTATTATGACTATCGGGGGATAATACCAAGAGTTTGGAGGGTCCCCATAAACCAAACCAACTAAGATAAAATAGATCAAAGAATGAGCTAGATGAAGAGTCTACTTGTTTTAGCTAAGCAGTCTCTACGTTAATCTCCTACAACTGAATCTCTATAATACCTGATGTGATGTATTTCTCCATGGACAACAAGAAGTTCCAGCAGCTGCACAGATACTTTTCTGTTTATCCAGTAAGTAAGTAATTTAGAGCAATTCTATTATTTAGCATAACTTTTATGGGAGAATATAAAATATTTTGTGTAACCATATCCTTTACAATAGAATCTACTATAGAGCCTATCATGAGGAATGAATTTCTAATCATTGCCTCATTTACTCCAAATCATGGTAAAAAGGACCTAACAAATGATGCCATTCTAGAAGAGCGAAGACCTCCTGGCAGCATTATTTTTGATCCATTACATATGTTAAGAGGAGTAAAACAATGTCTGTTTCTGACTGATTATGAGGCAACATATGTACCATAAAATTTTCTCACCCACACTGGCCCTTCATCTCCCATCTATCAAGGTATAAGGTTATGCATGTTTAAAGCTAGCTGAAAAATCTTTCACAAATAAAAGTGTATCCCTTGAGTGTGCACAACAGACTCCCTTGTCACTTCTATCTTTCATAGAGGCATAAGCAAAGAAAAAAAAATTGAAAAACAAAGAGTGTCATGATAATAGAGAAGTCTTGATCTATGATCCTGGGAAAAAGCTGTCCACATCAAAGATGCTGTTGTCTCATTTATTTATTTATTTATTTATTTATTTACTTATTTATTTTTGAGACAGGGTCTCACTCTGTTACACAGGCTGGAATGCAGTGGTGTGATCTTAGCTCACTGCAGACTCAACATCCTGGGCTCAAATGATCCTCCCACCTCAGTCCCCACAAGGAGCTGGGACTATAGGCGTGCACCACCGTGCTTGGCTAATTTTTTTAGTTTTCGGTAGAGATAAAGTTTCACTGTATTGCCCAAGCTGGTCTCAAACTCCTGAGCTCAAGTGATCCACCGCCTCGGCCTTCTGAAGTAGGGATGCTGTCTCCCTCTGGGGAGAAAATTCCCTGGTGAGCTTTATCCTGTGGTTTCCAGTGGGTGTACAGTTCCAAGACTGTGGGGAGACCCTTTTGAGCTGTAAGATTATGAATCCCCAAGTTTTGTTGCAATGTAGAAAGCAAGGGCAGTTTTTTTTCACATGTTCAGCATCTTTTTTTTTTTTTTTTTTGAGACAAAGTCTCGCTCTTGTCCCCCAGACTGGAGTGCAGTGGTTCCATCTCAGCTCACTGCAGCCTATGCCTCCCGAGTTCAAGCCATTCTCCTGTCTCAGCCTCCCAGGTAGCTGGGATTACAGGTGCCTGCCACCATGCCCGGCTAATTTTTTTTTTTTTTTTTTTTTTTTGTATTTTTAGTGGAGACGGAGGTTTCACCATGTTGGCCAGGCTGGTCTCGAACTCCTGACCTCAGGTGATCCACCCACCTCGGCCTCCCAAAGTGCTGGGATTACAGGCATGAGCCACCGTGCCCGGCCATGTTCAGCATCTTGGTCAATTCAGGATAACAATGTGACCATTGTTGTCATGTATTTTTCCACTGGTTCTGTTCTCTGAACTCTGGCTGATACCAGTTTTGTCTATCATCATTATTTCTCTCCATTAATAAGAATCCCCGAACTATTCAAGTCCATATCCCTCTGACCCCAACTCCAACCAAGTTAATGTCAGTCTTGATTCTTGACCCTCTGTCATATTCTCTGTCTGTGCAGATCCCATGTATGCCACAGGGTTTGGCTCAAGTCCAGCATTATCCAGCATCCCTTCCCTTTACGGCTCATCTCCTTCTCCTTGTTTGGTGCCTATATTTTGGCCATTTCCTATATTCAATTTAGCTTCTGACCATGTACAATCTTGCATTATTTTCTTAGTATATAACCCATCTCCCTTCTGCCCACATTCCTGCTAATTTTAAAGTCCTTGAGAACAGGAAGCAGACCTTCAATTGCACAAGTGTCACCCACAATATTTGGTTGACTGTTGAACCCTGAATAGATATTTATACATGCCTGATACAAATGTGTGTTGCATGAATGGGTGACCCCAAAATAGGAGAGATGTACAAGAATTGGTGTTGAATAAAAATAAATATCTCAATGAAATTATGTCATAACAACAGCCAAAATAAACTGTGGAATCAGCTACTTTCACTGATTTAGGGATGTATTATAATGTAATGATAAGTAAACTACATGCTAATTAAAATAAGTAAAGGCAATTTCTCACTCTGATTGTTCCTAGGTATGTTCTGAATCCAGTGATTTCAGGAGCTATGGAGCCCACCAGTGTACTTCATGTCAAGCGACTGAGACGTGATGATAGTGCTGCGGAAAAAATGGCAAGTCCATAGTAGGATCATTGAGAGCCAAAATAAAACTAACTAAGGAAAGTTAGAAGGTACATTTTACTACCTAAAAGAAATAAATCTTATAGCTACTGGAGAACTACAGTGATAACAGGAGGTATTTATCAGTCCGTTTCTAGAGCATCGATTTGAAGAAGTCTGCAAGAAAACATACTTGCACTTAAAAGTCCCTTCCAAACATAGAAATCAGAACTTGCTACTAGTCCAAAAGCTACGCACAGATGGCCAGAAAATGTAGAAGTGTAGAGGACTGACGAAGTAAAATAAGTAAACTTAATCAGGCACTTCCTATATAGGCACTGCATCCACCACTCTAAGCATAATCTCTTATTTATTAAAAAATTTTAAGACATAGATATCACTATCCCTATATTTAGAGATGAGAGAACTAACGTTCTGAGAAGGTGAATAATTTCCCACAGGTCACTCAATTAGTAATTGTTAGAGCCTGGAATTTAACCCAGGGCAGCCTAATCTTCAAAAACAATTCCTTTTTCATACTGCATTGCCATTAAACACAAAACCAAATACAGAACGGGTTTGTTTTCTGTAGTTTTGACTATTCCCCCAGTGATGTCATTAGATGGAAGACTTCTGTTAAAGTAGAAGCCAGAGAGCCCAGCTTCTCCTCTGATGGCCTGTGAGCTGCAGGTATCCCTAATCTGCATATGTTATGTAACAGTTATTCCATTGAATGCCCATTTAGTAAACATGCAGTAATGAAATAAAATGTTAGCAGACAGAAATATTAGCTCCCTCTTCCAGGCATCACGACAGCAAAATCAAGCAGACAGGAACAAGGGAATGATTGCCAGGGTCTTCATCATCACATTAGCTGCCAGCAGGAAATCTGTGCCACTGAAAACTGACTTTGACAACTCCTCCGTTAACAGACTAATAAACTCAGTTGCATGTCCCGCTATGACAATGGAAAATTTTATCTCCTTTTCATGTTTTCTGCACATATATATAGATATAGATATAGATATAGATATAGATATATACAGCCATCCAAAAATCCTATTTATGCTAATATCTTAAAATCTGGAACTACAGCTATGCCAAGTGAAGAATCATTTACAAGCTAGTTTGAGAGCAAATGGGGACGTAGTGTGAGGATCTTTAAGAAATACTCTTTAAATAAAAAGCAGGATCCTCAATTCTTCCATCAAATTAAAAATGGGAAGTTTTCCTACCTGATTGCTAAAAGGGAAAGCCTAACGGAGGTTGTGGCCTGTTATCTGATTTGCTATCTTTCACCTTCCCTCAATAAGGAATGGATATAAGTATATTTCAAGGTAGTGCCAACAATTTGAAAATTAGAACTCCATTCTCTCAATACCTATTTTGCAAGAGTAATATTCCAGACCTGGTTTAGGAGTTGGGAACACATTCAAAAAACAAGAAAAGCCAAAGTGCATGACCTCAAGGAGCTCAACCTAATGCCAGAGAAAGATCAAAAGTCAATTATTGCAGCCACCTGTATACGTGGAGGTGATACTAGAGCAGAGCATAGAGTAGAATAGAGAATAGACAATTATTTGGAAAACAAGTCAGGAAGAACATTCCAGGAGAAATAACTTCAAGGCCAAAATACTGGAAAGATAAGAAAAACGGAACATGCTCAGGGAATGAATAGTGGATCACAACTGCTATAAAGTGGACACATACAGGGCCATGACTGAAAATGGTTTGTGACCCAAGAGCGTTCCAAATAATGAAAGGCCTCACTTACTGAGATCAAATAGTAAAGGGTTTTCTTCAATAAGATTATAGAGAGCCACTAAAGAATTTGAAGTTGGGCAATGATATAATCAAAGTCACTTTTAGGAAACAACAGAAACTATATTTTAAAAGAACCCTGGATTTTCCCTAACAACTGACCTTGTCTAGAGCATGATATATCTGAAGAATCTTGGAAAGAGTCACAATATTCAGGCTTGTGTCCTGCTGGGCTGTTGTACCTGAATGTCCTTGGGCTCTCCATATTAAACCATTGTACATCTCATGACTTTCCTCTGTACATTAAAGCGTACTTGCCTCGTCCCTCATCAAGGTTGCAGTGGGAAAAAAATGATGTAAATACATGAGAAGAAATCTATAAGAAAGGGTTATGATCATACTTGTCAGAGAGATTTCACGCCCATTGATTCATGAATTTATCCCAACAGCACTGAGGGGCAGATTCTATTATTTTCCCTTGAATATGGCACAAATGAGGCTCACATTGCTGAAATAACTTGCTATACATAAGTCACAGTGTTATTGTGTTATAGAATTTTAATGACTAGGGAAATGTATTCTGACTTTTGTCTCTGAATTACATAGTCAAAATATATTTGCATGAATCGGAATGAACACACTGGAAATTCCTTCATTTCATGACAACTTAGTCAAGTCAGTCATAGTTTTAAAAAATACTGATAAATTATACTGAACAATCACATGATGCCTTCGTTTTATTATTGCTCACTACTCTTATTACTGTTTGAGTTGACTCATTCCAAATGAAAACCCAAGTAATTAAACTATACCAAATACTTCAAGGGGAAGCTGAAAGAGCTGTGATGCTTGCAGAACATTCCTCATGTTTTAACCTGTTTTATTTTAAAAGCCTATTTGAGGTAACAGTGTAAATTAATACTTAGTGCTTTCTATAGACAAGATGTGGACTATGTGGTTTATGTAATTGTTATTTTAGGCTAGAATATTATAAAATGGCTAAGATAAGAAATAGAAACTATTGAGTGAGATTATATCACATTCTTATTCTGAGTCATGCTGCTAGAGCAAATCAAAACAGTTTTCCTTAGTGACCATGTATAATCCACGTATAATCCACACAGTATTCATGAGGAATCATGGATCACAAAAAGTAAGTGACTTGCCTAAGGTCATTTGTGGCAGAGAGGATCTGACTCATGCAGGAGTATCCCCCGTCCCCCCCGCAACCTGCCACCGGGGTTCTACTGGTGACGTTTTGCCTCTTGGTTTTTCTACTGATGGCAACACCTATGCCAAAACCTAACCTCTATTTGGTAGTCTATAGTATAAAAAATGTATAGTAGAAATCCATAGTAGAAAACAGCCATATGACCTAGCAGCATAGAAAGGATGTCTCTTATATGAAAAAGTATTTCTAAACTTTTATGGCAATAACTTTATATATATGTAATAGATACCATTTAACCTGGAAATGCCAAATTTCAAATATTGTGCTAGATGTTGTCTGTTTCTTGCCTTTAATCCACATAACAATTGTGTAAAGGAGTTACTGTTATTTTAGAGACCAAAAACAACCAAGGCTGAAAGAAGTTAAATAATTTGTCTGATACCAGAGAGCTATTGATAACCTCCATCTGTCTGGATTCAAAGTGGAGGCACAAATGAAAACTGTGTCTTCATATATTGAATTTTTTATGTATGTATATTCCAGATAACTTCTTACTCATGGGACATACTAGAGCTTTGTATTTTTCTGGCAATTAATCTTCTGTTGATTGAAATACATTAAAAATAGGTGCTAATTTTTCTTGCTTGGTATTCAAAGTAAATATCAATGATTCTCCAATGGAAGCAACATCAGCAATTAAATTATATTCAGTTAATTATCTTCACTTACATTTTGGAATCTTTTGTTGCTTGTAGGGGTTTGGAACAAAGCTAAAACTTGTGATTACATTTCTTGCTCTTTATCAACCCAGTGTAAATATTTGAAGTTGGCTTTACTGTATCCTCAATTAACAAGGGGTTGGAGGAAGATGGAGAGAAAGACATAGATAAAGAGGAAGGAAAGAAGAAATGGAACCAATTGACATGTAGGATATGACTGAGGGAAACTCTCAAATCACTGAGATGTATTCAAAAGGAAGAAAATCAATCCAAGGTGAATATACACCCTGCATTCCTTCCTTTCTCTGATAAGAAGTCTTTGGATTAGTTTTGCTTTTAAATCCTTCTGTGTTCCATAAAATATTTAAGAGTGCTCTTCAATGCACTTAAGATGTTGTAATGTGAAGAGAAAGTGTTTTCAAGCCATCTAGAACTAAGGTCAAACTCCACCGGTTCTGTGGCTTTAAGCATTTTGGCCATAAAAGAATGTTTACATTCAGTGATTGTCTACTATGTGTAACTAGGTGCCAAATATGCAAGGAGAAATGCATAGAAAAGTGGCAGTTTGCAAGGAAAAACAAGAAGCAGACAATTTTTATACGGTAGAATAAGTGCTATGTGAGAGAATGCTAAAGGAGCAAAAAGAAGTAATAGCTGCAAAAGGTCCGCTCAGATTTCTTGCATCAGTTGACAGATTTTCTTCAGGAAAAGACAGTGGTAAGAAGTCTTTGTGGCCAAGAGATGTGCAAATCTGAAGGTCTAGTTGTTTGAAGAGCCGCCGGAGTCTAACAGGGCTAGAGCTGAGAATGTGAGATGACATGTATTCACCACTGAGTAAAGCATACGGCACTTACATAGGGCTCAACAAATGTCCATTCCTTTCCCCTTAGGCTAGAGCACTGGGTGAACCCCAAACATCCCCTGTGCTCATCCTTATTTTTGGTTCTTATTTTAATATCCACCCTTGAAAAACATCCTCCTGACACCTATCTGACTCCCCAAGTCCAGCCTTTATGCCCAGGTCCAATCTCTTCTTTAAGAAGACTTTCTTCCTTTTTAAATTTTATTTTCGGTTTGGGGGTACACATGCAGGTTTGTTCCATAGGTAAACACGTGTCATGGGGGTTTGTTGTATAGATTATTTCATCACTCAGGTATTAAGCCCAGTAACCAATACTCATCTTTTCTGCTTCTCTCACTCCTCCCACCCCACCACCCTCAGGTAGACCCCAGTATCTGCTGTTTCCTTTTAAGAAGACTTTCTCACATCCAGTTCAGCCTGCTCAGATCTCTCCCTCCCAGAAGAAGCATTCCCCCTTACAGGCAGTCCTGTGCACTCAATTGCACAGTGCATTCACTGTTCATTAACGGATTCAAGGAGGTTGGAGTTTTTTCTCCTGAAGGAGAATGAAATCCTCTCAACAGCAGTGAATGCTTTTGAATCACCTAGATCCTGACAAAATCTGGGATACTCATCAACAAACAAATTCTCTTGGATCAGCAAATTCCAGTGCATTCCAATACTGCCACAGTCTTAGGCTGCCGACAGAAAATTACTGATTTCTTTCTTTCTTTTTTTGAATTAGCTTCCTCAGGTTGAATTTTATTGGTTTGCTTATTTCATTTTTCCCCCTTATTGTGCTTTTTTTCCATCTTCTCCCTAAACATCTATCCAGTCGTTTAACAATTACCAATCATTATGATGAAAGAGTATTCGGCCTGTAATCCCAGCACTTTGGGAGGCTGAGATGGGTGGATCACCTGAAGTCAGGAGTTCGAGACCAGCCTGATCTACATGGTGAAACCCCATTTCTACTAAAAATACAAAAATTAGCTTGTGTGGTGGCCTGTGCCTGTAATCCTAGCTACTCGGGAGGCTGAGGTAGGAGAATCGCTTGAACCTGGGAAGCGGAGGTTGCAGTGAGCCAAGATCGCACCACTGCACTCTAGCCTGTGGGTGACAGAGTGAGACTCTGTCTCAAAAAAAAAAAAAAAAAAAAAGAAAAAAGAAAAAAAAGTACTCAGTGGGATACCATGTACCTAGACATCTCTGTGAATAGTCTATTCCTGAAACATCCCTCTTCTGACTCCTAGGTTACACTTTCCGTAGTACTTTATTTATATGTTTTGGCTATCATTCCTTCTTGATTGTATCTCTTCTTGAGTCTCTTAAAATATTTTACTTTCAAGGTCCCACACTTGGCCTACCACACCTGATTGACTTCATCTACTCAAAAGGCTTCAGCAACTATACACCCACTGATTCTGATATTCCCTATGGACCTCCCTCCAGAGTTTTCCAGCTAATTCTGCACAGTGGGAAACTTTCCAGGCAAATACTGTGCCCCAAACTAGACTGAAGTCCAACTACTAAATCTCCTCCTCTTTCTACACATCCTCTGTCTATTTAAACAGCAGCTAACATGGAACAGGAAATTTGTATTTGTCAGGAACCATGCTAAATAAGATTGTTTTACTCAGTCCTCATAATACTTCTTTGAAATGATTGCTATCATTAGCCCCATATGACAGGTGAGGAAGTTAAAGCACATGGAGCTCACATGGCTTCTTTCCCTAGGTCATATATCTTGTAACTTGTAGAGCCTGCATTTGACACTAGGCTGTCAGAGTGAGACAGACCTCAGGACTTAGTCACTCCATTCTCCATCCATGAGGTCTTCCAAGTTAAAAAGCTAAAAGTCATCCTTCTCTCTACTGTGTTCAATTTTTCTTTAAGTATACTTGATCCAATTTTAGATATGCCTTTCATATCAGGTCCCTGCTTTCTAGCTTGTGCTGGTTCTCATTATTTGCTGCCCACAAAATTGCAAATTGCATCCAGTATCTGTCCCTAGTACCCACACCTTCCATCTTCAGTATATGCTCCAAAGCACCATCACCATTACATTAAAAAAAAGAAACTGATGAACAAAGCAAACAACAAACAAATATTAGCAACCCGATCCCCAACAAACTGTGGCTGGCTCTTAGTTGGCCAGCAGAGAAGTAAGTTCCTTCTCAATTCATTGTCTGCCTTTTCTACCCTGGCTGCATTTCCTGCATCTCCTTCCTGCCTCCCCCATTTCATCTTCAATTCTAGCTATGCCAGGTGTCCCATAGCCCCCACTTTGTTGTTTGACATTCGTGTCACTTTGCCTTTGCTCATGGAGCTCACTCTTCCTGCAAGGCCGTTGTCGGTGCTCTTCCTCTTTCTCATCCCTCAAATCTCTGCTAAAAGGTCAATTATTTTGAGCACTTTCTCACTTTCTCAAGAAAGTAACAATGCTCTTGCTACAGTAACTTGACATTGTTATGTGCACATGCCTCATAAATTCATTTATTTGTTTTTGGTATACATCAAAGAGTGGATATCTACTATGTGTCAGGGATTAGATCAGAGGCTGGAGACCCTGGGAAGATTCAGATATCATCCCGTTCTTATGGAATTTCCACTAAGAGCACACTGTATTATCTTTTTCTGCTTAATCTTCTGTCTCACCATTTCTATAATAGCCTATATGCCACCAAAGCCTTGAATGTGACTGGTACAAGTGTGAGTAAGGCATGTTTTCTCACCTAAATAGGTTTATAGTCTCAGTAGTTAGTTAACATAACTACATGCAGTCAAAGGACCATTTACCTACTGTTAAAGCAAGTGTTGTCCCTCTGCAATGATTACTATAACATCTGATAGCCAGATGACTTGATATGCTTCAAATTAATACATGGCTATTGACTTCTCCATAGAAGAAGCACTACATCAGGCTTGGAAGAGGAAGAAAGCTGACATCCTTCTGCAAAGCTGAAAAATGAGCTAAAGGGCATTGTTAGGATGTCAGAGAGCCTACACTGTTGAAAAGGGATTGGCAAAGGCTGAGAAATGGTGAAAAGATCCTGAACAGGGCACATGTGAGTGTCATCAGACATAAACATCGAGAAGATCAAGGACAAGTGCTTGTATCACTTACTGGATCTGTTCAATGTGACAGTAATCACTAAATTCACAGTTTAATGAATCAGATGTACTTTCAAAAAGTACTTGTTGAATGAAAAAAGAAAATTCTGTGGAAGCAATCTTATTCCTATAATACAAGTCATCTGAAAAAAGATTGTGGAAGCAATCTTATTCCTATAATACAAGTCATCTGAAAAAAATCTCTTTTTTTAATCTGGAATTCACAATGAGGGTCAATAATAATCTCTATTTTAATATGCCACTGTGTTAGTAAAAATACATGTAAAAACGTTTTACAAGTTGTAGTAAACAATAATGTCAGAGAAGGTAAAACAAGATCTCAGAAAGTAGTGATCAGAGTGTAAACCGTAATAAGAGTTTAGGAAAACAAGTTGGAAATATGAATCAAGATTCTTAAAACCATTCAGAACTTTTTACTCAATAAAGCAGTTTCTGAGGTTTGTTTAAGTAAACCATAGAACTTGTGGTATTAGAAAAAAGATATATATATATATTTTTTTCTTTTGAGACAGAGTCTCGCTCTGTCGCCCAGGCTGGAGTGCAGTGGCGCGATCTTGGCTCACTGCAAGCTCCGCCTCCCAGGCTCATGCCATTCTTCTGCCTCAGCCTCCCGATTAGCTGGGACTACAGGCGTCCGCCGCCACGCCAGGGTAATTTTTTGTATTTTTTTTAGTAGAGACGGGGTTTCACCGTGTTAGCCAGGATAGTCTCGATCTCCTGACCTCATGATCTGCCCGCCTCGGCCTCCCAAAGGGCTGGGATTACAGGCGTGAGCCACCGCGCCCGGCCAGAAAATACTTAAATACAAAGATGCTTAACATAGTGCTGGCTACAATAATAAATATTTGGAAACAAAACAGATCCTCTGCCTCTCTCACCAGAATAAGAAAGACAAAGAAAAATATTAAGATGGTTGAATATAGAAACAAAAACGTCTTGGGCTACTTATTTTGGTGTTATTAAAATAATTTGGAGTTATTAAAATAATATTTAGAGGTGTTGCAGTAGCATGTGAAAAGCTCTGGTTATAATAGTAAGTGTGCTTCAGTATTCTCTAGGGGAAAGTGCTTTATAGGAATCTCATTTGGCCTTCAGGAATGAATGACTAGTGCAATTCATGTTTTCTTTTTTTGAGCCAGGCAAGTTCTGCATTGTCCCAGAATACAGCACATGTATGTCTACTATCATGTCTTAGCCCTTGACAGTCTGTTTTCGACAGACCTCCCTTTTCCTTTTGTCTACTTCAATTTTAGATGTCCTCCAAGTCATTCTACTTCCTTCCATAATGCTTTCATGATTATTCTAGAACACAAAAACTTTCTCATCTCTCAGTCTTCTAGAACTGTATTTTCAATTATGATCTCACACTATTCTACTGCGTCTTAAGCAATATAAAAGAGGTCATGAATGTCCCATCACCAAGTTTGTAATACAGAGGTTTGCAAATGCCTTGCTTGTTTGAAGGAAGAAATAAGATGCAGGATTTAGCATCTGGCATCAACACGCAGATTCTCTTGGCTTAAAGCCCAACTTCTACCATTTACTAGATATGAGACCTTGTGGAATTTACATAAGCTTTCTGGGCCTCAATGTTCTCATCTGTAAAATGGAAATAATAACACTATGCATATCCCTTTATTGATATGTTGTAATGGTATCTATCTATCTATATCTATCTATCTATCTATCTATCTATCTATCTATCTATCTATCTATCATCTATGCCCTAATATCCCACAATCAAAAACCTGCTCCTTTTAATCTTAATTTGGATTTGTAATAAAGTAGATATGACATACCATGACCAAAATATACCCTGAGTACTTAGAAGCTTGGTTTTGATTATACAGGCTTCTGAACTTGCACGTTATATTCCACTAATAACCATGGTATCTGTCTCTGGGAGTCGGAAGGCATTGAACATTGGTTGGGTTGCCAGGGATTGATCTGGTGGAGTGCAAACACTGTTTTTATTCGGTTACTCCTGTGGAGAATAGGATACCACTTTGGGAGAAATTTTCTAACCATAACAACTTACAAACATCATATAATAGTCTCCAATGGCACTTTATGAGGTAGGTTTCCTCTTCATATGGGAAAGCTGCCACAGATTGGACAGAAATTGCCCACACATTCATCATGTTTTTCTTAAAAAGGTAGTTTTGAATGATGTATGTTTGAAAAGTGACCAAATTAGCATATCCAAGTCCCTTAAGTATCATCAGGTAAGGATAAGAAAATTAAGACGGACTGAAGATATCTCTACTTTCGACAGCAGCATGCTGTGTCTACACGCTTTGGGAATTTCCATTCTGTTATTTTTTAGAGAGTCCATTGTGCCCGCCTCACCC
This sequence comes from Homo sapiens, assembly GCF_000001405.40. Lineage (NCBI taxonomy): Eukaryota > Metazoa > Chordata > Mammalia > Primates > Hominidae > Homo > Homo sapiens. The sequence continues at coordinate 124,567,201 of NC_000002.12, read as the reverse complement.
AGGACCTCTCTTATCCACAAAGGCTGGACAAAAAAAGTTAATCCTATCTGTCCTAAGTCTGTCCTCTTGCTTCACATTTACTAGAAAGCACCAACAATGAGGGGGAAAAGACTGTTTTCGAAGAGCTTGACAAAACTAAGAGAATACTCAAGAAATTATTATAAATAATTTATTAATCCAAAGAGTTTGTATTTCTTGTTTCGACTGTGGTCAATTCCTTCAGTAAAACATCCCTCAAACACAGCAAGGATTCTGTCATTTCCACAAGTGCAGAATTTCAGGCCTATTTGTTTTTGTTTTTGCCAAAGGGTGCCCTGTGTGCCATCTTCTGCACTGCAGAAGCTCTCACCTGGCCTGTGAGTGGGACCCATGCTTGCTGAGAGTGAGGCACAAGCTTGCTGATGAAATCACTTGGTTTGCAAAATGACTAAAAACAATGGTCCTCATTCAACTGGGGGAGGGGGAAATTAGTTAGAGGGAGGACAAATATTTGAATTGCACAGGGAACCAAGGTGTGCTTGCCAAATGTCACAAATATTCAAGGGATTTTGATTTGTCCTGGCTGAGTGCCCAGAAGCAAAGATAGAGTTTCACAAAGTTGCAGCCTACAGTGTAGGCATTGAGCAATTTCACAGAAAAGGAAATAGGAAGGTGTTAAAAAATGATATTTTTAAGGTTTTTGTGTGTTGAGTCTCCTGCTCATCAGGCTTGACAGTGTTCCTTTAAAAATCAGCACCTCACCTCCATTGATTTTCAACTTCACACTTTTTTTTAAAGCTCGACATCTTCTATTTTTAGCCTGATGGATGAAGTAAATTAAAGGAGAACAGTATCCATAGAGATGAACTCCTCAAAAAATTGTTAAATTACTTTTGGAGAAAGTGAGCGGAATAAGCTTTAACAGTCACGGGAATGTTGTAATGTGATTTGGCTGAAATTCGGGTTGTTTTGACTTAAATCTTCATGTTTCCCTTGTCTTGCTATTAAATTGATGGCCATTTCAGTTGTCTCTGACTTCTTACAGCAGCACTGACGTTACAATCTGGACAGCCTTATGGGGGTCCTGCAACATTTCTCTATAGGTATATGGTGTTCTTGGCTATTTGGTGATAATATTTTTGGAACCAGACTTAAAACCTAGAGATTGGTGTTTACTGGGACTCTTAGATAAAAACACATAATTTTAGCCTTAGATGGACCCACAAGAGTTCATTAGTTTTTCTTCCTAGGATCTGCAAAAAAAAAAAAAGGATCCCTCAATTGATAAAATCTTATACGTATTCACATAGAAGAACTAGGTAAAGGCCGGGCGTGGTGGCTCACGCCTGTAATCCCAGCGCTTTGGGAGGCCAAGGCGGGAGGATCACGAGTTCAGGAGATCAAGACCATTCTGGCTAACACGGTGAAACCCCGTCTCTACTAAAAATATAAAAAATTAGCTGGGCGTGGTGGTGGGCACCTGTAGTCCCAGCTACTCGGGAGGCTGAGGCAGGAGAATGGCGTGAACCTGGGAGGCGGAGGTTGCAGTGAGCCGAGATCGCGCCACTGCACTCCAGCCTGGGTGACAGAGCAAGACTCCATCTCAAAAAAAAAAAAAAAAAAAAAAAAAAAAAAAAAAAAAAAAAAAGGATCTAGGTAAAATTTAAATTCAATCTCTGTTATTCTATTGTTCTTTTCACTGTTCTAAATTTCTTTTTAATTGTATTTTTATTTTTAATTTTTGTGGGTCATAGTAGGTGTATATGTTTATGGGGTACACGAGATATTTTGGTACCGGCATACAATGCATAATAATCACTTCATAGAAAATTGGGTATTCATCCCCTCAAGCATTTATCCTTTGTGGTATGAACAATCCAATGATACTCTTCTAGTTACTTTGATTTCTAAATTTATCAGTAGAAAAGTTTTAATGAGATATATTTTTATAAAGCCAAACAATATTTTTTTTGTTTCTGCAGGCAACTAACAGCAATAACCACATCACTCCCTGATGACCAGTGGACTAGTGGACTAGTTCTTCTCTAAATTGATCAGACTTCCCTATGGACATCATCAGTGAATCCTGCTTTGAAGGAATGGAAGAGGCTAAGGAATGGCTGAGAGGTCTTTAAAGATGAGAATATCAACGTTACTTATCCTTGGCTGGAATCCCAGGGTTCCAGCCCTATTGGCATCTACCATGCTCTTTCTGCATCCCCAAGTGCCAGCCCAAAAACAGCAGGCACTTAAGAAAAACCGGAGAGAACTGTCCCTGAGCGATAGTTCTCACTGGAGTCCTCAGAAGAGCTCCAGGCGTTGGCTGCACTCTTACGTCTAGAAAATGTTTATCTTACCCTTCTACCTTCTAAGCCAATTTCAAATTTCTAATTTTTCATGAAATGCTCTGCAATTCCAGACAGTGATTTCAGAATTATCTTTCTCAATCACACTTATAGTCCGTAGTTGGGCATACATTTCTCTGACTGGCAAACTTTCTATACTTTTTCATGTGTTTCCCCCTACCCGTGGTCTCAATAAGACTATACAATTATAAAAATCAGGGCTGGGCTGGGCACAGTGGCTCAGGCCTGTAATCCCAGTGCTTTGGGAGGCTGAGGCAGGCGGAACACGAGGTCAGGAGTTCGAGGCCAGCCTGGCCAACACGGTGAAACCCCATCTCCACCAAAAATACAAAATTTAGCCCGGTGTGGTGGTGTGCACCTGTAATCCCAGATATTCAGGAGGCTGAGGCAGGAGAATCACTTGAAACCAGGAGGCGGAGGTTCCAGTGAGCCAAGATCGTGCCACTGGACTCCAGCCTGGGCAACAAGAGCAAAACTCTCTCTCTCAAAAAATAAATAAATAAATAAATAAACAAATAAAAAATCAAGGCTCATATTCTTTATTTGTTTTCTATCCCTCACTCCTTATCTTGTGTACACCCTAGCCTATCTCTGTCTCCCCTCTTATCACTCCTCCTCACCTTCAGCACCCTCCAGCCATCTGAAACTATTTGAAAATTCCAATTTTCCACAGAGCAGAGGACCCCTGTGCTTTATGTCTCCATTTGTTTCTTTGCTTCTGAGTATCCTTTTTGTTTCTTTCTTGTTTTTGTTTCCTCCCATATTTCTACAACAAGATCAGCTCAGTTCTTCTATTTGAAGTCTCCCTAACACTGCGGTTGACAGGCAGTCATTAGCACTTTTCACCAATATTCAGGTTCTGTTTTCTCCCATTCCACGGCAAGATTGCACTTCAGCCCCTATTGAGGTTGGGTGTGCCCACGTGGCTTTATTTGGCCAGTGGAATGTGAGTGGAAGTAATGTTTGCTACTTCCAAGTAGAAGCTTTGAAAAGCTAGCCCATGTTTCCCTGTGCTTCCCTCCCTGTGTTTCCTCTTACTACAGCAATCTTCCAGATAATAGAATTTTGTTACCATCTAAGAACAAGGACAAGGTGGAAGAAGGGCCTTTGTCATGCATGATGGGTATGTGACACAGGTATAGCATGGACCTTGTTACTTAGACCACAGAGATGTTAGTTTGTTTATTATAGCCACCTAACAACTCATCAAGACTATGCAATTGACTTAACAGCTCCCTCTTGTGTGCCTACAGCACCTTCCTTTGCTTCCACCTTAAACTTATTCAACTGTACTGTCATGATCTCATTTCCTGCCTGTCTTGCTGGTAGACCATAAACTCCACAAGAATATGGCTTGTATCCATGCATCCTCTGAGCCCAACAAAGTGTTTGGTATATAATAACCTCTTAAAACACACATGCTGAATGAGTGAATAAAACATGCCTGCCCCATGCTAAATACATCCTGAAGTTAACAATGGTGTTCCTGGAGTTTTGTCCAAGCCACCAGGGGCAAATGATCAATCTACTCACAGTTGTGGCAGGTGGCACCAGTGTAACTTGTGTCACTGCAGTTACAATAGAAGGTAGTCCAGGACTGGGAGCAGCTTCCTCCATGTTCACAGTAGTTTGGCAAACACCTAATGGAAGAAAACATAAATGAAAAGAAAATAAACCAAATCATTTGGCAGAAAGGGGAAAGCAAAAATGTCTCATATCCAACTGCCTCAATTAATAGTAGATATTGATTTGCTATACTCCCATACCTAAGGCAGATTGAATGACATCAAAATAGTATGAATATTACAGTTTTAGCACAAAAGGTAGAATCACCTTGCATTACTGCGCAATGAAAGTCGCAAAGCTGATGTAAGTACTTAAGTTAAGGATGTTAATATTGAGGCAAATTCATGTTGACTTAAAGTTAATTTGAAGTGGTCAGAATTTGTAAGGTTTTTCACTTACTAAAAAATAAAATGTATAAAGATAATCATTTTACATTTTTTAATGGTTTTGTATTTTTAAAGGAGAGGCAGATAATTGAGGTCATTGTCCTCATGCTTCTCTTTTGGGGAATGACCAGGTATCTATTTTAAACTGCACAAAGACAACACGAAGTTAGAAAAGATGATATTTGTTCATCTAAAATGCAAGGGTATTTTATCATTTGTAAAAGTGTAAATGCTATCCTTAAAACAAAGGCTTCACTACTTAAGGTCAAAATAACATGGCTATTCTGAAAAATATTTTTACCACACACATTAAAAACTCCATAAAATATTTATATAATTAGAATCAGCAATCACACTGAGATGACCTTGTCTTAAGGCTATTGTTCAAAATATGAAAAATATATATGCTAATTAGTGTTATTCACAATGATGCCATTCATAATGGTGAATCAACATAAGTGTCCAACATTAGAAAATTACTTAGGAAATCTGTAGTACATAAAATTAATGGACTATCATAAAACTCCAACAAATGATGTGGACAAACATGATTATAACAGAACAAACATGATTATAACAAACATGATTATAACAGGACAAACATGATTATAATAGATTAAGTAAAAGTTTAAGATACGAAGCATGAACACCACAAAATAAAACACAGGCTTTATAAACTTCAAAAATAGTTGAAAGGAAAAATCTTTAGACTTGGGCTAATGGGAGTGGAGGTAACATTTTTTTCTTCCAGACAGAAATCACAGACTTTAGGGAGACATGTATCTGAGTTCAAATCCCCTTTACTACATGGTGCCTTTGGGTTATTCTTTGCACCTCTTATACTGCCACCATTAAGAGATAACCTGGTTGGTGCTCAGTAAATGCAGTGAATGAAATTAAGAGTAAAAACAATGATACATACCATAATTTTTGAAAACAATCTTTATAGGGCCTGAGAGAGTACAGGAAAATAAATTCCGCGAATTTAAAAAGAGAGAGGGTGCAAGCAATGAAGTTACAGAAGTGGTATATAATACAACAAATGGGTTCATTGTGAAGCCACTAAGAATCTGAGGCAAGCAAAAGTAAGATGATTTACTCTGACTGCCCTATATAAGTAGGAAAGCCTCCAGCAATGATTGTTTCAAATCCCAGAAACTAATATTCCTGCATATGTTCAGACATATTAGAAATTTTCTGCTCAGCACAGCAAATATACAATTGTGCTGACAGGGCTTATGTTTGGGAAAAGCTTGTTGATAACTTTATGGTATTCAACGATAGCCTAAAGTACAGGAAAGATTTAAATAAAGGACCCATAGTTTTGTTACGGGATGTATTCACACAAAACAACCAAACAAACAAACAAACAAAAAAGTGGTCCTCTCTCTGTTCAAATTCTACCTTTCCTTTTTATTCCCACCCACTCTCCTGGTCTTGGTGGACAGCAGAGGCCACAGGCTTTTCTCTTGGGTAACTCAGAGATCCTGTCCTGCTCTATGCCTGTGCTGGGAGGGAAGTTCCAAAAACTTAGAGCCTTGATGTCCTCATCCCAGTAAGGATTTCTTTCTCCAGGCATGTCCTCAGGAGATCCTGGGGGGCTAGCACTGTTTTGAATGCCCCCTGTCCCCACACGCTGTTTCCTTTCACATCCCAGCATCTCCCTGCTTCTGAAATACTGCTTCTTCTGCAGTTTACCTTGTGCCATAATTTTCTCTTCTGAAGCTGCCCAGTTTTTCCATGACCTTTCCACACCTCCTTTTGCCCCAGCCCATCCCCTCCCCACAGCACACACGTAAACACAAACAGAGATTTCCATATGAGCAAATGATAGTATTATTGCTGCCCTCCCCCAACAAAACAAGAAATTGCCTTAAGAAAGAAAAACTGAGCAAAGCACACTCAATAGGTGCTTATTCTGTAGTTTTTTTTTTTGTTGTTTTGGGCCCCAAGAAAGTTCAGGGTTGACTTTTTTTGGTGGCTGAAACTATAAAATAAAAAACCCAGACATTCTCAGTGGTCAAGTTTTGAGACACAAGAAAATTTGTCTGCAGTGAAAGAGAGACAGAATAAACAAAAAATATGCTGACATGCAGCAAGCAGCAAAAAAGGGGGATGCCAACACTGTGTGGTCGGTCCCTGCTGTCCTTGAGACTTCATTGCACCCGTGAACTTCCTAAGAGCTGGCTATTTTCATATATATTAGATGCTGTGAAGTAGCCTAACCCTTTTCCAGAAAAATCCCCAATGCAATTAGGATAGTCCGAGCTGGGATTCTCTTACATTCAACTAACAGAATTTTAACTTTGGGTAAGAAAGAAGAATCCTGTAATTACAAAAAGAAAAAGAAACGTTTTCTGCACTTTAGTTTTTTTTTTTTTTTTTTGAAATGGAGTCTTGCTCTGTCACCCAGGCTGGAGTGCAGTGGCAAGATCTCAGCCCACTGCAACCTCCACCTCCTGGGTTCCAGCGATTCTCCTGCCTCAGCCTCCCGAGTAGCTGGGATTACAGGAGCCTGCCACCATGCCCAGCTAATTTTTGTATTTTTAGTAGAGATGAGGTTTATCCATCTCTACTACGGGTTGGCCAGTCTGGTCTGGAACTCCTGACCTCAGGTGATCCACCTGCCTCGGCCTCTCAAAGTGCTGGGATTAGAGGCATGAGCCACATGGCACCTGCCCCACTTTAAATGTTTTTAAAACAAAAGATTACAAAATCTACTTCGGCATGTTGGGAGAAGGGTTTAGGGGAAAGCTCTAAGAAATATCTGGGCACTTAGAACACATATTTAATATGCCTCACACAGACCTTGTTTTACAATGATAAACTCAATTTACCATAAAAATGTAGAAACTACATCTTTATTAACTTACTAGAAACTCATTTGTCTATGGTCACTCAGAAAAGCCAATGATGCATTCCTGGAAGGGTAAAAGAGTACTTGAGCAAGGAAAAATCTAGTTTTCCCAGAATGAGAAAGAAAAAATAATAATAAATGAGCACTAGTAGAGCTGCCTTCAAGCTTGGTTCATTTTGGTTCAATGCACACTGTGATTAGAAAAACTCATCTGTAAAGAAGACGCTTGAGATAAAAGACACATGACACCAATTTTCTTATTTAAAAGGGGCAGTTTCATGAGTATAATTTCCACATTCTTTAATCAGCTCATTTTAACTGGGCTTTTGTTTCTTTCTCTGTCTACGTGGCATAAACTGAGCATCGAAGACATTAACCCAGAAAAAGACCCATCATAGAACTGGGAAGTGGAAAGAGTGAATTAAGCGTGAGGGCACTCACTCTTTTAGGTGTAAGGCTCTTAATCCAAATTGCTAGGAGATAAACACATTGAACATCTGTCTTCTAAAATCCTAACGATATTGCATCTATAACTGCATCTGGATGGATGTGACCTCCTTTGGTGCACAATGTTTAACAAAGAAAGCTTTCAGCATGGACACAATGGCTTTCCTCTTACTCCCCAAAGCCCTGGTGATGTGTCCCAGGAAAAACTTAGATAGTGTGGCAGACACATTGGAAGCTGTTAGCCTCTGTATAAAAGCAGAATGTGCATTGTCTTAAGGGAAATGAGATAAAGGATTGAAAGAAAGAAAAGAGATAGGAATGAAAGGAGAAAAAAAAAGTCAGAGGGTTAAAAGTCTTTATAATGTTTATCCAAATAAAAAATTCTTCCAAAAGAGAAGGATCATTGCTAGGTGGGGCTATTGACAATCCAGGTAATAGATAAAGTGAAAAGGTTTATCTAGAGTGGTCCATGGACCTAAGCTCACAGTCCATCCTACAGAGGTACATGGTTTGGGCCTCAAGGTGGTTGTTTTGTACTGTGTTTTGCTGTTCATGGGAAATATGAAGAAACAAAGTATTTCTTTTTAAAGGCAAATGCACAGCAATGGAGAAAGCCAAATAAACTGCTTCAGAGCAGAGATAAGATTTTGTAGGATGTTGTGAGATTGAGCCACTAGGTAGACTAGAGACAGACATTTCTGAGTATGTAAACTGGAGTCCAATTTCATCCTGGCAAGCACACTTTCAGCAGAACATGCTCTCTCTAGGTCAGCCTTAAGAAGAACAAAAGGACCCCCACAGCTTTCCTTCAGGAAGATCAGAGTGGTTATTTCTCTGTAACTTAGCTTTAACTGGGGCCGGGCTGAAGTTTCCAGCTGGAGTGGATGAGGCCTGGGAAAAGTGTGATGAAAGCAGTAGGAATCAAGACAGTTCAGGGAAATGCAGTCTGGCAGTTTGTTTTTAATTTGTAAAGTTTCACAGAAGAAATATGAATTTTTGGCTTCTTTTAAAGCAAAAATAAGATTACTGAGCAAAGTCAAAGCAAATCTCACGGCTACACACCAGTGACTTCAACGTTTAGATCTGAGTTCAGTCTTCGCTCCTGAACTCCAGACTCCTCTACGCAGCTGTCTGCTGGACAGCTCCACGTGGGTGTCTAATAGATATTACTTTCCAATCTCCTCCTTCACCCTGCCCCCACCACCTGCTTTACCTGTGTTCTTCACTATCACAGTTGATGTCAACACCCTCCTTACTAGTACCCAGGTTCTTAAACTTGAAGGTCCTCTCCTTCTCTCATAGCTTATATCCAAGATGTGAGCAATTCCTGCCGGCTGGGCCTTCAGAAGCTGTCCTGAATCTCACCACTTATCACCCCTCCCCTGATGTTCCTCTAGTCTGAGATGCAAGCATCACTCACCAGAATAACTGCAATTATCAACTAACTGGTCTCCCAGCTTCCATCCTTGACCCCTTCAGTTAATTCCCAACACAAGAGCAAGGGGGACCCTATAAAAACCTAAGGCAGATCATTTTAAACGCGTCTCCTCTGGCTCCCTATTTTATCTAGGGTAAAAGCAACATCCTTAAAATGATCTTCCAGTTCTTATTGATCTGCTCCCCTTAACACTCTCAACTCACCCCTACACTTTTCCCTTTTCTACATCTGCTCCAACCATGTTGACTTTGTTGTTCCTAAAGCACACCAAGAATGCTACCTTGTCAGGGTTCTTGCACTGGAATTCTCTCTACCCAAAGCATTTTTCCCCAGATGTCCACATGCCCCATGTCTCAGCTCATGTTCCTGCTCAAGTGTCACCTTCTCAAAGGGGCCTGCCACCATCATGTTATTTAATGTGCAAACCTTCCTCATTGTTTCCCTGGAATCTCTTTTCCTGCCATTTTATTTGTCTTTAGTGTGTATTATCTTCTGACACACTAGATACTCTGCTTATCCATCAGTTTATGATTCAGTGTCTGTTTCTCTGAAAATGAACGTTAGCTCCATAAGAGCGCTGCTTGTTGTCTGTTTGGTCCACTGACGTACCCAAAGTAGGAAGCAAGGTAGGCACTCTATAAATTGTTGTAGATTGAGTGAATGAATGACAGGCATTTCTGGGGTGCAGCCCTCTGTTAGCTAAGCCTCTTCAGTTTGTCACAGCCTTGCTGGCCTTCACCCATTTACTATTACCTGCACGCTCTTGAGCAGCACAATCAGAGCTCAGTAGGAAAGAGGGCAGGCAAAGGAGCCTCACTTTTGTGTTTTTTTTTTAAGAGGTGAGAAAACAGTGGAAAAAGAGCCTTCTTCTGTGCAGCCACAGGCAAGGAGCAATTGAGAGAGGGAAGAGAAACTCAGGTTTCTCTGAGTGGAGAAGTAAGATAGAGACCATAAATTGGACGTTCTTTAGTGGCCACTTAGGGATGCAAGTCAGTAATGCAATTCCTTTTGATTACTTATGTCCATTGAGCTGTATTTTTGGGCCCTAACAACTTTATTGCTTAAGTACTTAGAAAGATAATTGTCCTCTAATTGGATCAGAAGCAGAACCCTTATGCATGATGCAACTTAGAGCTTTTTTTTTTTTTGAGCGGGGGGGAAGGCAGGAGAATATCTAGCATTCCTGATAAAATCTTTGTACAATTTTGATAGATTTTCATGAGATAAAAAGTCTGCTGAAAAATTCAATTTACCCATCCAGCTCACCTTGATCCTTGTTACCTTTAACCAAACCTGACTTTCTGATCTCCTCCCTCACCCTGCCCCCACCACCTGCTTCACCTGTGTTTTTCGCTATCACAGTTGATGGCAATACCCTTCTTACCAGTATCTAGGTCCCGAAACTTGAAGATGCTCTCCTTCTCTCATAGCCTATATCCAAGATGTGAGCAATTCCTGCTGGCTGGGCCTTCAGAAGCTGTCCTGACTCTCACCACTTATCACCCCACCCCGATGCTCCTCTAGTCTGAGCCACAAGCATCTCTCACCAGAATAACTACAATTTTCAGCTAACTGGTCTTCCAGCTTCCGTTCTTGACCCCTTCAGTTAATTCCCAACACAAGAGCAAGGGGATCCCATAAAAACCTAAGGCAGATCATATTTTAAAATACAATAACCTTAAACTAGCCTTAAGACTATCTTAATAATTTTTAACCAAACTTTTTTTTCCTTCCTATTCTCCTACAAAATATCTCCACCAAGAGGAAATTTTGATCTTGGCTTCTTTAAGGCTTTTCCCTGGCCAAGAAGCTTGAAAAAACTTTGACATGTGCTCACAATCACATCTGGGATGTTGCTTTAATGGTATTATTTCCCCTGTTTTACAGATTTAAAAAGTGAGACTAGATGAGGGTGAATAACTTGTCCAAGTACAAAGCGACAGAGTCAGGAAGGTGAAGCATACTACCTGTCACTGAAGCCTGTACTCTAGAGCACTGCACATCCTCCTTCAAACAAATGCCAGATCATCTCCCTAAAAGTGATACCTAAGCCTACATCTGAGGCATCACTTCTGCCAAAGTGAGGGTTAGGGGGCTTTGCATATTTTGCACTGATTCCAGACACTGTTATGCAATGTGGAGTTGTCAGTTTAGATTTTTTTTAAAGATAATTTTTGGTAGGAAAAGGAATCTTAATATGACAAATGGATTAATTTGAAATAAAATTACACTAAAGAAAAAATATGTACGTTTGCACAATTAACATAATGATATCAAATTTATTCTACAAATTCCCAATGGGAAAGGAGATGTCAATTCTATTTTCAATCCCTCTTCGCTTCTAGTTTGTGAAATCTTTAAAATAGATTAACCCAGAAGACAGCCTTTGCCCCTGCCCTGCTCTTGTAGTTTACATTTTTTGCACATGACAGAGTTTTTCTGTGTCCTGAGCCTGTGTAAGTTAACATGGTTGCTTCCTCTTTCTTACTACTAATGTCAGAAAATTTCAGACTCTGCCTGCTTTTAGTAGAAAGACCTTATTAGTTATCATTGCAAGCCAAATAAAATCATTTAACCTACCAAACTTTTTATTGCAAAACTTAAGTTGTATAATCCCACAAGTACAGAAAAATGTAAGAGTTCATCAATGTGTATTAAGCAAATGGAAAATTCATTGAGGATTCATATTTGGTCTTTGAATCCAATGATACAGTGATATGGGTTTCATGGTCAGCCAACTGTGGATGTTATGGAGACCTTGTCTGAGCTTCCACGCATAGAGGCCAAAGTGCTCCACCACAGTCACCAACACTGACAGCCTCAAATCTTCATCACTTAGCACATTACACGTCTTCCTTAGGCATGCAATTTTTAAGCCCAGAAGTTTCCAAATTCAGTATCAAAAGTTTAAAATAATCAAAACTATGGTATGAATGTTTTTGGGTAAAGAAGTATGGTACTGAAAGAGAAAAAAGGTCACAAAACTGGTCCTGGACAGAAACTTCTGTGTGTTGTAATTTTCACTTTTCTCAGAAAAAAATAGCATTCCCAAGTTAAAAAAAATACTAGAGCATATTTATGATGAATTTTAACAGGGTTAAGACTCAGTATCAGTTGACAGTCTTAGGAAGAACCTTACCCTTAGAATCTTAATGTCTTACATCAAGTCATGAAGTCTAATAATCATTCATTGAGTTTTTAATTTTTAAATTTTTCTAAAAACATTAAGTCTAACAATGAATATCTCATTTTTCTTTTCTCTTATGAAGATCCCCTGCCAAGAGTGAATTTTTGAATTGGCCAGCTCTAGTTTGTGTCTCTTGTAGGAAGATTATAATAAAACTTTGAAGATATTTTAATAGTCCTTTTGTGTTTGTAGTTTTTAAGAGAATTTGGCCTATTCGAGTATAATTCTTGTAAACTTCACTTTAAAATGTGTAAGGCTGAGCTCAGTGGCTCACCCTTGTGATCTCAGCCCTTTAGGAGGCCGAGGCAGGAGGATTGCTTGAGGTCAGGTGTTCAAGATAAGTCTGGACAACACATGGAAACCCTGTCTCTACAAAAAAATTCAAATATTAGCTGGGTATGGAGGTGCACGCCTATAGTCCTAGCTACTTGAGAAGCTGAAGTGGGAGGATTGCTTGAGCCCAGGAATTTATGGCTGCAGTGGGCTATGACCTCACCACTACACTCCAGTCTGGGTGACAATGTAAGACCCTGTCTCAAAAAAAAAAAAAAAAGAAAAAAGTATGAGACAACTGATTTAGATCCTTAATTGAAATCTTCCTTAGTAAAAAACCTAAGAAAGAAGTTCATTTAAGTTAAATGTTTATTTTCTGAATGTTCAAGTTTGACAAGTGTTTGTCACATTCTGTTTGTTCACTAACAAATCAATGAACTTGGAAAGTTAATAAAATATATCACATATGTAGTTTAAAGTATTTGAAGGTACTTAAATAACTAAATCCAGGATTAAACATTTCCAAAGGTCCCTTAGACTTGATAGCTAAGACCTGCTAGATTTATAAATAGAAAAAGACATTGTAAGTTGAATTTTAAAAAAAGAAAAAAAAACTTAAAGAACAAGGATTTTAAAATTTTAAGAAATTCGACATCACTTTTTTAAAACCAAAAATAAATCTTGCTAAAGTCTGTTCTACATTCAAAAATCATCCTTTGCAGGCACCAGAACACTCCCATCGGCACCTGCCTTGGCTCACAATTCTGTTCTTAAATCCCACCTTTGGCCCTCATATCCCTGAGGAGAACTTCAGCTTCTCCATCAGGCTCTGCACAAATGCCCGGGAGCTGACCCTGGGAGCCACTTCCATTTGTTCAGTCTGGAGCACTGAATTCTACCTCTAGTTTCCCTTCCTCTGTCTGTCTCTTTGTCTCCACAATGGTTGCCTTTTGGTGAAAATAACAGGTTTTAGATTTAATCTATTGGCCAAGTTGTTCACCCAAATTCCCTAAACTCCTTAAGTAGTATTTTGATAAATCTGTTTACTCAAAATTGGAAAACTCTGGATTTTATTTTTCTTAATTTGCAAATATTACAGAAAAACATTTTGCGTCATTTTATTTGCATTCTTTTTTTTGAGACTGCATAATCAATCCTTTTATTTTCCTTATGCATTCTAACTTTTTTTTTTTTTTTTTGAGACAGAGTCTTGGTCTGCTACCAAGGCTGGAGTGCAGTGGCATGATTTCGGCTCACTACAACCTCCACCTCTTAGGTTCAAGCGATTTTCCTGCCTCAGCCTCCCAAGTAGCTGGGATTACAGGCACGCGCCAGTGTGCCCAGCTAATATTTGTATTTTTAGTAGAGACTGTGTTTTGCCATGTTGGCCAGGCTGGTCTTGAACTCCTGACCTCAGGAGATCTGCCTGCCTCGGCCTCCCAAAGTACTGGGATTGCAGGTGTGAGCCACCCTGCCAGGCCCAACTATTTCTTCTTGGAACACATTGTCCCTTTACAGCCTTTGCCAGTGTTTTGTGTTATAATACTTTCTGCTCATGCAGCATATGAAGAACATTGCCACAATGCCATGGACACAGTGGCATTTTAAAAACTTAACTTATATATCTGCTTTGACCTAGAATTCTATTTCTTTCCCAGAAATAGAATATAATGTCCCAGAAATGCATTTTTACATGCACAAAAACAATGTAAAATTATTATCATTGATAACAGTTAAAAACATAATTAATAGATAATCTACCATTTAGGGAATGGTTAAATAAATGATGGTACACCCATACTGTAGAATGCCATGAGACATTAAAACGAATAGTACGTCTGTACGTAAAGAGATTGGAAAGTCCTTCAATGGACTGGAAAACTGTTAACAGTGGTTACCGGTGGGAATATAAGTACCATCTCACTTTTTGTATATTTCTGCTCATGGCTTTTGCAATGAGTCTGGAAAGAAATGTAGAGATATTTTATTTTAGTTTGTATATATGCATGTGTGCATACATAAATACACACACATATATACACACACAAATTTATAGATATACTCACACATACATATATGTGTGCATGTGTGTGCATGTGTGTATATGCTTGCTATCAGACAATGGTAAAGGGACATTCATGCAGCTGATGGAGGAAATGGTCTCTAAAAAGAGAGTCAAGCTGTCCTAAGGCACATTATAAGCCCAGGAATGAGACCAGCTGGACAAAAGAAGATGTTCAGATATCTGAGCGTGGGCAATCCACCTGGAAAGGTGGGCACTGGACATGTATCATTGCCAATATGTTCAAGGGCCCCATGAGATGCCAGGCCTGTCCTGGTGTCACTGCCTGGATGCAGCTGTCATAGTACTCACGAGGGGTGTAGTGGGGTCACCTTTTCATGTGAAGCTCCTGAGACTCAGCGAGTTCCAGATTTCCAGTGAGGGCAGAGTGAACATTTAAACCCAAGTCTAGCCGACTGCCCTCTACTTCCCTCATCAAACTCTAGAAATCAAATTAAATGGGGAGGGCCTTTGCTCCTTTGGATTAAGCTCATCTGATAACACACTCCTCATGATCACCATTCATTATTGCCCCCTATTGATTCATGTACATTCTAAGTCTCTTGTAAAAATTAAAAGAAAATGGTCCTTTGTCTAAGAAAATAAGCACAGTAGTTAACTGTGTGTGCCCAAGTGCCCATTTTTTATTGCAGTTATTTAGACATATGAACTGTTTAGACACATGCCTACCCCTCTTAAAAAAATCTTCAACCTGAACACATCTTGAGAAAATCATCGCTTAAAAGATAAGAGCATTAAAAAATATACTCAGTGTACTTAAATAAAAACCTACGGAAATAATTTTTCTTCCCTGTTAAATTTCCCTCTTCTCCATTTCCCATAACAGACTGAAATGAATAGGACACCAAATGACAGGCCTTTGAAATTCCCAAATGTTCAGATAAATGATTCTCTATACATGAATCTGAATGTATTTATGCTCCATGGAGTAACCTCCCTTTTAAAGAATTCTCATTCCTTCTTTATAAAATTGAAGGTCAGTTTCAATTTCTATATGCTTTCCTTGGAGACAAAAGAACAAAACATTTCAATAGTCCTCAAAATGCAAGCTGACTAATGTAAGCTGTGTTATGAAGCGCATACATTAAAAATCAGCTAGGTTGCGTTCCTTTGTCTGTTTGCTTTAATTAGCAGCCAACCGCATTGATCTCGTTTTGGTCAGATAGCTTTTCTGAAAGCTTTTGAAACCTATTTCTATGTCTTTCCATTCTAACAATTATCATAATCCCATTTTACCCCCACAGTTGGATCTCCATTATAATTTAAATTTGTTGTAATTACAGCAGATGCAGACATTAAGAAATTAAGGGAATAAAAAGAAAAGTGTCAAAAGTCAGTTTCCTAAATTTTCCAGGGTCTAGTTCACAGCAGGGAGTCAATCGCAGATTGTTGCGATGATCCCCAGATAATGGACAAGCAAAGATGATCGAATGAGTTTGCAATGCACGTCAGTGATCCCAGCAACAATGCTGGGGTTCAAGAAGAAGCCGGGCACAAAGGGCACACATGCCTCTCCCTGCACGGGCCAGTGAAGGCCACTGAACAGAAAAGGGAAAGGTCCTCTCTCTACTCTACCGCACACTGAAAAATGTATGACCCTGAAGTGCTCAGTTCTTCAAAGGCCAGTTCTTCAAAGCAGAGGACATTCAGAATCAAGAAGAATGTATCAGCATCATGCATACTAATATTGTTAGTATGACAAACCACCTGAGCCTATGAAAATAGTAGCAAGACATTGCTACCTGGGAACTTTAGAAACAAGTCCCCTACCACCAAACTATAAAATAATATATATCAAAAAATTCACAAAGGAAGAGAACCCCCTATTAGCTTGGTAGGGGTCATTTTCACAAAATAGAATATAATTAAATTTCTTTAATCAACCCATTTATCTCAGTGACCTAGAAGTGATCCATCAGAATGGAAGTCCACCACGCAATTGACAGAGGGGCTGTAGATTTAATGGGAGAGAAATCTGGTTGGGTTAGTCCACCTCACATCTACTAGGAAGCAGGTTTTGTGTTCCCTGCACTCACAGGCTTTTGTTCAGCATCATGATTATGATACCTCGGTTGGAATATTGGAGCTATCAGGAAACGCACAGACAGTAGAGCTCTCTGGATTACTGTAAGGGTCTTCTTAATTTTAGGACATCACTCAGATTCCACTATGAATAGAAATAATTCTATTACTTGACTCAGTGCTTCTCAAACTTTGGTTAAAATGAAGACCCTGATACAGAGGTTCCGCATTTATAATAAGCTTATGGGAATGAGAAAACTGCTGGCTCCCAGACCTCACTGAATAGCAAAGTTCTGCACTTCAGTAGAGAGTCATTCTGTAGAGATGGTTCAGAGGGGTTGCAAATTGTGGGGTTTTATTTTTTCCCTTTCCTTTCCTTGTTTTGGGCTCTCTTGTGAAGTATTTCTAATTATTTTGTAAGTTTTATGTTAAAATGGTATCGTTTTCAAATGTGTCATGAATCAGGTTTTAACACACTGCACTAGCAATGTTAGTCTTTAGCTCCAGGCTAACTCTGGGGACTTTAATGGAAATCTTTCCCCACCTCCCCTGGGATTCCTGTGAACTTTAATTGGGAATGATGTTACACTGCACTGTCATGTATTATCAGGTCTGCTCAGGCCCACGCAGGTAGCGTGGATACAGAGAGGGCACCGCTGCTCCACAGCCCCATCCCCTTAAACCCAGCCATGCTCAGGAACACCTGCATGCTACAAGCTCTTTCCACTGCATAATAATGAAGCAAGAACAAGTGAATGGATGAACATGACATTAAAATAATAACGTATCATAGCAAGTGTTAGCACTGACTATATATTTATCTGGCTTTTACTTTTTTAAGAAATGCAAACGATTCTCAAATTTGAAGAAAAAAAGCAATTATACCTACTTTTGAACGCTTCTAGATCAGTCTTATTGAAAAACATCTACTATTGCAAAACAGGGTATCTAGAACTTCTATCAGTGGGCAGCTTATTTGTGTGAATCAAGATTTTCTTAATATTTAGCAACCAAACCAGAACAGCCAAACAAAATGAATACTGAGGCTAATGTATGACTGCAAATTTTGACACTCCTCCCCCTGGATCAAAGAATTATTTTCATAGACCAGGTCTAGAATTATCTAATTTAATCTTCAAATATTGTATTTATTTGTTATGGATAGAACTAAAATTTTATTTGATGGAATAAAAAGATTTCACCACATTAAAGTAAAAATGAAAACTACTCATATAGTGCAAGCCAAAAAGGACACAGGTTATAATTGGGTCCACTAATCTCCCTCTGGATCTTATTATCCCGGCTCCTCTAGGTTTCATTTTCCAATGGAGACTACCACTGTCCAAGCTTGGCGCTTACTGCTATAGTGGCTGCCGTGGTCTCTAGAACCCATGGATGAAGTGAACAGATACCAGCAGTGCCTGGATTACCCAGGATGCTCATCGATTTTGACATGTTGCAAGATTCTTTAATTTTTGCTTTAAAGGTCATGCAATGAAATTAAAATTGAGCTGGTGTTTGAGAAGCAGAGGATTAGGGACTGTGCCCAGAGGCTACCATGTCTGAGCATGGAGGCTGTTGTGATGGAGTAAAGGCTGGTCTGAGACCATCCCCTTGTGCCCCAGCTGAGGCATAGTGTGACCTCCTTCAGAGGTGACAAGATTCAGTCATATAGCCCAGGCGTCAGATTAGAGACCCAAGTTTTAATTCCAGTTCCTCCAGTTTCTAGCTCTGTGACATTTGCAATTATTGATCCCTTTCAGAGATTTAGTGTCCCTGTTTCTAAAATCAAGACAAAGCACAATATCTTAATCCTTGTGGGCGCTAAATAAGGTCTTGTAAAATGTAAGTAACTGTGAACTCTTGTTATTTTTGTCACTTATACTTGCAGATGGTTTTGTGACACAGTCATAGACTGTGTTTTTTTCTTTCCTGCACTCTTTCCTTTTTTTAACTGTTTTGTTTTTTTTTCCAGTTCGTGGAGAGAGAGATTTGGTTTGCACATTGCTAAGCTCAGTATACTACTCAGCCTGCCTATGCAGATCTGGGATTTCCATTCTCTGTTGCCAACCACAGGAGCTGAAAACAAAGGTTACACTTCATCTTTGTTCATTTAAATTTCATCAGTGTCCTGTCCTTGTGAACAGCAAACCTGGTTTCATGGAGTGAACTGGGCAGCTGCCTCTCCACTTCAGTTCTGATCTGCATCTGGGGCTTGAGCAGTTAAGGCAGAGAGATCCTAAGCCACGCTCAGTGGTATAGCACAGCCTCGCCATAAAACTGCTGGTGGCCACAGGTTGTTGTTAATGATTCAAACTACAGCTGGCCAACAACTTAATTGGCCCCTGACATCGTGCCTGTTCTAGAAATAGATTCTGCATCCAATTTGAGCTAAAATGTCACGACCCTTACACATGGAGATTATGGAGAACACAAACAAAGAGGAAAACACTAAATCCTTCCTTCCACAATTAATGTTTTTTCCCCCTCTTTCAACTTGTTTAGATTCTTCATCATCTAACTTAAGATTGTAAAAGATGTGGTCTAAAAAGACTTATACTAATGAAAACCTCAGATGGAAATGGTGAAAACACAGTTTAAGCCATTTTAGGAAATGAAAGAGACATGGGCTCGAAGATGCAAGTAAGAGCTGAATGTCTCTAAACAGCAGGAAGAGACACAGCATAGCTTCAGGAAATGCTGAACCTCAGGGCTTGAATACAACCAGGTTGCTGGCTCCTCCCTGGCCATCTCTTTTCTCTGTGAGTTGATTTCACTCACCCTCCCTCATCCCCACTTCCTCCCGTGGCAGGAATTGTGGCGGCCAATTGCTGAATCCTGCAGCCTAAGGCTTCTGCTATGAGAAAAGAACCTTACTCTTTAATCTTAAATATGAGAACCCCTGCAAGGGGCTCTCTTTGGCCTGGCTGGACCAGCCACCCTGGCCAAGGCAAGCACTTACGCAAGAATACAGAACTCTTGGAGGACCACACCATGGGAGATGAATACGAGCAGCCACCCCAGATACTGACACAACAGGAGCCCCTTGATCAAATCATAGATGGGTTCTAAAGGGCCTCACACAGGAATACACATGTCCCCTGCCTTTACTGGCTCTCGCTTTTGCATGAAAATCCTCTTTGTTATTCTAAGCTCAATTTAAGTTCTATCCCGGGAAAGAATTCCCAAAATGAACAATCCACACCACAAAATTCAGTCTTTAACTGCCCATCAACTGTATTTTTATTAAGTTAGAATTAAATGCCATACAGATAGTCAGTTCTTAGATGGCTCAGGTCACTCCTCATTTTGTTTTTAATTTTTCCTTGCGGGGCTTACTCTCTCCTGCTACTCCTGTGGCTGATGTCACCTCACTCATCTGTCATTCAATGCACCGTTTCTCTATTGAGCCCAAAGCCTGCCAGGGAATCTGCATACTGTCTGATGCCACCATTGCTAGCATTGAGGCTGGTATAAAACTTGCAGTCTATTTGCTATCTCTAGGGTTTTGGTCGGGGGTGGGGGAGGTAGTGGGTTTGACAGGGGAAAGACAGAGAGATTCTGCTCCCTCCCTTTTCTTGCTTAATTCTCCCTAAATATTTACACATATAAAATAAAGTTAACTTCTCTACCAGGTGTCAAACTCTGGACTCAGCGTGCTGGACTTGGTGCTAGCTTATCACAATAATTACTTCAATGAATCAATAAAACAATCTTGTAAGACAAGTATCACTATCTCTAGGAAAGGGAGGCTCACAAGTCAAGTGGTCAGTTAAAATCACAGACACTAAAAATGCAGGCTGAAAATTTGTTTGTACAAATCAAAAGCACAAGTCCTCCATACTAGAAGGAAAAAGAGGCAGAAGAAGTTACCTTTAAGGGTGTTTGTTTTGTAGAGAAAAGCAGAAAGTGAAGGCTAATGTCTGCTTATGACTCCTGAGTTCTCTTTAATGGTAGCTTTTGAAGCCACATTGTCTACACTACCAACTACCTCCCAGAGTTGCTGCCCCACTGCCCACAATGAGCAGCCCAAGGGGTTCCTGGTGTTTACTGTGATTTATTCACTCTAGGGCCGCATTTCCAAAAGCTCCTTATGTGAATGAGTAGTTTTGTGGAAACAAGGGCTTCATAGTCATATACGTTTGTAAACTTGTGCATAGCTTTCAGTGACTTCCCCCCTTGCACAGTTTATAAGCATGAGGATGCACACTTGCACACACACACACACACACATTGAGAAATCCTGCAGTAAAGAAACACACTTTTCTTACTCCAGCATTTCTCAAGCTAATTTGAACAAAGAAAACATTTTCCACAGACTACCATTAACATTAGGCAGAACTGGAAGTATAGCTCCCCACTGTGCAGGAAAAAATTTAGATGAGCCTGTATTATGATGAATTCAATAAAGAAATGTCTTTATTTAATCTTCTGACACAGTACTTCTAAAGGACTGATCCACAGGGTCAGTCTTTTATCCAACTGGGGTGTTGGATAAAATGCAGATTCCAACCTCTATTCCAGATGGACTTAATCAGAATCTCTGGGATTGTAGGGTCCAAACAACTGCATTAAAAGAGCTTTTAATGGATTTTTATGAATTCCAAAGTTTGAAGCTATCAGTTGGTAGGGCTGAGGTCTAACTTTCAATGTTTTATTTATTTATATTTTAGAGATGAAATCTTACTATGTATCCCAGCCTAATCTTGAACTCCTGAGCTGAAGCCATCCTGCCACCTCAGCCTGCCCAGTAATTAGGACTGGAGGGCTGTGCTACTGTACTTGGCTTGAGGCTGAATTTTAAAATTATTTGTAACCCATCCTTAGCTTTGAAGAGTGTCCTGGGTTAACATCTGTAGTCTGGTATAGGTCTTTATGTGACGCCATTTGTGCTAGTACGGAGACTCAGATGAAATCAAAGCCAACTGGGTTTTCCACATGATAAGGCCTGAAATTCACTCTTGACAGATTCCCAGGACCACAGTCACCACGATAATGACTCATGCAAGCAAACTGACAAGAGACTAGTATGTGATACTAGAATCCCAATTAATAAATATATGTTAAATGTTATGATTTTCAAAGGGACCAATATTTCCACCAGACTGATCAATATCTTTTCTTCCTTTAGGTTAGCTTCTTAGGTTTTCCAAATGTTTGAGGGCTGTGAATTAAGCTTGAAATCAGGACAAGAATAGTCACAGAACTTGGGGGTTTCATGCCTCTACTTTGCGATAGGCATTAATCTAAACCCACCCTAGAAAACGAACTCACATGTTTTGTTGACCAAGCAGAGTACCTCTTACTCTGAATTACTCAGATTTGAGCAGGTGGTTTTGGGAGTTCTGTCAATAACTTCAACATATAGTATGCTATTGGAGATTTTAAAAGTGAAGACTCTCTTATTTTAGAAAAAAATTAGAAACCAAACCTTACTAAATGGATTATGTTTAGATTACAATGTGTGTTTTTTTAACATGAATTCTAATTTAGAAAGGAACTTTGAACTGGGTAACAGAAATAGCAAAAGAACACTTGATATAGTAAACTTGTCTTCTTAAGTAATATAAAGTTTTTGACATTTTGATCTAGTAATCGTTAAATCACTTCTTTGCAAGGATGTTGGGAGAAATTAAGTCAAATAGTGATAAGCCCTTGTCTCCTGATGTAATTGTCTTTGGGAGAAGGGGCTCCATGACAGATAGTGACCATGACCATATCCAGCCTGGGCTGCTAAGGCTGACATTAAATCTACCACACCAGATCTGAATTTGAAGGCCCAAACCCAATCTTTATACTTAACCTCTGGTGCAGTCCGCTGCTGAACTTATGGATAAGAAAAATGTAAAATCCACAAGTACTGGCCCTAGCAGAGTGTCTAACCCTGCCCTATCCAATATGGTAGTCACTAGCCACATGTGGTACTTAAATCTAAATGTATCACACATTTTGAGTTCTCTATTACCAATAGTAACAAGATGTTAAGACAGCATAGAGAAGATCATTTCTATCACCACACAGTGTTCCATTGCACAGTGCTGGTCTAGACAAGTAATATTTGATTCACTGAAGCAATAATTATATTACATTCCTGTAAGCTTTATCAGTTATAAGGGGGGATATTCCAACTCAGTCTGAGAAGAGGATTAAGAACTATGGGAGTGTACAATTGTTATTTCTATTATTCCCCATTGATGTTGCAACACAGAATGGGCTTCTTTCTTTACATATCTGATGTTAGGAAGTCTTAATTTAGTTCTTTAGCTAAAATTAGCTTTATCTATTTGATTTTCCTTATTTATAACTCATCTTCTTACCAACCTACTTTTATTTGACACATTTTTTTTCTTTAGAAACATTAGCCTTAGTCCAAGCACTAACTAGCCTTGCATGGATACTCTCTTGTATCTCCAAGATGATCCCTTAAGACCTGTTAGATGGTTAGTTTAACTTTCAAAGGGCACTTTTTTTTAACTTCTAAGTTTTTTGGGGGTGGAAGATACTTGCCAACTCTGTAATCTTGGGAAAGTAATTTCATACCTGTGAACCTCAGTGTCCTTCTTGGTAAAATGAGCATAGTTCATTTTAAGATATTTTATTATAGTTCTCTATGGATTTGAACAAGAAAATTAGCAGGAAAAAAAAACTAGCTAGCATCTGGTCCAATTGTTGCATTTTAGTAAACCTAGGTGATTCTAGTTAGAATCCACTGTAGAAACAAGTACGGTAAAACATCAAAGGAGAAAAAATATATATCTTCTATATTCCTTTTTATTAAATGAAGAGGCTTTAGATGGCATTTGGCAAAAGTTGGAAGCAACTCTCTACATTTGACGATGCTACAGAGTTTGACAAAGCCAAATGAATAACAATGTTGTTTAAGTTTCTGCCAGGCACTTCTGAAAAAGAAAGAAAAAAATAAATAAATCTAAAAAACAGTGGCAGTGTATGGACCGTATCTGATTCGAATGCTGCTTTCTGGGCTAATGTGAAACCTTTCTTCTTCAATAACTTCACTTTCAGATAAACAGCCGACATGGTTACAGACACATCAGCATCCTTCCACGAAAATTTTTTGTTCCATTCCTGCTAGGTAAACAACGCCAACTTTACAAGCGTTCACTACTCAGCCTGTAGGAGTTGCTTAGGGGCGCACAGAATCCACAGGGTACACTCAGCAGATCTTATTACCAGGAGGCTGCTTACATCCTTTAACAATCACCAAAGACATTTTGTCTATTTCTCTGGAGCTGCCTTCTATTACAGAGCTAACCTATTTTTTTTTTTAAGGCACAAGATTGTAATATGGATAATGTGCTCCTATGCTTCCTTCCACTGTGTTATTTATAGACTACATTGCTCAAATACATTGCTATGGTTTGCTTGTCTAATTTTGTGATGGCCTTGCTAAACAAAAATACTCTTGCTAGCTAGTGCTTACAGAAGGAGCACTTAACACCACGTGAATGATGACAGCTGGCTCTGGCGTTGCTTTTATTAGGCACTCTTGCTATTCAAATAGAGCAGTATTTGGCGTGAACCACATTGGGAAGTTTTCAAGATGAGAAAAGAAGTGAAAGGCTTTAACTCCTAAATCTCGGATAGCAACCTCCAGAGTTTTGGGTATACAATGACATTAAAGATTATCAAGTTCATTCCATATCTTGAGGCAATACTTGCCCAAAACCAAGAGTCGTGTTGAGTTTTGTTAGCTTCATATGCAGTTTATCCCCCAGCTACTGAGAGCAGATGCTGTTAAAGCTCAAAAGGTTCAAATCATTAAGTAAATAATCACAGGGCACGTGTCTCAGCTGAATGCATCAGTAGACGTGATGAACTTTGGATGGGCAAGATACAAATAGAAAACCAGTCATGACTATGGTTGGGAGCTAAACAAAATATAAGAAGAAAGTGCCAGAGACACCCAAATAAGCAAAGAAGAGTGTGAGCAGTCAAGAAGACTTCGTAGAGTAGGTAGGATTTGAACTAGACTTTGACAGATGGGCTGGATTTGGGCAAAAGAAACTGGGAAGGGAGCTCCAGACAAGAGAAATAGCAGCAAGTGCCTGGAGGCTGGAAGGCAGCTGGCTGCTTTGTGGCAGGCAGTGGTGCACTTCTGGAATCCCATCACACTCCCATTTTCCTTACTTCTCTCCTGTTAAAATGCAGCTGGGACATAACTTCATGGCCCTCAGTGCCATTAACTTCCCTTTGTAAGATGTCTGCTTTCAGGTTTCTTATCTAGCTCTCTTGCTCTTGAGCTTCTTTAAGGCAGAAACTATGTATATATGTCCTGGAACATACTAGATGCTCAGTAAATGCACACAGATGGAATGATGAATTATTCATCATATAGTAGGAGGTAAAAATAGATAGGGAGGAACAGGTGAGGCCAGAAGACTGCAAAAGTCAAGCAGGAGGACTTGGATTCGTGTGTTTAATGCCTCAGGCTCCATCATGTGCTGGAGGTCATGTGAAATGCACATACAGAATCTGATGGTTAGAATAGCTACAGTTGCAATAACGTATGCATTTGGGGAGGTGGGAGAGATATATGAGGCAAACCCTGTCTAAAGGAATAATTCTTGGCTATTTTGTTTTCCTATTTCAAAAGCAGGAAAGGTATATCTACATTTAGGATAATTCTATTGAGAAAAATTGAGTTGGGAATCCACTATGACATGGAGAATGCAGTGGTTGCAAATAGACATTTTAATGCAGACAAGAGTTCACCCTTGAGACCTCTTCTTCTGGATCCTCATATAAGTGTGCAAAATGTAGATCAGAAGTAAATCCATCATGGAATCCTGGGCTCTTAGAGTTGTGAGGATTTGCCCAGCTATTTATCGATAGTTGGCTTTCCTCTACTTCTCAGATGCCTCTGAGGTTGAAGAATTATTTAATATCACAGAAAACAACAGTGATTTGTATTCCCTTCCTTATTATTTGTTCGAGTTTCTCCCAACCACATGTTCTCATTTATCCCCCTAGTGCGTGGGTCTTCTCACATAAACTCCAGAGTTTCAGCTCAACATGAGTAAGCATGGTAATTGGAATGACCTTTAAAATGCATATTCCTTTTGTCACTTTCAGATTCTTGGGATTTACCAAATTGCTAGCTGAAATATCAGTCCCACCTTTACACTGGTGTTTATTTTGAGTAGGCTGACTTTTTCTCATATTTTTCTAAGTGTAGGGGTGTAGCCTATATACTATTAGAATTGAATTACTAGAAGCCTGACCCTTTAACCATGGCAGCCAGGGAAGGGATGGGAGGTGGTGGGAGGAGAGTAAGAAAGTGGTATTAATGGCAGACAGGAATTCCCAGCACATACATGTTTTGGGAAAATGTGGGGAATTTGTTTTCAGCTAAAACACCAGTGAAAAAATTTCTTCTCACCAAAAAAAAAAAAAAAAATCGGAATTTTGTACTTCTTATCCTCTAAGTCTCCACACCAAACAGGGATTTCAGCAGAGGACACACACAGAACATGGAGATCACAGTCATCAGCCAGAGGTTCTTAGAAAGCCATGGAGAGGACAAAGCTCTAAGAAACTGACTGAGAAAAGTTTGCAGCGACCTCTGTACGGATGCTTTTGTAGAGCCTGAAGATAACAATGTCCACATCCCCTTTCCTGGCACACTGCCCCCTCTGCAGTATAAAGTGGCCTTCCTCTCAGGTTCTCTCCTGGTGCTCTATTTATGTGCATGAGGACACTCATGGTATTTGGGAGCATATATGTTTATTTCCATGATTATTTGGTTCAAATGTGTGTCCTTCCATGGAGCTTTCTGAAGTTAGAGATTGTCTACTGTGGTCGGCACTCAAGTATATCCTCAGCTTCTACCCAGCACCTGGCACAGCAGAAAGGTTCCAAACACAAGAGATGAAAGAATGAATGAATGAATGAATGAATGATTCATAATACTAAAAAAAAGCAGATTCCTGATCCAAGGAAGATCAGAGCAGGGAAAATCAATGACATGACTCTAAGATCAAAAACTCTCTGTCTTGCTCACTTTTGGATGTTCAGGCAAAGAAATGTGCCTGGTACAGAGTAAGCATGCAAGGAAATGTTCATAAATGAATGACTAGGTCACAGAGGAATATTAGCAGAGCACAGGCAGTCTCTCAGTTAGTAGGACCTAGAAGTGTGCATCAGAATTCACAGGCTAATATCATATTGCATGTGAACACATACACAGCTATGTACATACACAAATGCTAATGTTGATACAAATGATTCTCATTTCAGAGTATAGGGTTTTACAATTCTCAATACAATGATTTGATCAAACCTATAAACCTAGAGTTACTTGGGAACCACATCTGAGAAGATTTCCATATCCAAAGCAGGGATAGCCCCCTACCTAATTATTACAGTCACAGTTATACTTTTCAGCATAGGTAAAAGCAGGTAGCAAGGTGATTCTAACATTTTGTCATAATAAAGTTAACGGTGTTCTGGATGTACTAGACCTCACACGAGTTTAGAGACTAAAATTTGGCAAGACATAAAATCCAACTTAATCTGCATTCTCCCAATTAACTCTCTGTTTTAGCTCTGTGTGTTCCCTTTGCATTTCTCAGGTGTTGAGATATCTACTGCTATGTCTACAGTACTCCCAGGATTAGGAGAGAAGAGCCCTGCAGTGGGCTTAGTAAATCATGTCCAAGAGATATTTTTAAGATGAAGCTAAACCTAGAGGGAAGATTTCATATTTGTAACTTGAATCAAGTGAAAACATTAATCACTTGTCTAAAAAATAAAATAGGTTATATATGTAGGTAAATTATTCAGAGAAATGTCATCGTTTTCTGCCTATGTATGGGTTTTCTAAAACCTGGCCTGCTGATATACACAGAACCCCATCCATTTCTGTCTCTCTCGCTTTTAACTTTAAGAACTTTTCTTTCCGATCTCAGTCAATCCTTGCCAAAATTCCAAGAGGCAGGCGGGAATAATATCGCCTTGCTTTTGTTTAACACCTTGCAGTTATAACATGTTATCTACATTTGACAACTAGGGGAGCTAAGATACAAAGAAGTGACATATTCATTGTGTCCAAGATTGGGCTAAAATATGAACAGCACAGGCTTTCCCACCTTAAAATTCTGAGTCTGATTCCAATTTGAGGCAAGTTAATAAATTTATGTGAATATCGATTTTCTCAGTTGACAACCAGGGAGACTGATGCTTCCTTTGGGCATTTTAAGTGTTAAAGTGGATGGCATCTATGACGCTGCCCATGCCTATGATACAGATGCAGAAGTATCAGTTCAGCCTTCAGAAATCCATGTCACAATCAAACCCACAAGGCCTAATTGGAATTCTATGAACTTCCTATGAAATATCTTAATTCAAAATGTAAGTAGCATAGAGCTAATTTTAAATTTACATTTCACTGCAGACACAGGTGAGAACCTTTTACTGCAGGTCAGACCTGCCTTTTTCCCAACTGAAAACATATTATACTCCTTCTCTCTTCCAACTGTGTCTATAAATGGTGCTTATAATGGGCCATCGATGAATGCTTTTGGACCAGGGAAAAACAGCATTCAAAGGCTTCAGGTGCTTCGCCTCAAGGGCCCCATGAGTGGACATCAATGTAAATGAGGAAAAAATTAATGTGACATTGGCTGTGCAGAAGGCAGTGCTCTTTAGAGAACATGAGAAACAGATGGAAGGCTCTTATCGGGATGTTGGATGAAGGCTTATTGAGATATCGATCATGTAAAGGAATCAATACCAAGGAATCTCTTTATTCTTTTCATTAATTTATGAATGTTCTCTGCTTCACATAAGTGGCTTGAGAATCTAAACCTTTTTCTCACATTTCTATCTAGATAAAAAGTCTCCTCTGCTACTCTGCCATCTAAAACATCTAAATTTCTTTCTTTCTTTCTTCCTTTCTTCCTTCCTTTCTTTCTTTCCTTCCTTCTTTTTCCTTTCTTTCTTATTCTTTCATTTTTCCTTTCTTCCTTTCTTTCTTCCTTCCTTTCTTTCTTTCCTTCCTTCTTTCTTTCTTTCTTTTCTTTCTTTCTCTCTTTCTTTCTTTCTTTCCTTCTTTCTTTCTTTTCTGACAGAGTCTCTCTTTCTCTCTCTCTTTCTTTCTGACAGAGTCTCACACACTGTGTCACCCAGGCTGGAGTGCAGTGGCATGATCTTTGCTCACTGCATCCTCTACATCCTGGGTTCAAACGATTCTCATGCCTCAGCCTCCCCATCAGCTGGGATTATAGGCGTGCGCCACCATGCCTGGATAATTTTTGTATTTTAGTAGAGATGGAGTTTTGCTGTGTTGGACAGGCTGGTCTCAAACTCCTGGTCTCCACCAAACTGGGTTTCCCAAAGTGCTGGGATTACAGGCATGAGCCACTGCGCCTGGCCTAAAACATCTGAATTTCTAAGCCAGTATATCTCAGGACAGATATGATCCAGAGCCCTGGGGACTTTGTAGACATTTTCTTCCTGATACGTTGACATGCATGTCGTACCTCAATCGCAAAAATACAGCACTTGAAATGAACTCCTCGTCTTTGGAAGTGCTTGTGATAATTCACCTGGCTCATGGTTCTGGCTTCGTTTTCAGCATCAATATGTCAGATTACCAGTTGGTGGGGAAGGATTCTCACCACCGTCTGGTGGGCCAAAATGAAGTGCCAACCTGGCTTGCTCAGCCCTCCGTGTTTTCCATGAATAAAGGCTCTTTTGTGCCCGTCCATATGCACAGGTGGAGAAGGACCATTTCATCAAGATAATGATCCACTTTTCTTGTAAAAACAAGTGATGATAGAGATGAGGTTTGTAAGAGGACACAGATGCACTTGTTCAAGGTCGCTTATTTCTAATCAAATCCAGGTTCCCCCTTTCTCCAAAACCTTCTTCTTTTCTGAGATTCAAGCAGGTGTGAGATAGATGGGGGAAGGAAACCCTCATTAAAGAAGTAGAGAAATGAATCAGTCCTTTTTCTGGGCAGTTCCAGATGGAACACCTTTACAAAGTCAGCTTGAAGCCTGTCTTCTCAAGACAGTCATTCCTGGCAAGTTCCCAGTTTCTTCTATTCCCCAGTCAGCTCAAAGAATTAGATCAAGCCCAGTGTCTCATGGGAGCCCTGAGCTCGTTCTGCGTCTATCTCAGTGTGTTCTTTAGGAGATAGTGACAGTGAGCTGCGAGGATAGGGATGATAACCCGTGAGGCACCGAGGTGTTCCACAGCCCTTCTCTTCCTGCTTTAATACAACCACCTTTGTGATTTTAATGCAAGACAAAAATGCATCATTTTCCACTTCACAATCCTGCCGAAGAATGTGGGGCACCTTCCCACAGCAGGGTTAGAAGTACCACAGTGCCAGGACAGGCCTAATCTCTCCCAATAGACTCCATGAGTTGCAGCCAGGCTCTACCACATATAGGCTGTGTGACCTTGGGCAAATTACTTAGTACCTCTGTGCCTCCAATTTATTGTGTGTAAAATGGAGTTAATAATATTAACCTCACAACATTGTGGTGAAGATTAGTCTCTCTGTCTCTCTCTCTCTTTCTCTCTCTCTCTCTCACACACACACACACACCACACATTGTCACACTGCCCTGGCCCACAGTAACCATTATTTAAAGATTCACTATTAATGTGTCTGGTCTCTCAAGTTTTAAACTGTTTTGTGCACTGGCAAGTTTACTCCGGTTCTGATTTCAGTTCTCTTGCATCCACTGCTGCCAAGACAGCCCTTCCAATATGGGCAAACATTCAGCACTGCAGCCCTTCCCAACCCCAGCTTTACACTCTCCACATGAGAGCCCTTGGAGCACCCCTCCTTGACCCCCGTAAATCCAACCTGCTCTTCAAGTTCCTCAGGAAGTGCTGCTTCCTCTGTAGCCCCCTCCCTGGCCCGCTCTGGCTACCCAAGCCCATGTCTCCTCTTTCTCTGGCCTTTTGGTAACAGGCTTTCCTTATTTATATATACTGAGGAATCAGAAAAACCTGAATTCGAATCCCGGCTTTTCCAAATACTAAGATATGACCTTGGCAGTCACTGAACCTCTCTAAGAATTGGTTGTCTTATGTAGAAAACGGCGATCACCGAACAACGTGGTGGTTCTCAAATTTGAGTGTGCATCCTAGTCACCTGGAGGATGATTAAAACACAGATGCCCCGGCCCCCAACCCACATTTCTGATCTAGTAGAATTGGGTTGCTGTCTGAGACTTGCATTTCTAACAAGTTGCCAGGTGACACCGATGCTGCAGTCCTGGGGGCCATACTTTGAGAACCCACTTGGTAGGCCTTGCAGACTATGGAGAGAATAAAACGAAATAACATTTAGGAATGTTTGCTCAGTAAGTGTTACATAAAATATAACTTTTTTTCCCCTCTGTGAAATAGACCACAAATGATAAATAGTAAAGCAGAAATGATCTTGTTTTGATTTTGGCCCCATCCCATGAGTTAAGGGAGAACAGCATATTGTAACATTTCTCACTTCAGAGTTAGAAGCTCAGATTGTGTGGGCACTGCCCTTCCAATGGCTTTTCTGGCGCCCAATGTAAAGGCTTTCAATTTTAGAGAAGAACTAAAACATATGTATTACCGCGCAATGTAATCTTTTTATATTACCCACTGTTTTTAACAAGCTCCCACACACAGGGTGGGTTTTTAGCAAGAGTCTGTTTATGGGAGGTAATCCAACATAATGCTTGCCAACTTTCAGTGTTTACTGTACTCCAAACCCTGAACCAACAAGGTAAGAATTTTGACCAGAGAGTTCAGTAGACACTTTCTTTTTCTTTTTTCTTTTCTTTCTTATTTTTTTTGTTTTTGAGAAGGAGTCTTGCTCTGTCTGCACTCTGGAGTGCAGTGGCGCGATCTCGGCTCACTGCAACCTCTGCTTCCTGGGTTCAAGCGATTCTCATGCCTCAGCCTCCAGAGTAGCTGGGATTACAGGCCTGCAGAACCACACCCAGCTAATTTTTTTTTTTTTTTTTTTTTGTATTTCAGTAGAGACGGGGTTTCACCATGTTGGCCAGGATGGTCTCGATGTCCTGACCTTGTGATCCGCCCTTCTTGGCCTCCCAAAGTGCTGGGATTACAGGCGTGAGCCACCACACCTGGCTTTCTTAAATGAATGTGTGTGGGAGAAAATACAGTGGTGATGGAGGGAGAAGCTACATTTCATAACTTGTTTGCCACAAGAAATGTAATGTGGTGCTCCACATGGGATCTCCTCTTTGGAAAAAGTAAATGGTTTAATTGTAGAAAGGATTACAGCGAAAAGTCTCCATAGGATGCAAAGGCAAAGACCGCAGGAACAGCACCCTGCTTCCATATCTGACTTTGCCTCCCTCTGTGTGGCCTCCATTTCCTCCTGTGCACAACCAGAGCTGGGGGATCTCCTCGGATCTTCCCCGGTAGCATCACTGTATGAGGAAATGATGAAGGAATGGGCCCGGTGGTCACCAGAAGGCCATATGAAATCAGTGTCTGTCTAATCATTTTTTTATATGTATAGATTGTGAGGTTCAATTGTAATTTTGCTATATGCATAGATTGCTTAGTGGTCAAGTTAAGTCTTTTAGGATATCCATCACCAGAACAACGTACACTGAACCTGTCAGAGGCTTTTGAACCAGAGTGACTGTCTTGAATAGGGGCTAGGTAAAATAAGGCTGAGACATATTGAACTGCATTCCCAAGAGATTAGGCATTCTTAGTCACAGGATGAGATAGGAAGTCAACAGGACTGGTGTCACAAGATACAAGTCATAAAGACCCTGCTGATAAAACAGGATCCAGTAAAGAAGCCGACCAAAACCCACCAAGTCAAGATGAAAGTGATCTCTGCTCATCCTCATTGTTCATTACATTTTTTGTTTTTTTTGTATTTCAGTAGAGACGGGGTTTCGCCATGTTGACCAAGATGGTCTCCATGTCCTGACCTCGTGATCCACCTGCCTTGGCCTCCCAAAATGCTGGGACTACAGGCGTGAGCCACCACACCCGAATTTCTTAAATGAATGTGTGTGGGAGAAAATACAGTGGTGATAGAGTTTACATGGCAGTTTATAAATGCCATGGCAACATCTGGAAGTTACCTTATATGGTCTAAAAAGGGCAAGAACCCTCAGTTCTTGGAATTGTCTGTCCCTTTCCTGAAAAACTCATGAATAATCTACCTCTTGTTTAGCATATAATCAAGAAATAACTATGAGCATACTCAGTAAAGCAGCCCATGTCACTGCTCTGCCTGTGGAGTAGCCATTTTTCTATTCCTTTACTTTCTTAATAAACTTGCTTTCACTTTACTCCATGGAGTCACTCCAAATTTTTTATTGCGCGAGATCCAAGAACTCTCTCTGGAGGTTTGGATCAGGACCCCTATCCAAAACAAACCCATTAAGTAATTTCT
Organism: Homo sapiens; assembly: GCF_000001405.40. Taxonomy (NCBI): domain Eukaryota; kingdom Metazoa; phylum Chordata; class Mammalia; order Primates; family Hominidae; genus Homo; species Homo sapiens. Next base: position 124,534,189 of record NC_000002.12, on the reverse strand, counting down.
CATTATCCACCCCAGTCCAACTCCCTCACTTTTCCATGGCCTATCATTCCACACTCTCTAAGTCTGTATGTCCATGTTATCTAGCTCCCACTTATAAGTGAAAACATTCAATATTTATCTCCTTGTATCTCACTTGTTTCACTTAAGTACCATTCATGTTGCTGCAAAAGTGTCCATCAATCTTTATAAAGTTTTTTAAGCAATACTGGGGAGAGGTGGAGTCACTCCTATTATATAGGCACCACCACCACCCGCAGGCTGTGAAGTATTTTAGAAGGAAAGATCAAGCTGTGACGTTCAGGGGTACCTCACAACAAACAGTTATGCTTGTCAGCAGCTGTAGCTGTTCTAGAACCACACTTTCCTCCAGCCGAAATACTCCTCACTGAGGCGTGCCAGAGGATCTGATCATTTTCCTTGTTATTCATGAAGGCTTTGTTTGTAGTGGGAAGCAGGGGAGGAGCTGAGAGAGGAAGATCAGGAAAGCTCAGAGGCAGAAGAAACTCAGTGGCCTCCTGCAGCACCCCTTGGGCTGATTTCAACACCTCTTTGGAGAAAGGGACTTTGGGACTTTGAGGGAGCTGCAAAAACTTTTCAGAGAGACTCTGGCCAGAAGAGTAGCTGCTTGAGGCCCTAGGTGGGGGCAGGAACCATCCCTCTCCTCCACACCCACATCAGCTTTGCAGATTCCACACAATTCCACGTCCTCCAGGAGCAGAAGCTTTACAGCATTGTTCTCAGAGTACGGCCACCAGGCCAGCCCAGTAGCAGCAGCATCACACACGAATTTCTTAGAAATGCAAATTTCCAGGCTCCACCCCCAGTAATTTGTGTTTTAACAAGCACTTCTGGTGATTCTGATGTTAAAATGCTCCAATTTGCCTATAAGATTTAAAGAGACCCTCACTCTCAGGTTTCTGCAAATGCAGGATCTCCATGCATGCATGGCCCTAGAAGTAGGGGTCTCCTTAAATTTTACTCTCTAGGCTCATTCTAGTCCTGATCTTGAGACTAATGCTTTAGGAAAATCTGAAGACCATAACCTTGGCACCTAAATTTATGAGTGCTTTCCTAATGGGCCATGGCAGGTCTTCTGAAAAAGTGGGACCAAAGTCCAAGGGGGGTCACAAAGCAGACTGATTTGGGAGGGGGGACAAATGTGAAATATTCACATGGGAATCACCCCAGAAACTACTAAGGATCACTTGCAACAGTGGGGGTTGGGGAAAGGGTGGCGGGGCACTTAAGCCTCTTCTCTCCCCATGGAAACTAGAGAACCGGCAAACCTTTGGCCAGAGGAATTAACACAGTGAACATTTACTGAGCATCTACCGCATTCCAGTCATGCAATTGAACACCTGACTTCTCGCACACTCTCATTTTTCTCGCACTCTCTCATTCAACTCTTAGCACAAAGGTAGGTTTTGTGATCCTGATTTTGCAAAAGGGAAAACATGGACAAAAGTTTAAATAATGTGTGTCACATCTCAGACTGTGGGCGGGGTGGATTTAAATGTGTCCTGCTGCTTCTGAAAGCTGCTGCCACTTGCACTGGGATTCTGGATTTTTCCCAGGTATGGCCTCTGCTTCTCCCCACCTCAGACACCTTCCTCATCAGCATCCCTGTTTTTCCCTCCTGGTTTGGCTTCACACCTTGGAGCCTGTCTCCTGTTGATACTCTTGGACAGCATTTGCTAATCTGTCTCTCCTGTCCTGGATCTTGAACCTCACAGGACTGGACATGGCTCCTGGAATTGACTGGGAATCATCTACATGGATGCGGGGCAGAGACTCTTTGAACCTGGCTCACCTTACTCCACTCAGACCCTGCTAGACATTGCATGCCACTCTGAATGTCCCCTCATAGATGGAATTACATCAGGCACATAAATGTTACAAAGAATCTGACATATTGCATATTCTTAAAAATTCAATCTGGTTGAGCATGAGAAAAGAAAAAAACTTTTATGTGAGGAATGCAAGTCCTTTTACTTATCAGGCCAATAAAACATTAAAATGACACCCCAGTCATACTCTACTCCCCCACTTTGAGCTGTGTACTCACCTCTTGGAACTGCTTGTTATTAACCTAATAATGCTACACTGGACACACTAGAACCCACACCCTACAGCTTAACAATACATAGCCAATCACTAATCAAATCTGTAAACTGTAAACCATTGAGAATTCCTGGCAGAACTTTATATCAGTTCACTCCTTGTCCTCCCATTTGCCTTTAGAAACCCAGTTGCAATGGCTGCTAAACTGAGTGTCTGTTCAGGGCAACTTGAATCTGTGCTCCTGGATTGCCTCAAGCAAGCTCGGCCCAAATGAACTCTCTACTTATATTAATTTTGCATCAGCTTTTTCCTTTTAGGTCGACAATTGGAAAATGGGGTTACACATTTAGAGCCACTGACACAGAGTGACTGCCTTTTCCAGATCAGTGCCTCCTTGCTAGATAGTACCAAGGAGAGAATACACACAGTGCTTGACTCTTGATCATAACTTCAGCCCTATGGGACCTTGAGAACACTGACATACGTCTCCAGGTCTTAGCTTTCCCCTTTTAGAAGGTGGGGATATTAGTGCCTCTGGACTCCTAGAGCTTCTAGAGCTTTTACAGCATCATATCCTACTCAGGGATAGATGTAAGTCAGTCTCACTCTCTCAGTGCCTACCTATGAGTCAGAACTACAGAGGGTGTATCAACAGCTGTTCACTGAATAAAGCCTTATTGAAAGTGACTTTTCTTTGTGATAGCTTAGACCAGGGGTCCTCAAACCCTGGGCCACAAACCAGAACCAGTGCTGGTCCGTGGCTTCTTAGGAACTGGGACCAACAGCAGGAGGTGAGTGTCAGGTGAGCAAGCAAAGCTTCGTCTGTACTTACAGACACTCCTCGTCACTCACATTACTGCCTAAGCTCCTCCTCTTATCAGATCAACTTCAGCATTAGATTCTCACAGGCATATAAACCCTATTGTGAACTGTGCATGTGAGGGATCCAGGTTGCACACTCCTTATGAGAATCTAATGCCTGATGATCTGTCACTGTCTTCGATCACCCTCAGATGAGACCATCTAGTTGCAGGAAAACAAGCTCACGGCTCCCACTGACTTTGCATTATGGTGAGTCACATAATTATTATATATTACAATGTAATAATAATAGAAATCAAGTGCACAATAAATGTGTGCTTGAATCATCCTGAAACCATCTCCCCAAGCCCCCAGTCCCTGAATGCCAAAAAGGTTGGGGACCGCTGGCTTAGACTATTGTGTTTTGCCTACTTCAAGTCAAAGAGGCTGGAAAGATGGTTATTATGAAGGACAGGGGCTTAGGGTGTAGAGATTATGAGGCTGGTGGTTTGGCCTGCAGAAGAGGGGCAGCAGCTGCACACTGTGTCCTAGAGGTTTAGAAGGACCGTGAACAGGGCACAGTGTGTGTCAGGAATGCCTTATTCTAATTCCTACTGCTTCCTTCTCCCATCCTGCCCATGGACTGCCAGGCACTGGAGCTGCCCAGTACCAACACCTTCCTGCTTCCAGAGCCGTGCGCAAGGCCAGTTCTTCCAAGTCCTTTCCTCCCAGGAGCCAGAAGATTTGGTAATTTGCCCATCCCTGAGATGCACATTGGTTAAAGTTTCTTAATCCCTGAGAAGAGACCCTTTTAGCTTTTGCTCAGGATGAAGTATCAAAGGTGGTTTGTAAATAGTGCAAACTGGGAAGCAGGTGTCAGGGTCTTAGGCACCACCTCAAAAGGAAGTTGCTTAAAGGACCTCCACCGGAGGGAGCTCTTGAGATTTTGGAACATTTGTGCCTCAGGTAGGAATGCTACTTTATTACTTTATTATTTATTTATGTATTTATTTATTTTTAGACGGAGTCTTGCTCTGTCGCCCAGGCTGGAGTGTAGAGGTGCCATCTCGGCTCATTGCAACCTCCATCTCCTGGGTTCAAGGGATTCTTCTGTCTCAGCCTCCCAAGTAGCTGAGATTACAGACATGTGTCACCACACCTGGCTAGTTTTTATTTTTAGTAAAGACAGGATATTACCATATTGGCCAGGCTGATCTCGAACTTCTGGCTTCAGTTAATCTGCCTTCCTTGGCCTCCTAAAGTACTGGAATTGCAGACGTGAGCAACCGTGCCCGGCCAGAATTCTACTTTAGATGTCTTATATCTGATTTTCCCACGTGACTAGCACTAATACCGTTTAAGTATGTAAGATGCCCGGTTGGGGCCAGCAAAAAACAAAAGCTGGCAGGGCGGGATCCCACTTCACTTTGAGAGAGAAAAAGAAGGGGTAGGACAACCACAAAGAGGCAAATGGAGGCCTGGTTCTCTACAGCCTGCAACAACGGACTGGCAAGGGGTCTCAGAGTAAGAAGAGATTCTCAGATTGTCCTCTGTGGGCTTTCCAGACAGCAGTCCAGGTAAGGAAAACCACTGCCAGCCTATTCCCTTCCTTTCTCCCAGCAAGTAGCAAGCTCCTTGAAGGCAAAGAGTTTGCAATTAACCTGAAATCCAGCTCACGTTGATTAACACATTAAAAATGAAACACCAAATTCAGAAAACACCTGCCCTTCTAACTCCTGCCTCTCTTCAGATAACATTAATTATGAGTTTAAGAAATAGTGACTCAAACACAGTCCCTTGCCCCAGCTTTCCCTTCTGTTAGACACAGTGCCTGGTAAATCAAGAAAAACTTACCACTTACTCACGAAACTAAACACAATCCCTTATTATACAATTAATGAAAGCACAATTGTATGTAATACAATTATACAAGACTACAATTACACAAAACTAATGATGCAGAGTACATGGCAATGACTTTCATGCAATCAAAAATAATGAGAGCTTGCTTGATTAAAAATTAAGGTAGCATAAGAGACCCCTGTTGATAAATGTTCCCTGTATTGATCAACACTTTGGAAGAGGCTGCACTGGCTGATGAAGTAGGATGCTTCTCCCTCGCCATTACTAAAGACTATTGGTCTAGCCAATAGTTGCCAACCATCGCCTGCAATAACTTTTATTCTCCGAGCTCTAAACTAGCACATTTTAATGAAGCACATATTTTATTACTACTTTTTCAGCTGGTCAAATAGAAAAAAAAAAAAAACAAAGCAGAAGAGCCAGAAAATCTGCATGATTTGTTGATGATCCCATGCATAGTGATATTAATGGAGAAATGTGTGTAAATTTTCACCAAGTTACGCAGCTCATTCTAGCGTTAGCAGAGACTATGCACTGCATGGCTGATTTCTGTGCCCCTCAGTAGAGGCACCTGCTACTACTCATTATTCCTCTCCTGAACTGGGGCAGTCACCTGCCTAGTTGTGGGCCAGCTCTCTTCCAATCCACCTTTCTCACTTCTTCTTGAGTACTCTTTCTAACAGGAAAAGCTAGCCACCTTCCTCTGTGGTTCTCACCAAGAGCATGAAACCAAATCCCACTGGTACACAAAGTCCTTCATGACTGGTCCTGCCCCACATCTCTGGACTTATTCACACCAGGTTCACAATCCACAGTGGCCTACCATCCCTACTGAGCTATATATTATTGAATCTAAGACACCATTAATTGTAAGATATACAATTATTTTATATGCCACTATGAAAAATAGATATTGCCAATTCAACTATTAGAGATTTCAAATGCCTTCAAATGCCAAAAAAGTATTTTGAATTGATGAAATACTTGCAATCCATGCTTTCTCCTGCTTCTATGCCAATCTCCCTTCCCCTCTCAACATTGGCCTAGCCTGCCAGTGTCTTCTGCTTTAAGATTCAACTCAGCATCACCTTCTGAAACCTTCTTCGACTCATTCTCAGGGTCAGACTAAGTTGCTGCTGCCATGTGTCTGACAAATAAGGGTGCATTTCTTGGTCATTTATCTAACTTTATTGTAACTTTATTGCTAATTTATTCCCAGATGAAACATAAGCAGAGACCCTTTATCATCAACACATAGGCAAGCACTGAACAGATATTATTCACCCATTCTATAAACGATATTTTGACAAGGGTGAGCAGAACTGGAAGAATGAAGGAGGTAGGCTCTGGAGAGGAAAGAAGAAGAACATGGTAAACCTTGATGCAAATTCAGAATCCATCCTCTTTGGTTTTCTGCAGTGTGTCTTTGCATTTAGAAACTTCTAATATAAGAAGAGCCAGATCCCAGGGGAAATTGAGAGATAAAGTGAGTTTTTCTGATCTCTGGGCCAGAGAAGCAGTGGTAGGGGCAGTAAGAGCAAAAACCAGCCAAACCCAGGAGTAGTTGTGTGTTATTGGGCATTTCGGGAACCTCTGCTGCAGACTTCCCAGATGGTCCAATGCTCATCTGCCTGTGTTAGAAAGGACACCCACAGCAGTGAAAAATGAAATGGTTTAGGAGAGAAGTAATTCCTTCCTCCTTTTTGCTTTAACTTCAAAGTAATCAAATGTTGTTTATGCATAAAATTTTAATCCTTTCACAAATTTGTATTTTGATTTAATTTGCATATCCCATTTACTGCAAGTCAACATGAAGAGAGACTCAACTAATTTAAACCATTTTTTCTCTGGGCCTGAAATCCTTTCAGAAATATTTTCCATTAGGCAACTCAATTATGTCTAATGTGGCTAATGTCGGTGGATTAGAATTTTGCTTAAAGAAACTCATATTTAGAACAGTAAGAATGGGAAGGGGGTGGCAGAACAGAGGAGAAGAGACAATAATTACCTGTCTTTGATGCTACACAGATCAATGTGTAAATCACTAAAATTCCCCAGGGAACCTTGCTGAACTGAAATGAGGTCCTTGGGCTGGTTATCAATAAAGATGAGCCTCATGCAGCCTTGGAAAGCCTTAATGGGATTTAAACATTGGGAATCGGTGAGATTGTCGGGGCACCCTGTGGGACAGAGAAAAAAGATGAAGAAGAATGCTGAAATGATCCGTCATTGCTTTGGCGACCTATTGATGGAAGACCTTGAGGTCTAATTAGTTTGGTGCTTTCTCATTCACAGCAGTGCACACCCTTTTCATTATAAATCCTAGCATTCTCAGGGAGGGGACAGAATTGGTACAAAATAGGGTATACTCCATCACTGTAGAGAAAATAAAAAGCGTGGCAAAGGGAATACCAATACTGTAACATGTGTCTCCTTCTTACTTTGTTTTTCCATTGGTAAACTATTTGCTATTCTTTTATATGGCATCCTTCACTCATCCCAAGGAAGAAATGTATTATAGCTGCTTCAGAATTTTGGTTCTGTCTTGAAACACATATCTAAATGCACGATTCAATTCTGAATTACACTTTCAAAGAAAATTACGCTCTGGGTAAGGATGGCAGCAGAGTAATTGTCTGGTTAATTGTTAGCATTAACAGGCTTAGTTCCTGAGAAAGGTACACACAGGAGCGTAACTGGAATTTTGACGTGATGTGCAAAGCAAAATCAGATGTTTTGCTGGTTTTAGAAGGAACTAAGGGTTTAAATGCATGTCATTTTAGGGCTGTAATAGCATATGGGAAAGGTTAATACTATACCTTTTTAAAGAGTGTTCTTAAAAAATTACACTGATTTAGTGTAGCTTGCAACCAGGGCATATCTACTTCTCATTAAGACAGGTATAGAGCCTTGCAGGTATATGAGTGCTTGTGCTCCATACGAACTCCATCCCAATGGCTTTAATAGGTTCAGAGCATATGGGAATGCAAGCTTGAAACCATGGTAATAACCCATAAATAACTGGGAATTATTTCAGCCGTCTCTAATAGACAGTCACTGCTGGGCTGAAGCCCAGCAGCTGGTTAACAGCTCACAGGCACACTGTAAAATGAAGAGAGATGCTACAACTTCTAATTGAAGCTGTAGAGAGAATTTATGTAAGTTGACTATTATTACTGAAACTCATTTTTCACCTTCCTTAAGTTTACAGTCTACGCGTGGGGCATTTGTTTAAACACTGTTCAAATCACTGATACATCTTCACCTTCTAAACCCAGGGTCCCTTAAAACTTGCCTCTAAGAACGCTTCTTCAACTGAGGGAGGAGAGCCATTTTGTCTCTGAGGCATGTTGGATGCTTATTGTATCAGAATTATTTACAAACATTTCCCTCAAGAATAAATGCAAGATAGCGTTTTTTCCTCTGATGCTGAAATATTGCATAAGATGCAAAATTATTCGGTCTGTGAGGTTATCTTTTCGGACCCCAACACCCTTGTTCTACGATCATTATAATACATTTGTTCCAATCTCTGTTTTCACTGGTGGGCTGTGGGAACACAGATCTGGAATTGAATTCATGAGCTCTATGGCCTTGCACAAATTCTTTCATCTCAGCAAACACCAGTCTTATTATCTATTAAGTGGGGATATTACCTACTGCACAAGGTTTCTGCATGAATTAAATGAGGTTAAGTCATAAAAACTTTTGCAGAGACTGGACGTGTATTCCCTCCCTAAAGGAATTTGTTATCCATGCACAGGTGGAGGACATTTGAGGTAAAGGTCACAGGCCCTTCCTCACCCTAAAATCAAGCCACAGAGATATTGCTTCCCTCCTAGGAGACCTCGATATGTACACTGCACATGTGCAAAATCCCTTTTGCATTTTAAAGCTTTAACCACATTCCATTGGTATGAGAGAAGTGATCTGTAAATTCTATTTAAGAGACTATGCATAATTTTATACAATACTTCTCTTCAATTTACTAATAGGAAAAAAATAAGGAAACTGTAGACCAGACCCTGACTTATATCTATAGGAGCTGGAGCCAGTTTCCCCATCCCCTGCCATGTGGCACACTCTGCCATATGCTTACACCTTGGTCGTACTTAACTTTTCCAGAAATTCTGGAGGTGAGCTTATTTCCCCGTGTTTCAGATTAGGAAGTTTAGGGACTATAAGTATCTTTCTCAAGGTCAGACAGCTATTGAGGTTAAATCCTTTTCAGAGACTGTTTCTATAATACAAACAACTATGAAATTAGATATTAATTTTTAATGAAAAATACTTTTGAAAGACTAAATACATATATATAGATATGCATTTATAAAAAATCAGTAGATGCCTAATTATGTTTTTCTTCACCATCAGCTTGCCCTTGTGTTTTTGTCATTGGAAAGGTTCCCAGGACTCACTTAACATCAGAGAAGGCAGAATGTGAATAATCTGAACTGGCTTCTACACCTGGAGTTACAAATTCATGGGCCTCCTAATTCCTCCTCATTCCTGGATTTCTGCGAGCATGGCCTCTAGGGATGTGGGGAAGGAGGGGACAGGAGACTAAGAGAGGAAAGTGGCAGAGGAAGGGCCTGGGTGCTAAGCATGCTGATTGTGCCTTTCCACCTGAATTTTGCCTCTTGCAGGTACTGCTGACTCTTGATACACTTTCTCCAAGTTTTCAGCTGAGTTTCTCCTTTCCCATGTGATTACAGGGCTTGGCATGGCTACAAAAATCTCCTTTGGATGTGTTATATAACACCAGCTCTTGTAGCTAAAGTTCTTTTCTTCCTCAGCACTGACCTAGATAATTTATATTTGCACACAGCTGTGAGAGATTTTGCTTCTCACTATTTTGAGATTGAGGGTGTGTGTGTATGTGCATGTGTGTGTGTGTTTGTGTGTTGGGAGAATTGTCTAATTGACCAAACCAGAACCATCATAGTGAAATAATTGCCCACTTAAATTTCCCTCCCTTCTTAATTTTCCCTCTTAAAGACTGGAGAATTTACCTCCAAAATAGTAGCTATTTCCAGAATAAATCTGCACCCAAGTGCTGTCTGGAGCCGGGGGTGCTGCTTCATCATCCAGAGTGAGCGTGATGCGGTTCCTCCTGGCGTTGATGCTAACCGAGTGCCACAGGCCATCATTCAAGTTGCTGCCTGCAAGAGAAACAAGAGAGTAAGCATAGAGATGATGGGTCCAGAAGACTTAGAGAGAGGGGGCTCATTTCCCAGCCTGCTGCCGTCCATGCCATTCTCAGAGCAAACCCACTCCTCACTCGGCTGGATACAAGCCCTTGGAAGATTCATAAAAAGCATTGTTCTTCCTCTTCTTGCCACTTCATTCTAATCTCTTTTTTAAAAAAGACGGCTGAACTACTTCTGATATGTTTTGTTTTAAAACAAAAGGGAAAAATACAAAATGTTGTACACACCACAACCAAAGTTATGTCACGTATTCTGATCTATTGTTGTATAAACGCAGAGGAAAAAAAAAAAACAAAAATAAACGAACTCAAAATATTACCAGCAATTTTAACTGAGTGGTAGAGTTAAGAGCAATTTTGGTTTTCTCATACTTTCCTACAATTTTAGGAAAAAGTAAGCTATTTTTAAAGTAGATGAGGAAAGCTAGATTCCAATGATGTGCCAGGCAGAGGCAGCCTCCTGTTGGAGAGAGGTAACATATAATCCAATTGCAGCGTTTTTCATACTAATTAGGAGACATTGTCAAAGTTACTCACTTTCATTAAGCTCTGATTTTATCATCTGTAAATATTATGATTCCTATTCCTTATTATTGTTAAAGGGATCAAATGAAATGAGGCACGACACTCTCTAAAGGCACTGGGAGAAAGGTGGGTGCTTTTGTAAGGTTCTTTTCTCTCCTATTCCATTGCTCCAGCTGTCTTTGCTGTACCCTGTGCTGCTGACCTACCTTACTGAAAAAACTGTTTTGGGAACTAGTCATGAGGTTTCAACTATTTCCTTTAAAGAGTTTATCATCTATTAAGACTGTGTCCTGGTGGTGTAAAGTGCTTGCTGAGAAAATAAAGTCATATTAACTGATTGGTCACAAAGACTTTCTGTGGCAAGAGCACACAGCCACACAATTCTAAATTGTAAATAGTCATTTATTGTGCCCTGTTACATGTTGAGTTGTCTTTCCTCTCATTGTGTCAGTTTCCTCGCTTGCAAAGAGGACAATGTTTGTACTTAACAGGCCATTGTGAGAATTACGCCAGTTAGTCCAGCAGTGTATGCAGAATAGTTCATTTCAATCATATGTGGGCAGTCATATTAGCTTAAAAAATGAACAGAGCTGCAAATACGAGATGGTCTTTGTCATTAGAGGGTATGGATATTAACATCACATGATCTCTACCCTAGGGTAGTCCATTGTTAAAAGGCAGAGACATATGCAAGGAGGATTAAAATAACGTCTTTTGAGTTCAGGCTAGTGGGGTAGACAGAGAAGTAAGCAAACAACACCACCTCTTGCAATTCTGGGTGGAACAGCAATATGTGAGCAGAGAAGAAAGAAAGCCTAACTAACTCCATGTGAGGATCCCAAGAATGTTTCATTGAAGTGGATGACAGTTAAGGGGAGTCGTGGAAAGTGAGCAAGAGTTTGTAATTCTTGGAGCAAGGGTTCCAGGAGACAGAGAGCCTGTATAAAGAAACAAAGGTCTGGACTGAGAAGCAGGAGATGACAATATGAAGGCAGCTAGAAAGAGGATCCAATCACCCAGAGGTCTCACATACCAGGAGGACTTTAAACAATATCCTTTGACAAATTATTCTGAAGAGCACTTTTCCCAAACCAATTCCATCAGCATCTCTGGGCATGGGCCCCAGGCATCCGCATTTTTTCAAAAGCTCCTTGGGTGGTTCTAATGTGCAGCCAGAGATGAAAATTACAGCTTTAGAACATGGGACTCCATGAGGGCTCTCTAGGATGGTAATATCAGGGTGGGAGGTGTTTATTCAAAGAATCAGCCAGCACAAGAGCCAATGATAGCAGCTGGAAGGGGTCAAGGCTAGAGGCAGAACTCACAGGTCCTACTGCTTGCAGAGTCCCCAGGAGGCGGAATGAGAGGATCTCACCAAAAGTAGCAGCAGTGAAAATGCAAAGTAAGTGATGGATTCAGAGCTATTTCTGCAGGTAAAATAGACCTGCCTTGGTAGAGCCTACCAGAGCAGCCCCAAAGCAGCCAGCTGGGAAGAAAACACTGAGGATCACCACAGAGGTGTGCCAGACCGTCAGAGTGGCAAGTGAAGAGCCGGTACCCCTGAGCTCCCAGTTGGCTGGAGAGGCTGCCCTGGGAGAAACAAGCACCAGGCTTGGAGCCCAGCTGTATTTGCACCTGGGCAGCTGTGACCCATCTGCTCAGAGCATCCCAGATGTAGGACACCTGATGTGTTTTCAGCCAGATCTCTCAAGCCAGATCACTGCAATCCTGAACATCTGCTTGGGGTGAAGAAGAGAACCCAGAGGCTTCTCAGCCTGGTGGCCCCACTTCCTCCCAAAGGCAGTTGTCCTCAGACAAGACCAGGGTTTGTGTCCTGGCCACAGGGATTCTGCTAATGAGACAGAGAATCTGTCAGGTGTGTCTTGGTGAACATTTGACTTCTTTCAGGGGTATTTGGGGAGCACAGTCAATTGTAAGTCCTTTTTAAAAACTTTCACTTGCATACTCATTTGAATACATCTGCATAACATATGGGACTGCATTTGCAGGTAAACTCTAGACTGGAAGGGAGTTAGTAACTAGTTCAGAATAAAAGTTCTAAATACTCCCTAAAGGCCAAGCACCCTGCTAGGCATCAGTGATACAGTAGAGAAGAATGTATTTATAGAGGCCACAGTGAGTGTCCCCTCGAATTAGGTATCTATCATGTATTCATGTTACAGATGGCACTGGCCTGAGGGGAGAGGTCTGCTCAATGGGAGTCTGTAGGATCATCTGTTGTGATTGTGGGTCCTGTCCTCTCCCCACATCGCCATCTATGTCTCTCTTTCAAGTTTTCACATAATGAGGGTTTGCTTGGTTGGTGGTTTTCTTTTTTTCTTTTTATTTTTTGGTCTGCCCTTTCTTTAATTTGGTCTTTTCCTACATGTTCCCCAATGCCTGCAGTGGGAGCCTGGGTGAAAAGTTTAGCTCTGTGGAGGAAAATTATTAGAACAATAGTTCTCAATGCAGGTATTGCCTGGGGAGCTTTTGAAAATACAGAACCTGGGGCTCACTCCAGGTTAATTAAGTCAGATTTCTGGGGATTATCCCAGGACTTGGAAGGTTCAAAGGTCCCTTGGATTCTGTTTGCAGCCAGGGTCAGGAGCCATGTCATTGGAGGTGTCAGAAGAGAAAGGAAAGAAGCTGGGAAATTGGGACCCGCCCAGGAGAGCTGCCCAGGCATGGGTTTCAAGGCAAGTGAAGTGGTACATCCCCAGCTAAAAATCTCCACTTTCACCTGGTCCTCGTTTTCACTTCATTCTGTTAACAGATCCAAAATAACATCCCTAGAGACTCTCTGAGGTATTGTTATTAAAAATACTCTCTTAAAGGTAAAAGTGGAAGTGCTATTAATTATTCACAAGTTAGGGAGAAATCACCTTATGAGATTGCTTTTTTCCCAAACTTCCTTGAGATAAATGGCTTTGAAAGAATAGACGTGTCCAATGAGGAGAACAGGAAAGCAACACCTTTTAGGCCGAGAATGTCTTGATGGGGGAAAAAAATTATCTTAGGAGAGACGAGCAGGATATTGAGGGCCAATATGGGGCACTAAGCACCCCCATGATATAGGGGCTGAGGCCTAAAAGATGGGATTTGGGTTCCAGAAACAGATGAGGACAAACATACAATTTCTGAACTTTAAAGACATGTTGGGTATTATTTGCCATCTCCCAGACTAATAAAGGATAAAAACTGATTATGCTCAATCTCAATGAGAATAGAGGGAAACAGTCAATTTTATATGTTGTTCGTGGCAGCCTAAATTTGCACATTCTTTCTGGAAGGCAATACACCAGTAAGTATCAAAAATCCCAAGAATGTCATACCTCATTTCCTGTGAATTTTATTCTGAAGAATTATTTCTAAAATAGTAACAGAGCTGTAGCCAAGATTTATGGTGAAGGTAGTTCTTGACACCATTATTTACAATAGCAAAAATTCACTGCTACCCATATTTCCCATAGTAGCAGGCTAGCTAAAGCAAATATGGTTTATTCCTAATATGGTATATAATGTAGTCATTAAACATCATAATGTCCAAGAATGCTACTGATATCTTGATAAGAGAAAAGCTCTAAATAAATAGGACGTGCTGCATGATTCCCATCTTGTTAAAAACTAACACCACAAAAAACACTGCAATAATGTAGAATGACAGAATCACAGATTCTTTTATATTATACTGGAATTTTCAGTGTTTTTTAATGTACATTTTTTATAATCTTAAAAAAACCTGATAAACTGTTTAAGCTGAAATAAAAGACAGAAAACTTTTTTGTCCTTTTCACTTTTGTTCTCATGGCTTCTCTCAGGTGCTGGAATTCAGCCTAGGGCATCAGTATAAAGGGTTCCTTACAGAGAGAGAGTTAAATAGGCTGCCCTGCGCTTTCCTAGGAATCAAATAAAGACTTGGAAAATTTTCTCCATAGAGAAAAAAAGAATGACAGTTTTCATCCTTCCAACTGAACTTGCAAATGAACCTTTGAAATACCCCAGTTGTAAAAATAGCTAATAATATATCACACTACCAGTAACAAATGCCTATAATGTGCCAGGCACTTTAAATAATGTAATTCCTAATTCTTACAATAGTCCTGGAGGTCAAGTTGATTGCCCTCATGTAATAGATGTAACAGAGAAAAGTGGAGAGGCTGCACAGGGCCCCATGGCTGCTCAGAGGCAGAGCCAGCGTTCAAAGGGAAGTGTGGGTACTGGAGCTGAGCTCCTTTTGCTCATCATGCTGGCAACTCCAGCCAGCCCTGCCCTGCTCCTGCCATCTCTTTGATGACCAAAAAGCTCTGAAAAGTTTTATGTTCTGCTACTGAATTCTACTTTGCTTTTATTTTTATTATTTTTTGGTAACAGATTTATTGAGATAAAATTCACATACCATATATGTCATCTAAAGTGTGAAACCCAATGGTTTTTAATAGATTCAGAGTTATACAATCACTACAATCAATTTTTAAAACATGTCATCATCCCCTAAATATACTCTGTAACCTTGATATACTGTCTCCCAATCCCCTTATCCCTGCACCTCCAGCCCTGGCCAACCACCGCTAACCTACCTTTGTGCCTCTATGGATTTGCCTATTCTGGGCACTTTATATAAATAAAATCATACATTATGCTCTATTTTCTGACTGGCATTTTTTCCTTAGCATAATGTTTTTAAGATTCATCCACGTAGCATGAATCAGTACTTTTTTTTTTTTTTTTTTTTTTTTGCGGCCCAGGCTAAAGTACACTTTGCGGCCCAGGCTAAAGTACAGTGGCATGATCTTGGCTCACTGCAACCTCCGCCTCCTGGGTTCAAGCGATTCTCCTGGCTCAGCCTCCTGAGTAGCTGGGATCACAGGCACCCGCCACCACGCCAGGGTAATTTTTTTGTATTTTTAGTAGAGATGGGGTTTCATAACGTTGGCCAGGCTGGTCTTGAACTCCTGACCTCAAGTGATCCACCCACCTCAGCCTCCCAAAGCGATAGGATTACAGGCATGAGCTACCACACCTGGTCAATTAAGTATGTTTTTATGGTTGATGGATATGTGAATTGTTTCCACTTGGGGCACCATTAAGAATAATGCTGCTATGAACATTTGTGTACACATTTCTGTATGAACATGTTTTCAATACTCTTAGGTGTGCATATAGAATTGGAATTGCTCAGTCATAGGGCAATTCCATATTTAACCCTTTGAGGAACTTCCAGAATTTTTCCAAAGTGGCTACACTACTTTACATTCCCACCAAATGACTTCGCTTTTAACAATACCAACTTCAAACTTTAGTTCTGTTATTTTGTGAATCACCTAGCTTCTGAAAATAATTAAATGAAAATTCAACTTTTGTTTCTCAGGATGTCTACTTATGTCAGAAATTAGAATTCTAGTCAATTGTTATTACTTTGATATATCTTTCTAGATAAAACAAAAAATAGTTACAGAGCATATAATATGTCTTTTAAAATGCTTTTGATAATGAGATCTCCACAGCCCTTTATAGCTCACACTTGATGAAACTGAGACTCAGAACAGTTAAGAGATATTCTAAGGTCCTAAATTTGTTTTACAAGAGTAGGGTTTGGGCTTAAAGTGGGGTTCCTCAACACTGGCCCTGGGTATTCTGGACTGGCTTATTATTTGTTAGGAGTAGGTGTCTTGTGGTATACCTCCTGTGTCAGATGTGTAGCAGCACGCCTGCTCACTAGATGGTAATAACAATCCCCCATCACCATCACAACCCTCCATCATCACAACACAACCTTCCATTATAAACATCATCACCCTCCATCACCAACACCACAACCCCTCTTCACCAATACCACAACCCTCCATCACCAACACTACAACCCTCCATCATCAACACCATTAGGAACAATCATCAAAACCACAATACTCCATTACCAACACCACAACCCCCCATAAGCAACAACACAACCTTCCATCACTAACACCACAAGCCCCCATCACCAACACCAAAACCCTCCATCACCAACACCACAACCCCCATCACCACCACAACCCTCCATCACAAACACCACAACCCTCCATCACCAACACTACAACCCTCCATCATCAACACCACAACCCCTCTTCACCAACACTACAACCCTCCATCACCAACACCACAATCTTCCATCACCAACACCACAACCCTCCATCACCAACACTACAACCCTCCATCACCAACACCACAAAGAACGATCATCAAAACCACAACTCTCCATTACCAACACCACAACCTCCCATGAGCAACAACACAACCTTCCATTACCAACACCACAAGCTCCCATCACCAACACCACAACCCTCCGTCACCAACAACACAACCCCTCTTTACCAACACCATAACCCTCCATCACCAACACTATAACCCTCCATCATCAACACCACAACCCTCCATCACCATCACAACCCTCCATCACCAACACCACAACCCTCATCACCACCACCACACCTCATCACCAACATTACAATCTCCCATCACTAATACCACAACCCTCCACCACCAACACCACAACCCTCCACCACCAACACCACAACACTCCATCACCAATACCACAATGCTCCATCACCAACACCACAGCACTCCATCACCAATACCACAACCTTCCATCATCAATGCCACAACCTTCCATTACCAACAGCACAACCCTATCACCAACACTACAAATCCCCATCACCAACAGCACATTTTTTCACCATGTGGAGGATGGGTGGGCTAAAAGGTGAGTTTGGTGGGAATGGAAATCTTCCCTTGGCTCAGAACCATTGAGTTAAAGAAATAATTTTGAGGTTGCAGAGCCTTGACACACTCTTGTACTCTGGCTCTCAATTGTACCTCTTTCTCTCTTTCTCTCTAACCCCACCAATTCCTCCATAAAATTTCTAACAGATCTTTGCACTTCAATTGTCACCATATTTTGACATCTTTTTTTATGTTTTGAAGACAAAATAAAAAGCAAGATCATAATCAATGTTGCAAGGTGTCAATGAACCTTTGTAACCAAGTGGCTGTTCAGGGCCCTTAAGTGTCAGCTGTGACTACCCTAGGCCATGACAGCCACACACAAGAGCAAAAAGACAGCCCAAACCAGATCATAGTCCCTAAAGACTGTTTCCAACCCTGGAGATAACTTGTTACAGATTTCCTTGATGGCTTTATTCACCTGTTATTCCTTGCTCAAGTGCGTGACACTTAAAAATTTCCGGAAATTTAGACAGATTTCTTAATATCTCTAAACCTATTACATCATCTGTAAAATGGAAACAAAATAGATTGGCTTGACTTGAAAGTTTCTAGGCTTTATCTTCCCCAGAAAACTCAATTCAATGGCCTTTCTATGTCCTCTCATACATGCTCTTATTTAACAATTCGAAGGTAGCTGTCAACTTTTGTTGACTGTCTCACAGTCAACTTTTGTGAGAATAAAGTAGGCAATATATGAATAATTGAATAAGGAAGTCTGAAAATGTCAGTTACATAGTAGAAGAGTATATTACGATTACTAGTACCATTATGCTACAATTTAGAGCCTGAGTTATGTTTTCCTGGCACACTGTTTATCCATCAGCTATCAAATTCGATTAACTTTTCCCTACTTATGGTAGATTGAGTTCACATATGCCTTCAAATTCCCTCTCTTATTTTTGTTCTATTCCTTATCCCTGAAGCTGGAAATTTCTTTAGTGGTCCCCCTCTTTTCCCAGCCTCCTGTCTCTTTCTGATAGAGGACACCTTGCTAGATCCAACTACCTAAAGAGCAAGGTTATCATGGACCTCACAGCAAATACCCCTCCACTGGGTCATGGAGCCCAGAGAATGAAAATCACACTGCTTAGTTGGACAATCTACTCTTTCTCTAATCAAGTCTCCCTCTGTCTTTTCAGGCTATTTTCCAAAATCCTTACAAGAATTCCCTGCTCCAGCTGGACCATGTGTTCATTATGCTCCAAGTAAATATACTTAGTGAATTGGGGCTTCCATACCCAGCCTCTGCTCCACCTATACGCTACCCTTACCATTTCCTGCTATCAAAATCCATCCCCCAATCTTCCAAGGCCAAGTTTTCGTGTCAGCAAATTCTTTCCTAAACTGTACAGACAGAGAACATATGTTTTATTACTTTCTATCACAGCCAGCTAGCACAGTGCAGGGCATATAAAACGTGATGAATGATTGATTGATTGAATAAATTAGTAAGTTAATAAATCAGGAAACGAATGAAGCAGGTTTTCCTTGACTAGAATAGTGCAGGGTGATTTCTCTTTCTAAATTCCTATAGCATCCACTGTCTGATCTATTTGTTTAGCTCATAATATTTACTGCCTTGTGGTATTAATTAACAATCCGTCCATGTTAGTCTCCTCTTCCCAGTGGGATAACAGGTACCTGGGGGTCAGAGTTTGAGTCACGTTTTGGGACACCCCCCGCTCTGCCCCAGTATCAGCAGGGCAGCATTCTGCGCTCTCCAAGGTTCATTGATGGATTGAGCATCAGACCAACTGAATCTCCACTGCCAAGTGTCAGAAGCAGGCCCTCATGTGAGCATTAGCCATAAATCACAGGTTAAACCTTTCCTAGTCGTTTAATGCCTGGCTCATATTTCAAGGTAACCTGGATCCTGAAAAGCCTTGATCAGTGCATAAAGGGAAAACATCTGGCTTTGCCATCCGCTAGGGTCTGTTAGGAACTCACGATGCATTTGTGGTTGATGGTGAAAGTGTGGTTTCCTTGGTAGACTTGAATGCTGAGATCAAACATCCACACGCTAACCATTAAGCTAAACTCAAGAGAGTTATTTCCCTATTCTCTCCAAGATACAGCACAAACTCTGGGGTCCCTGACCAAAACTCTGCTTCATCTTTTGCCATCTGGGCCCCAGGCAGCTAAGCTTCCATAGTCTTACACCTCTGGTTCTCGTTCTATTTCTCTTCTCTTATTAGAGCATCCTTTCCTTCCCTCCATATTTGGCCAAATTCTATTCATTCTTAAGAACCAAGCTGTGATATCCCCACCTCTAGAAAGTCTTCCCTTTCTCACCTATCCAGCTGCCTCTTCCCAGTGCTTCCCCAGTGTCCCAGGCACATGTTCTATTATTCATTAATGCCTCTTTACTGTCTCTTCCAACCATGCCTATGAGCTCCTGGAAGGCAGTGCCTCCTTCCCAGGTTCAACCACAGTACCCAGTGCAGAGTAGATACTCCAAAAGTTTCCTAAAGCCAATGAGAGGAACTTCAAGTTACATGAGAAAATTGTCAAAGTAAAAAATACAAAAGAAAAAGGGAAGTGATAGCAGGTTTGACAAGAAGATTAATCTATGATAAAAAAAAATTCTATCTCCTGCAATTCCTCTTTTGAGTGAGAGACAGAGAAAATAACAGTGAGTTAAGAAATACAATGTCTCCATTGTCATTATCCAAACTTAAAAAGCTGAAGACGCCCAAGAAATCACTACTTTGGTAAACATTTCCAACCTTTGCTTGGTATCTTAAAGTTCAGGCAATTGCATTTCTCAGTTTTCCATAACACGAAATGCTTCATCATGTTACTATCTTCTGAAACTCGAACTCTGTGCTTGTTGTGATATCATGTTACTATCTTCTGAAACTCAAACCAGACAGCTTGTTGTGACAGTCACAGCCCTGTGGCTATCCACTTTTTTGCCCTTGCTAATGGGATTTTCTCATTAACATTATCTTAGCTCAAATACCGAGGCATTAATGACAACTTAATTGAAGCAGAGGATGAAGCTTGCGGCCTCGTCATGTTTACTTGATGTGCAGATGGTGGCTAGCTACAAATGGCTTCTATGAGAAAGGGCAATATTTGGGGATCAGCTCTGTTAACTGCAGGGCCGTAGCCTATAACCACCTGGCTGCCAGCATTCCACAGAGTGAGCACTTCCATCCTGCACGATGCAGCTCTCCAGGCCATCTCCCTACCTCTGGGAGCTCCCCTGCCCTTTACCTAATTAGTACTCCCCCCTGAGTATAACTCATTCCTGGGTTTGACACATTATGCGGCATATAATTGTTGTAACAGGACTGTTTGTTAAAAATCACTACTAACTCTTCTTTCCCTGTTAAAATTCTATCTTTCAGAAATGTTTTAGAGGTCAACTCCACTAGTGTATTCATGCGTGTGGCAAATAGTTATGGAAGACGTGTGGTAAGCAAGGTGTTGGACCAAGGCTTGGGCAAATAATGTACTTGTTTCCATGGTTGCTTACATTCTAGTGATGAGAAGGGCATTGGTCAACAATGAAATAGACATATTAATATACATTGCATGAGCTGAATCGTGTCCCTGCAAAATGCGTATGTTAAAGTCCCAACACCTAATACCTAAAAACACAATTGTATTTGGAGACAGGATCTTTAAAAAGGTAATTATGGTAAAATAAGTTTCCATATGTTTGGTGTCCTTATGAGCAGAAGCTATTTGAACACAGACATGCACAGAGAAAAGACCATGTGAAGACAGAAAAAGACAACCATCTGCAAGCAAAGAGAGAAGCCCTCAGAAGAAATCAATCCTGCCAACATCTGGATCCTGGATTTGTAGCCTCCAAAACTGAGAAAATATGTCTGTTGTTTAAGACACTTAGACTGTGATATTTTCTTATAGCAGCCTGAGCAGATGAATACATACATATACATACTTAGTAACAAACGTTAAAAAGAAGAAAACCAAAGAAACAAGGCACCTGGCCTGCCTTGGAAAGGTTTCTTGAGAAAATATCAATTGAGATTAAATTCTGAAAGCTAAGGGTGTCATGTTGACCATAGCTACAGGATGACATATTTTATTTAATGTAAATGTAGTCAATGCTCAATAAT
Source organism: Homo sapiens (assembly GCF_000001405.40). NCBI lineage: Eukaryota > Metazoa > Chordata > Mammalia > Primates > Hominidae > Homo > Homo sapiens. Next base: position 124,512,877 of record NC_000002.12, on the reverse strand, counting down.
CATCAGAAAAAACATTCATTATGGCTGTTGATCTGAGAATCTCACCATATTTCAAGCTAGAGAAAGAACAAGCCAGTCACAGAAGTCTACTGGCTATAGAAAATTAACTGATAAAAAGGATGGCTTAAATGTTTTTTACATTTTTGTTTGTTTGTTTGTTTTGGAATACCTTATCTCTAACTAATACTGTTCAAGGAATTATCGAAAGAGTGAAATGTTATACGGTGGTTGAGGAAATATGATAAACACTATTGCTTGCTCCTAGGAATTAAATGGGATGCGCTGAGATGGCACCTCCGATAAGCCATTTGCCTTGACTATAGACACTTTTTCATGGTATTTTCTTGGTTTCTGGCTCTTTGCTGTCCATGTCACCTTTTGTCCAGAGATTTTGTCTGTCCCAGGTGATTAGCTTCACCTTTTGCCTTTTCAGCTAATAATGAGCAAGTGGTGCCAGCGCCAGGGTCAGATCTCTTAGTTTGGATTCTCCCCCCACCCACCCTTCTGGATTTCATTTTATTGTGCCAAAACCATGTATTTAAAATGTAGACTTACTCTTTAATACTGAAAATCCCAGGCTGAGTTTGATGCCTCTGGTGACATCAGGGCAGTACACTGTGCATCTAGGAAGCTCTGGGGAGAAGATGCTTTAATGGAATCCAAAGTGGGCTCTCTGCCTGCCTCACTGCTGCTTGCTTTGCCTTCTAAAGAGATGTTCACATATACCAACCGTTAGCTATAAGAAAGCCGGTCCCACAGCCAAAGACCCTTGCTGTGTCTCTGCCTGGATTTCTCTCTGCAGGAAATAGCTTCAGTACCTACAACCAATATTGTTCCTCTACTAACATAGGTTGAAGACCTAATATATTTTGTTAACCCTCCTACCAACATAGATGTGCGCACACACACACATATACACATTTAAGGAAGGTTGCAAAAAAAAAAAAAACCCTATTCAGGTTTAGATATTTGTCTCCTAATTCTCTACAGGTTGTGAAGAGTCATAGCATAACCTTTTTAAGACCATGCAAGCAACTCATCCACAAAATTCATGGTATCAAATAGGCTAAGTTTACTTTTCTGACTCCACAAAGTGCACCAGAGTTTTGGGAGTTGGGTAGCATGACCTCTGGCAAGGGGCTTGGCCCTGGGTACTCCCAATCATTCAGGACCATTTATGCCAGTTTCAAAAGAAGAGCCTTGGGTTGATGATTTCTTTGAAGATAATAAGGGGTGGGTTGGCCTATTGTTTTCTCTCAAGAAATCATGAATAGTGCTGGAGGGAGCATCCATGATTCTAGACTGATCCTCTCCTTCAGCAAATGAGGACAGTGAGGCTAACGGAACAAGACTTACTCATGTCCTACATCTGATTAGAGCACAGGTAGGCTGACGCACAACCACTGAAGCCTGAGTTCAAGCTCTTTGGCCAGACTGGCTGACATTTTGAGAAGCACTACAAAAAACAAAAACAAACAAACAAACAAAAACTTAAGCTAAAACTCCATGCCTGTTTCTTTTGATTCTCCTTGCCTTGTATTTTCCCATCGGAAAAATAAAAATAACATTGAAATGTCAGATCCCTTTCAGATAATTAGAGTGGTGCCGGTTATCTCTTAAGATTGCTTATGATTTCATATGACATTCAAAACAGTCTGCCCTATTCCTCCTAAGAAAACAAACCAGGTGGTCTCCTTTACCTTTATGAAATGTCCTGTTTTCTTAGTAATTCAGGTTGTTTTGAAAAATACTAAACTCCATTCTAAGCATCTCCATAAAAGCCTTTAAAACGGCAACCACATCCATCATTAAAAATAGAACATGATATCTATTGCTCAATGAAAGGGTATGGAGTTTGAGAGAGCCTCATGACCACATGACCATGTGAGAGGTCCCCATGGCACTTGGTACCTTATGAAAAGTAAGAAAGAACTGGGAGCTTAAAATATATAAATTAGGTTATCAAGGTAGTTGCTCATTCATTGGAGAATTGCCTAAATGGATTTTCAGATAAGGTTCACAGTCCAGCAAGACTCCTAGAAGGTGTTCTCTGCTCTAGTGAAACTCATGGCTTTCCACATGGATCAGATCTTTCAGTTTGAATTCTGAGAGATCTAATCTTGTTTCATGGGGCACGGGGAAAATTAGAATGGGAAAGCCTGCAGAAAGCAGGGCAATGTTCTTAGAAGTAGACAGGCCCTTACTGAAGTAGACCTCATGTCACTTGGCAGCCTTCATCCTTAGATGATAATCCTTTTAAGGAATCAGTACTGAGCACCAAAAAAAGAGTCTGAAGAAAGTATGACCTATTTTCTCAATGAATGTTGGTGTGTGTGTGTTGATATATGGAGATATATGTATATATATATATATATATATATATATATATATATATATATACACATACATAAAATTTACTTTTTTGTTTGTTTTTTTGATGGAGTCTTGCTCTGTCACCTAGGCTGGAGTGCAGTGGCCAATGAATATTTGTGTGTGTGTGTGTGTGTGTGTGTGTGTGTGTGTGTGTGTTGACATATGGAGATATATATATAGATAGATATATAGATATATATATAGATATATAGATATATAGATATAGATATAGATATATAGATATATAGATATAGATATAGATATATAGATATATAATTTACTTTTTTGTTTGTTTCTTAGATGGAGTCTCACTCTGTCACCTAGGCTGGAGTGCAGTGGCAGGATCTTGGCTCACTGCAGTCTCTGCCTCCTGGGTTCAAGTGATTCTCCTGCCTCAGCCTCCCGAGTAGCAAGTAGCTGGGATTACAGGCATGCGCCACCACACTCAACTAACTTTTGTATTTTTAGTACAGATGGGTTTCACCATGTTGGTGAGGCTGGTCTTGAACTCCTGACCTCAAGCAATCCACCCGCCTCAGCCTCCTGTATTATTTACTTAATAATATTATACAGTTAATTTTAGCTAAAGTACACAGAAGTTTATAAAGACAACAGACTTCCAATCTAGTGTGAATCCCAAGGTCTTATCCAAGTCTTATTCTTGTATAAGACCACCATGAAACTGTTTTTGAAAGACACAGCTTTAGACCTAAATAGCCACTTTCCTTAAGAGTCTTCTGTAGATTATCTATAGATGTAAAAGCAGAGGTTCTTTACATTTGAGTTATTTAAGCAATGGACAGTATGCACAATGAATATGGAGAGCAGCAGGATACTGTGTAAAGACCATGAACTTGAGAATTCTAAGGAAAAAGCTGAGGTTGAACATCACTTTGGCTACTTTAACTTAAATTCATATTCTCAGTTTCTTTCTATGTATGTTGGTATACTAACCGCCTGATAAAGTTTTATGAGTTTTTTTACAGTTTTGTATGACAAGCCCCTAGCACAATGCCTAACTGGCAGAAGATCTACAATGGCTGCTGGTTCTACTTTCACATCCCTTACAGTGAAATGAGGTCTTCTACCTTTCCTCATACATACATACATAAGGCTTGCAAAAAAAAAGGAGATGACAAAAATAGAAAACAAAGAAAAATACAAGAAAGAGATTCCACTGTTGTCCTTCATCTTCCTGAAACTTCATCCCTAGAATAACTAAATTCAGATGCCTTCTATTTTGAGGATGCATTTACTTTGCAAGTCTCTCCTTGATCTTCAATGCAAAAATCCCTAAATAAGAACTACTTCCTTCCTAAAAAGCCAAGCACACTGTACAAAGCTCGGGGAACAGGGTTGAAGGTGTGAGGCATCATTGTACTGCCCTTTCCAAAGGAATTACCTTCTCTTTTAGATCCAGGATGTTAGAACTAGTCTCAAATAAACCTTTGATTATCTGCATTCTCTGACCCATTTGGGACATACCAAGCATCAAGTATAGCCCCGTTGACTCTCAAAAATTATTGGAACAATTGTCATTATTTTTTCATTGTTCATATGAGATTTTCATCTTCTTTTAAAGCCAATATAAGCTCAAGTACTTTGAAAACAAGTTTCCTCAGAAATGTAAGGAAAGAGAAAACTGTTTTTGTTTGATTATTTGTTAGTTCTTCCTCCTCCCAGATGGGAAAATCGAAGAATACACAAAACCTTGATCCTTTTCTAAAAAACATTAAGTTCAAATTTTCCAAAAACATAGAAATTCTCCTTAGGAGAGAATTATACAAGAGTTTTTGGAACTCTGGTTGCACATTTTAAAAACTTCTTTTTGCTTATTTCAGTTTCTGAGAGGTGGGTCTGAAATAACTGATGATTTGTTCCCTTTCTGCAGCTGGGTAAGGTGGCAGCTCTTACCAGGCTCTCTTTCAGTCATAAATGCATTTTAATGGACTGACGTGCGCTTAACAATACAGACAGCACCTGGATTTTTAAGAGCAATGTGCTGCCAGGGCCTTCCTTGTATTAAAACTTCATTTTTGACCTGAGGCCTACAAGTCTCTGTACTCAAAAACATCTCACCGATAGAGAAACAGCTCAATGCCAGCTCACGTTTTTCTTTTTCAAATAAGGAGGATTGAGGCTTAATTTTTATAATTTGGAACATGAAAAAATATTACAATTCTAAGTGATTAACTCACCTCCATTACTGGAAATCTAATAAATTTTATAAAAATCGTCTGACTGCACAAATTCATTCTTAACTTTTATGACTCTCTAGAAAGAGGCCCCTTCTAGCTGTATCTCTTGAGTCAGCACGGAAGGAAGAAAAATGTGTTAAATAGCTACTCAACACTTTGTTCAGTATTTGAGATATACTACCTCATTTAATTGCCAGCACCAACATAATTTTTTTTTTATCTCTTGTGATAGGCAATATCTAAGATGATCCTGGATAATCTGTGCCTGCTAATATCCAAGTCCTGATGTCATCCCCTCCATTTGGACACAAGCTGGGCATATTTACCTGCTTCTAAGGAATAGAATATGACAGAAGTGACGAGATGCCATTTTCAATATTAGATTATAAAAAGACTGCGGCTTCTATTTGGGTGCTTTTTCTCACTCACCCTTGGCAGCCTTCTGGAGAGGCTCATGAGGAAGCTTGTGAAAGAAACTAAAATATTTCACCTCAAAATGTACTTCTTTGACATATTTTGAGAGGGCTGTTCCAAAAGAAGTAGCCCTGCAAAGCTGTCTTTTGTGGGGGACTTGCATCTGTAGAGAAAACCTGCATTGCTACAACAAGGCTTTCTGTAAGGCTCTCCCTTGTATGGATCGAGGACTGAGAGTCCAAACATTTAAAAGTCTGAAAAAAACATTTGTCATTTATTCTCTCTAAGGGCTGATACCTGTATGGCTTCACCTACATTTTAAGACCACCTTGGTAAACAGAACCTCCTTTTCTCTCCCCTCAATTACCTGTCTTGCCATCATAACCTGATTTACTACCATACCTGTTTTGTTGTTGTTGTTGTTTTGTTTTTTTGAGATGGGATCTCATTTTGCCACCCAAGCTGGAGTGCAGCGGCGTGATTATGCCTCACTGCAGCCTCGGCCTCCCTGGGCTCAGCTGATCCTCCTACCTGAGCCTGACGAGTAGCTGGTACTACAGGCATGCACCCACATGCCCGGCTAATTTTCAGTTTTTTGTAAAGATGGGGTTTTGCCATGTTACTCAGGCTGATTTTGAACTTCTGGGCTCATGAGATCTGCCCTCCTTGGCCTCTCAAAGTGGTAGGATTACAGGTGTGAGCCACCGTGCCTGGCCCATAACGTGATTTTGGCCATGCTCTAAACGCCAGTTCTTTCTATAATCTCAAGGTGATATAAAAGCATCAACCATCTGCCATTTCTTTGGGCTTTTACATTTTGTATGTCGTTGTGACTCCTGTGTGCATGTAATAAAATGTGTGTGCATTTTTTCCTGTTAATTTGTCTGTAATTCATTTCTTTTATAGACTCAAGTTATTCTCAAATAACTTGAGGGTAAAAATGTAAACTTCCCTACATGTGGAAGTGGATTTTCTAAGGCCTTCCTGAGCACATGAGTGAGTGCGGAAGCAGATCTTCCTCCATTGAACCTTGCCATGGCTTCAGTCCCCATTGGCAATTCAATTGTGACCTTATGGGAGACTCTGAGCCAGTCACCCAGCCAAGTTGTCCCTGGATTTCTGATCCACAGAAACTGAGACATAATAAAAAATGTTTTCAACCATTAAATATTGCTGTCACTTGATATGCAACTATAGATAACTAATACAATTCAGTTTGCATATGAGACAAAGTTTATCCAGGGCCACAGGAAAGGAAGGAGAAAACATATTAATACTTTTAAACTTGACTGCCTGACTTCCAGACTCAGGCCTTTCTGCTATGCTCAGGGGTTCAGTGGGCCATTTTGTTCACTATGGACATTTGAATGTCTCCCACGGTCTGACATGACCATAACTATGAGAAAAGAAAAACAGCTCAGAGCAGTCTGAACTATGTGAGTGATGCAAAGTATATTGGGCCCAGAGAGGCATGAGTATGAAACTTCAGTCACACACCCTTCCCCTGAGCTCAAGGCACCCATGCTCCAGGCAATTGTTTAAAGTCATTTTTTTTTCCTGACTACCTGCCTCACCCATTATCTTCTTGCTCCTGGAATCTGCGATACAAAGAACAATGCACAGGCAATCTTTAGCTGGTATGATTTTAATGTAAATTTCTGATAAACAACATAGAAACTGCCTCTTTTTTTTTTTTTTTTTCTTTAAAAGTCTGCTTCTAACTGCAGCTAATCAGAGCAGAATATACATTCAGGGCAACCTGAATCTATATTCCCAGGTTGCAATACTCAAGCTTGGCCCAAATAAACTATCTACTTATATTAATATTGCCTTGGCTTCTTCCTTTTAGGTCGACAACTATTAAGTCATATCCTTTACAATTTAACTTAATTTTTGCTAATCTACTTGGATAAAAGAACCATGCAGTCCAGTTGAGAAAAAGGCATCTAAATTAAATTGTAGTATAATCCATGATGGATGTTGACCTGCGGTGAAAAGCAGAGGGAGGTTTTTATTCAGATTGTTTATTCAGGGAGACTTCTGAAAGAACTTCTTCATCGATCAGCATGCTGCAGACCAATCCCTGCCCAATCCTTGGCATGTGAGATTTGACCTCAATGAGTATTTGTCAACTTAGTAAATACACCGCTGCTTGAAGGACATCAGAGATTGGTAACATAACAGAGAATGAGAGAGAGACTTCCACTGTTTCATGTTGAAGAAACAGCAGCTGGAGGAGCCAGGGTATCCAGAAATACAATTTGTTCACCGACCTGCTGTGTATTGCTAGGCAGTAAGATCTGTAGTACATGGCAATGAATCAGTGTTTCCCAAATTTTGGCCATTTGAGGACCATTTAAAAGTTTTCCCATTCCCTGGTGTCATATGTACTAGCATTTACTCAATACATTTAAAATATATATGTATACATATATATTTTTTAAATGGTTTTAAATTTACTGATTTTTACTTGAAATAGAATTTAGGGGTTATACAAACTTCCATGGTAATGTGGTTTAAGAGGAGAATATAGACTTGGAAGTCAGGCAAATTCAGGATAAATTCCCAGCTCCATCACTTAGGAACGTGGAATTTTGAAGTGATTGCCATGACTTCTGATTTCCTCATTTATTAAGTGTAAAATAGTAACTTCCTTCCGTAAGCATGGTGAAGATTCCATATGAAACATGCCATGTTTATAGAGAACCTAGCAGAGAGTTCTATAAATGGTCTAGATTATGCTAAATACTCCCAGGTAAGAATTCTTATTCCCATCTTTCCAATGAGACTGCTAAGAGACTAAGAAATTTAAGCACTTAACCAAAGTTGACATAGCTAATTATAAATTCACTTTTTGTTTTGCTTCCTACTAAGAAAAAAAAATGCTGGCCAGGCACAGTGGCTCAGGCCTGTAATCCCAGCACTGTGAGAGCCCAAGGCGGGCAGATCACAAGGTCAAGAGATGCAGACCATCCTGGCCAACATGGTGAAACCCCATCTCTACTAAAAATAAAAAAAATTAGCTGGATGTGGTGGTGTGCATCTGTAGTCCCAGCTACTCAGGAAGCTGAGGCAGGAGAATCACTTGAACCCAGGAGTCGGAGGTTGCAGTGAGCTGAGATCGAGCCACTGCACTCCAGCCTGGGGACAGCAAGACTCCATCTTCAAAAAAAAAAAAAAAAAAAAAAATGCTGCCTCTTCAGACTTGGAGTACATTTGTGAATACTGGGCTAACCCATATCCCTGAGATTTGGATTCTGTATGTTTTTGTCAGGACCTCAACCTTTGTCGACTTGGATAAACAAGAAGCTGATCCAGAGTGTCAGCAGACAGTACCTGTGAGGATTTCAGCTACGCGTTCTGTCATTTTCTGAATCACGAGTCTCAGGATTCCACCCTCCAGGCTCAGCAGCAGGGTTCCCGAGCCCTCAGACAGCTCTGTGGACAGAAGCAGACCATCCTTGTTCCATGTTCGAAACTGGAAACTCACTGAGAGCCCATCAATTTGGGGGGTGCCGGGCAGCAGCAAATAGCTGCCGCTGGAGTTGACAAATGTGATGGGCACAATCTGTGGTTCGGAGCAGGAAAAAGTGACATTGCCCTGGAAAACAATAAAAGTCAAACATATAAAAGCCATTTTTTATTCCGCAATCTGACAGCTGATATAAACAACCACCTGGAGCTGACCTTAATTTCAGGATCATTCCACATTCAGCGGCAAGATCTTAAAGAAGAAAAAAATGTCGGCTTTGCTCAGACACACTCACAAGATCGTTTTCCGCTCATTTGTTAAGGATCACAATGCTATCTGCAAAGAGGGCCATCTGAGAGTCCCAGAAGGAAGGGGGATGGAAGTATCCACACTTTCTAAGGGGCGTAAAAATAATTACATTTACTCATTATATAAATACCTATGGCAAGTCAACTATGTGCCAAGCTCACAATGTGGAACGTGCTAAAAAAGGGATAGATACTAGCTCCAGCGGGAGCCGGACAGGAGAAATAACTGGACAAGCAAAGGTTATGCGAAGGAAAACAAAACAAAGGAAGGAATTAGGAAAGGGGTGGAGTGGGGGTAACTTGACTAGCATTTTCAGCAAAGGCTTGAAGAAATTAGCAAAACAGCATCCCTATGAAATTCCAGGGAAACTGCCATTTCTAAGTAGTTCGTGGGACAGGAAGGTCCGGGTAGCATAAAGGAGGTAAGTCTGGAAAGGTGAAGAGAGGCAGAGCTTGAAAGCCCTCTGATGCTTCCTGAATGGTTTTCATTCAAACTTAGAAACAGTGCAGTGACATGGGCCATATATTTAACTTAGTAAAAGTATTTTCAATAACATAGATGAGGAGTAGATGAAAGGACTGGTCATGGGGAATATTAAGTGTGCATCGAACCCAAAAGAAGAGTAAGAAGATTATTCTTTGCATAGCAAAAAAAAGGTAAGGATCCCACAAGGGGAATGCCCTAACCTGAATGGCTACCTGAATTTAACTTTCCACAGAAGTGGCCAGGTGGCAGAGTTAGATACGCAGTACAGTTCTCAGTTCCAGAGCAGCGTAGTGGTTTGATTCCAAAAGCCTCTACCTGGAAGAACATCCGTAGGTGCCAACCATGTTTGTTTATGACAGTCTTGTATTCTTGAAAATGAATAGCAGTCCCCAAACTTCTACCAGTAGCACATTTCTAATGATTCATCCATCAGTCACACTGCTATGAGCATATTATTGCATGAATCATTTGTTGTAGTTGTTTAGATGTTTTCTTCCCTTCAGGCTAGATCCTCACAAGTTAATTAATGTGTCAAAGGGTAAGGACCTTGATATCCGTCAAGCAATCACCCACAGTATATATCATCCCCACCGTGCTAGGCAATAGGATAGGCACTTACATACATATCTTGTGAATTCTGCACAACAATGCCGTAATGTATTATTTTCTTCATTTAAAGGGTGCACAAGCCAGACTTAGAATAAATAACTTAGCAAAAGCCATGTGCCTAGTTAGCAGGAAACATGGGAGACAAACCCATGTTTGTCTAACTTGGAGGCTTTTGCTTTTAGCCACCATCTCTGATACCTCCATCCTCTGCACTGAGTGCTACCATTTAAAAAAAAATCCACCAACTTGCTCTTGGTATCTCACAGTTGTTTTAATTTGCATTTTTGGATCTCTGGTAAATTCCCTTTCAAGAATAAAAACATCACCAATGATGGCCAACTCATTGTGGTAGGGCTGTCTTTTGGAAGAAGCCAAATCACAAATGCTCTGCAGAGAAGCTAGGAAGTAGTAATAACTTTTATTTATCTTTTCCTTTCCTGAGGTCAGTATCATTTTTGTAAAAACAAATCTGCCAGAACACAGCTGCATTCAAAGTCTGAGGTTGTGTAGAGTGGGAATGTTCACAAAGATGAAGAAGGCAAAGGCATAGGAGGTTGCAAAAGTATCCCCTTTCCAGGAGTTATCTAAAACCCAGTTTAGCTTCACCCAAGCCCTCTTCTGAGTGTTCTCTGGATCACAGCCATGGAAGGCGGCTTCAGGACAGTGGAGGAGTAGAGGACCTGAGATTCTTTCCTTATTTGATCAGTTTGCTCACATCTGACCAGAGGCCTGGCTCTCTTTCCTCAGTCTCCCTTCATTTCATTGTTTAATGGGCCCAACTTCTTGAGCACAATACAGGGTTGCTCAGAATCTAAGGAGTTCCTGGATTGGTTCTCCAGAGCAAGGGCTTTAAATAAATGCCTTCAGAGATTGTCACTATTAAGATAAGGTTGTGAGTGGGGATGCACACCTAGCTCAACAGAAAGCAGGAAAACTTTGAAATGCACTGGGATATGCTTTCGGTCCTTGGACAGCTCCCTCGCTCACCTTAGGCCAGCTTCTCTCTCCCTTCCCCCGATTCCCTTCACACTTCCCTCTATCATTCTTGCCCCTGTGAAGCCACTCCAGCTATCTAAAACTTCTTTGTCTTTAGCGCATGCCTCTACTGTATTCTCTAAGGGCAAATCCAAAGGCAAGTAGGAGAGAAAATATGTGGGTGGATGGGAAATTCCTTCTACACAGAATCTGACCCAGCTCTCTGGGCTCACGTGAGTGTTGGCAGCTCAGTTTCCTGTCACATAGCTGCTGTGTGCCACTATTCTGACAGTCCTGTCTCAGCTGTGCTTACTGCTGACAGAAATGACGTACAGTGTTGAGGGCCATCAGTGTCACCCCTATTCACCAAAGGGAGGAGAAAAAAGAAAAATGAACTGCATGTAAAAATGCTACTTTTGAAATCAACATGGACTGACCATTTTCAGTAGTGCCATTTGTGTCTCCAGAATCTGTCTCAAGACGGCATTTGAGGAAGTTCCCACCGGCCATTTAGAAAAGCCATGTGAGAAGACATTACTTTAGAATTGTGTCAAAGGAGACATGGCAAATGGTCAGTGGCCTATATTCTACCCTATATATCTTTTAATCTCTTTCTCAAATATCATTCCTCCTATTCCCGAGAAGGAAGTTTCATTCCCCAAAGCCCATTTGTCCCTCTGTATGTTTAATTCCATTCAAGATTTCAACATTCATTCAAGATTTTTCAAGCATTATAAAATTGTGCTAAGCACAGGGATTAGTTAATTGTACACATAAATGTGACCTGATCCTTTGCATGCTGTAGTAATTAAATTCACTTTATGTACTTACTCTAATTTACTGTAATTGGTACAAAGTATGCCTGGCAAGGAAGGATGCATTGATCAAACCTTCAAGGTAAAACCACTGGCCTTGACCTCATAAGTGAGATTGAAAGGAAGTCAGTGAGCTGCCATGGGTCCTTTTTTTCCTCCCTATATCTTATAAGAACTCCAGGGTCTTTCATTGTCCAAAAAGGAAGTCAGTCTTCAAGGAAGGAAGGAAATCCTTGGGGTCTGAGTGCTTTTCCTTACCACACCCCCAAAGCTCCAGTTGAACCGTGGGCTCCTCTGTCTGACTGTGACTGCTGTTCCAGATGATAATGAGACCACCCAGGGCAGCAACTGCCACAAGTCACTGGTCCCGCCAAGTGTAGGTCTCCTATTGTTCCTAAGATGGTAGTTCTTAGTGCCCTATATTTTCACTGTCATACATGCCCCTTCTCGAACAGCCAAGATGTTCAGAAGTGCTGGGCCAAAGATGGAGTAGACATTTGCCCCTAGGGATCCCCAGACAATGTCTGTTTTTTCTGGCAAAAGACTCTTTCCTTGATCTAACTCTAGCCAGGCTCCTCTGAGTCCTCCCTTGTACTAGGTGTGATGTTGGGCTCTGTCCATGTCCCGTTTTTTCCAGTTTTAGCAAGAATTCTGCAGAGTTCAGTATACCAAAACCTCCCACCTTGGTCTGACCTCCTTGGATATATTATCACACTTGTCTGCCTTCAACAAAGCTCCTGTTGGGCTAGTTTAGCAAAGAAGTACCCTACCTCTAAGTAATTTTCCATTCCCTGACCCCCACCCTACTCCTTGGCTATAAATCCCCACTTTTCTTTATTGCATTCAGAGCTGAGCCCAATCTTTCCTGCTACTATAAAACCCCATTTAGTAGCCCCCGTTATCTTCTCTAACAATTGTAAAGAATACTGTTTTTTCAACACTTCTCTAGAGACCCACTACAGTCTTTCCTTGGTCAGCTCGACTGTGCCATGAGGTGCCCGGATTAAACATTATTTCTGGGTGTGGCGCTGTGTGTTTCCGGATGAGATTAGTATTAAAATTGGTGGACTTGGCAAAGTACAGTGCCCTCCCCAATGTGGGTGGGTATCATCCACTCCGTTGAGGGCATAGAGTAAAATGCACAGGAAGGAGGAATTTGTACTTTTTTTTTTCCTTCCTCTTGGCTCCATCAAGAAATTTCATCTCGTCTTCTCCAGCGTTCAGGCTGGGATTTACAACTTCTGGTACTCAGGCCTTCAAATACAGACCAGCACTGACTTTCCTGGGTCTGCAGATCATGAGACTTCCCAGACTCTGTAGTCCAGTGAGCCAATTTTTCATTATAAATCTCAATCTCTCTTTCAAATCTATTTCTCTTTCATATATGTATTCCACATATATAGAGATCCTGGCCCTACTTTTCTGGAGAACACTGATTAATACCAATAACAATGTGGGAGAGTGAGAAAAGAAAACAGATCTATGAGAAATTTGCCAGTACAATTGATAGAAAGTGTTGACTGAGGAAGGTGCTGGAGGGGCAAGTGTGGTTCCCATTCTTCTCTGAGAGTACAATGGATTTCAAACAGGAAAGCACAGATGGTTGCTGACTACTGATAGACCATCACCTCCCTTGGATTGTGTCCCTCGTCATCGGCACTACCCTCACTAGAGTGAAGAGACACACTAAAAGCAAAGCTGTCCTCTAGACATACGTTGTGCCTTCCTTCCTCCACCAGGCATGACCTCTTCATTCCTCTGCACCCTCCATCCCCACTTTTGCCCTGCAGGGCCCAGCAAGCCTTCTGGGCTTGCCCATGCCCAGACCTTTCCTGACATCCATCCCACAGTGGCTGCCTTCTCCATGGGCTTACAGTCGTGTGTGCTACCTGTGGAAATCTATTATGTTTCTTATACTGCCTTGTAATAATTAGCTACTTTTTGATAACTGCCCATGCCTTACACAATAGGTTTACAATTTGGTATAGATCATCTTGCTCTGAATTCTGAAGGAAGTGAGGGTGTTAAATTTAGGCAGAACTAGATTCTTGTTACAAATATTTAGGGAAAAAAAAACATGCCTTTCTCTGGTCCTCATTGTTTCCTTCATGATCTGGGGAATAATAGTAGTGGGATGATTTAAGACCACATGAGACCACGTGCAATGTATCTAGCATTGCTCCTGGCTTATTGTTTCTCCCTTTTCCCAGATCTGATGCTTTTCTGGGTGGCCAGAGGTAAGTCAATTCTAGAGGCTTAGGTTTCTTTTTTGTAACCTGAGGCTATTGAGCTGGAGGGCCCTAATATTCCCACTTGTTTCTCTAACCTTGGGTATCTGAGACTGAAGACCCACATCTTTAACATCTGTCTTGTCTTTGGAGAGGATTTGGGGATCATCTGAATCATTCTGTTGTTGGCATGAGAAGTGTAACCAAGTATTTACATTTTAGAAGACTTTTTCTTTGAATGATGCAGGCTCTAAAGAGGGAAACTTAGGCCTCTTCCCTAATAATTCCTGTCTTGATGCAGGAAAGAGGCCAAGAATCACAATCCATGATAAGTATATTAAAATAAAAAGTAAGTGAGCAAAAGATGATATATTTTTACGTGTTAAAGAAATAAGAAGGCCAAGCGTGGTAGCTCACATCTGTAATCCCAGCACTTAGAACGGCTGAGGTGGGAGGATCACTTCAATCCAGGAATTTGAGATCTGCCTCGGCAACATGATGAGACCCAATCTCTATTTAAAAAGTAAATAAGAAGCCTGATATTTTAAAACACACTTACAAGAGTATAATAACCAATTGACTGATTATGCTTTCCCCTTCCCTCCCCCTCCCCAGAAACTGTAGCCTAAAATATTTTACAAAGAGAAAGCTAGATTAATGCTGAGCTGTATGAGGAACTACAATGGTTGCAACTTTCTTGCAGAAGATAAAATGGGAGAAATTATATGCAGCCACTTAGACAGGTGCCAGTTCAGGGACTATGCAATGAAAACCAGAAGCAAACCGTGAGAGAGAATGAAGTTTCTAAGCAGCGCCTTCCTTGAAGACGTATTCAGGCCATTCTGCCACTAAACCAGAAGTGTGCCATATGCTGATGGAAATCCAATAAAACCCATCCACCTAAAAGCTTTCCTCTGTCGCAGAGAAACTCATCCAAAAGGAGATATTGCAGTAATAGTGTAATTACCATGATCATCTCATGACTGATGGACAGGAGTGTCATGGCAGAAGGTTTACTTCCTCAAGACTTTTGACACAGAGAACACAGTAGTAGTTAAGTCTTTGTCATGTGACTACAGAACCAATCGAATGAATTTACACTTATCTGTTACACAGACGAAGAACTTCAGAAGATGCTGCTCTGCTGATAGACACAAGGATGGAACCACTGCAGTGGTCTGAATGTGATTGTATAATAGAAAGAATAGACTGAAATGTATTGAACAGGGAGCTCAGGCCTCCATGTTAGTCAAACATTCCTAAACCTGGACTCTCGTATGTTCATTGGTCACTGGGTATTTTTGCCAGGTCTCAGCACGTGGCATAGAAACCATAATTTACTAAGCTAGAACAAGTACCTATCAGAAATGAGAAGAGAGACATTCTTAACAAATGGCTTCATTTGTACTCATTTCCTGGCTTTATGATTAAACATAATCCTTTGGTTATTTCACTTGAGGTCATTGATGTACATGAAAAACTTTAGAACTTAGCAAGAAAAGACAATTCTGCTTGAATTTTCCATTTGGATGCTGGCTTTGCCTTATATTTCTGCTAGGAGTCCATCCTCTTTCAAGACTTTTACTGAATTACTTGCCAACCCTATGTTGGCTGCATAGACAATAGGTTATGCTAAAGTGAACCATCACTGTTAAATGGCTCAGAGGTGTTTCTATTAGTGGGCATTATACCTCTAGTCAAACATTGGTCAGTTATTTTGGATATTCAAGCACATTCCTTTTGGACTCCTTTCACTACCCAAAGACACCTATTACTGTTTACTATTAGTGACTCAAGCCATTTAGCTATTTTGTGGAAGACTCCAGAAAGTTGTTGGCTGCTCTGCTTTAAATGAAAACCTGAAAATAAAAAAAGCTATAAATAAAAAGCGTGTGAGGACCATGCAAGATCCATGGTCTCTAGCGGATTCTCAACCAGGCTGTCACCACTGCTTCAAACACTGCTTACCAGCTCAACAGTAAAGCTCTGGTCTGACCTTGAGTCACCTGGGAAGAATAAAACAAGAATAAGGGACTACTCTTTGTTGAAAAAAGACCTGAGGTTATACATCCAGGTAGCTATGGATAGGCTACGACTGAAAGGAGAATGCATCTGAATCCAATCAGGTGACTAAGGCAGAAGCCAGAGAAAGGGGATGCATGGGTTGGTGAAGAAGATGGAAGGAAGACAGACAGTCTGCTCCCATTGAGACTCCTCTACCGTAGGGACAGTGAGATCCTGGCACGTCCTTCATTATTCCTGAGAGGAAATAGTAAGTCAGGTGTGGCTGTCCCGCCACTCCAGGAAACTAATTTTTAAGACCTGAAGAGAATACAGCAGGCCCAGCTTGAAGTTCTGCTTAGCTTGGCTATTTTTCAAGTTTCTTATGTGTGACGCTTCCAAGGGTTACATTACTGTGCTGAGCTGTTATTTACAAAACTTTTTCATTGTGGGTGTTTGTTTTGTTTTTAATCATCATCTAGACGCCACAACACCCTGGTGAGTAAAAAATAAAGCTAGCAGTGCAAAGCTGAGCTTCAGTCATGAGGCATCAAACAAAGCCAATCAAGCATTTATAAGCTGGAGAAAATGATCTTCATCCAATCTAATTTGCGGGGAAAGATTTCAAAGCCAGTTCTTGATTTTCCAAATGAGTACAACCATTTCTAATTTGATTTGTCTGAGAACTACCAGCACTGACTGGCACGCTGTCAGCAAATGTAGGGAAAAGACTGCCCTGTGAGCTCAAGCTACCTTCCTATTCACAAACTCAGGGTGACTCGGGAATCAAATCAAGGCTCTTTTTCATTTTTGGGAAAGACAGGCTCCTTCATTTTTTTATTGACTTATTTAGCAGTTCTCTATTTAGCAGTTCTCTATTAAGCAGTTCATATGGGCCACCTTGATTCTCATGACTACGGATACAGTGAAGGAGTGAGACAGACTCAGACCCGCCCACCTAGAGCTTACATGGCAGTAGGATAAGGGTCATGGAACATGTCATCACAGCTATGACCAAGTGCCATGAGGGAGACACGTATTCTGCTGGGAGAGCATGTAACAAAGCATTGTTACAGGGCTTTATGAGGTGCCTTTGGATTTGAGCTTTGTAGGACAAGTAAGAAGGAGTGAAGCTGGGAATAGGACTTGGGTGGAGGAAGAGAAAACAGGGAAGAGAGTGAAGCTGGGAATAGGACTTGGGTGGAGGAAGAGAAAACCGGAAAGGACAAGTACTGAAAAGAAGTCCATAATACATGTTAGGAATTTAAGTGAAACTAAACAAGTGGCATTACTATGGACAGGCAACATTCTGCTTCTGCCAAAGGAGGCCTTCAAGGATAAAGATCGTGCACATTAGGGTTTCATTTGAGAGACATCCACGAGAGACACATTTTTAGAAATGGAAGGAAGGCCCTGCTAATGGCCATGGTGCATGGACAGGCTAGAAGATGGTGCCCTGCATGACCTCTCCTCTGGCCTCTCAGCAGCTGCCTATGCACAGGCACCAGTAAACAGGGAACTACTAGAGCCACATGCTGCCTTTGGCCTCAGAGATGGTCTCTTGTCTTTGCTTCTTTTTTTGCCCTCCCAAATCTACTTTTTAATATCCGTTAGCAAATATTGCACAAAGCTATTTGGAACTATGAATCAAGAAGCTCAAAAATATTAATACTCCTTTTGACACTCTACTTTCACTTCTAGAAGTCTTCAGGAAATAATTTGAAATTGGACTAAGATTTACACACTGAGAACCATTATTTATAATAATAAAAAACTGGGTCTGAAATTATATAAATATTTAAGTAAATTATGGTATATGTATATGAAAAACTATTTTGCCACCACTAGTAGCGATGTTTATGGCAAGCAAGAAAATTGCTTATAACATTAAATTGAACAAATAGAATACAAATTTACACATATGAATCAGGTGAAATATACCCATATAAATATGTAGGCATAGGACCATGACTAATATACTAAATAGTGACTCTTTCTGGGTGGTGGAATTATGGCAATTTTTATTTCCATACTTAAAATCTTTTGTATTTCCAATGTATTTAAAATAAAGAGGTATAGCTTTATACTAGGAGTTTCAGTTAAACAGTTTTCTGTATGTGAATTTATTTGAAGGCTTTCATGACAAAAATATTCAGGATCAGTAATTGCTATTAGGAAATTAGTGTAGATTGCTGAAAGAAATAATAGCAGGTAATCCAGGTAGGAATAGAAGCATCTAGGTTTGAAACCCAATGACTACTACTTTTCAAATGATTTCTACTTTTGCATAATTTCAGAATTGCTTGTCTCCTCTACTGCAATCTTTAGTCATGCGTCCAGTCTACTCACATAAGGCAAAAGCAACAAGTCATTATAACAGTAAGGTGTGATGGTTAAATGTAGGTGTCAACTTCACTAAATTAAGGAATACCTAAAAACCTGGTAAAGCATTATTTGTGGGTGTGTCTGAAGGTGTTTCCAGAGGAGACATGTGAGTCTGAGTGCACTAGGAGGGGAAGATCTGTCCTCAGGTTTGGCAGGCACCATCCAACCTGCTAGGGGCCTAGAGAGAACAAAAACAGAAAAAATGAACATGTTCATCTATCTGCAGGAGCTGGGATGTACTCTTCCTCTCCTGTCCTTGAACAACAACTCCAGGCGCCTCAGCCTTTGGCCTCTAGGTCTTACACTGGTGCACCCCACCCCCTTGGGTTCTCAGGCCTTTGGCCTCAGCCTGAGAGTTACACTATTGGCTTCCCTGGTTCTCCAGCCTTCAAACTTGGAGTTAGTCACGCTATAAACATCCCAGTGTCTCCACCTTGCAAATGGCATGTTGTGAGTCCTCTCAGCCTTAACAGCCATGTGAATCATTTCCCCTACCCCCCCACCCACACACACAGGCACACACACACACAGACACACACACACACACACAGTCTCCTATTGATTCTCTCTAGGGAACCCTTACTAACACATAAGGCTGAAGGAAGTGGAGTGTGTGTGTGTGTGTGTGTGTGTGTGTGTGTGTGTGTATTTATGGTTTTCTTTTGTCTCCAAACTACTTTTTTTAGCCCACAAACAAAACAACTTTCCACTTCACATACAAGTATATGCTGCTTTTCTAGACTAAATTCACTTTAATCAGGAAAAAATATTCTTAGCTCTGAAAATATGAGTACCTTTGTTCTTGAGTAAAAATAGAACAAATAGCAAGTGTGTGTGAAGGGAAAGTACCATCAACAAATAATGAGTATGTTATAGAAGTCAACTTCTCAATTTAATCAGTAATATTTATAACATAGGAAGGAATGTGTGTAATTATCTTCAATGAAGTACTTTTAAGTTAAAAAATTAATTAAGGCAGGATGCGGTGGCTCACCCCTGGAATCCCAGAACTTGGGAGGCAGAGGCAGGCGGATCACGAGGTCAGGAGATTGAGACCATCCTGGCCAACATGGTGAAACCCCGTCTCTACTAAAAATATAAAAAATTAGCCAGACATGGAGGCAAACGCCTGTAGTCCCAGCTACTAGGGAGGCTGAGGCAGGAGAATCGCTTGAACCTGGAAGGAGGAAGTTGCAGTGAGCTGAGATCACACCACTGTACCTCAGTCTAAGTGACAAAGCGAGATTCTGTCTCAAAATAATAATAATAATGATAATAATAATTAAATATTTTTAATTAAAAATTAAATAAGGAGAGGCTGCAATGCAAGCATAGCTCAACATATGCAAATCAATTAAAGGAATTAAGGATAAAAATCTTACGATCATCTTGATAGACGCAGAAAAGAATATTTGACAAAAGTCAACATCCCTTCATGAAAAAACTCTTAACGATTTAGGTGTAGAAGGAATGTATCTCAACATAGTAAAGGCTATATAAGACCATATAAGACAAACCTATAGCTAACATCATACTTAACATTAAAGGTTGACAGCTTTTCATCTAACATCAGAAACAAGACAAACCACTTCTGCTGCCTCTATTCAACAGGGTACTGGAAGTCCTAGCCTAAGAAGTTAAGCAAGAAAAAGTAAAATTATTAAAAAATCCAAATCAGAAAGAAGTAAATTATCTATGTTTGTAGATGACATGATATTATATATTAAAAAATCATAAGGACTCCACCAAAAATTTGCTAGAACTAATAAATAAATTCCTAAAGTTGCAAGATACAAAATCAACATACAAAAATAAGTTGAATTTCTATACACTAACAACAAACTATATGAAAATAAAATAAACAATCCCATTTACAATAGCATCAAAAATGGAAAGATATCCCATGTTCGAGTAATAAGAATAAATATTGTTACAATGTTCATACTACCCAAAGTCATCTGTATATTTAATATAATCCCTATCAAATTTCCAATGGCAGTCTTCATAGAAGTAGAATAAAAAAATCCTTACATTTGTATGAAACCGAAAAAGACTTCAAATAGCCAAAGTAATCCTGAGGAAAAAATAAAGCTGAAAGCACCACATTTCCTAATTTCAAGGTATACCACAAAGCCATAGGACTCAGAACAGTATGATGCTGGCATACAAACAGACACAGAGATCAACAGAACAAAGAACTCAGAACTCAGAAATAAACTTATTGCACAGTGGTGAAAGAATAGTCTCTTCAACCAGTGGTGTTGAGAAAAGTGGATATCCTCCTGCAAAAGAATGAAATTAAGTCCTTGTCTTACAACACTCACAAAAATTAACTTGAAATGTATTACAGACTTAAATATAATACCTGAAACCATAACACTCTGAGAAGAAAATATAGATGAATATATCCTTGACATTGGTCTAGGCAATGATTTTGGATATTACACTAAAAATACAAGCAACAAAAGCAAAAATAGACATGTGGGATTACATCAAACTAACAAATTTCTGCACAGCAAAGGAAGCAACAGAATGAAAAGGCAACCTACAGAATGGGAGAAAACATTTACAAGCTAGCTATCTGATAAGAGGGTACTATACAAAATATGCAAGAAACTCATAATATAACTCAATAGCAAAAAACAAAACAAACAAACAAAAAACCCAAATAATATAATAAAAAGAGCAAAGACCTTCACTAGAGATTTTTCCAAAGAGGACATTGAAGTGGCCAACAGGTATTCATATTGTTAATCGTTTAGGGAAATGCAAATCCAAACCACAATGCAAGTTGAAACCACAATAGGTACCATCTCATACCTGTTAGGGTGGCTGCTATCCAAAAGAAAAAAAAAAAGGTACAAGTATTGGTGAGAATGTAGAGAAAGGGAAGGCTTGTACACAATTGGTAGTAATGTAAATTGGTACAGGCATTATGCAAAACAACATGGAGGTTCCCTAGAAACCAAAAGGTAGATCTGCCATATTAGCAATTCCACTTCTGAGTATACATCTGAAAGAAATGAAATCAGTATCTCAAAGAGATATGCGCACTCTCATGTTCATTGCAGCATTATCTACAATAGCCAAAACATGAGACTACCTTAGTGTCCCTCAACAGATAATAAAGAAATTGTGACATCTCTCTCTCTCTCTCTCCATATGTGTGTGTATATATATAAACACACATACATAAATAAGAATATATATATACACACATACATATATAAGAAAGAGGAAAACCATGCTATTTGTGGCAACATGAATAAATCAGGAGGTCATTATGCTGAGTTAAATAAACCAGACATAGAAAGGCAAATATGTGGTATCTCAAGAGGTCAAGCTCACAGGAGCAGAGAATAGAACAGTACTTGTCAGGGTTAGAGGGTAAGAGAAATGGAGAGATGTTAATCAAAGGGTACAAACTTTCAATTATAAGATGTTCAAACAAGTTCCTGGGATCTAATTTACAGCATAGACGATGATGGTTGTGTTGATTAACTTGATTGTGGTAATTATTACACAATGTATACATACATCAAATTATCACATTGTACACCTTGAACATATATACTATCTTTATTTTTCAATTAAATGTTTTAAAATAAAAAAGTAAAAGGAAATCTGCTACTGAAATACTGACATTTGGGGTGATATCCCAGGTCAATGCTGTCTAATAGAAATATAATGCATACCACATAAGTAATTTAAAATTTTCTAGTAGCAGTATTTAAAAAAAATTTTTTTTAAAACAGAGTAACTTAATTTATATTTTAATACAGGGTTATTTAACTCAGTAGATGCAAATATTATTTAAATATACAATCGGTATTAAAAACATTACATAATAATTATATAAAATTATTTTACTTTTATATGAAGTCTTAAAAATCTGGGATGCCTTAAAACACATCACAGTTTGCACCAGACATACTTACTTCAAATGTTCAATAGTTACACATGACTAGTGGCTACCATATTGGATGACACAAATCTAGTGCATCATTATAATAGTAATGATAGTTTTGCCAATTTTGACACTAAGGTAGAAATTGTTTTACTTCTTACATAAGAACTCTTATATACTGATCTTTATTGTTCAAAGAGATTGTGGAAAGATCCCTAGTTATATAACAAAAATTAATTATTATTCCTGCTCTTTCTTTCTCTTTCCCTTTCTTTCTTTCTTTCTTTCCTTCCTTCCTTCCTTTCTCCCTCCCTCCCTCCCTCCCTCTCTTTCTTTCTCTCTCTCTCTTTCTTTCTTCTTTTTTTTTTCTGAAATGGACAACAATGCTCTGTTGTCCAGGCTAGAGTGCAGTGGTGCCTTCTTGGTCCCCTGCAAACTCCACCTCCCTGGTTCAAGCAATTCTCCTGCCTCAGCCTCCCAAGTAGCTGGGACTATAGGTGTACACCACCATGCCTGGCTAATTTTTGGATTTTTAGTAGAGATGGGGTTTCACCATGTTGGCCAGGCTGTCCTTGAACTCCTGATCTCAGGTGATCTGCCTGCCTTGGCCTTCCAAAATGCTGGGATTACAGGTGTAATAATTAATAATAATTAAGCCACTGCACTCTGCCTGTTCCTCCATTTCTTGGTAGTGAAATAATGATTTGTTTGAGGCAAGAATGTGCTCAACTGGATGACTACATTTCCCCACTTCCCTTGCAGACATGTATTTTCAGGTGACTAAGTCAGACCTATAAGGCATGGCATGGAAGGAGCATTGGATGGGACTTACTGGAAGGCTCCTTGAAGGGAGCTGACTCAGCTGGGAGGAATATCCCCTTTGCCTTCACTTCTTCCTTTCTTCTGCAGCCTGGCATGCAGATAGAATACCTCAAGCTCCAGCAGCCTATTGGGACTCTCAGAATGGAAGATGGAGGGTTGGAATGGCCAAGCAGAGGGTCAGAAGGATCTGGATACCTGACTACTTCATGGAGCTGAAAATCCTATATTTTAGTTTTGTTTTAGGAAGTGGAGTTGGAGGAGAGGTCTTAAAGACTGCTCACACAAGCTCTTTAGATGGTTTGCAGAGTCTAATTGTTGTGGACTGAACTGTGTTTCCTCTAAATTCATGTGTTGAAGGCCCAGCCCCCAGTACCTCAGAATGCGACTGTATTTGGAAACAGTACACTTCATGAAGTGAATAAATTAAAATGAGACTGTTAGGATAGACTCTAATCTAACAGGACTGGTGTCCTTATAAGAAAATGATATTAGGACACAGACATGCCCAATGAGGAGACTATGTGAAGACAGGGAGAAGAGGGCCATCTACAGACCAAGGGAGATGCCCTCAGAATCAACCCTGCTGACATTTTCATGTTGGACTTCCAGCTTCCAGAACTGTGGGAAAATAATTTCTGTTGTGTTAGTCAAACAGTCTGTGGTATTTTGTTTTGGCAGTGAGAGCAGACTAATACAGTGATAGAAGGAGTTTTAATAGTTTTTCTTAATGAAACCGCTGAGTTGAAAAGTATTTTAGACATTATCCAGAGGACATAATTCTCAATCATGGAAAGCACCAGAAAGAACGAGTTCATTGTGAACTTTAAACAATGGATTCCACTAGCTACGTAGTGGCCCAATTGACTGGAGAAGCCACATCTTCTGCCACACACAGGGCTCTTTTTAATTAGGTCCTGCCACCTCTGCTGAATCAGGGAAGGAGAAAACATTTAGTGGAGGGAGACACGTGAAGACAATCTTCAAACACTCTATCTCCAGGCAGCTAAGAGTCAGACTGTGCAACAGATCTCTTAAGTGTATATGGAGATCTTTAGGTACAGAGAGGCTCAGCCTTCTATGAGAAGATGCTCCCTTAGGAAGACATTCTTCTTCACCTTTCATCAGATCCTTCAAGTTCATCTTGGTATAATCATCACAACATAAGCTTCAATGAATATTTACTATGCACCTCCAATTTGTAGTGTGCTCACTTCTTTACAGGAAATTAAAATTACTCATTTCTCTTCTTATTAAAAATGCATTCACTTATTCAACATTTATCGATCACCATTTTTATAATGTAATTTCATTTTAGTTAACATTTAGAAACTCAGTGATTAGAGCAAAATATAAAACGTGTGTTAAGCACATCACAGCAGCTAAGCACAGATTTGGCATTAGAAAGGCCACTAATGGAAAGCAGATTCTATCACATGCTAGTTACGTATCTTGGGGAAGTTACTTTAATGTTACCGAACCTCATTTTTCCCAAACTGAAACCACAAAGAGCTATCCACTTTATAAGGTTATTCTGAGGATTAAAATAGATAAATATAAAAATCAATTGACACAATATTTGGCATGTAATAAATGATCAACACGTTATTTTCATGGCAGAATACTGATAACAAGAAAAGGAATTACACAAAATTACACCAAAGTAGTCCTTTTGAAATGAAGACTAAAAAATCTATACCTGTATAGTATTTATGATTGCTTTGATAAAATTGCGGGTGACTTCTTTTCTTTCTGATTTTCGGTGTTTACACAATTTCCTATAATCTATAAGTATTATTTTTTCATGAATAATGGTAATGCAATGTGATTTACAAGATATTTATTAGCTTATAGTTTGGTTGTTGAGTTACATTGTTGAGAAGACTGTGATTCTTGTACTTTTCCAGAGCAGTCTTAGACCTAATGATCTCTGGACTCTTATGAATCATGGAGACTGACTGCTTCCTGTAGTGTGCATGAGGGTTGCAAAAATCTTTGGGTCACAAGCTGGAAGTTTTACCCAAATGTCGTGGATTGTCAAATCCTAGTATAAGCATTCGATTTTGTGGGTAAAAACATGGGGGAAAAAAAAGCCTAGATTTTCTTGGTCTTTGCCAGTCATCATAAGGAATTAAAAGTTTGATAAAATGCACTCCAGTTTACTAGAAGCCTATAGAGAAAGCATTCATTATGATTGCAATATGGAGGATTATATGTGCCCATGCACATGAAATGAGCTTCTAGGCAAGCTCATTCCGTGTGTATGGGCACATATAATCCTCTACCAAAGTCATCTTCTGGGGCTGCTGGATCTTCCATTTACCTTGGGAAGCTAGCATTGAAGTTTCTGTAACAAAGATCAGATTTTCAGCTGCACAAACATACTGTCCTTACAGGCATCCACCATGTGGCACATATAAATGAAGTAAATGGTGGGTTTCAGAGCATACCTTCACCCTAAAATGTGTTTGGATACGAAATTTCTGTCAGACACATCAAATGCGGCTTATGAAGGCTACGTATGTTCATTTAGCTTTGTTCTTCATCTCAGAGTCACATTCTTGAAGACCTAGTCAATCTGTTATTTTTTATACTTAAATGATCATTAATATTTTTAAAGAGAAGATATTTATTTAGCTACTGAATTTCCCTGATGCCTTGGGGATGAATTTGAATATGCTTCAGAGAGCTTGCTTCCTAGGCTGACACAGGGCATATCTTGGACCTTGTTACAGCATCAGGGAAAATACTGAAGTAATCACTAGCCACCATGGGGGATACTGGATAACCCCATGGGTGGATGTACTGTTAGAGTGATGAGCTGAACTAAGGTATTAGACAAACGTAGAAAGAAGTGGCAGGGAAATAAAACAATTTCAGCGGAAAAGAATAAGCTATGTAAAACAATTTTTAGGTTAAATATGAATAAGTTTTTGTGAGAATTACAGTAAATCTTCATGTAGACAGGTAAATTATTAGAGTACTTCTAATTCATGTCCACCTATACAGTGTTCTAAACTTTTTGAGTCTGAGAAATGCATTTTAATGTAATAAATTACATGGGCCTATAATAAAAGTAGTAGTTTCACTATTTTTTTATGGAGCATATACATAATGACAAAGTTAAATAAATTGACATTTTACTAATTACAAGAGCCTAGGCCTATACTTGTGGTTTTGGACTTCATACATTTGTGAGACATGCTGGTATTGCATAAAACTGTGATCAGGTGACATATGAAACCGTGAATATGTGTATGTCTCCTTGTTTCTTCCCAACTCTCTTTTCCAGATGTCCAAGGTCTCTAGTTTTTAACCCAAATTTTTAAAAGAAGAAAAGAGATTGGCAGTTGTGCTAATTATTTATTCTGAAGTTCAGTTCCAAAGCCACTCTTCTTTGCCCTGCATTTTGTTTTTACATTTAAAAAAGTGTTATTTCAATAGTTTTGTGTAAATTGGTGGTGTTTGGTTACATCGGTAAGTTCTTTAGTGGTGATTTCTGAGATATTGATGGACCTGTCACCCAAGCAGTGTACACTGCACACAGTTTGTAGTCTTTTATCCCTCACCCTCCAGCCACCCTCCCCACAAGTCCCCAAAGTCCGTTTTATTATGATTATACCTTTGCATCCTCATAGCTTAGCTCCCACTTATAAGTGAGAACTTCTGATGTTTGATTTTCCATTACTGAGTTACTTCACGTAGAATAATAGTCTCTAATTCCATCCAGGTTTCTCCACATGCCATTATTTTGTTCCTTTTTATGGCTGAGTAGTATTCCATGGTTCATATATACCACATTTTCCTTTTCCATTTGGTGGATGGGCATTTAGGCTGGTTCTATATTTTTTCAATTGTGCATTGTGCTGCTATAAACATGCAAGTCCAAGTGTCTTTCTCTTATAGGGACTTATTTTCCTCTGGGTAGACACCTAGTAGTGAAATTGCTCAATCAAACGGTAGCGGAGTTGGACCCTGCAAACATTTCTCTTTTGTCTACTGGCTGAATGTTATGCTTTGTCCATAAGGGGCACTAGAGGGCCGCTGCAGGGTGACAGAGGCTGGAAGATGCTTCCAGGTTCCTGTCCTCCATTACTGTTCTTCAGTGGGAGTCCCAGGGAATCTGCATGGTTGACCCCAGCTTCAGTCTCCCCACAGCCGTCAGCTTCTGCAGGAAGCTGGGACCTAAGTTTTCCGGCAAGCTTCTTTGCTATCTGTATGCTATGTGTTCCCCGGTAAATGCACCTTCTTCTTTTTTTTTTTTTTTTTTTTTTGAGACAGAGTCTTTCTGTGTCGCCCAGGCTGGAGTGCAGTGGCGTGATCTCGGCTCACTGCAAGCTCCGCCTCCCGGGTTCATGCTATTCTCCTGCCTCAGCCTCCTGAGTAACTGGGACTACAGGTGCCCGCCACCACGCCTGGTTAATTTTTTGTATTTTTAGTAGATACGGGGTTTCACCGTGTTAGCCAGGATGGTCTCAATTTCCTGACCTCGTGATCCACCCGCCTGGGCCTCCCAAAGTGCTGGGATTACAGGCGTGAGCCACCGTGCCCGGCCGGTAACTGCACCTACTTGAAGAGGTCTGAATCTCAGCCTGGGAGGTGGGCAGAGAGAACATTTCTAGTCCTTATTCCTTCACAGTCCACCCTATCTCAAGCTAGAGAAAGTACCTGATTTTTTGCACATGCTATTTCTGGACAACTTGGAGTCCTATTTACCTGTTTTATTAGTTACCCACCTTCTACTAGAAAGCCACTTTTATATAATTTTTTTTTTGCATTTTCTAATAACTCAGAACTTGACACATAGAGATGTCTTCTGAATCTTGTGACAAAAGGTGAAGCGTTTCTAAGAAGCCCGCCCAACTGGCTTATATGGAACAAATCCAGTGTCCGGTCCCTACTTACTAGGCGTCCTGGTGATTCAACAAGGAACACTTATAGAAGGTTATTAGGAATTTATAAAAACACAGTTTTATTTTACATATAAATGTTTCCTTGTCTAAAATTTAACCTGGAGTTCTTGGGCTGCTGTCTGTGGATGAGCTTCACAGGCATCAATGAAGCCTCAAAAATGTTATGTGAAGTAAAATGTGTTCATAGTTTTCATTACATTCTTAAAGGGGTGTGTGTGCCCTATAAAATACTAATAATCACTGATCTATAACCTTTAGTGTTGTACTTCTAAAAGGCCATTTGTCGAGCAGGCTAGAGATTACTCACAGGACTATGGTCTTCATGGGGAACATGTGAGAAGAAATGGTGAGCAGAGTGAGGCTATAAAAATAATTATGATAATATTATCAGCTCTTAGTGATTCAATGCCTATAATATCCTAGGAGTCACTTTATATATGTAAAGTAGGCATTATTATCTCTACCATGTAGATGAAGGACACTGAAGCAGAGACAGCTTAAAAAACTTTATCTAAATTTTGTATCCATTACGTGGTAAGGCTGGGATTTAATCTTACTTCCTTCAAAGATTATTCTCTTCCTCAACACCTAGTGCCTTCATCCATATATATTTCCTGACCGTATATCACATATTTAACACCATGAGTGACATAAAAGGGTGTTTCTTTTATATACTTAGGGAAACAGGAATAACTCTTGCAAAGAAATAGACTAGAATAAAGTTTGTTGTTTCCCACAGTCCCACCTTGAGCTTTTGCATCTACCATATCCAAGCCAAGTTCCTGCACTTACATAAAGTCTTTCCTGAACTTACTATCCCTGTGATTTCTCCTTTCTAGCTCTTATAAGCTGTGTTTGAGTCTTGCCACCTGGTGCAGTGGCTGTGGCTGTGGTAGTTGGAAGTAGTGTCGGGATCCACAGGCTGGAGTTGTGGTGAAAGAAAGGAAGTGGAAAAGCCAAATGGGAAACCAGAATTGTGATGAGTGATCAAGATGGAGAAACAAACAAAAAGTAAGGGTCAAACCATAAGGGCAAATGAGATAAAAAGGGGAAGGGTGGCTGTCAAACGGTGGCCAGGAGAGCAGAAAGTTCGGAGGAGATGGCCAAGGCCAGGGCATCTGCTGTGAACTCTGAGTTCTACAAAGATAAGACCATGCCAGGTGTGTAATTTCTGAGAGCAGAGAGGATGCTTCTCTTTGAAAAGAAGGATCATTTGCTGTAAACACAGTAGATGTTCAATAACTGCATTTTAATGACAATAATGACTCAAATGCTAAGTTATGCCATGTTGTATACATATGAAATTCACAGCAAGAAAGGTATTATGAAACTGAGAGTCTGAAAGGGGCTCTGAGGAGAAGGTGGGACAAGGAGTGCACCTGGACAGGGTGGGCAGACAGCACATTCAACACTCCCCACTGCCCTACCCTGTGGTAGACACTGCTTACAGATTACAGTAGCCTTCTCTACCCACTCTGAATACAGCCCTACAGTTTTTCTCAGCACTGTGCTCCACAATGCCTGGAGTTGATAAGGCATGGAGGGTATGCAGCAGGTTCATACCGGCCTGCGCTAATGGTGATTCCATTTTTAACAATTTCAGCCTTCCATATTACTTGATATGTAGCCACTGGTCCCAAGCTCCTAGTGGCTCCCTGAAACCTGGGCTTGCCTGCCTGTCTTCCAGTGCTCTCTAGGCCTCCCTACAATGTAGCAACTCCAGGTTTCTGGGTTAGCATAGCCTGGGGGCTCCAGGACCCTGCTTTACCTCTGAGAACCTGGTGAATATTTTGAGCATTACTCTGGTTCAGAATGTGAACCCTACCAGTGAGTTTGAAGAAGAATGGTTAGTTTGGGGCTGGGTCAGGGAAGAGGTAAAGGAGAAAAAAGACAGCTCAGCTGGCATGGGAGAAACACAACATGCAAAGGCTGAGAGAAGGATGTGCAAGGAGTGAATTCCAGAAACAGCGAGTAATCCGGGTCTGGTTAGAAAAGAGGCCACACCAGTGACAAACTGGGAAGCAAACTTTTATATGTAGGACAAACTGATTATAACAGTTTTGAAACACTCACATAAAAGTTTCTATTCACCTTGAAGGAGTACAAGAGTCACTGGAAACAAAGGGCTGAGTTTCTGGGGAAGCGCTTTGACCCTTTGCAGCATTCGCCTCCTTCTCCTTCAACCCAGAGGGAGAGCCTGCCAGCCAGATGCAGAGACAGGAGCCGCTGGGAGCCAGGGAGCAGTGGGATTCCACACTCTGCCCTTCGCTGCCCTCCTTCCTTTTTCACACCAAAGACAAGGATTCCGCCCTCAAGCTCTTACATTGCAAGAGACACCCAGGAGAGATTTCTTCGGCAAATAACAAAGCACACAGGGGCCATTTCTGAAACACCTCATTGGTCTTCAATACTCAGAGATCAGTGCTGTTCACGGATCTGCCCAGCCTTGTATTATTTTTTTCTTCACTTTGACATGAAAGTCATTCAGGACCCTAAAAAAAATAAATGCCTAATAAAAATGAATAAAACCTGATGGTGGATTGCTTTCCATAAGAGGAGGAAGAAGACTGTGAAAGGCACAGCCACTAATATATATCATTGACTTTCCCTAATCCTGAGTATATTTTTTGGTATAAAACGTGGATAATAATGTCTGCCTCCTGCCTGCTACACACAGGAGACAGAGGATCTCTAATAGAACCACAGGTCATCAGTCAACCCTCCACTGACCGCCCCTCCAGTGCTAGCACCGTGATCTGTGGCCTTGTCTATAAGCTCTCTGAAATACAGGATCTTCGAATGGGGGAGTGGTCATTGCGTTTATTACTGCAGGTGCGAGAGCATAAAAAGAATATGCTCAGCTCATTAGTTGGATGTTTTGCATCAGGAAGCACATCTGAGGTCGTTTCAACTTTTACATAGCCCGTTTTTTTAAAAAGCACTTGAAGATTGAAATGACTTGAAAAGTATCAGGTGAAACTAGCAGGATAAGCCGTCTCCTGTATACACGGCCAGTGGGCGTGGAATGTGGTGTGGCTTTATGCAATGTGGGTTGAGTCAAAAGTTCACAATCTTTGACCCAATTATATTCATTTCTAGTTATCTGTTTTAAATTTAAGAAAATTATTTTTGCACCATGGTTGTAATCTCAATATTATTTTTGGCAGAAAAAAATTCAAACAACTCAAATTTTAACACAGTAGATTCTTAAATGAACTATGGTAAATTGATTTAGTGCTGAAATAGTATTTGTAAATAGAGAAGAAACAACTTTTAATAAAAGTTTTAAAAACATTGAAAATACTTTAAAAAGGTAAAATATAAAATTGTCAATAAACTGTGGTCTATGATATATAAATATACATTTAAAGTGTGAAAATGAAATACCTATAATAGATGAGAACAGTGTTTTCCTCTCTGGCTGGTTGCATACCCTATTCTGTATTTTGCAAATTTTCATTTTATATAGAAATATTTTTAAAACATTCTAAAGAAATTTTCTTTAATACTTTACATAATAATTTTATCAGATGAGCAAAAGAAACTGGTTACATTTGCTTATCTGATAGAAAGGAAAAGTCATAACACTAATTTCAGGTAAAACAATTTTCAGACAGGCTGACTGCTATAGTTTGAATGTTTTTATCCTCCCCTTCCTGAAATTCATATATTGAAATTTCATCCCCAGTATGTTGGTATTAGGAGGTAAGGCCTTTCAGGAGGTGATTAGGTCATGAGGTCTTGGGATTAATGGCTGCAAAATAGCCCCAAGGGACTTGTTTGTTTTTCTACCACGTGAGGAAGGAGGAAGACACAGGGAGAACTGTGAGGTCTAAAACCTGGAAGGGAGCCCTCACCCGAACCCGATCGTCCTGGCACTCTGATCTCAGACTTTCCAGCCTCCAGAGCTGTGAGAAATAAATTTCCCTTATTCATAAGCTACCCAGTTTATGACATTTTGTTATAGCTGCCTTGATGGACTAAGATATTAACCATTACACTGTTAGTTTTTCCTTTTTTCTTTAAGGCACATTATTCTTCATATGACCTTGAAACTATTTAATTCCAATTTTCCTGAAGAAAGGAAGGAAGCAACTGTTCAGTGAGTGAATAACTTGGAAATGATTTTTGCTGGGTATGAGGAGCATACAGCATAGATGCAGGTGATGTGGATGTCCGACTGGTCAAATGGAAGTAGAAGAGAGCAGGAATGAGAAGAGAAAAGACACAATATGTTAGTTGCTTTTTCAAATGATTCCTTCGATCAAGAGAAAGTATCATTTATCACAGAGCATACTCACAGAGATGAAACATGATCCCGGAAACAAGCTAAAGAGATTATAGGCTTTACTAGACAGTAGGGAGTTTTCTCTGAGCAATTTTCATGAGGTTTTGGGTCACAGGGAGGTAAGATAAAGGTGCCTGTCACTACGTGTGTGTGTATGTTATATGTGTGCACCTGCAGATGTAAATGTGTGTGTGCTCTCATGTCCACCCTTATCTCTTACACATAACTCTGACAGTGAGTGTTTGCTTGGCTTTAGAGCCATAAGAAATAATCAACCATGCTCCAATAAGTTGCATGACAGCAGAGATGCAAACGAAGGGCAACATACTTCAAGAAAACTCACTGTTGTTACTCTTCAATACATCTGTTATACCCAAGCCTATCAGGCAACACTTTTTTAAGTTCCTTATTTTAAAGGAGTCTACCATTTGATCAAATCTGAAGTAATGATTTTCATCAAATTTTCTCAAATAAATGAGATGATTAAGTTTGTAATATATTTACTGCAAACCCACTTCATGACTCATAGTTTGGGAGTAAACAGAAACTCAGATTCAGGAAAGAACAGGAGCTATCTCCAATCAACTTTTATTATTTGGAACTGTATGTGACTGCATTAATTAGCTATCTAAAATGGCAAATAAATATTGGCTTATATGTCAACTTCAGTTGAATGGATTTATAGATGTTTTTATTAATAGCTCCAATCTACTGGGTGCTTAGTGTGTACCATGCACTGCCCTAAGGGTATTGCAGATTTAATCTTCACACTAACACTTTGAAGTAGATACTATATTTGCCCTCATTTTATGTATGAGGGTACTGAAGTTTCGTAACTTTCTCAAGATCCCATAGCTGAATAAGCCATGGAGTGGGGATGAACAACCTAGGAAGTCAATGTTTCAATTATGATTTTATTGAGGATGCTTCCAGGAACACTGAAGTGAGACCTTTGGGTTTCCCTCTAGGACAAAAGAAAAGGCATTTTGTGATTATTTAGCAATTTCAACCATGGGGTTGGGAGTATTATTATATTGGCTTAGTATTGGCCATCGCCCATCCAATTCCCTGATTCCAATTCCCATTTGGAAACAAAGGTACAGAAATGAATTGACATAGTCAATTAGCTCCAAAGCCAACTCTGTAAGTAGAGTCTTCCTATTAGTTATTTGCATTTTCTTCCCTTCTATTGAAGACAAAGTAAAGTAACACATGCATTTCCACTATGATCTTTTAAATAAAAAGGAAAATATTTTGAGACCTACAATAATGGGAGTGAAACTTCAGCCAGCTCCCAGGGAATCATGTTATGCTCCTTGCCTCTGGGAGAAGAGATAGAAGACTCAGAAAGGACAGCTCAAAAAAAGCATCATTTCTGATGGAGTGCAAGGTATGAAATTAATCATTTTCAGGAAACTATCAGAGCAATATATTTCTTATACTACATATATAATAATCCATATTACAGGTACTGTACACACACTTCAATGGGCCATTTGCTTTCTGATTGTTTATTATATAGTGCTGTATTAGCATATAATAAAGGATTTGAGGAAGAATAGTGAGGTATTTTTTATGTCTACTTTAAGCTGTTAGTTTTACTGCATTTCGGGATGTGGAGAATTGTCTTGTAGTCAAATCGAGCTATAAAGACTAAATTGAATTATCCCTATGGAACAGCTGTTAAGTCTCCAGGGAGTGGGAAGGTCCCACAAGAAAGAGATGACAGATTGCAATGAGGATGCCTGCTGAATGCAGCCTGCTAAAGAGGCATACGTTAGGTTAGGCAAAGGCTGGAGCTTCCGTGGGCCTTGAAACACATTTTATAATTTATGAGTAGTACCGTACTCTTGCTGCCTGATTTGTTGATCCCTTGAATCTGAACTTCCCAAGGCCTAATAACTGTAAGAGAGTCTGCGAACACTAGAAAAGGACAAAAATATCATTCCTTCCAAAAGCCCTTACTTAGTACCACAGTGACTTAGTGATGGAGCAAAGCTGATTTTGTAGCAGATATGGTGTCTTTGGGGGAAACTTTAAGCTTGACTACAGAAAGGAAAGAGTTTGTACTTCGGTATTTAACAGTGCAAACCATTGCTTCTCGTAAGAAATTCCTAAAGGAGATAGACTAGGTATATAAATATGTGTGTGGGTGTGTGTGTACATGTGCAAGTGTATAGTGATACGAATTCTCACTTAAGCAGGGTGTTGGAAGCAATTTGGAAGAAAAATAATGTACATTTTTTCTTCTAAATTGTGAAGGTTAAAACTAAGGTTGCCTACCTGCACAATAAAACAATTTTCTTGGGATTTTTTTCCAAATACGTTAGTGCTAAATGGATTCTTTATGCCTCATATTAACAATACTGCCAATTAAACCCCAAGGAGTAACATATGCTAGCAAAGTTGTAGGCAACTTGATAAGTGCTATAGTAGTTTAAAAGTCACCACAACACTTAGCAAAGTTTTAGATAATGATTCTCTCAGAAAACGAAACGGTGAAAGCTACTGATATTCAGAAACTGAAGTTTTTTTTTTCTCTTGTTCCTTTTTATCTTCCTTTTTTTTGCTCTGCTTATTCAGTAACTCCAATCTATCTTATCGTTAAAGATATTTTTTAACACATAATATGTATAAAGATATTCTTTTTTAATATTACTATAGGGATCTTAGTTATTTATATCTAAAGCTCAGGCTTTTATACTTTTAAGCCCCAGTTTATGAACAATGAGTGTGCAATGTTTTTATAAGCTTACTGTTGTTTCACTTTGCTCTGCCACATCTTAGCAAAATGGTAGGTAGTGATGCCCTTTAATATTTCTGACATTAGGCTAATCTAAACTTCTGGTAGTGCATGATTTCAATGTAGTGCCCCTGCTCCAATCACAATCTGTGTCAGCAGATTGGACTCAAGGAAACTGATATATTATGAAATATTTCTTGAAACATTATTGGGAAAGGGATAGGAATGAGTGTGCTTTCCATAGCCCAAGACTCCAAACCTAGAATCAAAAAAAAAAAAAAAAAAATGTCATGAGCAAGCCAGTGTTTATGTTAATTAGGAGATGGTTGACCTAAGCTCATGTGGATAAGTTGCAGAATTGTCAGGAGCCTTGGGCATTAGCCAGAGATGGACAAGTAATGTCATGGCTTTTCTAGAGCCAGTGAGGTAATTAATCCCTCCCTAGCATCATCCTAACTTTTCCAAACCGAAGGAGTCAGGGACTTGACACAAACCTTTTAAAATGCTGACAATCTTTAATCCAAGTGTGATTCCCCATGAGCATCCTCTGCCTCATACCCTTGAATCCAATGGCAATTTTCAAGAAAATGTGTTAATATGATACCTCAAAACACAAAAAAATTCTTATAGATTATATTTATCAAAGAATAAAACAAACACAAAGTCATTTAAGCCATAGTTTGTTCAAATAATTCTACAATAAGATTGCAAAGAGAATCATATTTTTGCTGTCAATGACAGGGTGACCTACTCTTGCCATGGATTAAAGAAAAAATGTCAGTTGAAGAGATTTCCAATTCCAGGAATATGAAGTAACATAGTTTTCCCTATTTATTCTGCTAAGTACAACTAAAAGACTATAGGAATTATGTATAAAACTTACCTAAAATATCTCTGAATGGTGGGGAAAAGAAATAAAGGATATATAAAAATCTCGGGACCAAAAGAAAAACACAGTGGAGAATTCTCTGGATTTTCTCTTAACCTGATCTGTTTTAAGTATGCTGCTGAAAGACAACCCAGAGAGACCAACTGGTGCAGATAAAATTTTGTTTAAAATTGCCATTAAAAGACTGCTGTCTATAGCCAAAGGATGAGGAAAGGATAGCATAGAAAGAGAGATGCTGTTAGACAACGACTTCTCTCCCTAAGCCAAATGCCATAGAAAAGACTATGGCCCCATTTCCACTGAGCCATGCTGTAGTGAGGTGCCCAAGTTTCTGGCCAGGGTGGTATATGGGAAGATCAATCTGGGACTCTCTGGCTTACAAGGCCAATTCTGAAGATCTGTGAATTTAATCATTGTCAGATAGAACCAAGTCTCTCCCTATGGTATCAACTGCGATCACAAGGAAAGCCTAGACTTCTGCCGCTACTGAGCTATCATGAGGAACCCCCTTCATCCCCTGCAGGAGCAGTCTCAGAGATGGTTTAGTGGTGAGTCAGGACTTTCATCACATTCCAGTGATATGAAGGGCATCCCTCTCCCACCCACCCACAAACACTGTGATGTCACTGCAGATCACATGGGCAGCAGTCATGAGTCTTTAATACTAATCCAAGCCAAACATATCCCTTGTGGTTTCAAGAGTTTTTCTTTACATTTTGTCAATATTGGGCAAAAATATGAGTAAATGCAACAAACTATCCTTCTCCTTTTGAATTCTTTAAATGATGTTTGACATTGTAGCAAAATAATACCACTTGAAATGGTTCTAAATATATAGAAATGGTTCTAAAAATATAATTGCCTAATTAAGACAATTGTAAAATAAATAAGGGAAGATAAAGGGATGTCAATGGAAATTAGGTTTCTACATATCAGCTAAATTGGTAAAATGATTAAACCAGTAAACCACAATAAGTTATGCATATATAATATAATGTCTACAGAAACCACTAACAAAAGCTATACACAGATATACTCTAACACTAGATAAGAAAAATAGAATTTTAAAAACTATCCAGGAAACACAGGACGTTAGAGAAAATAGAGAATTTTTAAAAACCCAGGAAACAAAATAAACAGGCACTTAAGCCCAGAACATTCATTACATTAAATGTAAATTTGCTAAATAGACCAATTAAAAGACAGAAATTGAAAGCATGAATTAAAAAACATGACCCAACTATTTGTTGTTTACAAGAAACTTACTTCAAAAATGATTACATAGGCAGGTTAAGAGCAAAAGGATGGGAAAAGTTACATGACAAAGACCTTTATAGAGGAAAAGCAAGAGTGGCTATATTAACATCAGACACACTTCAGAGCAAAGAGAGTTATCAGAGACAAATAATAATATTATATAATGATAAAAGAGTGAATCCACCAGAATACATAGCATACTAAATGTGTATGTACCAAACAACAGAGCTACAAAATATATAAACCAAAAATGGATAGAACTGGAGAGAGAAACAGACAAATCCAAAATTATTGTTGGAAACATCAACACGTTTATTGAGCACCTACAACGTTTAAGGCACTCTGTTAGGCATTGTGAATGCAGTAGTAAAAAGAAAACACAGTCCTGACCCTCATGAAACTCATTATTAGGGAAGACAAATGTTACTTAATTAGAAAATCATTTAATTTGTCAATATGATAAATGAGAATCTCAAACACACTAAAAGTTTAATCTCCCTCATTTAAAAGGAACTATTTTTAATATTAACAATAAGTAGACATATATGTAACTCCCAAGCCATAGAATTTAATGGAATATGTGGTTTTCTTGTTTCATATTCCAGAGATAATAAAAAATTCATGTTGTCCCAATATAGACTGCAAATACTACCCACAGTTGAAATATGACCCACAGTCAAAAAAAAAAAATGAATTCTCTGGATGGCCCTAATGTCTTTGTTTCTTCCACTAGTGCAATTAACACAGATTCAATATCTGCCATTCTCTTTCTCTCCAGTGTCACGTCAGACGCTGATGGGAACTCAGAGCATAAGATAAACACATTACGAATGGGTTCAGGAATGGGCTGGTGAAAGCAAGACTTACCCCAAAGTGGTAGAAACCATCAAGACAAAACAGATGGGCTGACTTACCACAGTATAGATCTGATGCTTTCGTCTCTTAGCCAGGTCAATTATGTTTACTCCATTGTAGTAAAGGTTTTCGATGCATCCATGGAAGTTTTTCTTTAAAAAGGTCCCAGGTTTTCCTGGTACTGGAATTCCTCCAAAACTAAGCTTTTGGGGTGAAAATAGAAACAAACTCTTAGTTTTAAGCTCAGAAAGATTAGGAAAGGAAAGTAAACACGTGCGTTTTTGGTAGATTCAATTGTATGCTTGAGCCAAATGGCTCAAATAATTATAGATGCTACTTGATTACACATTTAAAAGGATACTGATTAGCCTATGTAAAAATAACTGTAATTGCTTGCTTCTTAAGGGACTATTTTACACAACCATTTTCACTTCCTTTCTGAACCTTTTTAATACTAAATAAAACAATAATTTACAGAAGGAGGGAAAAAGAAAAAGAAAATCAATGTCTTTATAATTATCTCTTATCCAAGCATCTTAAAAGATATGGCCATACTAAAGCCAAGAGACAAACAAAACATACCTCTATTCAGCTACAGAAGAACCTAGTTTAAAAGCCTATATTGTATGCAAAAAGCCTTATGCATAAGATTGTCCACAATTGTCATCTATAATGATGAAAAACAGGAAATATTCCAAATGTTCTATATAGTTTTGTAAAGCAAGTAATTAAGAATCAATGTGATGAAATTTCACTTGTCAATAATGGTGCTTATTAAACATTTGTAATATAATGGGAAGTAAATATAATGTTGATTTTAAAATGCAAGAGTTACAATTGGGTATAAAGTATGATGTCAACAATAAGAAGTTGAGCATAAAGCATAGTCTGGGAGGAAATACACTGAATTGTTATTATTAG
Organism: Homo sapiens; assembly: GCF_000001405.40. NCBI lineage: Eukaryota > Metazoa > Chordata > Mammalia > Primates > Hominidae > Homo > Homo sapiens. The sequence goes on along the minus strand of NC_000002.12, from coordinate 124,474,020 downwards.
GTTGAGGCAAAAGCAACTGCGGTTTTTGTCACTAAAAGTAATGGCAAAAACCGCAATTACATTTGCACCAACCTAATTTAATAGTGGTTCACTTTGGAAAGGTTATGAGATACTAGCGGTTTTCTTCTTTTACAACTTTTATTTCTAATTAGTATTAACACAAATTGCCTTTTTAATAGATATATTATTTTAAAAGCAAGGCGGCCTGTTATGAGTATTTTTTCTACTATGAAAAAGAATCAAGATAATTTATATTATCAGGTTTATCCCAATACCATTTAATGAGAAATGCAGTTTTTTCCACTGCTTTGAAATATCACTGTCAGCATGTACTTCAACTATATCTATATTTGGATACTTCTCCATCTTTCTCTAGTTCACTGTCTCTTTTTAGCTGTCTCTGTCTTAATGTTTCAGGAGGATGTGGTCTCCCAATCAGAATGTCTTCTTATATGAATAACTACTGATACACTTAAGGCTATTTTTAGATTTTTTTACAAGCTTCACACTAGTAAAAAAGTGTTTCTTAATGCAGTGTAATAGGTGAAGAGTATTATTAATCCTGTTGCCCACTTTTACTTACAACTACTTTAATTTTTAAAGAGAATTTTTTGATATTTTATCTATTTCATTTTAAAGTTTAATTACAGAATAATTTTATTTAACTAGTTTGTTAGAATTTTTATTGATAATTTATTATTTACATTAAAACATTTAGTTAGAGAAGAATGGATATTTTTTAAATATTTGATTTTTCTTTCCAAGAACCCACCGTTGTTTTCTATTTTCAGAATATTTCTAATAAAGTCCTCCAACTAAGGTTATTATTTTCTTTCTCTAGTTTTCATACCCATCATTAAATTAATTTCTATGAATTTCATGATTTCAAAAATTCCATTGTATATGAATTGTTTTAATTCATTAAACATTTTATCATGTAAATGCTGTGCTCATCTTATTGCTGCTGGTATATTTTCTTTAACCAGATACTTGTATATACTTTTATATTAAATCATATACTCTTTAGTTATTTCCTTTTAATTTGTGAGGGAGATACAGGCAATACCTTGTTTTATTGTACTTCGCTTTGTTGTACTTCACAGATTTTGTGGTTTTCATGAATGGAAGATTTGCGTCAGCCCTGTGGCAAGTAGGTCTCTCAGCACTATTTTTCCAACAGTGGGTGCTCACTTTGTGTCTCTGTGTTAGCTTTATTTTTTTTGCAATAAAATATCTTTAAATTGAGGCATATATATTTCAAATATAATGTGATTATTGCACACTTAATAGACTATAATATAGTATAAACATATCTTTTATATGTACTACAAAACCAAAAACTTTGTGCGACTTGATTATTTCAATATTCACTTTATTGCATTCGTCTGGAACGGAATCCACAATACCTGCAAGGTATGATGGTAATCATATGATATATATGTATTTATATATATATATAAAACACCTTATTCAATATAATTAATATGAAATCAATTTCTTATACATTTATTTCCTATTTTACTGTCTCCATCAAAACTTCCTAACTCCTAGCCAAAATTTTTGAAGCAATATTGAACAATAATAATGGTATACAAACTTGTAACATCAACAACAATACCATCACGAAACAAAACAAAAATTTTATTTCTCAGCTATACATAACACTAGTTCTGACTCCACATGAAGAGAATATCCTTCTGCTCTTTTACACACAAATTATTTATTTATTTTAAATAAGAATGAATGCTTAGTTTTATTCACGATTATTTCAAAAATCCATGTGACAGACAAGAGAGTATTTTGTTTGATCTACTGATGAGCTGAATTATATTACTACATTGTGAGTTAACAAATTCTCTCTTATTGAACCACTCTTGTGTTCCATTTGTGCTCATATTTTAAGTAATAAATTAGTTTGAGCTCTAGTTTTCTTTTGTCAAGCATTTAGATCAAGTCTAAATTTGTCTCTGAGTTTTATATTTTATCATATGAATGGCTCCTAAATCTCATAAAACATTCTGGAAAATTTTAAATTACCAATGAACTTGTAAATTCCACAAATATTTTGTAAAAGTATTACAAAATCTCCTTTGTTGATTTATTGCTGTTTTCAAACATTTTAAATTTGAGTCATTTACATTAAGAAAAGGTCCAAATACATAAATGTGGATAAACAGAACTAAAGACAAAAACCATATGATTATCTCAGTAGATGCAGGAAAGGCCTTTGGTAAAATTCAACATCCCTTCATGTTAAAAACTGTCAAAAAACTAGATATGGAAGGAACATACCTCAAAATAATAAGACCCACATATGAAAAGCCCACAGCCAATAGCATACTGAATGGGCAAAAACCAGAAGCATTCCCCTTGAAAACTGGCACAAGACACAGATGCCCTCTCTCACCACTCCTATTCAACATAGTATTGGAAGTTCTGGCCAGGCAATTAGGCAAGAGAAAAAGATAAAAGGTAATCAGGTAGGAAGAAAGGAAGTCAAATTATCTTTGTTTGCAGATGACATAATCCGATATCTAGAAAACTCCATTGTCTCAGCCCAAAAGCTTATTAGCTGATAAGCAACTTCAGCAAAGTCTCATAATACAAAATTATGTACACAAATCACTAGCATTCCTATACACCAACAACAGGCAAGCCAAGAGCCAAATCATAATGAACTACCTTTCACAATTGCTACAAAAAGAATAAAATACATAGAAATATAGCTAACAAGGAAAGTGAAGGACCTCTTCAAGGAGAACTACAAACCCCTGCTCAAATAGATCGAAGAGAGCACAAATGGAAAAACATTCCATGTTCATGGATACGGAGAATCAATATTGTGAAAATGGCCATACTGCCCAAAGCAATGTATAGATTCAATGTTATTCCTGTTAAACTACCACTGACATTCTTAATGAAATTAGAAGAAACTCTTTTAAAATTTATATGAAACGAAAAAAGAGTTTGAATAGCCAAGACAATCCTAAGCAAAAAGAACAAAGCTGGAGGCATCATGCTACCCTTCTTCAAACTATACTACAAGGCTACACTAACCAAAACAGCATGGTACTGGCATAAGAACAGACACACAGACCAATGGAACCATAGAATAGAGAGTCCAGAAGTAAGACCACACACCTACAATCATCTGATCTTCGACAAAACTGACAAAAATAAGCAATGGGAAAAAGATTCCCTATTTAATAAATGGTGCTGGGATAACAGGCTAGCCATATGCAGAAAATTGAAATTGGACCCCCTCCTTATACCACATACAAAAATCAACTCAAGATGGATTAAAGACTTAAATGTAAAACCCAAAACTCTAAAAACTCCAGAAGAAAACCTAGGCAATAGCATTCAGGACATAGGCACAGGCAAAGATTTCATAACGAAGATGCCAAAAGCAATTACAACTAAAGCAAAAATTGGCAAATGGGACCTAATTAAACTAAAGAGCATCTGCACAGCAAAAGAAACTATTTTCAGAGCAAGCAGACAGCCTACAAAATGGGAGAATAATTTTGCAACCTATTCATCTGACAAAGGCCTAATATGCAGCATCTACAAGAAACTTAAATAAATTTACTAGAAAAAAACAACCCCATAAAAAGTGGGGCAAAAGACATGAACAGGCAGTTCTCAAAAGAAGACATACATGCAGCTAACAAGCATATGAAAAAAAGTTCAATATCACTGATCATTAGAGAAATCCAAAGGAAAACCACAATGAGATACCATCTCACACCAGTCAGAATGGCTATCATTAAAAAGTCAACAACAGATACTGACATGGTTGTGGACAAAAAGAAACACTTTTACGCTATTGATGGGAGAGCAAATTATTGCAACCATTGTGGAAGACAGTGTGGTGATTCCTCAAAGACCTAGAGGCAGATGGGTCTTTGAATCAGCAATTTAATTACTGGGTATATACCCAAAGGAATATAAATCATTCTATTATAAAGATACATGCACATATATGTTCATTGCAGCACTATTCACAATAGCAAACACATGGAATCTACATAAATGTCCATCAATGATAGACCGGATAAAGAAAATGTGGTACATATACGCCATGGAATACCATGCAGCCATAAAAAGAAATGAGATCATGTCCTTTGCAGGAACATGGATGCAGCAGGAGGCCATTATCCTCATCAAACTAATGCAGGAACAGAAAACCAAACACTGTATGTTCTCACTTATAATTGGGAGCTGAATGATGAGAACACATGGGCACAGGGAGGTGAACCACTCACAGTGGGGCCTGTGGAAGGTTGGGAGGAGGGAGAGCATCAGGAAGAATAGCTAATGGATGCTGGGCTTAATACCTAGGAAATTGGATGCTCTGTGCAGCTAATCACTATGACACATGTTTACCTATGTGACAAACCTGCACATCCTGCACATTTACCCCTGAACTTAACATAAAATTTAAAAATGTAAAAAAAAAGAAAAGATCTATTTTGGATTTGCAAATTTTTCACATACATCAAATTTATAATGTAAAAATATATGTTATTTGGATATATGTTACTTTTACTTATTTTTATTATTTTAAATATTTAATGACATTTGTATTTTGTGTTGGCTACTTTCCTCAATTTCAAAAAAATTAATGCTCTACTTCGCTCAGTTATGGTTTAAGAAAATATTGTTTGCAGGAAAATGTTAGTAAAAAAACAGAATGAAAAAAAGCTGCTGTCTTTTAAATAGCAAAACACAGTGCTATTGAAAATATTCAGGGTGGAGAGTTTTTTCCAGTCAGGTAGTATAGAGGGTACCATATACTAAAAAATTGTAGTTTCCTATTACACTGAGGGGAGCAATCTCTCCTCTACTCTGGGTGGAAGATTTTCAGAGGCAGTTGGTTGAGACAAGAGCACAGTTAGGTGGTAGCTTGAGGCCTGCTCTCTGGTTCTCCCTGAGGGATTGAAACTGGATGTGAGTTGGGTGGATATGGATAGAGGTCACAAGACAGATCTTGGAAAACACAGAAAGGTACTGCCTCCAGAAGTACCCATAGCAGTGATGGCTGCAAGCCTGTTAGAGCTGTCTCAAGTTCAGCATGATCCCAGAGCAAATCAGCTGGGGAGGAGAAGACAGGTTAGCAAAGGCTGAGGAAGAGGCAACGCAGAAAGGCTAGAGGGGTTCCACAGTGACCTGGTCACTCTAGCACAGTGTGAGGCAGGCAACTGAGGGTCCCCAGGACCAGAAGAGCAGGTTGAGGGTACAAATGGGCTGAAGTTATCAGTAAATGTGTTAAGGGCTGGTAGCTGGATTTGGAGGTCTGGGAGAGTCCAAGTGACTACATCTCACTCCCTTAGGCCAAGTGCGATGGTTAGTATTAAGTGCCAACTTGATAGAAGGATGCAAAGTATTGCTTCTGGGTGTATCTGGGTGTTTCTGGCTGTTGCCAGAAGAGATTAACATTTGAGTCAGTGGACTAGGAGAGGACTCACCCTCAGGAAGGTCCACCCACAGTGTGGGTGGGCCCCATCTAGTCAACTGCCGGAACTGCTAGAAAAACCAGACAGAAGAAGATGGAAGAAGCTGACTTGCTTCTTTCTGCTGTGTTGGATTCTTCATGCTCTTGAATATCAGACTCTGAGGACTTTGGCTTTGGACCCTTGAACTTACACCAGTGGTTTGCCAGGGACTCTTGGGCCTTCTGCCACAGGCTGAAGACTGCACTGTTGGCTTCCCTATTTTGAGGTTTTGAGACTTGGACTGAGCCACTACCTTCCTTGATCTTCAACTTTCAGACAACCTACCATGGGGCTTCACCTTGTGATTGTGTGAGTCAATTCTCCTTAATAAACCCCTTTAATATATACATGTATCCTATTAGTTCTGTCCCTCTAGAGAACCCTGGTTAGTACACTAAGGCAGGTCCTACAGACAACAGCAATGAAAGCTGTGATGCAAGTCTTTTGCCTCCAAACAGGTGGGACTCGTGAATGGCATGACTCCCTTGACGCAGCACGATACACAAACCACCCCATTAGTGATCTGCCAAGGGAAGAGGAAAAAAGTACAGAGAGAACGTCACAACATAACCCAATATATACCCAATAATGTACTACTTTTTAAATAATCATTAAGTAATTATTATTCATCATCAAGGTTAGATTTTTCTACCATTAGAAGCAACAGAGGCTGATGAGCATATTGAATCCAGTTAGGGAAAAGAAGCAAAACCGTTTTTATGTGCATTTGAATATGAGTGTGAATTTGCACCCTGATTTAGATTTTTAGATGTTTTACGTAGTTGAGAATTGGAAGTTATAATTTGACTATTGAACTATAGATTTAGTCCATTATCAGATTAAATTAGACTGGAGAAATTTGCTTCATATAATGATGTTTTTCTTTTCTGAATATTTTATAAACACTTATAGGCTACACACCTCTTAATTCTATATTAATAAATATATCCCTCAGATCATTTGTTTTCATATTTTTGTCTGATTTACCAAAACTTTGAAAATAAAAATTAAAATCTTCCTCTAAGCTGTTTCTCTCCATCAAGCCCTCCATATAAGAATTACCACTATGGAAGATTTGGGCTGGCCGAGTTATTGTACCTACTCTTTGCAAAAATTGAATACTGATCATCCTCAAGCTAGTCTCCTGCTTAGTTCTGCTGGCTTCTGATTGGCTCCCTCCAACATTCCCAACCTTGGCTTTTCCTCTTGAACTCTGTCCATTAGTTCATTCATCTGGCAGCATAGCTGGTTAAACCAACAACCATCTTCCTCAACCAGGCTCTAGGGCCTCTGCATGTTGGAACTGCAACACAGGTACTCACATAAGGGCACTATTGACCAATATCTGCATAGGAACAATTAGAAGTCTTTTACTTTTGCATTTATTGATATTTTATGTGCTATACACATGGGGTTAGTATGTGTTTTTAATTAGAGACTATAATGATTATTTTACAACGGCCTGTTTTGATCTTAATATTTACTTTCAAAGGTACTAGTTTTTCCACTTCTGCTTTCTTTCTGTCTACATTTAATTGGTGTACCTTTGTCCGCATTTCAAACCTGTTTTTAATCATTTTTAATTTTCCTTCACAGATTTCATTTCCGAGGATGCTGAAGATCTGATTATGCCTTTCTATTCATACTCTAGAATATTTCATTATTTGGCAGATGTGGATGATACTGAATGGAGATTGTATTTCTGAGTACATAGTCTGTATGAAATGGCCCAGGGCCTTCAGTATATGGAAGACTGAGCTGGAAATCCTGCTTCCATTAGGTAATGTGCTCATCCATTCGTTGGCAACTTACAGTTGTCACAGACTTTCCGAACAAAATCTGTCTCATCTGACCAGTAATTTTCAGTGAATACTGATCAAAAACTCTTTTATTCTTATTATTCTGTTACCAACTCTTAGAAACACTTGATAAAGTTAATTCCAATTGTTTGGTACAAATTCGATTCACTTAATAGTTGCTGAACCCTTACTTTTTGTGAAGCATGATTCAAAGCCCTGTGGTGGAATTAAGGATAAATCACATGCTGCCTCTATCTAAAAGTGTAGGGCCAGTCACTAAAGACAAATTCATGCTCCAACAGACTGATGGAAGACAAAGTATGATAGAAACAATGCAAGCATACTAGTGACCAAAATCTACAGGAAACCATCAAATTTTAAGTCATAAGTAAAGAAAGCAAGATCAGTTGGTGCCATAGGATAGGATATTTGAAGGCTAGGCTGAAAAGAATAGAGTTATTGTATTCTCTGAAGGATTTTCAGAGAATAGTTACACTATTCTGCTGAAGGATTTTTGGAGAAAAATAATAACCACCTTTAAAGAAAATTATTTTCTTGAAGTAAAAATGGAAAAATAAATAAATAAATAAACAAAGAGGGCAAATATTAGATCAAAGAGGCTTATTTTGGCCTCAGGTGAGAGGTGGTGGAAGCATGAAAAATGGAGTCTAGTTGTGGTAGGTAAAAGAGATCAATACGCTGAGCAAGCACTCTCAGACAGCATCCTGGAAAACTGACTTTTTTTTGTCTCTTCTCAAATGGCACCATCTCAATGATGCCTACCCTGACTGACATATCTAAAATTGCAATCTCGTTCCCTCCATCCAAGAACTCCTAGATCCATTACCTTGATCTATTTTTGTTCTTCTCATAGCATTTATTATCTTCTTACTTACTATATAATTCACTTACTTGTGTTTATTCTTTATAGTTTGCCTCTCCTGCTAGAATGCAAGCACTATGAGGGGAGGAATCTTTTGTCTTTTGCATTGAGATATTTCACCTACTTAAAGGGGTACGTGAAACACAGTAGATGCTGAAAGAAACATTTGTTGAATGTTTGTGGAATACCTCCTTAAAATTTTCTCAGAGGCACAGATAATATCTGATTCATTTTTGAATATGTAATTCCAAGAGGTATGATTAAACCATTAATAGATTCAACAGATATTTGTTAAATTGGATTTTAAAAAGAGCACTGACAATTTGCTTCTAAATCTGCTTTTGCCTCATTGTCTTTTTTGGCAATTCGGTCTCTTTCTTTTCTTACTTTTCTTGCTTGCTTGGTCTTGGCATATTGAATGAGTGCCTTTCATTGATCTTAGTGGTCATTGAATGGTGTGCCTTTCATTGATCTTAGTGGTCAAAAATGCCAGGTATTAGATTGCAAAGTTTCACTCACAGTCTCAATGTCTTGGACAACATAGTCCATCTGGTAACTTGCTGGATTTACTGTTGTCACAGGTGAGCTCCAACAGGATAAATCCCCGGAGAAAGCCTGCATTGATGTTAAATGCATGAGGTCCCAGAATCTACCACTCTCTTTTTCTTTGATCTTATTTTATTTATTTATTTTTTTTGGTTTGGTATTTGCTTGTCTCTTTTTCAATCTTTGATGTTACTTCCACAGCAAGGAATTCATTCCTCCCTTGTTGGCTTTTTCTCTGGTCCTGTTTAAATTTGGAGTCTTCCTGTTCTAAAGATCCCACTTTGTATCTGACTTGAATATCTGATACTTTTGAAGTTTCTCATTTGTAAATGTTTGTCTCACTTTTGTTCTGACAGTCCACTTCTTAAAGAAACAGGTATAAAAAAAGGATCCAAACTGCTGTCTTCTTTTTCATCTTTTAAGACTTACACTGGCTGGGTGTTTGCTGAGGTACATGCAAAGCTCATGGCCCTTCAAAAGGAGAAACACACCATCATCAGCCTTTGGGATACTAGTCAAGGGTGGATGAATTTCTGCCATTACAAATGAGGACAAAAATTCCAATTTTCTGGTTAAATCTCCTGATTTTTAAAAATTAGCCTGAAAGTTGAGTATTTAAAAAAGAAAGTAAAACAGCATATAGGCAAAATTGGACGATGGCTTTCCAAATCTTGCCCAGGGTCATCGTTTTGTAACTTATGTTTTACTGTTTGACAGGATGAATGACTCAGTCTGTCCCATGTTTGGAACTTCTGATGTCTGTCACTTTAATATGCTCGTAGTACATATCATGCCTTATTTTTGCTTCGACTTTGGAGCCAAATAATGAGTCGAGGCAATTGTTTACATTTTTACCAACAATTACCTCTTCCTTATTGGTTTTACAATCTATTATTTCACAAGTTTCCAGTGTCCTTCTTTTTTCTGCAAAAAATTTATCCTATTTCTTTTTTGCCAGTGATAGAGAGTGGGTGATTTCTTACCCAGACACAGCCCAGCATTGAGTAAGAGAAAGCACTGTTCTTGATAGTGCTCCTCATTTAGAAAGTGCCTGCGCTCCCTTGCTTCATCCATGTCCTGACATCCTGCCCCAGTGCTCCAGGCTCACATCCCTCCTACTACATTCTGCCTATGGCTTCTGACCCAACCCCAATAATTGCCCTTAAATTTCACCTGGATTTTGTCTCTCTTGTTCAACCCTGGGCACTCTCTCAAAGTATTGTTTTAGTAATAGCAATAGTAGGACTTATTGATCATGTTTATATATCGGGCACCATGCTTAGAGCTGACCTTCACTGTTTTTTCTCTAACCTTTGAGTTGGGTACTCTGATTTGCTCCATTTAACAGCTGAAAAAAAATGACAGCATACAGAGGTTTAGCAGCTTGACTGAGACCTTGGAGCCACAAGGTAAAGAGCTGGAATTCCACATCCTTCAATCTAGAGCCCCAACTCTAAGTGCCACACACACAGTGTCCCCCTAGCTTCTTCTACACCTGGTTCCACTGAGCAGCCTTCTCAATGAAAAGTCCCAGGCTAAGGTGACCAACTTGTCCTCATTTGCCTGAAACATTGCCATTTTTAAAACTAAATGTTCCACATCCTTACGGCTCTCTCCATTCTGGGAAACCTGGCAAAATTTGCCCCCTTGTCTCAGGCAAAGTGAGCACACTGGCCCATGTTATTTGGTGAGTCTTTTGCAGCCCTGGAGGAGATGAAAAGCAGAAGTGGGGCACAGTGATAGCAGCAGACGCCACGCATGTTTTCTTAACAGCATAAATCAGCTCCTCGTATTTTCTGCTGACAGGGCAGCCCTATATTCTCAAACTACCATCAGGTTTTGCAACGGGGTATATTCAGACCATTTTTCTTATTGTTTTGGTTGTCCTTATTGCTCCTGGCTTAAACCTGATCAATGCCAGGCCTACAGTTCCTTTCTCTAAATAGGTATTTTTTCACAGACTGACAGACGTCAGCTGCTGACACAGCCCAACAGGCCTAACATATATTTTATAATTTTTTGTCTGAATGAATTTACTATATTTTTACATTAGATTCTTTGGCCAATGAGGTAAATTATGTACATTTTAGTATTCAAGCAAAGAGTTCAATAGAAATCCTCCATTCACATCCCCCTTATACCCAGGCCAGTGGGCCTTCCTGCCCTGAACTGGGTTCCTAAAGGGTCTCACTGTGGTCTTCCTCGGTCATATCCTGTGTCACAAGGGCAGGGCCTTATGAGCCCAGGGGAGATGACATAGGAGGTTGCCACCGCCTTCCAGAACATGATCTCTGCACACAACACCCAGTTTCCTGCCTCAACAGCTCTGATAGTCCTTCAAGGGTCTTCACCGTTCTCGTCCCTCATCTGCCTTCCTGAGGGGTGGCCAACAGGCAGCTGTTTGCAGTGTGGGCAGAACTTTGACCTGTGGGGTATGGGCGTGAATGGATGTCTATCTGTCAAGGGAGGGGAGTAGAGCATATTTGATTCATTCGTTTCTTAGCTTGGTTTGTAACTCTTTACAAATTTAGATTCATGATATGTGGTTCTCTATCTGTACTCTTGCCTCAGGCTTACAAACACCCTAGAGGGGCTTGGCTAGCTTTACATGAGTTTATTAAGGATTACAGTAATTTAGCCCAAATTTGGCCAGTCTCCAAATGTCTTATTGGCCACTTCCACTAGAAGTAGCACACTAATTAAAACCTACTAGCATCCCCCTAATAGCAGCTAATAGAAAACAAGATATGTTACCATTTGCTCCTTTAGTTCATGTTAATGAAAACAATGCATTTTTGTATAATACTTGTATTAAAATATTCCCTTCATCATATGTAAAACAATTAATTTGCTTTTAACAAATTTAAGAGAAGTCTTTGTATCTTATTTCACTCACATAAAACTTGAAGAAATATAAAGTTAGCAAGTCCACAAATCACAATAATCTTAAATTTAAAACTAGAAGGAAAATGGCACCAAGTAATGTGATTTCATGTCTTATACACAGGCAGAGCCCAGGCCAAGCCCCAGAGTCTGTGCTTGTATCTCCAGACATTGATTTTCTCTCCTCAGAGGGAAAACCTACTCCCCAGATAAACCTCTGGTCAAATGGTCACACAGACCTGGGCTCAAATCCTGTTCGTTTTTCTTGGTGGCTATTGAGGAATAGGGATTGGAGACTTCTTCAACTTCTCTGTGTCCTCCTTTTATATTTGTGATATAGGAGATAATAGCCTTTCTCACAGGGCTGTTTTGGGTGGTTAAACAAAATTTTAAAATGCCATACATAATAATAACTCTTTATTTTATTTTTATTTTATTTTTTTTCTTAGTGAACTTTATTTCCTGACCTGAGACAAATATTTTAATCTTCAGTTTTTAAAACTTGAAGGATATAATGATAAAAAACGACTTTTTTTTTCTTTTTTTTTTTTGAGGTGGAATCTCACCCTGTCACCCAGGCTGGAGTGCAATGGTGCAATCTTGGCTCACTGCAACCTCCACCTCCTGGGTGGTTTCCAGCGATTCTCCTGCCTCAGCCTCCCGAGTAGTTGGGATTACAGGCATGCATCACCACACCTGGCTAATTTTTGTATTTTTTATTGTTTATTTTTATTATTATACTTTAAGTTTTAGGGTACATGTGCACAATGTGCAGGTTAGTTATATATGTATACATGTGCCATGCTGGTGTGCTGCACCCACTAACTCGTCATCTAGCATTAGGTATATCTCCTAATGCTATCCCTCCCCCCTCCCCCCACCCCACAACAGTCCCCTGAGTGTGATGTTCCCCTTCCTGTGTTCGTGTGTTCTCATTGTTCAATTCCCACCTATGAGTGAGAATATGCAGTGTTTGGTTTTTTGTTCTTGCGATAGTTTACTGAGAATGATGATTTCCAATTTCATCCATGTCCTTACAAAGGACATGAACTCATCATTTTTTATGGCTACATAGTATTCCATGGTGTATATGTGCCACATTTTCTTAATCCAGTCTATCATTGTTGGACATTTGGCTTGGTTCCAAGTCTTTGCTATTGTGAATAGTGCCGCAATAAACATACGTCTGCATGTGTCTTTATAGCAGCATGATTTATAGTCTTTTGGGTATATACCCAGTAATGGGATGGCTGGGTCAAATGGTATTTCTAGTTCTAGATCCCTGAGGAATCGCCACACTGACTTCCACAATGGTTGAACTAGTTTACAGTCCCACCAACAGTGTAAAAGTGTTCCTATTTCTCCACATCCTCTCCAGCACCTGTTGTTTCTTGACTTTTTAATGATTGCCATTTTAACTGGTGTGAGATTTTTGTTATTTTCCCTTTGCATCTACTTGCTTCCTTTTTCTTTATTTTTTTCAGTTTATTTTCCTCGATGGAGGCCTTCACTTTTAACCCTGCAACTGAATTTCCAAAGGAAACAAAGGATCTATAACTATTCTATCATATGATCACCAAATAAATAGTTTTATTATGTCTGGCCAGTTTTCAAATCAGGTCTGTTATTAGAGAGATGTCCATTAGGCAACGCCAAGTAAAAGTAAGGAAGGCAGCAAGGGGTGGCCTCTGAGCATGGAGAACCTATTAGGAACTTCTTAAGGGAAGAAAGGTAGAATGCAGATTAATATCATTTATAATTCACAGAAATAAAATTCATCCAATTACTCAGCAACTTTTTACAGAGTATATTTTATATGTCAGGCAAAATGCTATAGATATAAATGAAAGTAAAGAAGAAAATCTCAACCTTTATGATGAGCTTAAATTCTATGGCTGGACTAGAGATGATGAGATAGACAATTTAAAAAATAAGTATATTTAATTATGTATTATAAAGTAATACGTGTTTTTAAAGAAAACTAGGAATAAAAATAAATCAGTGCATGCAACTTTAAAACAAATATAAGAACTGTCTTTTAAATAATGTATTCTTTCTACTGCCTCAGTTTCTTCTTAAAGTACTTTTCTGGATGGAGTAAAATATTCAGAAAGTTTAAAGAGGGTATGCAGTAAAAAGTAAGGCTTTCTTCCTTTTTGTCCTACTCTCTGAGATTCTAACTTACCTCTTGCTTTAGTATCCTTTCAGAAATTTCTATGCCTATATGTGCTTTAATGTTTATATGTTCTCTTCTGTTTTTTAAACACAAAAAAACTGTTTACACTGCATTGCACCTTGATTTTATTTTTCCTCTAACAATTTATATTGGAGATGATTTCTGTATCAGAACATATAGGATTGCCTCATTCCTTTTAATGAGTGCATTACACTTTCATAGAGGTTTGTCAGGCACCAATACATAAGGTGAGCCTAAGACCAAAGCCTGACCAATAGACTGGGAAAGATAAAAGAGTCATTTCGATTCAGACAGTTTTGTATTTGCACAAACAGCTAAGCAAAGAATAGCCATTCACTGTAGCTGTAGATACCAAGAAGGATGACATCTAAACAAAATGGGTTAGATGACCACAACATGGGCTGTATTATTCCCATTGCTAAGAACACAATTCCTTTTTTTTTTTTTTTTTTTTTTACAGAGGAATTTCACTCTTGTTGCCCAGGCTAGAGTGTAGTGGTGTGATCTCGAGTCACTACAACCTCCAACTCCCAGGTTCAAGAGATTTTCCTGCCTCAGCCCTCAGCTTCCCGAGTAGCTGAAATTACAGGCGTGTGCACCATGCCCAGTTAATTTTTGTGTTTTTAGTAGAGATGGGGTTTCATCATGCTGTTGGCCAGGCTGGTCTCGAACTCCTGACCTCAGGTGATCCACCTGCCTCAGCCTCCCAAAGTGCTGGGATTAGGAGCATGAGCCAACACACCTGGCCAAGAACGCAATTCTTGATTGAGCTAAACAATTTTGTATTATGCAGCTCTATTCTGAGAGGAGAGGGCAGAGAACTCTACCCTTTATCACAATCTGAGAGGTGATGAGAAACATGGTGGCCTCCCACAGGGGTAGGGAGGCAAATGATGTAAGTTTTCAGAGCACCTGTTCACTGGCCTTCACCTTCTCACATTTCGAGGTGTCCTGCCAAGACTCAGATCAGCTGCGGTGCAAGCCTGTGGCTGAGTGTACTCTGGGTACCTGCAAGGAGCACCGTGAGCAAAGCTGTTCCCATGCAGGGCTGACCGCAATTTTTAATCAAATCCCTTTTTGATAAGTTAGTGGGTAATTTCAAATCTTGTATTATACCTAGCATATATTCCATTGCACACATTTGCTAATAATTGTAGGACAAATTACTGGAAACAGAATTATTGGGTTGAAGAGCATTTGTTTCCAGTTTTGAATAACATCACTGTTTCTTTTATATATTATTAATTATAGTGCCATCAACAGTGTATAAAATATTTCTGTTTTCTTCCATGTCAACATGGTATATTATAAGTGTTGGTCTTTACAATATAAGTTGAAAATATTTTAGCATGGATTAGCATTTCTTTTTTTATTAGTGAGGTTGAGCATCTTCTCATACATATGAAAGTCATTTGTATTTTTATGTGTTCATTTTCTTTACATATTTTTTCATTGTTACCTGTTTTTTTAAAAAATTGTAGACACTTTTAACTTATTAATAAAAGTATGATTGTTTAGCATTATTTATTTATTTAGTTATTTTATTTCCATAGGTTATTGGGGAACAGGTGGTG
Source organism: Homo sapiens (assembly GCF_000001405.40). NCBI lineage: Eukaryota > Metazoa > Chordata > Mammalia > Primates > Hominidae > Homo > Homo sapiens. Next base: position 124,458,640 of record NC_000002.12, on the reverse strand, counting down.
TTTGGTTACATGAGAAAGTTCTTTGGTGGTGATTTGTGAGATTTTGGTGCACTCATAACCTAAGCAGTATACAAGGCACCCAATTTGTGGTCTTTTATCTCTCACTCCCTTCCCACGCTTTCCCCTTGAACCCCTAAAGTCCACGGTGTCTTTCCCATGCCTTTGCATCCTCATAGCTTAGCAACCACATACGAGTAGGAACAGACGATGTTTGGTTTTCCATTCCTGAGTTACTTCACTTAGAATAATAGTTTCCAGTCTGATCCAGGTCACTGTGAATGACATTAATTCATTCCTTTTTACGGTTGAGTAGTATTCCATTTTATATATATATATATATATATATAAAATATTACATTATATATATTATATTGTATATGTAATATATATTTTATATTATATATAATATATATTTATTATATATATTATATATATATATATTAGTTTCTTTATCCACTAATTGATTGATGGGCATTTGAGTTGGTTCCATGTTTTTGCAATTGCAAATTGTGCTGCTATAAACATGTGTGTGCAAGTATCTTTTTCATATAATGACTTCTTTTCCTCTGGGTAGATACCTAGTAGTGGGATTGCTGGATCCAATGGTAGTTCTACTTTTAGTTCTTTAAGGAGTCTTCACACTGTTTTCCATAGTGGTTGTACTAGTTTACATTGCCACTAACAGTACAGAAGTGTTCCCTGCTCACCATATCCATGCCAACATCTACTATTTTTTGATTTTTTGATTATGGCCATTCTTGCAGGAGTAAGATGGTATCACATTGTGGTTTTGATTTGCATTTTCCTGATCATTAGTGATATTGAGCATTTTTTCATATGTTTGTTGGCCATTTGTATATCTTCTTTTGAGAATTGTCACAAACCTGCACATTGTGCACATGTACCCTAGAACTTAAAGTATAATAAATATATATGTATATTTAAAAAATAAAAGGAAGATCAGCTAATGGGTGCTGGGCTTAATATCTTCGTGATGGGTTTATCTGTGCAACAAACCACCATGGCACACGTTTACCTATGTAACAAATCTGCACATCCTATACATGTACCCTGGAACTTAACATAAAAGTTGATTAATAAAAAGACATTTTCCTAATAAAAAAAAGAGAATTGTCTATTCATGTCCTTAGCACACTTTTTGATGTTTTCTTTTTTTTCTTGCTAATTTGAGTTCATTGTAGTTTCTGGATATTAGTCCTTTGTCAGATGTCACAAAGATTGTGAAGATTGTGAAGATTTTCTCCCACTCTGTGGGTTGTCTGTTTATTCTGCTGACTGTTCCTTTTGCTGTGCAAAAGCTCTTCAGTTTAATTAAGTCCTAGCTATTTATCTTTGTTTTAATTACATTTTCTTTTGGGTTCTTGGTCATGAAGTCTTTGCCTAAGCCAATGTCTAGAAGGATTTTTCCAATGTTATCTTCTAGAATTTGTATAGTCATTGGATGTGACAAAGATTGTATAGATTGTGAACATTTTCTCCCACTTTGTGGGTTGTCTGTTTACTCTGTTGACTGTTCCTTTTGCTGTGCAAAAGCTGTTTAGTTTAATTAAGTTCCAGCTATTTATCTTTGTTTAAATTACATTTACTTTTTGGTTCTTAGTCATGAAATCTTTGCCCAAGCCAATGTCTAGAAGGGTTTCCCTAATGCCATCTTCTAGAACTTTCGTAGTTTCAGGTCTTAGATTTAAGTCTTTAATTCACATTGAGTTGACTTTTCTATGTGGTGTGAGATGAGGATCTAGTTTCATTCTCCTACAGGCAGCTTGCCAAATATCCAGCACCATTTGTTAAATAGGGTGACCTTTCTCCACTTTTGTTTTTGTTTGCTTTGTCAAAGATCAGTTGGCTATAAGTATTAGGGTTTATTTCTGGGTTTTCTATTCTGTTCCATTGGTGGATGTGCCTGTTTTTCTTCCAGTACCATGCTGTTTTGGTTACTATGGCCTTATAGTATAGTTTGAAATCAGGTAATGTGATGCCTCCAGATTTGTTTTTTGCTTAGTCTTGTTTTGACTATGTGGGCTCCTTTTTAGTTCCATATGAATTTTACAATTGCTTTTTCTAATGCTGTGAAGAATGATGGTGGTATTTTGATGAGGAGTGTATTGAATTTGTATGTCACTTTGGCAATTATGGTCATTTTCACAATATTGATTCTACCCATTCATGAGCATGGGACGTGTTTCCATTTATTTGTGTCATCTATGATTTCTTTCAGCAGTGTTTTGTAGTTTTTCTTGTAGAGGTCTTTCACCTTCTTGATTAGGTATCTTCCTAAGTATTTTATTTATTTATTTATTTATTTATTGCAGTTATTGTAAAAGGGGCTGAGTTCTTGATTTCATTCTCAGCGTTGTCGCTGTTGGTGTACAGAAGAGCTACATTGATTTTTTTATCCAGAAACTTTGCTGAATTCTTTTATCAGTTCTAGGAGCTTCTGAATGAGTCTTTAGGGTTGTCTAGGTAACCAATCATATAATCAGCAAACAGCTACAAGTTTGACTTTCTTTTTACTGTTTTGGATGCACTTTATTTCTTTCTCTTGTCTTATTGCTCTGGCTAGGACTTCCAGTGCTATGTTGAAGAGGAGTGGTGAGAGCGGGCATCCTTGTCTTGTTCCAGTTCTCAGAGGGAATGCTTTCAACTTTTCCCCACTCAGTATTACGTTGCATGTGGGCTTGTCACAGATGGCTTTTATTACATGGAAGTATGTCCCTTGCATGCCAATGTTGCCGAGAGTTTTAATCATAAAGGGATCCTGCATTTTGCCAAATGCCTTTTCTGCATCTTTTGAGAGGATCATGTGGTTTTGGTTTTTATTCTGTTTATGTAGTGTATAATATTTATTGACTTGAGTATGTTAAACCATCCCTGCATCCCTGGTATGAATCCCACTTGATCATGGTGGATTATTGTTTTGATATGTTGTTGGATTTGGTTAGCTAGCGTTTAGCTAAGGATTTTTGCATCTATGTTCATCAGGGATATTGGTATGTAGTTTTCTTTTTGGTTATGTCCTTTCCTGGTTTTGGTATTAGGGTGATATTGGCTTCATAGAATGACTTAGGGAGGGTTCTCTCTTTCTCTATCATGTCTCTTTCTCTATCTTGTGGATTAGTGTCAATAGGATTGGTACCAATTCTTCTTTGAATGTCTGGTAGAATTCTGCTGTGAAACTGTCTGGTCCTGGACTTTTTTTATTGGTAATTTTTTGATTACTATTTCAATATCGCTGCTTGTTATTGGTCTGTTCAGCATATCTAATTCTTCCTGATGTAAGCTAGGAAGGTTGTATCTTTCCAGGAATTTATCCATCTCCACTAGGTTTTTTAGCTTATGTACATGAAGGTGTTTATAATAGTCTTTAATGATCTTTTGTATCTCTGTGGTGTCAGTTGTAATGTCTCTCATTTCGTTTCTAATAGAGCTTATTTGGATTTTTTCTCTTCTTTTTTTTGGTTAATCTTGCTAATGGTCTATAAATTTTATTTATCTTTTCAAAGAACCAGATTTTTGTTTCATTTATCTTTTGTATTTTTCGTATGTGTGTTTCAATTTCATTTATTTCTGCTCTGATCTTTGTTATTTCCTTTCTTCTGCTGGATTTGAATTGAGTTTGTTCTTGTTTCTCTAGTTTCTTGAGGTGTGACCTTAGATTGTCTGCTTGTGCTCTTTGAGACTTTTTGATGTAGTTGTTTAGGGCTATGAACTTTCCTCTTAGCCCTGCTTTCGCTGTATCCCAGAGGTTTTGATAGGTTGTGAATGACTACTGTCATTCAGTTCAAAAAATTTTTTAATTTTCATCTTGATTTCATTTTTGGCCAAATGATCATTCAGGAGTGGGTTATTTAATTTCCATGTATTTGCATGGTTTTGAATGTTCCTTTTGGAGTTGATTTTCAGATTTATTCCCCCATGTTCTGAGCAAGTGCTTGACATAATTTCAGTTTTCTTGAATTTATTGAGGTTCATTTTGTGGCCTACCATATCCTCTATCTTGGAGAACATTCTACGCACTGTTGAATAGAATACCTGTGGTTGTTGGGTGGAATGTTATGTAAATATCTGTTAAGTTCATTTGTTCCAGGGTGTAGTTTAAATCTATCATTTCTTTGTTGACTTTCTGTCTTGATGACCTGTCTAGTGCTGTCAGTGGAGTATTAAAGTCCCCCACTATTATTTAGCTGCTGTCTGTATGTTAGGTCTAGTAGTAATTGTTTTACAAATTTGGGAGCTCCAGAGTTAGGTGCATATATATTTATGACTGTGATAATTTCCTGTTGGACAAGGCCTTTTATCATTGTATAATGACTCTCTTTATCTCTTTTAACTGCTGTTGCTTTAAAGTCTGTTTTGTCTAATATAAGAATAGCTACACCTGCTCACTTTTGCTGTCCATTTTCATGGAATGTCTTTTTCCATCCCTTTACCTTAAGTTTATGTGAGTTCTTATGTATTAGGTGTGTCTCTTGAAGGCAGCAGATAGTTGGTTGGTGAACTCTTATCCATTCTGCAATTCTGTATCTTTTAAGTGGAGCATTTAGGCCATTTATATTCAATGTTAGTTTTGAGATGTGAGGTAAAATTTCATTCATCGTGCTATTTGTTGCCTGTATACTCTGTTTTTTGTTTTTGTTTTTTCAATTGTATTTTTTGTTTTGTAGGTCCTGTGAGATTTATGCTTTAAAGAGGCTCTTTTTTTTTATGTGTTTCCAGGATTTGTTTCAAGATTTAGAGCTCCTTTTAACAGTTCTTGTAATGCTGGCTTGGTAGTGGCAAATTCTCTCAGCATTTGTTTGTCTGAAAAAGACTGTATCTTTCCTTCATTTATGAAGCTTAGTTTTGCTGGGTAAAAATTCTTGGCTGATAATTGTTTTGTTTGTGGAAGTTGAAGATAAGGCCCCAATCCCTTCTAGCTTGTAGGATTTGTGCTGAGAAATCTGCTGTTAATCTGATAGGTTTTCCTTTGTAGGTTACCTGGTGTTTTTGCCTCATGGCTCTTAAGATTCTTTCCTTCATCTTAACTTTAGATAATGTGCTGACAATGTGTCTAGGCAATGATCTTTTGGTGATGAATTTCCCAGGTGTTCTTTGGGCTTCTTGTATTTGGATATCTAGTTCTCTAGCAAAGACAGGGAAGTTTTCCTTGATTATTCCCCCAAATATATTTTCCAAACATTTAGATTTCTCTTCTTCCTCAGGAATGCCAATTATTCTTAGGTTTGATTGTTTAACATAATCCCAGACATCCTGGATGCTTTGTTCATATTTTCTTATTCTATTTTCTTTGCCTTTGTTGGATTGGGTTTATTCAAAAACCTTGTCTCTGAGCTCCGAAGTTCTTTCTTCTACTGGTTTGATTCTATTGCTGAGAATTTTGAGAGCATTTTGCATTTCTTTAAGTGCATCTGTTGATTCCTAAAGTTTTGATTGTTTTTTATTTGTGCTATTTATTTCACTGAATATTTCTCCCTTCACTTCTTGCATGATTTTTTTTTTATTTCCTTATGTTGGGCTTTGACTTTCTCTGGTATCTCACTGATTAGCTGAATAACTAACCTTCTGAATTATTTTTCAGGTAAATCAGGGATTTCTTCTTGATTTGGATCCATTGCTGGAAAGCTAGTGTAATTTTTTTGGGGGGTGTTAAAGAACATTGTTTTGTCATATAATCAGAGTTGGTTTTCTGGTTCCTTCTCATTTGGGTAGGCTATGTGAAAGAGAAGGTCTGGGACACAAGGCTGTTGTACAGTTCCTTATGTCCCACTGGGTGTTTCCTTGATGTAGTACTCTCCCCCTTTTCCTAGGGATGTGGCTTCCTGAGAGCCAAGCTGTAGTGATTGTTGTCTCTCTTCTGGATCTGGCCACCCAGCAAGTCTACCAGGCTCTGTGCTGGTACTGCGGGTTGACTACACAGAACTGTGGGTCTCTCAGCCACGGATATGGGCACCTGCTCCAGTGGAGGTTGCAGGGGCCTGAAGTGGACTCTGTGAGGATCTGCAGCTTTGTTTGATTAATGCACTACTTTTGTTCTGGTTGGCCTTCTCCCAGGAGCTGGCATTTTCAAGAAAGCATCAGCCTTAGTAGTATGGAGAGGAACAGGTGGTGGCCAGGGCCCCAGATCTCCCAAGAGTATATGCCCTTTTTCTTCATTTACTAGGTTGGGTAGAGAAGGACCATTAGGTGGGGGAAGGGCTAGGCATGTCTGAACTCAGACTCTACTTGGGCAGGTCTTGTGGCAACTGCTGTGGAGGATTAGGGTGAGGTTCCCAGGTCAATGAAGTTATGTTCCTAGAAGGATTATGGGTGCCTTTGCTGTGTCATGCAGGTTGTCAGGGAAGTGGGCAAAGCGGGCAGTCACAGGCCTCACCCAGCTCCCACGCAACACAAAGGGCTGGTCTCACTCTCACCGTGCCCCACCCTCAATAGCACCAAGTCTGTTTCCAAGCAGTGGAAAAGCAGGGCTGTGAACTTGTCCTAGGCTACCCACCTCACAGCTGCAAAAATAAGTAGGGCTTTCCTGCTTCCCCGACCTGTGGATTCTGGACACTGGATTCATGCCCTTCCTTGAGTGCCGGCCAGGAGACTTCTCAATGGGTTCAAATTGTTACGAAGTTCACCTAGAGATTTCCTTCTCCCTATGGCCTTTTCTCAGTGCCTCTGGTAGCCCTCCTGAAGGTCCACTGTGAAGCAAGGCAGAAATTGACTCAGCAAGCCCACAGGGATTTTCCTCCTTTTTCCTCATTTGGGTATTTTGCCCAGCTTTCTAAATTCAATGAGCTCCAAGTAAGGTCAAAATCTTCTCCCGTAATCTAGACCTTCGGGTTCCCCAGTGGGGGTTTGTGTTCAGGGGCAGATGATCCTCCTTTTGTGGGATGATCTCCCTTTCCCTCCACAGTTTGGGCACTCGCAGTATTTGGGGTGCCTCCTGGGTCCTGCAGAAGCAATCTGCTTCTTTTGGAGGGTCTGTGTGTCCTCCGGGCTTTCCTAATGTATTACTGCAGTCGTTCTGGAGCCAAAGTTCACGATGCGAGTCTCCACACGCTGTTTTGCCTGTCTGAGTGGGAACTGCAATCCAGCCCTGCCTCAAAAGTGTGATTTTTTTTGTAGTACTTTTTAAAGTTCTTGGGAGGATGACATAATTATATAGATTTTTTTGGTGAACAGTCACATGGTTTTAAAAAATTTTACATAGACGAAATTTTTTATATATCTTAGTTCCAAGTTTCTGGATTTTATGCCATTCCTAGAAGAACTCCAGCACTCTTACGTTTAAAAAATATGATCTCTATTTAAAACTTCTGTGAAACTTATTCTCAGAGATTAAACATCTATGTATTTTAAAATGTTTAGTTCAATCTAATTTTTTGTTTGTTTTTTTGACTAAGAATTTTCATTGAAAATATATTTTGTACTTTGTAAAATGCCTTTTCAGTATCTATGAAGTGATAATATGTAAATCAAATATGTATGTGCATATACATATACATTATATATTTGTGTGTGTACATATATACATTATGTGTGTGTGTGTGTGTGTGTATATATATATATATATATATATATATTTTTTTTTTTTTTTTTTTTTTTAAGAGACATGGTCCTATTCTGCTACCCAGGCTGGAGTGCAGTGGTGCTATCATAGCTCACTGCAGCCTCAAACTGGGCTCAAGCCATCCTCCCTCCTCAGCCTCCCAAGTAGCTGGGACTACAGAAAAAACACCACGCCTGACTCCTGAATCATATATATTTTTCAAATATGTTTTCAACAGTTTAAGAGCTTACAAAATAGCTATGTAAAACAAGATTACTGAGCACTTTTGATAAGAAAAGCCTTCTTGGATTACAAAAATGTTAGAAAAGAACTATTTTTTCTAAAGATCCTAAAAATATCTTTTTTTCTAAAGCCCTTCTGCTCCAGGCTGGAAGTAAACTGAGCTGCTACAATCCTTCTCGCAGCGTTTGGAGAAGTCACATGGGTTAAGTGATGTAAACTGAGAAGACATTTTAATGAGAAGTAAAGGATCTACATTCTGCCCTTTTTTTTTTTTTTTTTTTTTTTTGACAGCAGATTCTGTGAGCTCTTGTCTGTTTGCCTTCTGGGCAGGAAGGGAAACAGACCACTGCAGACATCTTAGTGCAGCAAAGTTCATGCTAGTTGCTTTATAGAAAGTCATTGTGTCACTTGATTGATATCCCCTAAGGTAGTCTAAGATGAAGAATGAAAGCTACTACCTTTTCTTGCCATTATTACCACATCATGGTAAAGAGTAAAAAGAAACATAGGTTTGCATAATTATATTAGCTTTGATATAAAATCTGATATATACAGAAGTATATATCAGAGTATATATATATATCAGAAGTATATATCAGAGTATATATATATATCAGAAGTATATATCAGAGTAGTACATGCTCCAAAAATTAGTCATTGGCACACAAAGACACGACTGTTGTCCTCTAGCTGGTGATGTCCAGGCCTCATTTGTGCACATATGGACGCATGGCAGAAAGCAAATCAATGTAGATTCTAATTGATATGCAACGTTGTGATAAAATAGACCTTAGATTTACATATCCTGTTTAGCTCCATTCCTTCCAACAGGGGTCTGGATCTTGCTTCTGGATGACTGAAGTTAGAACTTTTTATTTCCCAGGTTTACACAGCCAGTTAGTGGTCATGTGGTGAGTAGAACACAGGGTTTCTGCACCAGTGTTCTTTCATCTCCACACAGACTTTGGGGTGAATCTTCAAAGGCTGGAGGTTTCTCTTGACACGTAACTCTTGTCTTCCAGTACAGCTAATGTCAAACGCCGCTATTACAGCCAATCTATCTTCTTTTATAATCATTGGAGCAAGCTGGCTGAACAATCTGGAGAAGACTTGAATTCCCTAAAGCAGAGGTTACTTCAGAGAAACGTTTCAAGGTGCCTCTTTCCTAGGGAGCACATTTTATAAAGCACCAAGACATCCGTGCACGCCCTGAAGAAATCAGTTCCAACTTCATCGGATTTCATTTCCCTAAATGCTGACTTTCACTGTAATGTCACTCAGCTATGATTTTATACAGATTCCACACACAAGAGACAAAAGATAAGCAGACATGGGCTTGTAAATAAACATTAAATCTGGCAACAGAGTGAATTTTAGAACCATCTTCTGGGACATTAAAGGGAAAGTATGTCGGGGGAATGACGAGACTTCCAGATGATTTTATAGGTTTTTTTGTTTGTTTGTTTTGTTTTTTTTGCTGTTGTTGTTGTCTTTGAGTTTATAAAAAATATCTCTTTTCTTTGAGATGGTTCCAATATTGAGTGTGTTCTTTCTTTTGTCAATCAATTAAACAAGTTGACAAAGGAGAGCAATTGATATTCACAGATTTCCAGTTTTCAGCAACTCAAAAATATCCACCTGTTATCTTGTATTCTGAGTCAAAGAGTGACAAATTCCTTTTTGAAGTTAATGAATGGCATATTTTATCCACAGTATACTAAACTAAGGTTAAGATCAAAAGAGCTCTCTTATTCTCATGATAGTGATTGAAAAAATAAGTCCCGATTTCTCAATTATTCATCTCCATCTCCACTGTTCTATTATCTATCCCACTAGTGATTGAAGTTGTCTGCTAGCAGGCTGTCCAAGGTGGGACACAGGAACACACACATACCCACAGGTATGTACGTGTTGGTGTGCCATGACTGTGTATCCAAACGTAAGATTCTTTTAATGATATTAACAACTTGTAGCACACAATTTATGAATAATGATAAAATATGCAATAATCTATTATTGTAAGTTCTGTATACCAGTTGAGTTTTATAGAATGCTTTTGCTGACCTTTGTTGAATAATTTTATCTGTAGCACTTAGAGTCTCTGTCATATATTCTTTTTGAAAAATTTCTTTATTGCCTTTACAACCCTTTAAAAATGTAAAAATTAGTCTTAACTCACACATCATAAAAAAACAGGCCTCAAGCCAGACAAGCCAGGTAGTTTTCTGACCCCTGGTCTAGACAATGCACAAAACAATAAAGCAGTCCCTGATTTGTAATGTATGTCAACCTCTGTGGTATAAGTATTTCCACTATGGTAGACTTCAAGCTGTCAACGGGATTTCACTGAACATAGAATTGGGAAGAGCTGTGTGGTAGCAGCCCAACCTACAGTATCCCCACAACACAGATAGAATAGTCATGAAATACCTCCAGAGCACCTTTAGTTAAAAGAGACAGGCAAATCGATATAATATAGTGAAATAATTAGAAATCAATGAATGTATTAGCTTTTAAAACTAATTTCAAGTTTACATAACTTTATTATTATTATTATTATTATTATTATTATTTTAAGACGGAGTCTGACTCTGTCTCCCGGGCTGGAGTGCATTGGCACAATCTAGGCTCACTGCAAGCACCACCTCCCAGGTTCAAGCAATTCTCCTGCCTCAGCCTCCTGAGTATCAGGAACTACAGGCGCGAGCCACCATGCCCGGCTAGTTTTTTGTGTTTTTAGTAGTGACGGGGTTTCACCATGTTAGCCAGGATGGTCTCTATCTCCTGACCTCGTGATCTGCTGGTCTCAGTTTCCCAAAGTGCTGAGATTACAGGTGTGAGCCACCATGCCCAGCCAACTTAATTTTTAATAATGCCTAGGTTAACCAAGGGCTCACAAAATTTCTGAAAATCTAACACTTGAAACTCATGAACTGGTAACAAGCTGACTCAAACACACCACTGATGGCCTATTCTTTTGAATTCCATAAATACTGGACTGTTTGACATTTTTTGAACCATGCTCTGTCTTGCCTCCCCAGTCTTCTAACCCTATTCTTTCAAGGCTTAGCAGCATCTCCTGCTAGAAAACTTCTGCCATTTTTCAAGGTTGAATTAAGTGCCCTGTTTCCTATATAAATACATAATTATATAAATATAAAATTTCTCTATTCTAAACTTCCAGTGACAGGGGCTTCATCCACTGTAGCTTTAACCTCCTTGTTCTGCAAGAGCTTATCTCAGTTTCTCCAACTCAGAGACTGGACATTTATGGCCCAGCAGAGCCTGGTGTACAGCAGGGGCACAACATGCATTCCTTGAACTGAACTACTAACAAAGCTGGCAAACTCTTGGCTGCCAGTTTGCAGAGCTTTGTGCAGCCTTCTTTGCATTGAACTGGTTCATTTCACTGTACCTCTTCTACAAGAGAGCAGGGAAGAAACAGCTCGCCACGGTATTAGTCAAAAGCTTGCATCGGAAGAATGAAAGTCAAAGGGTAGTCTCGACTGCAGGTTTTAGATTCCATGGGTTTTGTTTATAATGTAAATATCTTTCATCACCACAGATAACTGAGGTCTTTTTTTTAAGAAGATACATAACCAATAGACTAGGCAGCAGCACAGAAAGTCTACACGCAGGAAAAAAAAAAATGAGAAGGAAACCTGCTGGATTTTAAAATGCACAGAGCTGCTATCTTGTGGTTTAGCCCATCACTCCTTCACTGCTCAGATTCTCTGGCTGCACTCCTTTCCTTGTTGACTATCTGGCATAGATGGAGGAAGTAAGTCCCAGGGTAAGACTCCTCAGTGCCCCACCACTTCTCTCAGTTGGTCTGCTCACTGATTTTCTTGCTGCGTTCATTGAAGCAAGGGGCCGAGGAGGTGCAGGAAGGAGGATCAACTCACCTCATAGTCAATGTCTAAGGCATCCGTCTCGCCCTTGGTGCGGAAGTGCTGTGTGTGCTTGTCCACCGTGAAGTTCACCTGCTTGCCCACCCGCTCAATGAGGACCGAGTGCCAGTGCTGGTCATCCAGGAGGCTGCCCAGGGTGGCAGAGGGCAAGCTGCTGCTGAGCCGCGCTTTGCTGTCACCTGTGAAGAGGGGAGAGAGGCAAGATGATGTCTGTGTCCAAGGGCAGCTTTGCACACCAGAATGCTCCACAAGCAAAAGCAGCTATATCTGTTCTAAAGGCAAAGAATGATGTCTCCCTACAGGCCTGGAACTGTGCTGGACCTGGGAAGGAATAACAGGCTTGGCCCACAGATTCCAGAATCAAGTTCAATATGCATACCTCCTTCCAGACAAAATAGGGCATGTTTTCAAGACTTGAAAAATTAAATAATGAAAGGAACTATGTCCTTATGGCTACATAAATATGATTGAAAATGGGGATTTTGTTTTTAGAAAGAATGCATATTCTTTGAGTTTGAATGGTTCTTGAGTGGAGAAAGCCAATTAGGAGCCGTGCCTGGGAGGAGGAGTAAAGCTGGGATACGTAAAGGGAAGACAGCTAGTAAGTTTGTGGGCAAAAGCAGTGGCAAGGAAATAATCATCCCATATGTCATGGCTGAGTACCTACTGTATGCACGGCACTTAGGAAGAAATAACTTTCATCTTTAATCCTCTAAGGGAAAATTATCATCTCCATTGGACAAATAAGAACTCTGAGGCTCAGGGAGGTGAGACATGCATGCCTCAGGTACGGTCAGAACTTGAATCTAGGTTTGCCTCATCCTTTTTACTTTGACCACAGCTATGGATCATGGCTCGGGTCATACTGTTGAGGATTTAGCCTCTGTTGAGTTTGGAAGACCCCTTTGAGAAGACATGAGAGATGCAGCTGGAAAGGCATGCTTTGCAATCCAACCTGCCTGGTTCCCCCTCCGCCTCCTTCTCTCTCAATTTTATGGAAGTCCCTGGCTATACCCCTCTACCAAAAAGATTACAGCTTATATCTTCCCCTGAGGAACTTGCGTCAACCTTAGCAAAATGAACAATTAAATAGAACTAACGTTTGTGTATATATACATTTTCAATTTTTGTAACATTTTATATATTAGGTTCCTTAGTAACTGAAAGCTAAATGTCTGTCTCCTCCCTCTTGGGAAGTGTTTTCTCCAGTACAGCTGCAGCAGCCTGTTCAACCGTGTGACATTCAGCAGGCGGTAGCTGCCACTTCCCCGAAGGCTGCTCACTCCCACCTCCATTATGGCCCAAGGCATTATTTCCTTCACTGAGTAACTTGGTTGCTTCATATAGGGTTAGAAGCATCAGACTCATTATAATTAGAAAAGTAGAGCTGATGAATTAATAGCTGACTTGATTTCATTGGTTTGTTCCACAACTTCTGAGTTTTCATTGTTTGATGGATTATGCTAATGAATTAAAAGATACTTTCATTTTTTCTCCTTACCTCCCTTTCTTTCTCCTATAGAAAGGTATTATGAGCCGGGTACAGTGGCTCACGCCTGTAATCCCACCACTTTGGGAGGCCGAGGCAGGCGGATCACCTGAGGTCAGGAGTTTGAGACCAGGCTGGCCAGTGTGGTGAAACCCCATCTCTACTAAAAATACAGAAAAAAAAAAATTAGCCAGGCAAGGTGATGGGCGCCTGTAATCCCAGCTACTTGGGAGGCTCAGGCAGGAGAATTGCTTGAACCTGGGAGGCGGAGGTTGCAGTGAGCTGAGATCGCGCCACTGCACTCCAGCCTGGGCCAGGCCACAAGAGCAAAACTTCATCTAAAAAAAAAAAAAAAAAAAAAGATATTTGTGTGATCCACCTGAGCTGGTCACAGTGACAAGTAATGTATTAAGGAGACATAGAGTTTAAAGGTATACTGTCCTCTCTGAAGGTCTTCGTGGTCTTAGTGTAGAGATGCTCATCAAATAAATCTATAAAATGTATGCAGGTTTCCAGCACTCAGTGCACAGGGCCATGGAAATGCAGAGTGCGGTGCTGTGAAACCCTCCTTATGCAGCAGGGACAGGCTGAAACCTGAGGGAAGGAGGAGCATGGTTGCAAGGCCAGGAGAAGCAGCAGCCAGGTTTAGAGATGTAGGGAAGCGTGGCCCAGGACTTCCAGCGGCTGAGTGCCAGGAGCTCGTCGGCCTGGATCCCACTATGCAGGACTTTGTAGGCTAGGTCACACAGTTTACACCTTTTTTAAGAAATGGAACTTTGAGTAGGCAGAGGTTACTAATGCAGATTACTGTATTTTTTTGCTTGTTTGTTTGTTTGTTTGTTTTGAGATGCAGTCTACCTGTGTCACCCAGGCTGGAGTGAGTACAGTGGCATGATCTGGGCTCACTGCAACCCCTGCCTCCTGGGTTCAAGCGATTCTCCTGCCTCAGCCTCTAGAATAGCTGGGATTACAGGCGCAGGCCACCACATGAGGCTAATTTTTTATATTTTTGGTAGAAACGGGTTTTCACCACATTGACCCGGCTGGTCTTGAACTCCTGACCTCAAGTGATCTGCTGCCCCGACTTCCCAAAGTGCTGGGATTACAGGTGTGAGCCACTGCGCCCGGCCAGCAGATTACTTTTAAGAAAGGTTATTTTGGCAGCTGTGTGGGAATTGGATTAGAAGGTAAGACTGGCTATAAGACCGGCCATAATCTGGATAGATGGGGCATAAAGGGGTTCAGGCAAGAAGAGTACAGGAAGAATGGTATCCAAGTAATTATGAGGCGTTGGCAGGAGGTGGCCTCCAGGTGACGGAGATAGAACAAAGAACACCACCACCGCCACCCCACACACAGTTTTTATGTATAAAATGAAATGACTCAGGAGCTAACATTGGCTGAAGGAAACTATGCTTTATAAACTGTCATTTCTAGATGTAACAAGGCAGGTAGATTTAATATTGGAGTTTTCACTTTGAAATTGAGCTGCATCTCACTTTTTTCTTAAAATAAGAAAGGCATTGAACAAAAATTTATTAATAATAAGTCCAAATATTAAACATTTGAAAATTTAAAGTCATTATACATCACACACACACACACACACACACACACACACACACACACGGCAAGGAATTACACCCTTTCCCCAACTTATTTGTTCTATGTGCTGTTTTTGTGGCCTTTAATCAACTACTAAGTTCTTTAATAGAGCCAATAATAACAATGATTAAAATAAAATATTTTAATCACCCTATCCTGCTTCAAAAGATAAATTTTATAAATATTATGAATCAGTCAAACTGATTTTATTTTTTATGTAACTTTGGGTATAGTAAAACACCCTCCCTGCCTCCCTTCCTCACTTCCTCCATCTGCTCATCTTCCATAGCCCCAGGTAATCACCGCTATTAATGTCTTGCTTGTGCTTCCAGAAAAATATTAGGTGTATGCAAGCAGCAAAGATAGATTTTCTTTATTTCTACTCATTTAATTTTTTACACTGATGGTAAAATAGAATGTGCATTTATCTCCAACTTTCCATTTTTATTTCATCTATCCTGAAAATCTTTATCAGAATACAAAGAGCTTTCCCATCCTTTTTATAGCTGCATAGTATTCCATGCTCTAATATATATACATATATAAATATAACATATGATGTATATACATATGATACATAATTATATATAAATAATATATAATCATATATATGATATATAGGGCATATCACATTTCATTTAATGAGCTTCCTAGTGATATAAATTTAGATGTTTCTATTTACTTTAGATCTTTAAAACTGTTGAGATACTTTATTATGTGGATATTATCTCGCTTGGGCACAAGCGTATTTGTAGCGTTCATTCTTAGATAAAGAACTGGAGGACAAAGGCTTTCATGTTGGCAATTTTGCAAATACTGCCAAATTGTCCTATATAAAGACCATGACTATTTAAATGCCTAGGAGTGCCTTTACCACAGGCTTGCCAACAACATACGGTCTAGCTTTAAAATTTGGCTGTCTGGTAGGTTAAAAAAGTGCATTTCTGAAATTTTAATATGCATTTCTTTTAATAAGAATAAGGTTGAAAATCTTTTTATTTTTATTTCCTTTTCTTTGAACTCTCTTCCTATATTTTGCCTGTGATACGAATTTTGAAAATATCTTTTTGCCTTTCTTTATTTGTGTTTGTTGCTGCTTTTCTGTTTTTGTTTGTTTGATTGATTTTTTTAAATTCACCACTCAGGTATTTGTGTATTGGGAACAAATCTATCATTTTCCTTTTATAGCTTCTGGATTTGTATAATAGTTTAAAAGGTTCTCCTTATTCTGAGATCATTGAAGAATTCTTCTAGTTTTCCCTAAGTACTTTCAACTGAAATTTATTCTGATGTATGGTATGAGGCACAGTTCTACCTTTATGTTTTGAGATGGCTACCAATTGTCTAAATTCCACTATTTTAAAATCCTTGAGTGGCCTTATTTAGTGAAATAGATTGTATAACTTTAAAATGGCAGGAGAACGCTAGTAAATTGGATAGGGTGGTATTTGTTATGTTGACTGGATCAAGGTTCTCTAAGTACATGATTGGGACCTTCAAATCCTAAAGCTTCTAGTAGTAGGTTATGTCGGTTGTTGTTCACTGTACCCTTCTTGCATCCACTGCCACCATCATCACCACCATCTCAATGGGCAGGAACATCTCCACTGCGGGAAGCAGAGCTAGCATCAGTAACTTTACCTTTACCCTCCTCAAGGTCTAAAGTCAGCCCTTTCTCTCCTGGGTCTTAACTTTGGCTCAGAAAGTTTGCCACTCTCATTGCATCCAACAATTCTTCTCCTTATAATTTTAAGACTTTAGGAAAATAAAAGTACTTCTTCTTAAATAGTGACTACCTTTCACTTACTCCATCTAATGAAACCATAAACTTAATTAACACACTTATCATTTTATGCAAAGTAGCTCATGAAATTTTTATGAATACTTAAAGCAATTTGTTGACCTTTCCTCAAAAGTGGATTAGCATTGCTCCTTGTTTACATTGTTCATTTACTTAGTACATATATATATATATATATATGCCCAAAGATAATGCAAAATTGAGTCCCACCAATTCTATGGAGAAACATTTCAGTTAGTATCAAGGGACTTAAACTTATGTTCACAACTTTTTGTTGTGGAAAAGTGTTTAAGTGGCTAGTGATTTAAAAATTGGATATAATGTCCAATAATTTGGAAGGAGAAAAAAAAATCTGAGTTCATTTATGTAGACTCACCAGATGAAGTATTATATTAAATAGCCATCAAAATGATATTTATAAAATACTTACATTATTTCAAAAGTATACTCAGTAGTGACTGCCCTTTTTGATAAAATTAAAAGTAATATTTAATAAATAGAATACTCAATAATTAGACTATACTGATTTAAAATATACATGAGCAGAAGACAAAAATACAAAATCTAGACTAAAAACAATTCTGGAAAAGGCACAAATAAGCACTATGTGCGGATAAAACTGAAGAATGCATTTATCATAATCATTTTTTTTTTCTTTTCTGTGTGTTTTAGGGTGAGCATAACTATTTTGGATAATGAGAAAAATAAACTTCATTAAAAACACAATCCTCACGCTGCATAGTATATTTGTTGAAGACTATATATCACTGACGTGTAATTATTGAGTCTCTTGGGAATTACAAGTTACTTATTAATTAACCAAAAAGGAGCACATATGGATAAATTTCATCACTCTTTTTCCATTAGTTATGCTATACCAACACTCAGATATCTTATATCAAAACAAGTTTAGTGAAACTTGATTTGGTTAAAAAATTGGGAAAACAAAATTTCTGCTCTTCATTAAAAAAGGATGTTTAGAATTGTATTTATGAGAAGTGTAGGATGGTGGTCCTCAGAAATGTTTCATTTTCCCTAGAAATTTCCATTATTAGAGATCACAAAACACTTAATTCTCACGAAATTATCAAACTCTTGATCTTAGAATATCTATTTTAAGTTTTATCTCAGTGGCATTTGAGGTTCAATTACTAGTTTTAACTTGTTTCTAATTTCGTAAGACAAAGATAAAAATTTTCATGGGCAATTGTGAAGGACAAAAACAATAAAACTATACAGAAACTAACTTTTGGGACAGAAATAGATAAGGGAAATAATTATTTCTAATGAAATAAAAACTTGTTTTCATGGGGTTTAAAATATAGTTAAAACAAAATAAGATATATACTACCCAAGGCCCTAAGAAATATAACAATTTTTATAGGAAGCTTGAAATGTTTGCAAAAAGTGTTTAATTTACCAGTTTATTCTCCTCCCTCCACCCCAAGATGCTGTGGATAAGCATGCCAATTCTTTCATCCTTACTTAGAACTCACATTTTCTGGTAAAGGGCATGCATGTTGCAGTATTTTCAACCAAATGCCTTGTTTGATTAAATCTTCTTTCTAGGTCTTATCTTAACTGTTCAAACATGGATGCCACTTTAACTTTCATAATCTGTGAATTTCAGACAGCCTGAGAAAAAGGGGATGGGAACTCTCATGTTTAAGATTGTATTTGACAAAAAAAAAGTCATTCTTGAAAAGGGTTTGATTTACTCTTGATAAAATAGGTGGCTAGTCACGTGAATTCCCTCATGACTGCCTCTATCAGATCATCAGAATCAACTTTCCCACCCACCTTTAATTTGTCAGGCTATCAACACCGATATTCACTTGTATTTCTTAAGCTTCTCACACAAGTTAAACACTTCACATATGTTGTTATAATTATTTCTGACTATAATAACCCTGCAGAAAGGTGAGTCTCCAAGAAGCCACAAGATTTACCTAAGGACTCAAAGAATAGGGGTTACAACCCAACTCTATTTGACTCCAAAGCTAAAACTGTCTTCACTACTCTTAGTGGAAAAATGGATACTCTCATTCTCCCTCATTTCTTACGCTCTTACTATCTGTATCTCCCATATATGCATGTAAGTTATGTAGCTTAGTAGGAATGGAGGGCATTCTTTTGCAAAGGAATTTAATGGATTGGAAAACAGGGAGCTGTAGAAAAGTAAAATGGGGCAACACTAAGAAGGGAGGACATGACACAGAATAAGAAGAAAAGTTTTACCTCCCTGTCCCAGCCAGTATTGTAAAGGTACCCCCTTTCAACTTTGTTGGGCAATACGCAAAGCTATTGAATGGTCTCCTAAGTATCCAAGTGAGAGCCCTGAAGAAAATAAGAAACGGACAGGAAGCAATGTGATTCAATGGACTTGACTCTCAATCCAGAGCAAGTCTCTATGTTTCTCTAAAGCAATGAAACACATGTCCTTAGCTGTTAAGAAATTTCTAGATTGTATTGACTAAAAACACTCTCCAGATTTAGGAGTTGTTGCTCTACTCTGGTGTCTAACTTGTGTCCGTCTTCTGTGACTTTGCTATCTTCGAAAACATTATCTTAATACATTTGTTATATGATTTTGATGATGCATAGTTATTTTATTTCCAATTAATATAACCAAGCTAAAAAGTAAGTAGAAATAACTATTTTACCAGGCTGACAGCCTCTTGAAAATAGAGACTGATAAATCCAACTTTTAACCCCCAGTGCAGAATTCAGTGCCTGATTTACTGTACTTGTTTAACCTATTCTTATTGCATAATGACAGAATTTATGAAAAATGTGATGCATTTTATCCCATTGATTCTTTGTATGAAATACCTGTTTTTCTCCCCTCTCCATAATAAAATCTCCAGATTACTCAAGGTTGATCCTGGATCCCTCTGTTCCTTCCTGATCTCTCCATTCTCAGAACTTAACACATACATATTGTTTGCCTGATATTTAACATTTTTATGAATTGTTTTATAATTTTTATTATTTGTTTTATAAAAGTTTATTACATTTTAGTGATTAATGTCAGAGAATTGGGGTAGGATTGAATAAGGTTATAATCCCATATCTACAGCTTTGCAGCTATGTGACCTTGAGCCACTGACTGGGAATCACTGACCAGCAGTTCTTCATCTGTAAATGGGTTTGGATACAGATTGTAGGATTGTCATGTAATTTAAATAAAATATGTATTTTAAATGTTTAATGCAATGCCTAAATGTGGGCTCTCAAAAAATGGCAACTAAAAAAAAACTTTTATAGTATTTAGTACAATTTGAGAAACATGATAAACATTCCATAAATATGTGTGAGTTGGCTGACTAAAATGCCTGAGTTTCAAAAGAGCTAAATTAAATGTTCATTTGACTCTTTGGAGAATGGAAAGAACTTTCTCTGGCATCTCAGTGGTTGATTATGCAATCACATGCTTTGGCGCCTGAACCCTGTACTCGGCCCCCAGGTGCTCCTCAGATGTTTGTTCTATTCTAGGAGTCTCACTTGAGTCTCACTTTGCTACAGCTGTATGTATTGGGGATTGCATAAACATCCTGCCTCAGTTAAAAGGCACTGGGCTCTTATAAGGATGATTGACCTGCATGTACTATTGTTGTCTTCTTTATTCTTACAACAGTTCTCTTGTCACGTAATATCTCTGCTCTTTGATTCTCTACCTGCATGAATGGGTTCAGACTATTGTAATTCGGCAGAGGGCAGACTGCCATGGGCAATTTGAATGAGATGTGTAAAAAGTGAGAAAGGAAACATATCTAACCCCTTATGGATTGAAAGAAGAAATCTCTTTCCCATCTAGTAGTTCTGGAAAAATATCAATGTTCTACTTTAAGAAAGTAGGCAAAGAGGAACCACATAGTTCAATTTTGCCATAGAACTGTCTCTACCCAAGCCAGACACAGTAAGGGTTAGGGTAACTATGTAATGTAAATTGGATACTCATCAAAGAGCATCACTAGAGAAGAACAACAGTACACTATGTATGTCCCCAGTGCCATCCTGAGCAGCTGACCGTGGTGCTGAACTTCTTCACTCTTAGCCTGAATTTCTGAATTGCAAGTAACTGATTAGAAAATGAATAAACATTGCAGATGAAGAATTGTCACTAAAGGAGACACTGCTGAAATGTCCATATAAACTGGAGAGGGAAAAACCAAAACTCTCTCCTTTATTTGACCAGCACTATTCTTTAACCCATTAACTTGAATCCTGCCTCTCTTTCTCTCTGTCTCTCTCACCTCTCCTGTATTTCTCTTGCTTTTCTGATTCATTTTTTTAAAAGAACAATCCTGATCATGGATGTTATAAACCCTTTCCCCTTTAAGGCTGTGTGACAACAGGAAAACAACAGTATTTTAGAATAATATTTAAAGAATTCATATAAATAACTAAGATAAATACTTAAAAGATACTAAAATGTTAATAAAAGAGATAACCAGGTTGTAAGAGTTGGATTTTTCTTTTTTTTATATTATTTTCCGGTTTTCTAAAACTGATATATATTTTATAATCTAAAATTAATAGTAAAACACCTGGAGATGGTAATAGTAGCTACACTAATCACTATCTGTATAAATGGGACAAGTAATTTATCCTCTTTGAGTCTACTATTTCATATCTGTAAATGGGGGCTAATGTATACTTATGCCATAGGTCTTCCTTGAGGATCGGACTGGACATTACCACACTGTGAATATTCTGTAAATATACCCCATTGTCAGAGAGAGTGGTGGATCATGGAGGAGTCAGGAGTGCAGGCTTGAAGGTGAACAAGCCCAACAGGAATAATGAAATTTGAGATGAAAACCCTGTTCCTAATGTACTCAATCTGCCTCAAGTACCTACTTTAGGAAGAGTTTCTCCTGGAGGCTAGAGATACAGAAGTGAACAAGGTGTTATCCTGGTGTTTATGAAACCTACATTATAGATTTCCCATTATGGGCAAAGCAAAGCTATTACCACTCCCCTTTGCTTAGTGCTTCCAGAGATCTTCTAGCTGTAATGAGGTAGGAGGGACTAAAGTACTAATCTGTGGCAGTGTTTCTCTAGAAGAGGAACCTAGAAACTTATGCTATTTAAGAAGTATCCTAGGTGACTGCTTAAAACAGGTAAGTACAGAAAACACTCAACTGTGGTAAACTGATAGAAAGGGAAAAGCTGCAGAGACAGATAAAAAAGATGAAGAAATCTTAAAACTATGCAGAATATAGATAAAATATGTTCTTACTACTTAATCCTCCATCAAGTAAGGTTTTACTTAATCACCACCATGGTTGGAAATATAGAGAAGATGGAAACTGGGAAGAAAGACTTATCCTGCCATCTATGTAACATAGCAAGGAGTAGGTGCTATTTATCTTAATATTCCACTTATTTTCAGAAAAGCCAGCATAGCACAGTGTGAGGTATTCAGATACTGTTTGAATAAATGAGCAATACGGAGCTTCTATTTTTTGGCATTTGTCCATGTTTACTCATTGCTATAGAAAATGTATTTACAGTGCTCTTGGTTTTCATGTCCATACTCTGCAAGACAAGTCATTAGCCCCAGATTAGAAATAAAGAAACTGAGGCTCAGAAGACATCCACCATAATAAATCACATAATAAATAAAATAAAAAACACAATTTGATTGCACATCTGTAATCAAAAGAAAAATTGTTACATGACCACACCTATGCTATTTCTACCATTCACACCATGAATGTATCTGGTTTACAACATTAGATTTTGTATGTTGGAGCAGAGTTTTGGATGTGAAATGCCATATCTGAAATGGGAATCTAAATAGTAGTAACTGAAATATTTCACAATGTTATCAGTAGAAGACACTCGCTTTACTATTGATAAGTAATAGTAACTGTACCCCCAACACACAATGCTATGTAAGCCACTTGTAACTGGGAGGTTCAACTTCATTCATCTGATCTCCTTTCTGGAAAACTGAAAACCAGTAAATGTATTGATGCATGTTTGTGTAGTATTTGGACGCCCAACATTCAGAAAGCTCTGAGGCTTGCTTCTTTAGTTATGGTAATTACAACCAATGAGGTTACCAGCAAATTTTTTTACCACTCTCTTCTAGGTGATATTCTACTTTTAAAGGTATTTTGGTGTGTATATCTAATATATTAGGTGTCAATTTTGAGTTAAACTTTGAAATCTAGAGATTCTTTCTGCTACCGCTGCCTATAGTCACCATGGGGCTCCAAGAAGATCCTCAGAAATGCCTCAAAATAAAAACCTATATTGTTTAGTTTTGGGGCACTAATATTCATCCTTATGTCTCTCCAGCTAATTGCTAAAATGTATTT
Source organism: Homo sapiens (assembly GCF_000001405.40). Classification (NCBI taxonomy): domain Eukaryota; kingdom Metazoa; phylum Chordata; class Mammalia; order Primates; family Hominidae; genus Homo; species Homo sapiens. The sequence continues at coordinate 124,435,704 of NC_000002.12, read as the reverse complement.
AACTGTGGATTTTTGTCAGTCTTCCATGCAACTTAGGGTTACAAATTACATTTTGCAATTTCTTTCCTTCTTTACTATTTTATAGTGAAGACAAAAAGATAACTATTTTCCTCTCCCTTTAATATTAGTAAATATCAGATGGGAGGCAGGGAGTCATTCTTATGAAAAACGGCCATTTACTTTTTTTTTCAGCTTATCTCTTTCTTTCTTTCTTTTTTCTATAGAAGAGTGTTTTTTTGTTTGCATCCTTGGGAACTGTGCTCCTGCCTTTTGTACTCAGCTTACCCTTCCTTCAGAAGTGCCTTTGATCATGTACAGGAGGCTGGGCCTCTCTCCTCCTTCTCTGGGATAAGAAGTTGGTGACAATGAACGCGACCTGCCTGGAGTGCAACAGGCCCTGATGGATGCCAGCCCACAGTGGAAGGCCATGTCCTAACTGTGTGGAGTCAGGAGGGCATTCTGTACTAAGTTTAATGGAATCTGGTGAGTCTGGGGCTTACTCTGGAACAGTGAGGGCACCTAAAGAAAAGAGTTTCCCTTAAAAAGACATGGGAATGCCTAGAAACTTAGATTTTTCACCTCACACATATGATCCCCTCTTCCCCAACAAAATAACCCGGAGCAACCAAAATGTTTCCCCGTCATTTTCCCTCTGAAACTTAACTTTCTTATATGTACCTAATAGCATAGATTCTGAGCAAGCCTCCTTATAATATGTGTATATACTTAAACTTGTGAAAGTTTTTTTAGAGTTTGAGTTACTAAGAAAACTAAATGGATAAATACGTAGTTAGGTCAATAAATACATAACAATGAGTTTGCAACTCTCCCTACATGTCAATATTATATGGTGTCAAAGAATGCTATACATGCCTTAAACATTTCTATCCCCACCAATATCACTTATATTGTGCTCCAGTGACTTCCACCAGATACACTGCAAGTGTCAGACACTGTGAGCTGTGGAGTAAAGGAGCTCTCCATCCCTTGGCATTGGAAGAGGAAGTCTGAGCCTACCCAAATTGAGGTGTAGGGCGAGCCTCCCCTTCTGGAGTTCCAAGGTGATGTGGTCTCCACGCTGACCTTCTCCATGGAACAGGACCCCATCTCCTTGCATGCTCTTGAACTTCAGGGAGATCACATCTTTGAGAGTACTCATCAACTTCTGATTGAACCTGTACAGAAGTGAGCTTCGGCCATCAAAGTCAGCAACATCTGATTCTGGGAACAAAGAAGGAGCGGGAAAGAAAAATTAGTGCATATTCTCATGACTGCTGTTACTGTTTCCCATCTTATTTCATGTCCAGTTCACAGAAATGTTCTTGAGATCTGCCAGGTCTAGTCTCAACAGGAAACATGTAGACTAGAACCACCCTAATTAGACTCAAGGGAATTATTCGTTTACAAGCAATCACCACACACTGAGTCAAAGTGAACTGATCATTAGTTTAGAAGTAAAAACTCTCATTAGTGATATGTCAGCTTTTGCTGGAGGGGACAGGGTGAAAATACCGCAAGTACCTATGTCTGGCTTACTATGTCAGATGGCTTAGAATAATCTCTCTTGATTTGTCTTCCTGACAGTCAGAACCACTTGATCTCCTTATCTCAGACACAACATTAGAGATGAAAAATAGATATAATTATGATGCCAACTCCACATAGTACTGTCTCCCTAGAAGTCTGTGTTGAGAAGGATTCTGAGGCTTCTACTGGGTTCAGTGGAAAAAAATACTCAGCAAAAGAAGACTTGTTATTTGAACAAAGAGGGCAAATGTATCACTGCCTTATCTGTGCTGGTGATATTTATCATTTTAGTGTTTTTATACAAAACATTTAATTCCTTATTGTCAAAGCAAAACAAGGTGAAGGTCAAGTAACCATGATTTAGATAAACTTATGTAACAGGTATGTGTAAACATATCTGACAAATTATGCCAAAAATCTAATAGAGATTCTATTTGGAATGTGTTGTTCTAGGTTATTTTTGCGGGTTTTTTTTTCTATTTTTTTAATTACAAAAACTTTTATAATGAGCTTTTATTGTAGAAAAACATGTAAGACTGTTTAATTACAAATTGAAACTGATTCATTATATACCATGTTCTGTGGGTGGGATTGTGGTGATTATGTGGAGGGGGTGGGATTTTCTATTTAAAATTGAGTACCCAAGAAAACTCAATTTTTGTATTATTCAGCATGTAATTAAAATCCTCAGCCTGAGCATACACAATGATAATTTTTTTTCCAAGGATCTAGAAACACTCTTTGTGAATCTGAGGATCTGAAATGAAAAGGAAAATGAAATAATACTTTTCTGTAATTAGTTTTAAAACCCAATTTCACAATTTATTTATACGGAACAAAGTGTCCTAACCAAAATGTTGCTGATGGAAACCTTGACTTTAAAAATAAACTGTCCATATACAAAGAGACTTTCACAAATGTCCACCTTTCTCAGCACCTCCCCTCCCTACCTCATCAATGCACTTATGACTGTTATCTCAACTAGGATTCCACCCAGACCAAAGTGGGGCCACAGACCAACAGCTGCCACCACTCATGGAATAGTGAGGACTGTGGTATAGATAACATAATGGATTCTAAACTGTGATGGTCATAGTTTGTTAGTTGGGTTACCTTGGTCTAAGGTGATTGTATTATTTATAGGATGAAGATAATTATATCCATTAGAGAAAACTGCTTTGAGAAGTACATGTGCTAAGACTTACAAAGTTATGACACATCAATGTGAACTCATTGTGCATGGCACATTATTTGTGTTAAATCAATAATAGATAGGAGAGGTATTAGTAGTAATTGAAATAACAGGAATCTTTTAGTTCCTATCAAGGCCACTCTATTGGTTGGCACTCTACCTTCTTACCCCAAATGATGCTTTTTCAATTTTGATTCAGTTGTTTACTGCCCAGGGATGCCAAAGTAGCCCCAAGCTTCTTTTTCTGTCATGTTTTGGCTTCTCACATTCTAGCTGAAATTAGTGTGTGCAGAGTGCGTACATCACAATGTACACAATATTAATATTCTCTTCTGATTGCTTCTACTCTGCCACTGTACCAGACTGTGGAGTAGAAATTGTGTCCTAGGTAGCCCCTGTAGTGCCCAGCAGTGAGTGGAAGGACCACATAGTGTCCCATAGAGTTTCTAATGGCAAATGCAGACATTAATACTCACAGTAATGCTAACTGAACTGACTCAGTTCAAAGGGGGTAGATTCAGACAGGGTTTCTTAGAGAAAGTGAGTGGTATATTGGCCTTTAACAATATGTAGGAGTTACCCCAGGGAAAGGAGGGACCCAGTGTCTCCAGGAGGGATAACAGAGGCGTGAGAATGTTTGGTGCATCTCAGTACTGCAGGAGGCCAGCATGATGGAGAAGGGACAGAAAGATCTCTAGTTCCCAGTGAGGCATTTCTTGCAAGCTGAGACATACCACACATGGTGTCTTTGAAGCAGTAACTCAATTCCATCATTATTCATGGATGCATTTGTCCCACCCCCATAGACAGATATTGCATCTGAACTTTGGGTTTCCCTAGCACTGGGTACACCCCTCTGTTTTTGCTATCACATGCCATGTGAGAATCACCATCCACAAATTATATACATCCTGTCCACTCACTCATACCACCACTATACTCTTCATCTCCCAGCCAGCACCAGCACTGAGCACAGAGCCTGAACATGGCAGGTGGGGTCCCTTGTGTGGTGAACTAAAACCACATGGAGGAAATTTGCCTTTGGTTCCCTGGTAAAGACATTAAACTAAGGAGAGGAGCCCTCTATAGAGCAGCTCTACTACTCACCAGGTGTCTGACTGGGGTTAAGTTTATGTCAAAACTAAGGGCCTCACTTTCCATCCTTGTAAAATGGTGCATAACAATGTATTCAATTACACTTACAACTGATTATAAGAAAGCAGTGAGAGAATTTGGATTAATATTTATATAAATAAATATTACATATAATATTTATTTATTAAATTTTATTTATTAAAATTTATTTATATTTATATAAAGAAATTATATATAATGTTTATATAAAGAAATTATATATAATGTTTATATAAAGAAATTATATATAATGTTTATATAAAGAAATTATATATAATGTTTATATAAAGAAATTATATATAATATTTATATAAAGAAATTTTATATATATATATATATATATCTTTGACACTTTTTTGTCCAAGCAATGGTTATGGAGAAATTTATGTAAATATAAATATTCATTATGTTGCTGCTATTTCCCCCATTCCTCTTCATTTTATAATGTCATACTCCAGTGTACTTGGCTGCCTGGACCCCTCATGCAGGCCTGAGTTCTTGGGTCAAGTACTGAATTCCAAATGTTTTCTTTTCTCCAGTCCACTCACTCACTCACCTCCCTCTCCATTCATCATCGTTACTATGATCTGCATTCCATTCCCTCCAATGTCTGGCTAGTCTAGTGACTTAACTGAGGATACAAATGTTGATGGCAAAGGGACATAGGTTATCTCTTAAGAAAACACATCTCCACGTTGTCATGAGACCTAGAGAAAACTAAGCCAATCAGTAGAACGAGTCTAACAGAGCTGGGTTTCAGTTCTGGTTTTACTCCTTACTACCTGGGGGCAGGTGTTGGTTGAAGCAACTTTCTTGATTTCTTTGAGCTCCAGTTCTCCTATCTGTATGATGGGGCTTATAGGAACCTACCTTCAAAGTCATTGTGAAAATTGCACAATCTCAGACCTGAAAATACAAAGGCATTCAACAACATTTTATCCCCACATTTCCTTATTTATAGAAAGAAAGTACTCAGTAGTGAAGATTTTCAAGCACAGCATAAAGATGCTATCAAGAACTTGGTGTGAAAAAATTCTGTCTGGGTTTGGGATTCGGTAGCCTTCACATCACACTGAGTAGGCGTGCACTCATGTCCTCATCATCATTGCCTGCTTTCCGTTTTCTATTAATAGTTTCAGAACTGCCTCCCAGATTTCACTTTTGCCACCTTCACCTGACACAGTTTTTAACGTTAAAAAGCATAAGAAACATCATACCTCAGCATTGCTAAAGTATTTCATTGAACTTCCTTTGCCCTGATAATTAATTTCAGTCTCCAGGACTCCACATGATCCTGCTCTGTTCACCTCTCCCACCTCATCTTCTGTTCCTTTCTTCAACCCTCACACTGCTCCAGGCATGCTGTGATTTTAGTGTATGTGCATATGCATGTATGTGTGGGGCTAGGATAATGTGTGTGGAGCCCACATCATAAGCCCTGCAATTCTCTAGATGTTTTTTTGCACAGGAACTCATTTAAACACATCAATTAACCTTTGAGGAAAATACTATTATTATTCCCCCTTTACAAATAAGACAAACACGGCACAAAGAGACAAAGAGGTATATAGTGAGCAAGTGCCAGGGCCAGGATTCAAACCTACCCTGTCTGACCCACCCACGCTGAGTCCACTGAGCTCTTTCCCATGCGCTGCCCACTTGGACCACGATGCTCAGCTCATCTGTCGGTTCCCACCTGGCCCTTTTTCTAAGGGGTCCTCCATCCCTGTTAGTCTCCCTCTAAGCACCTTGCCATTCCCTTCATAATGCACCTCGCAATTGGATTAGATGCTCATCTGTTTTCTCAGTGGTTTATAGTCCAGTTGTCCAACACGTCAATGCATCTCATGAGGACAAGGGCCAGATGTACGCTGTTTGCCACATTAATTCAGAGCCTCGCAATGGACTCGGAAGGGTATGCCATCCAGAACCACCTGTGAAATGAGCTGTGATCCATTGAGGTGCCTATGCCCAAGTGTGATGTTGCCCAAGTCTCCCCTGAGTTCCTGCGCATCATCTATTTCACCATTCAGAGCCAGCTTACCATCCACACTGGGAGAGTTAGTTTCTTCTGCAGGCCATGCTCAGCCACTGGAGCTGTGATCCCTGTGTGACTCACACATGCTTATTGGTGCAGAGAGGATGCACGGCCTTTAGTAAGCACAGAACTAGCCTGGTGGGGTGCGGGAGCTTTCCTCCGACCACCACCAGTACCTGATAAGAGCTACACTTTGCTGTTCTCAGAGATTTCAGCCAAACACTCTGCACTTCTGCAATATTAATTACATTGCACACAACAGGCTCCAGCCATTTCCCAGAGAGAGAAAAGGGTTTTCAAAACTTTCAAAGAAGGATTAAAGGTTTCCCCAACTGAATACTTCCTACTCCTTCCCAGACACTAGTATTGAGTATTTTATAATGTACTATTTTATTTAATATAGTTAATGCTTTTTATACTATTGCTTGATTTTTTTCAACACTTTCTTTAGGATTTAGCATGTACATTAACTTAGAATCAGCTTCCAAAGCTAACTGTGACAACTCCTAACATAGCTTTTCTTTTAAAATTTCTGATATTCCTATGCATGATAGCACATGAAAAAAAACAGGATGAGTTTCAAGAAGAATACTCAGCACTCCCAACTTCACTTGGAAAAGCAGATTTAAAATGATAATAATAAAGACCCACATGGTTATAGGTTGCTGTTAATAAGAGATAAACTATTATATGCTGCTTTTTCCTCATGAGGTAGTATCATAACGACTTTTTCTGGATATCTCTTTGGAACTTAATTTGCTGCATGGGGTCTGGTTATAGAAATCAAAATCTTTATTTGTGTTGTACAAGCATCTTGGCAGATTCTCTTTTAAAAGGAAAAAAAGAAAGTGTGTAGAAAGGAGTAAAAAGGGTAGACATGGGCTCTTTATGGCAGATGGGAAATGTGTGATCACTTCAGATTTAAAGGTACCAAAAACATAAAACTGAATATATCTCCCATATTCTCTATCACAACTTCTCTAACACACTTGTGGAGATTTCTTTCTCTGAATCCATTTCCCAGGGGGAAAAGGAACTAATATACACACATTACCTAAGGTAATGTTCTTAGTAGCCCTGAAAGGTCCATATTTTTCCCCATTTGTAAAGTAGGAAAACCAAAGCTCAAAAAAAAAAAAATGCTGATTGCTGATTTAAAGAAGGGAAGGATGATGTTAAATAAGAAGTTTTCTTTTCCTTAAATGTTGCTCTGAATTTCCCTGGGTTCCCTGCTCTTCTTCACTTGCTCTTTCACTTGCTCCCTTTCTGGGAGAGCAGGGAAACCATGTACACATGTGGGAGGCTTTGTTATGGTAGAGGTACAATGCCCTCTCTATCCCCACCATCTTCCCAAAGCTCAAACCCTCTATCCTTTTTTATTTTTGTGGTTTTCCTTCACTCATGCATTCTTGTGTTCAAGCTCTACAGAGGTCCCTGCTCTCGAGGACTAAGCTGGAGAGAGCAAGCACGCAATTCTACATCCATTGGAAGGAGGTGAGCACTGTGTGCTGAGGGAGCGCTGAACCCTCTCCAGGGAGGGGCAGAGGGTTAGGAGGGTGTCCAGGCAGGGTCAATGTTTCTCCAGAGTCCTGAGACATAAGAGGCAGTCAGGCTGGTGAGGTGGGGGTGTGGTGGGAATAGGAGAATAGAAGGAGGGAGTGGAAGTGGGAAGGGCAGTCCCACCAGAAGGAAGGAGCTGCAAGCTCAAGGCAAGGAGGAGAGAGACAAAGTGCAGGGTCCCATCTAGGATCTATCAGGAATCAAACTTGCTGAAGGGAACCATACCCTGTGGACCAGCAGCATTGAGGTCACCAAGGAGCTTGTTAGAAATACAGAATGTAAGACCTCACTGCAGACCTAAGGAATAAAAACCTGGGTGTGGGACCCAGCAAGTGGTGTGTTAAGGAGCCTTCTCAGTAGCTGCTCTTCTTGATGAGGTTTGAGGAGCTCTGTGCTCAAGTGTAGGGTGCCAAGGGCAGTGGGGATTCAACAGGTCGGAACTAGAGTAGGAAGTCTCATGATGGAGAGTCAAATTAAAAATAAAATAATATGGGTTTGGCCGGGCACGGTGGCTCACACCTGTAATCCCAACACTTTGGGAGGCTGAGGCAGGCAGATCACCTGAGGTCAGGAGTTTGAAACCAGCCTGACCAGCATTGTGAAACCCCGTCTCTACTAAAAATACAAAAATTAGCCGGGCGTCCTTGTGGGCACCTGTAATCCCAGCTACTCGGGAGGCTGAGGCAGGAGAATTGCTTGAACCCGGGAGGCAGAGTTTGGAGTGAGCCAAGATTGTGTCACTGCACTCTAGCCTGGGTGACAGAGGGAAACTCTGTCTCAAAATAAATAAATAAATAATAATAAAAAAACAAAATAAAATAATATGGGTTTCAATGTGACCCTGATATCAATGGAGAAATAACTACTAAATCATTTAAAGTAGGGAAAATGTATGATTGGTTTGGGTTTTTAGAAAGAGCTCTTTGTGTTTTAGAAAATGCATCAGATTACTTGCATGGTCAGCCTGCATAATCCTGGCTACCTACCCCCGTTACCCAATTTTATTGTGCCTTGCCAAGGTAGTAAAACCCTAATGTGGTCGTTGTGGAATGTTTTCCTTCATATTAATACCTGTTATCTGTTCCTCAGAGTTCTCTATTTTATCTGCCATGCCAGTGACCCAGAACACAGCTGTTAGATATTTACTTCCTGGAGTGAACAATTTCTTCCCCTTTTTTCAAAATCGATTTTTAAGAACCCATTATTACAAACTTAATTCAATTCAATTCGTGGTTTGTTAAGATGCTGATACATTGGCAGTCTTCTCTAGAATATGAAGGAGAGGCCAATCATGCTCCAGAGTCCTTAGAATGAAGGCAGGCTCTACAGTGCACAACCTCTCCTTTTGGGTCAAGACAGAGCCAGCATGCGCTCCCCCATCCTGGAGTACTGAGAATGCCAGCACTGGCCGACTTCCCACTGGGCCCATAATTGCTGACCTGGCTGCCACAGCTTGTTTTCTGAGAAAGACAGAGTTCTGGAGGCATATGCTGGCATATTTGATGGATGTTGGTAGCTTGTCAACAAACCAGCTAAAAAAAGGGCTTCACTGAATAGAAGATTCCAAGCTTGAATCCCCAAGTGGGCCAGCTGGGCTCCTGAGTGGGCCAGGGACAAAGAGTCAGCTTCCTCACGGGCCAGAAAGCCGAAGCTCAACATTGACAGGAGAAGCTATCGATTCACCCTGAGACAATCAGTCCCACTTGGACTCTTCAGTTGTTCACAGTAAACATGATTTTCAATACAATTACATTTTGAAGCTTATGTCATGATACATTATATAAGAAAAATGATTATTATTCAGACCATACTCTTGCACTGAAGACTCAAGGGCTTTGGCTAGCAATCCACAAACCACCAGGGTTTCCACAGCAGCTCAAATTTGCACAGATTCCTCCACCAATTCTGTGACTGCCAGGCCTTATCAGTAACTCTGATTACCTCAGATGAACTATGAAAATGAGGAAAGTTTCCAAAGCTAACTGTGACAACTCCTAACATAGCTTTTCTTTCAAAATTTCTGACATTCCTATGCATGATAGCACATGAAAAAACAGGATGCGTTTCAAGAAGAAAACATGAAAACAATCATAGTACAAAAAAAAATCAAAACTCTGAATTCCAGTCGTAACCTCAGCAGAAATACATTCTAGCTCTAACAGTAAGACTCGCCTTCTCATAATGCTTAGGTTTTTTTTTGTTTTGTTTTGTTTTTAGATATTTCAGATGCATAGATGTCTTTCGGGGTGCACTTAAAATTTGTAGTTCAACTGGACTGTTGAATAATGACAAAGATTACACAAAAATAATGTACTCATTTTAGGGAACTTCCATAGTAGGTATCATTTTATTCATTACTCCTAAATTCATTGGCAGGTATTAAGCATATTCTGTACTCCTTCTGGTCACTGTACTGAGCTCTGAGATACAAAGATAACAAAGACGTGAGCCATGCCACCGAGGAACTCGAACACCCTAACAGCGACATAGCAAATGCATCACTATGCCACTGTAAGATGCGGTACAGGGAAGCATTATGGTGATCCCTACAACTTATTACCCTAATGAGGACTTGTGGGATTGAAAAGGGGAGCTATAAATAATGAAATGGAATAGAACTCTAAGGAGCAAGCTGGGACATATGGTCACCTAAGTAAGAGGTGCATGGTGGGCAGTGAGAAGATAGTGATCACTCCACTAAGGTATAGACAGGTTAGCAAAAGGTTTCACTATGGGGATGAGGTTTCAGAAATCTTAGCCACAAACTCACAGAAGGAAAGGAATGATCAACCCGTGTTGTGGCAGCAGCATCCTGCAATGACAAGCTGCTTCCTGACTTCTACCGTCATCAGTAGTCTTAAGCCACAGTGTTGACACAATTGCCCACTAAAAGGATGTTCATACAATGAGAGTCATTTAAATAGCAATGTCAAAATTAGAGACGATAGTTATTATTTTTCTCCCTTACGGTAGTTGACCTGTTTTTTTAATAAAAAGATTTAGTATGGTTTTATGTTTAAGGGAAGGTGAACAGTCTTTGTTAAGGATTCTACCTGGGCACAGACTAAGCCACTTAGTGCTAGGAGGCAGAGGGGAGTCACGGTCAATCACTCCAGTGACCACTTCAACAGGGAGTAAATGCAAAACAAATTGTAGGAGGCAAGGCCTTGGCATTTTTGTGGAAACGTACTGTTGCATAAAGTGGTTGATCCAACTACTTGGTCATTTTTCCCTTTTCAGGTTTCCTTTAAAATCACTGCCATTAGCATATGGGTCACAGGAATAATAGCAATATCGCCAGTCAAATCACATACTGGGCAGCAGGGCATTAATTCATCAGGAAACAGTGTTAGCTGTGTATTTTTTTTCTCCTTTGCAAGCCTTGCCAAAGACTTGGTTTCCTAAACCTCCATATTTATGAGCATTTGTTTATCTACCTTTTGTAGCTTCTGAAAATCTGTGAGTTCCTAAAGGGCAAGGATTGTCTTATTTATTTTTGTATCTCTGAAGCCTAGCAGAGGGAGCCTACTGGGTAATGTTTGTTGACTGTTGAAGGAGCCTTCAGATCCTCAACCAGTCAGAAAAGTTATAAAGAAGTCATTGATTTAAGATGGAAGATCACAGTGTCTTTTATTTTAGTGTTGTTATTCCATGTATGTGTGTACATTTGTCTCTTCATAGAAGAGATTTTTCAGTCATTCCTATAGGAACTATGAGAAAGAAGGGTAGGAAATTTCATTTATTCTCAAATCTAATGAGGGGACTGCAATGAATCTGGCATCTTGGAGATTTTTCCAACTCTTAAAAATGCTATGATTTACAAAGTGGGAATCAAAGTTCACATTGGACTGCCAATGCCCCAGGTCTGACTGCTGTCATCCTGTCCCTCCCCACTTGGAGGGCTGACAGAGCTGTAAACTGTGCCTTCTGAAGTTCCCTGTGATAGGGCTGTATGGGCCTTAGCATGTCAGAGGTGAGATTTACAACTGTGTGGCCTCTACCATGTATGACAAATGATCCCAGATGATGAGAACAGCAACAAAGAGGGCAGCTGAAGCTGGAATTACAAGAGTATTTATCTGAGGAAGGAGAATATGACTTCAGCTCTGAGAGTGATGAATTTTGGATGATACCACTTGCGAGTAATTAACCAAATAGGAGCAAGGTCTTGTGTGGAACAGAGGCGACCTGAAGTACAAAATGATGTTTGTAATTCATAATGAGACTGGGAGGCCTGACAGATCATTAACTTTATCAGAATTTATAATGTTTTTTAAAGTTAATTAGCCGGGCCGGGCGCGGTGGCTCACGCCTGTAATCCCAGCACTTTGGGAGGCCGAGGCGGGCGGATCACGAGGTCAGGAGATCGAGACCATCCTGGCTAACACGGTGAAACCCCGTCTCTACTAAAAATACAAAAAATTAGCCGGGCGTGGTAGCGGGCGCCTGTAGTCCCAGCTACTCGGGAGGCTGAGGCAGGAGAATGGCGTGAACCTGGGAGGCGGAGCTTGCAGTGAGCCGCGATTGCGCCACTGCACTCCAGCCTGGGCGACAGAGCGAGACTCCGTCTCAAAAAAAAAAAAAAAAAAAAAAAAAAAAAAGTTAATTAGCCGGGCGCAGTGGCTCATGCCTGTAATCCCAGCACTTTGGCAGGCTGAGGCGGGCGGATCACGAGGTCAGGAGATCGAGACCACGGTGAAACCCCGTCTCTACTAAAAAATACAAAAAATAAATAAATAAATAAAGTTAATTAGCTTCCCATATTTAAAGAAATTCAAATGGAAGCCCCCAGACAGAACTTCAGGTAGCCTAGACTCCAGATGGCCTGACGAAGGTGCTGAAATCCTTGGATACCTGGTATATAAAAAAGCTGACCTTCCTTGGACATACAGATGAGATGTGGTCCTGAGTAAGAGTGGGAAAAAAAAATATAGGGAAGTTTGGTGAGCAGCCTAAATATCTGACGAAGGTAACGATGCTTGTAACTAACACTTTTTGGGTGCTTACATTATGCAAAGCACTGTTTCATACAATTACTTGGTTGAAGCAACACTAGTATTACCTTTCTTTTCATAGAAAAGGAAACTGGTGTCCACAGAGGACCCAAGATTGCCCAAGATTACCCAACTAGTAGGTGGTGAAGTCAAGTTTCTATGTCTGTTGGTTTGAATTCAGAGCCCATATATTTAACATTATACTGACTTCTCAAGTTTTCAGATTTCATTTAAAATCCTTAGGATTAGCAATCACAGACACGGAAATGATAGTGCAGACTAAGAATGAAGTGATGTTTGAGATAACAGCTTTAAATTCTGGTTCCTCATCACGCTTGCCTAGAACCAACAACAACAAAATGCTTATACAAGCACTGGAGACCCTACCCAGAGATCATGATCTAATTGAAGTGCAGCCAGAGTAGGTATGTTAAAAGCATATATGTCCCAAGGTGATTCTCAGGTAGAACTAGGTCTGAGAACACAGGCAAGGGATAGAGGATTGGAAGCATGCAAGCCCAGAAGCTCTTGGCCCAGTCAACAGCTAAACTTTGTACGTGGAGCTGCATATGCTCAGGAATCGTAGGTTGCTAACTTTGATTTTGTGAATAAAAAAAGTATCTGGGTATTAGAAGATTCATTAGGATGTGTTATCTCCAAGAGAATTTCAGATTCCAACATTTGGCAATGTTGACAATCCAGGGCACTGTGCAAAACTATCTTGTCGAGTCAGGGGAAGCAGATGTTAGACAATCACGCAGTTAACTGATGACATGTAATCACAAGAAAAGTGCTTCAAAGTACAAATACAAGACTGATAAAGTCTAGAAAAAGGTCTTATTTTCTGATGTTCCTAGAGTGTTGCAAGATGCCTGGTATCTTAAAGGCTAAATAAATGGTATCTACTGAATGAATAAATTAGTGGAAGAAATATGTTAATATTTCCAAAATGTAGAGAGTTAAGTCTGAAGAAACTATAGAGCTGTAAGAATTCTACCAATCTTTAGCAACATACTCAACTAAACTTTTGGAAAAATTATTAAGCCCATAGAAACAAAAGTAATTCCTTAGAAACTACAACAGATTATGAAAATCAAGTAATTCCAGATGAACCTTGTTGCCTATGCTGAGAGAATGAGGCTGGATTGATATATCTATGTACCCATTCAACAAATACTTACTGACTGTCTTTTTGTGCCAATTAAGTGCTGGCTGTTAGTAGACAAGGTGCCTGGTCTCATGGTACTTTTTCCTGTGCAGGTACTAGAGTAGGTAAACAGGAAAGAAGTAAGCAAACCCAGCCAGTGAGATTCTGGGTTGTGGCCGACACCACAAAGTAAATGACAGCACATCACATATCCATGGGCATATAATCATGGGCTAATGGTGGGTGTACAAGAAGGAAGGCAGGTGACTTTAGAGGAACAGTCGGGGGGACTTCTCTGAGGAGGTGACATTATAATTAAGAATCACATTGGCAGAAGGAGTCAACCCTGTAAATTCTGGGAACAATTGTTCAACAAGGACTTTTACTTGCCAGTAAGAAATCTCAATTTTATTTCACATGAATCAAGAAGGGGAATGCTATGCTTTCATTCCTTCTTTATAAAGAACATTTTGGTGACCGTGTAAAAGATGGTTTTGGGGTGAGTGTAGTGTGGAAGCAGGAACTCCAGACAGGAGGCTACTTAACAACTCCAGGTAAGAACTGACAGAGGCTTCTACTCACAAAAGTGGGAGAAGTACATGGATTTAAGATACCTGTTGGAGGAAGCAACTGATAGAGTTACTGTGAGCTGTAGATAAGTTGCGCAGGACTTGAAGTTATAGAGAAGGAAGAACAAAGGCTGCTTCCCAGAGTTTTGCATAGACAAGTGGATGGAGAGTGCTGCTGTTTACTGAGATGGGGAGGAGTGTTAGAGAAGAGCAGGTTGCTGAGGGCACCACTAATCTAGAGTTCCATTTTGCTATATTCTATTTAATATATCTACTATACTTTAAGTGGAAATATCAAGTAGGCTGCTGCATACATCATCTCTGAGGTCAGGCCATGAGATACAGATGTGGGGTGACCAGCATGTAGATGTGTTTAAGTTTACAAAACTCTGTCAATTCAGCAAAGCATGCAGTGTAGATGGAAAAGTAGTAGAAGAACTGAGATAGCCAATTAGCAAACTGAGATAGCCAATTAGCAAGTGAGATAGGAGGAAAAACGAGGTTTTAAAAATATGGACATAGCTTTTTGAATCAAGTACTGCTGAGAGCTTAAGTGAATTAAGAAACATTAAGTGTCCACTGAATTGGGCTTCTTGGAAATCACTGGTGATCTTGAGAAAAGTAGTTTCTCTAGAACATTCTGTATTAGTCAGAGTTTCCCTAGAGAAACAGAACCAGTAGATACTTATATATATTAAGAGACTAATTGCAAGGAATTGGCTTATACAATTGTGGGTCTGGTTAAACGTGCCTGAAGTACATAGGGCGGGCCATCAAGAAGGGGAAGCTGGAAACTCTCAGGAAGGATCTGAAACTGTAGTCCACAGGTGAATTTTCGTCTCTCTCAGGGAAATTTCTGTTCTGCTCTTGAAGCATTTCAACTGACTGAATTAGGTCCATTCAGATTACTTAGGATAATCTCCTTTACTTAAAGTCAAATGATTGTAGACACCAAACATATCACAGCAGTAACTATATTAGTGTTTGGTTGGGTAACAGGGGACTATAAAAAGGCCAAGTTGACATGTTAAACTGCCCATCAAATGTCTCAATAGTGATTGGAATCAGTTGCAGTGTGAAGGGAGGTAAGCAGGTGGGGAGAGCAACTAAAGAGAAGTTTTAGAGAGAAGCCATTCTGTGAACAGGAGAGAGGAGGAAAAGGAGAGGTAGTTGCTAAAGAGGGCCATGAGCTTTTGCTGTTTTGTTTGGTGGTGCTTACAGTAAGATTTTAGGTTTATAGAAACAATCGAGTCAAACTTGGGCACAGTAGCTCACCCCTGTAATCCCAGCACTTTGGGAGGCCGAGCTGGGTGTATCACGAGGTCAGGAGTTCGAGACCAGCCTGGCCAACATGGTGAAACTCCATCTCTACTAAAGATACGAAAATTAGCCAGACATGGTGGTGCACGCCTGTAATCCCAGCTACTTAGGAGGGTGAGGCAGCAGAATCACTTGAACTCAGGAGGCGGAGGTTGCAGTGAGCTGAGATCATGCCATGCACTCCAGCCTGGGCAAGAGAGCGAGGCTCCATCTCAAAAAAAAAAAAAAAAAAAAAGAAAGAAAGAAAGAAAGAGAGAGAGAGAAAAGGAAAGAAAGAAAGAAAGAAAGAAAGAAAGAAAGAAAGAAAGAAAGAAAGAAAGAAAGAAAACCAATCCAGTCAAATAAAAAACATGATAATGCTGAAAGGGAGAATTAGGTTCAGAAGGCATGCTAACCCATTGGTTTTAGATACAAACTGAGAAATGTATTCGTTTTTTAAATTATTTCCCCCAAATAAAAAAAAGTACCAAAGCATCAGCACTAGTGATTGAAGATTATAGGGTTCCTGCTTGAGGCACATCATAAAGACATTCTGTGTCCGACAACTCCCCAAGGTTGTTAACTTCCCATTATTGGTGAGGTTGACCTGAAGGCAGTTTATCCCATTGGAAGATGCACTAGACCTGGAGCCTACATGGAAAAAGGTAGACTCTGTTATCACAAAGTCAGGAGTTCTTTCCTTGGCTTAGAACTGGGCTTTAGCAGACCTCTGAACCTTCTCATACTGTAGAAAAGATACATGTTATCGTTATTATTTTTCTGGATAGAGTGTTCCTTATCAGATTCTCCAAGGGGTTCATCACCAGAAGATGCTAAACATGCTGCTCAAAGACATCTTTCAACCCTGCAGCCTGTGATTTAACTCGATGCTGTGACTCTTTCTGTGCAAGTAGACACTGTGGGTGAACAATTGGCATGAAAAATAAGTACAACTGAACAGACTGAGAAAAAGCAAAAGGATAAGGACATGTTAAAGAGTAATAAGATTCTTAGATCAAAATAGATGGCTGGCATAATAATATTAACAAACTTTTAATTGTAGCATAAAAGCTTCATACTGTTTTTTTTTTTTTTTTTTTTTTTGAGAAGGAGTCTCGCTCTGTCGCCCAGGCCGGACGGCGGACTGCAGTGGCGCAATCTCGGCTCACTGCAAGCTCCGCTTCCCGGGTTCACGCCATTCTCCTGCCTCAGCCTCCCGAGTAGCTGGGACTACAGGCGCCCGCCACCGCGCCCGGCTAATTTTTTGTATTTTTAGTAGAGACGGGGTTTCACCTTGTTAGCCAGGATGGTCTCGATCTCCTGACCTCGTGATCCACCCGCCTCGGCCTCCCAAAGTGCTGGGATTACAGGCGTGAGCCACCGCGCCCGGCCCATACTGTATTTTAAAATAACCTAGCAGTGACAAATTGTTATCAAACAGGAGGTGACAAGAGGAGCTTGATGCCCCAGACATCCCAGGATAGGACACATATACCCTTGTAGGTGTTCTGTGCTTTATCATACAAAGTTTGGAGTGGAAGGCAGTTCCTCCTGGGCCTAATGGTTTGTTGATGCATCTGTTCTAAACCATATTCTTTCTGAAAGTGCTTGTTCAAGATAAATACAGTCATTTTACCAGTAAATTCCCTGTGTGCAGGGCTTTATTTTTAGCAGACACTCTATATCCATAGTTTACTTGGAGAATTTGTAAACATTCCGCTTTTGGATTTCCATTTTCAGAAATTATAATCCAGTATGTATGGGATGGGGTGAGGGAAATGCATTTTCTAGGCAACACTCCTATTGATTCTGATACAGGCATTCAGTTGATCTCACTATGGAAAACAGTACAGACATGTACTCATTAAGAATTCCTACAGCCCAAAACAGGAATCTACTGAACTAGTTTGGATGAAAGTGTTAGTGATCAAATGTGTTTATGCATTAGGGGTCATTGAATTTTAGCATATAAGCAGAATATGTCACTGCTTACGGCAGAAAAACTATTTATTATGATGCAATTTCAGGTTTCAGTATAAAGCGCGCAGGAAAGAATTATAGGGATGGGAATCTTCCCTGAATAATTTTAACCTTATTCTAGAGTGATCACTAGTTCTACCCATCTTTATAATCTTTATGTGCAAGATAGAACTCTAATTTCAAATTTAATACAAACAATTCACAGATGAATGAATGAAGGAGATCATTTCAAGGAGAAAGCATTTTGTGAATTACATTTAGTTGTTCTTTCTCCTCGTCTTCTAGAACAAGTCAAGAAGGTGAATGCTTTTCTCTCATAGCTCTGGGAAAGCAGGGCAGAGAAGACTTTATAATACCTAATGCCACTTCCGGGGAAGAATTAAACTCAATTTTGTTTAACTGCAAAGGACAAATGGTTACTTGATTCCCCAAGAGTTATTAATTTTGAATGTTTCATTGAGCCTTTATCACACCATCACAACTACATTCCTACAGTCCTAAGTAGAATGTTTTTTCTACTTTGGGATTGAATTGAACATTTTTAAATATGCATATGAAAGTCTAGAAACAACTTTAAAATAAGATGATTGTCAATCTCAATGTAGATAAACTGATGTTACGTAGGCGGTGCCACTCACACTCAGCAATGGTAAAGGGTACATGTGAGTACTTACTATAGGAACATCCGTAGACCTCGACTCTCATGCCAATCTTCCCACTGGGATTCCATTCCAGGGGCACAAAGCGAACAAATCGGGCTCTCACTGAGTGCAATAGCTTGTGGTGCACCACGCTGTCAGCATTCATGTTTCCTGCAAAGGTCTGCAGAGAAGAAAGGAGAGGCAGTGAGGTCTGTGCTATCATGGAATTTCAGTGGAAAACCATATTTGTTACTCCACGAACTCGTACTGAGAACATACCTAATTTCTCACGTATTTCAATTGAAATATGACTTGGGTGAAAATCCTGCATCATGTTTGTTTGTTTTCAGAAATACTTCACATTATTCTTTAAGAAATCCCTTTTAGGCTGTGTGAAGTGGCTCACTCCTGTAATCCCAGCACTTTGGGAGGCTGAGGCAAGCGGGTCATGAGGTCAGGAGTCTGAGACCAGACTGGCTAGCATGGTGAAACACTGTCTCTACTAAAAATACAAAAAAATTAGCTGGGCATGGTGGTGTGTGCCTGTAATCCCAGCTACCCGAGAGACTGAGGCAGGATAATCACTTGAACCCAGGAGGCGGAGGTTGCAGTGAGCCAAGATCATACCACTGCACTCCAGCCTGGGCGACAGAGGGAGACTCTGTCAAAAAAAAAAAAAAAAAAAAAGAAATCCCTCTTAAACATTTTATGAATAAAGCAATTCTAGCAAGTCCTGAGGCATGACACCTAAAAGCTTTACAAAGGTAACAATACAATGAAATTCCCATGTTCCTAATGTCCATACTCACTGAGGAATGGAAGATAACTGACAATCTGCTTTTAGAAGGAAAGGATTTTATTGAAGTAATTGTTACCATTAATTGAGGCCAGTCACTATGCTAAGCACTTTCCATTATCATTATCACCATTTTACAGATTTTTTAAAAAAAGAAGCCTAGAAAGAGAAAAAGGGAAGGAAAAAAATCTCCAAATCACCCAATTGGCTAGTAATTAGTCTGAAATTTCTACAGCTTTCTACTCTTCAACAATTTCATTGTTGTTACAGGAGGGAGACAATGCAACTCAGATTTATATCTTGTTCTTTTACATATTTCCTTGTGAAGTTTAAGCAAAAGAATACACAGCACAAAAGCTATGTGGTCTACTAATATTGTACTTCATAGCCTTTATTTGGATGTGAACAACATGAATGACATGTGAACAATAAGAATGACAACGAACTACTCATCAGAAAAAAAAAAAAGAGGAAATCCAAAATGCTGAAAGTAAAATGCTATCAACCCAGCATTCTATATCCAACGCTGGAACTCAGAAAATGATACCCCAAAACATGACACTTTGACATACAACTAAAGAAGTAGCCTCAATTCTCTCTTACCTTCCCCTCCTCACTCCAACTCTCAATACTTTGTTCCAAAGCACAGGTTAAGGCTATTCTCTGAAGTTCTTTTATCTACTTGGAAACTGAACCCACCAAAGAGAAACAATTGTCTTCAATCCCCTCCCTGAAATGTAATTAATTAGGGAAGATTACAACTCATATTAGAGAGAAAAAAAAACTAAAAATTAAACACCACACCTAGAATCCAGATGATCTTTATCTCTAATCCTATTCAATGCCAAAAAAGAATTATTAAAAATACTCTGAGCATTGGGCTCATTCATTTTCCCTGAAAATTATTGGGGGGTTTTTTTTGCTGAAGATGAAATCCAAAGGCTCACACCTAATATATTTTTTTAATTGGAGTAAATATACGTAGCAAAAAATGTATCATTATAACCAATTTAAAGTAAATAATTCAGGGCATTAAGCATATTCACGTTGTCGTATAACCATCACCACCATCCTTCCCCAGAACGTTTTCATCATCCCAATCATACCTCATCTTTAAGATGGGATGTCAGCTAGCATACCGATTTGCTTGCTTCATTATGAATCATCAACGTTCTTCTTTTCACCTTCTAATATTCATAGATAAAACCTACTTGCTGGTGTGCAATCAATGTCAACCAATGAAAAGAAGATCCATTGCTTTCGCAGATGACCAAAGTGAAAACCAAGTAAGATAATTTTGTCTATTTAATGAAATCCATTTTCAAAGACCTTAACCTTAACCTTGATTATATTTTAATAGCACCTGTGGATTTAGGTTATCTTGCATAATCTTTGACATTTCTACTACGCACAAAACACCCGCTAGCTAATAGCTCTGAAATTAGGCGATTGATGTAATTACTATCATGTATCACAAAGTGGCTTATAAAGAAGGAATTGGCTCACTTTCTATTTTGCAGCCCCTTCTGCAGCAAAACTCTCATATAAAAGAATGACTTAGTGGTGAGGAATTTCTTGAGGTTCAAATTCAACATTTCAGCTCCCAGGTTTGTCAAACTTTGAACATTTTCTCTTTATCCAGATGGAGAATGGCTTTATTTGACAGAAATGCTCTTCCACATCCCCTGCTCCCAGCACTAGCATCTGGCACAGGTATGAAGCTGTCCTCCTTCCCTGCTCACCTGGAAAGGACGCCTCCCTGTGGAGTTTAGTTCTTTTAAAATGTCCTTGCGTCCATACCACTTTGATATGTATGAGGGAAGGAAGGGAGATGGGTTCTGGTGGTTTCTTACTGTTTTGGGTAGAGTAAAAGTGTGTCATGTTTTTCTACAGCCTAACTGTGGAACCTTCTCTTCAGCACTCTCAATTCCCTACTGATTGTGTGCACCATATCCCACCTCCCCAGGCATGTGAGTCCGTAGGTCTGTAGCATTATTTATCTAATCCAAATGTGCAGTAGAAACTTATCCACCTTCAAATGACTGGCTGCCCCTTCTGAGTTTGGCATAATTTGTAGATTGAATATCACACACACACACACACACGCACACACACATACACACATCTTAAAACAATGTTTAAAATTTGATCGCATGCTCCAGATTAAAGATTTGTTTCATGACCTGGCAATGCTTTATAGGAGTTAATCCCGTGACTAATGTATGGTGTGCTCCAATGAGAAGGAATCTTGGACTCTCATTCTGAGAAGAGGCAGCCTTAGTATTGCAATCTCACAGTCTCAAAGTCCTACTATCCCAGAGCCATATCATTTGCAGTTTCATAGTCTTAGAGGCTCATGGTCAAGCAGATCCAAGGTCTCACAGTTCTGAGATCTGGAAGTTTTCAATGCATGGTCCCAGGGACTTCCTGGTGCTAGCAGCTTAAGGTCACCTAGAAAGCATTAACAGTAGAGGCAGATTGAATCTAAACAAAGCTACAATCAGCCCCTCCCCAAGTTCACCAGTGGATCAAAGTCAATCAATCACTTATCAATGCCGGAAGTTATGTGCCGGATGAATAGCAAGAAAAGATCTTCCTGTTAGATGTATTAAAGCCACCAACCTATTCAAAGCCATCTCAGTTGTTGAATGTAACATGTGAACAACAAGAATGACAACAAACTACTCATCAGAAAAAAAAAAAAAAAAGGAAATCCAAAAATACTGAAAGTAAAACACTATCAATCTAGCATTCTATATCCAATGCTGGAACTCAGGAAATGGTACCCCAAAATATGGCACTTTGACATACAACTAAAGAAATAGCCTCAAATCTCTCTTACCTTCCCCTCCTCACTCCATCTCTCAATACTTTGTCTGTTCCAAAGCACAGGTTAAGGCTATTCTCCGAAGTTCTTTTTTTTTAATTTATTTATTTATTTATTTTATTATACTTTAAGTTTTAGGGTACATGTGCACATTGTGCAGGTTAGTTACATATGTATACATGTGCCATGCTGGTGCACTGCACCCACTAACTCGTCATCTAGCATTAGGTATATCTCCCAATTCTATCCCTCCCGCCTCCCCCCACCCCACCACAGTCCCCAGAGTGGGATATTCCCCTTCCTGTGTCCATGTGATCTCATTGTTCAATTCCCACCTATGAGTGAGAATATGCGGTGTTTGGTTTTTTGTTCTTGCGATAGTTTACTGAGAATGATGATTTCCAATTTCATCCATGTCCCTACAAAGGACATGAACTCATCATTTTTTATGGCTGCCTAGTATTCCATGGTGTATATGTGCCACATTTTCTTAATCCAGTCTATCATTGTTGGACATTTGGGTTGGTTCCAAGTCTTTGCTATTGTGAATAATGCCGCAATAAACATACGTGTGCATGTGTCTTTATAGCAGCATGATTTATAGTCCTTTGGGTATATACCCAGTAATGGGATGGCTGCGTCAAATGATATTTCTAGTTCTAGATCCCTGAGGAATCGCCACAATGACTTCCACAATGGTTGAACTGGTTTACAGTCCCACCAACAGTGTAAAAGTGTTGCTATTTCTCCACATCCTCTCCAGCACCTGTTGTTTCCTGACTTTTTAATGAACGCCATTCTAACTGGTGTGAGATGGTATCTCATTGTGGTTTTGATTTGCATTTCTCTGATGGCCAGTGATGATGAGCATTTTTTCATGTGTTTTTTGGCTGCATAAATGTCTTCTTTTGAGAAGTGTCTGTTCATGTCCTTTGCCCACTTTTTGATGGGGTTGTTTGTTTTTTCCTTGTAAATTTGTTTGAGTTCATTGTAGATTCTGGATATTAGCCCTTTGTCAGATGAGTAGGTTGCGAAAATTTTCTCCCATTTTTTAGGTTGTCTGTTCACTCTGATAGTAGTTTCTTTTGCTGTGCAGAAGCTCTTTAGTTTAATTAGATCCCATTTGTCAATTTTGGCTTTTGTTGCCATTGCTTTTGGTGTTTTGGACATGAAGTCCTTGCCCATGCCTATGTCCTGAATGGTAATGCCTAGGTTTTCTTCTAGGGTTTTTATGGTTTTAGGTCTAACGTTTAAATCTTTAATCCATCTTGAATTGATTTTTGTATAAGGTGTAAGGAAGGGATCCAGTTTCAGCTTTCTACATATGGCTAGCCAGTTTTCCCAGCACCGTTTATTAAATAGGGAATCCTTTCCCCATTGCTTGTTTTTCTCAGGTTTGTCAAAGATCAGATAGTTGTAGATATGCAGCGTTATTTCTGAGGGCTCTGCTCTGTTCCATTGATCTATATCTCTGTTTTGGTACCAGTACCATGCTATTTTGGTTACTGTAGCCTTGTAGTATAGTTTGAAGTCAGGTAGTGTGATGCCTCCAGCTTTGTTCTTTTGGCTTAGGATTGCCTTGGCAATGCGGGCTCTTTTTTGGTTCCATATGAACTTTAAAGTAGTTTTTTCCAATTCTGCGAAGAAAGTCATAGGTAGCTTTATGGGGATGGCATTGAATCTGTAAATTACCTTGGGCAGTATGGCCATTTTCATGACATTGATTCTTCCTACCCATGAGCATGGAATGTTCTTCCATTTGTTTGTATCCTCTTTTATTTCCTTGAGCAGTGGTTTGTAGTTCTCCTTGAAGAGGTCCTTCACATCCCTTGTAAGTTGGATTCCTAGGTATTTTATTCTCTTTGAGGCAATTGTGAATGGGAGTTCACTCATGATTTGGCTCTCTGTTTGTCTGTTATTGGTGTATAAGAATGCTTGTGATTTTTGTACATTGATTTTGTATCCTGAGACTTTGCTGAAGTTGCTTATCAGCTTAAGGAGATTTTGGGCTGAGACAATGGGGTTTTCTAGATATACAATCATGTCATCTGCAAACAGGGACAATTTGACTTCCTCTTTTCCTAATTGAATACCCTTTATTTCCTTCTCCTGCCTAATTGCCCTGGCCAGAACTTCCAACACTATGTTGAATAGGAGTGGTGAGAGAGGGCATCCCTGTCTTGTGCCTGTTTTCAAAGGGAATGCTTCCAGTTTTTGCCCATTCAGTATGATATTGGCTGTGGGTTTGTCATAGATAGCTCTTATTATTTTGAAATACGTCCCATCAATACCTAATTTATTGAGAGTTTTTAGCATGAAGGGTTGTTGAATTTTGTCAAAGGCTTTTTCTGCATCTATTGAGATAATCATGTGGTTTTTGTCTTTGGCTCTGTTTATATGCTGGATTACATTTATTGATTTGCGTATATTGAACCAGCCTTGCATCCCAGGGATGAAGCCCACTTGATCATGGTGGATAAGCTTTTTGATGTGCTGCTGGATTCATTTTCCCAGTATTTTATTGAGGATTTTTGAATCAATGCTCATCAAGGATATTGGTCTAAAATTCTCTTTTTTGGTTGTGTCTCTGCCTGGCTTTGGTATCAGAATGATGCTGGCCTCATAAAATGAGTTAGGGAGGATACCCTCTTTTTCTATTGATTGGAATAGTTTCAGAAGGAATGGTACCAGTTCCTCCTTGTACCTCTGATAGAATTTGGCTGTGAATCCATCTGGTCCTGGACTCTTTTTGGTTGGTAAACTATTGATTATTGCCACAATTTCAGCTCCTGTTATTGGTCTATTCAGATTCAACTTCTTCCTGGTTTAGACTTGGGAGAGTGTATGTGTCCAGGAATTTATCCATTTCTTCTAGATTTTCTAGTTTATTTGCATAGAGGTGTTTGTAGTATTCTCTGATGGTAGTTTGTATTTCTGTGGGATCGGCAGTGATATCCCCTTTATCTTTTTTTATTGCATCTATTTGATTCTTCTCTCTTTTTTTCTTTATTAGTCCTGCTAGCGGTCTATCAATTTTGTTGATCCTTTCAAAAAACCAGCTCCTGGATTCATTAATTTTTTGAAGAGTTTTTTGTGTCTCTATTTCCTTCAGTTCTGCTCTGATTTTAGTTATTTCTTGCCTTCTGCTAGCTTTTGAATGTGTTTGCTCTTGCTTTTCTAGTTCTTTTAATTGTGATGTTAGGGTGTCAATTTTGGATCTTTCCTGCTTTCTCTTGTGGGCATTTAGTGCTATAAATTTCCCTCTACACACTGCTCTGAATGCGTCCCAGAGATTCTGGTATGTTGTGTCTTTGTTCTCGCTGGTTTCAAAGAACAGCTTTATTTCTGCCTTCATTTCGTTATGTATCCAGTAGTCATTCAGGAGCAGGTTGTTCAGTTTCCATGTAGTTGAGCGGTTTTGAGTGAGATTCTTAATCCTGAGTTCTAGTTTGATTGCACTGTGGTCTGAGAGATAGTTTGTTATAATCTCTGTTCTTTTACATTTGCTGAGGAGAGCTTTACTTCCAAGTATGTGGTCAATTTTGGAATAGGTGTGGTGTGGTGCTGAAAAAAATGTATATTCTGTTGATTTGGGGTGGAGAGTTCTGTACATGTCTATTAGGTCCGCTTGGTGCAGAGCTGAGTTCAATTCTTGGGTATCCTTGTTGACTTTCTGTCTCGTTGATCTGTCTAATGTTGACAGTGGGGTGTTAAAGTCTCCCATTATTAATGTGTGGGAGTCTAAGTCTCTTTGTAGGTCACTCAGGACTTGCTTTATGAATCTGGGTGCTCCTGTATTGGGTGCATATATATTTAGGATAGTTAGCTCTTCTTGTTGAATTGATCCCTTTACCATTATGTAATGGCCTCCTTTGTCTCTTTTGATCTTTGTTGGTTTAAAGTATTTTATCAGAGACTAGGATGGCAACCCCTGCCTTTTTTTGTTTTCCATTTGCTTGGTAGATCTTCCTCCATCCTTTTATTTTGAGCCTATGTGTGTCTCTGCACGTGAGATGGGTTCCCTGAATACAGCACACTGAATACAGCTCTTGACTCTTTATCCAATTTGCCAGTCTGTGTCTTTTAATTGGAGCATTTAGTCCATTTACATTTAAAGTTAATATTGTTATGTGTGAATTTGATCCTGTCATTATTATGTTAGCTGGTGAGTTTGCTCGTTAGTTGATGCAGTTTCTGCCTAGTCTTGATGGTCTTTACATTTTGGCTTGATTTTGCAGCGGCTGGTACCGGTTGTTCCTTTCCATGTTTAGCGCTTCCTTCAGGAGCTCTTTTAGGGCAGGCCTGGTGGTGACAAAATCTCTCAGCATTTGCTTGTCTGTAAAGGATTTTATTTCTCCTTCACTTATGAAGCTTAGTTTGGCTGGATATGAAATTCTGGGTTGAAAATTCTTTTCTTTAAGAATGTTGAATATTGGCCCCCACTCTCTTCTGGCTTGTAGGGTTTCTTCCGAGAGATCCGCTGTTAGTCTGATGGGCTTCCCTTTGAGGGTAACCCGACCTTTCTCTCTGGCTGCCCTTAACATTTTTTCCTTCATTTCAACTTTGGTGAATCTGACAATTATGTGTCTTGGAGTTGCTCTTCTCGAGGAGTATCTTTGTGGCGTTCTCTGTATTTCCTGAATCTGAACGTTGGCCTGCCTTGCTAGATTGGGGAAGTTCTCCTGGATAATATCCTGCAGAGTGTTTTCCAACTTGGTTCCATTCTCCCCATCACTTTCAGGTACACCAATCAGACGTAGATTTGGTCTTTTCACATAGTCCCATATTTCTTGGAGGCTTTGCTCATTTCTTTTTATTCTTTTTTCTCTAAACTTCCCTTCTCGCTTCATTTCATCTTCCATTGCTGATACCCTTTCTTCCAGTTGATCGCATCGGCTCCTGAGGCTTCTGCATTCTTCACGTAGTTCTCGAGCCTTGGTTTTCAGCTCCATCAGCTCCTTTAAGCACTTCTCTGTATTGGTTATTCTAGTTATACATTCTTCTAAATTTTTTTCAAAGTTTTCAACTTCTTTGCCTTTGGTTTGAATGTCCTCCCATAGCTCAGAGTAATTTGATCGTCTGAAGCCTCCTTCTCTCAGCTCGTCAAAGTCATTCTCCATCCAGCTTTGTTCCGTTGCTGGTGAGGAACTGCATTCCTTTGGAGGAGGAGAGGAGCTCTGCATTTTAGAGTTTCCAGATTTTCTGTTCTGTTTTTTCCCCATCTTTGTGGTTTTATCTACTTTTGGTCTTTGATGATGGTGATGTACAGATGGGTTTTTGGTGTGGATGTCCTTTCTGTTTGTTAGTTTTCCTTCTAACAGACAGGACCCTCAGCTGCAGGTCTGTTGGAATACCCTGCCTTGTGAGGTGTCAGTGTGCCCCCCTGCTGGGGGGTGCCTCCCAGTTAGGCTGCTCGGGGGTCAGGGGTCAGGGACCCACTTGAGGAGGCAGTCTGCCCGTTCTCAGATCTCCAGCTGCGTGCTGGGAGAACCACTGCTCTCTTCAAAGCTGTCAGACAGAGACATTTAAGTCTGCAGAGGTTACTGCTGTCTTTTTGTTTGTCTGTGCCCTGCCCCCAGAGGTGGAGCCTACAGAGGCAGGCAGGCCTCCTTGAGCTGTGGTGGGCTCCACCCAGTCCGAGCTTCCCGGCTGCTTTGTTTACCTAAGCAAGCCTGGGCAATGGCGGGCGCCCCTCCCCCAGCCTCGCTGCGGCCTTGCAGTTTGATCTCAGACTGCTGTGCTAGCAATCAGCGAGACTCCGTGGGCGTAGGACCCTCCGAGCCAGGTGCGAGATATAATCTCGTGGTGTGCCGTTTTTTAAGCCCGTCGGAAAAGCGCAGTATTCGGGTGGGAGTGACCCGATTTTCCAGGTGCCTTCCGTCACCCCTTTCTTTGACTCGGAAAGGGAACTCCCTGACCCCTTGCGCTTCCCAAGTGAGGCAATGCCTCGCCCTGCTTCGGCTGGCGTACGGTGCGCGCACCCACTGACCTGCGCCCACTGTCTGGCACTCCCTAGTGAGATGAACCCAGTACCTCAGATGGAAATGCAGAAATCACCCATCTTCTGCGTCGCTCACGCTGGGAGCTGTAGACCGGAGCTGTTCCTATTCGGCCATCTTGGCTCCTCCTCCCGAAGTTCTTTTATCTACTTGGAAACTGAACCCACCAAAGAGAAACACAATTGTCTTCAATCCCCTCCCTGAAATGTAATTAAGTAGGGAAGATTGCAACTCATATTACAGAGAGGAAAAAACTAAAAATTAAACACCACACCTAGAACCCAGATGATCTTTATCTCTAATCCTATACAATGCCTAAAAAGAATTATTTATTAAAAATAGTCTGAGTACTGGGTACATCCATTTTCCCTGAAAATAGTTTACTGCTCTTCAAAATTACCACATTTCTGCCATCTCCCTTTCCCCTGTGAAGAAGGGTATTGAAGTACCTGAACCTCATTGAGTTATTGAGTCTCTAGCAACTCCCCTGGGCTTATCCATGTTAAATACACTGATATGCCTTTTCTTTCTAGTATCCTGCCATTGTTAATTTGTTACATTTGTTAGTTTTCAGTGAACCTTTAGAAAGAAGAGAGGAAGCTTTCCCCTGACCTCTACAACCCACCCTCAAAAAAATAGCTTTCAAATATGAAGGAAAAGAAACAGTTCCATGAACAAAATAAATAATTTATTAGCTATAAAGCTGCTAAGAAATGCTAATACAAAAGTAGAAGAAATTGATGCCAGGTAAAATTTGTGGTGTATAGGAAGGAATGATGAGCTCTCAATCCCTCTAGTGAAAATGTATCAAAAGGAAAGGAAATTAGTATATCAAAAGGATACCTGCACCCCCATGTTTATCACAGCACTACTTACAACAGCAAAGATATAGAAACAATGCGTGTCCATCAATAGATGAATAGTTAGAGGAAATGTAGTATATGTATTATTCAGCCATAAAAAAGGATGAAATCATGTCATTCGCAACAACATGGACGGAACTGGAGGTTATTATATTAAGTAAAATAAGCCAGCTACAGAAAGACAAGCTTCACATGTCTGCACTCATATGTGAGAGCTAAAAGTAAGTTGATCTCATGGAGGTAGAGTAGAATGATAGTTACCAGAAGCCAGGAAAGGTATATGTGAGGTTGGGATGAAAAAAGATTGGTTAATGGGTACAAACATGTAGTTAGATAGAAGAAATATGTTCTAATGTTTAATAGCACAGTAGAGTGACTATAGTTAACAACAACATGTATTATATATTTTAAAATAGCTAGGAAAGGTGATTTGAATTATTCCCAATACAAATAAATGATAAATGCTTGAGCTGATGGATATCCCAAATACCCTGACTTGATCTTTGCACATTCTGTGTATGTATCAAAATATCACATGCACACCATAACTATGTACAAGTATTACCCATCAATTTAAAAATCAAATGAAAACTGCATGGTTAAATATAAAAGACTATTTTTCTTTCTTAAACATTTTAAAAGTCAGTTCATAGTTTTTCAAAAAATAATATCTTGTAATGTTTGCAAGGCATGTAGAAGGAAAATATATGCGAACAAAACCAAAAAGGATGGAAAGTACAGAAAATGGAATTATACAAGAGGACAAAAAATCAGAAAGGATATGAAAGATTCAAATAACATTATCAGTAAAATTGACCTAATTTACATTCATGTAACACTCCATTCAACAACTACAGATTATACATTAGTTTAAAGTCCACACAGTACCTTCACTGAGACCATATCCTGCACAATAAGATAGGTCTTAGTTAAAACCGTACAGTTTGTTTTTTAACCACAATTGAATTAAATTAGGAATCAATAATAAATTATCTAGAAAAACCTCAAATATTTGGAAGTTAATCAACACAGTTTTATGTAACCCGTAGGTCAAAGAAGAAATCTAAACGGAAATTAGAAATTAGTTTGAATTGCATGGTGATAAAAACACTGTATCAAAGCTTGTGGGACACAGTTAAAGCAGACCTTAGAGAAAAACTTGTGGCTTCAGTGCTTTGTACATAAGAAGAACAACATAAAATTAAAAATCTAATTTTCCACTTCTAGAGCCTAGCAAGACAGGAAATTTAATACAGAATATTAGTAGATTGGAATATTACTCAACAATAAAAAGTAACAAAGTGCTGATCCCTGCAACAACACACTAGTTGAGCAAAATAAGCCAGCCATAAAGAGTGCAAACAGCACGATTCCATGCATATAAAATTCTAAACTAGGCAGACCTAAGCTCTGAGGATGGAAACCAGATCAGTACTTTTCTTGACAGTGTGAGGCCACGAATAACTACAAAGAACATTCATCAATTCATTTGATCACAGTATTCTTGTGAAGTAGGTAGGCTGTTTTATCTTCATTTTAAAGGTGAGAAAACTTAATTTTGGAGAGGTTAAGTGATCCGAGGTCGTAAGTAAAAAAAATTATCAGAAGTTGAGACTAGATTATAGAGATTCTGATGAGAGTCTAGTGACCCTTTTACTTCACTCCCATAATCACCTGCATATATAAGTGGAGTCCGGTTTCTGCAACCAAGTAATTGCAGTGGCTGCATCATAGCTACCGTTTTCAAGGGTCTCCTCCATGCCAGGCACTTGCTAGGCTCTTTGCATGTATTAGTTCACTTTGTCCCACTTATCATCAAAGAAGGTTTCAGCCCACTTCCTCACTAAAAGAGACACCCTGTTCCCGCCCCTCCACATGTATTTAATCCTTCTGAATTTGCAGTACATCTTACAAACATGTGGCTCATTAATGTAGTCTCGCCGCCTCATGAGGAAAACCCTGGGGCTCAGAGAGATTAATGGCAAGAACACACTGCAAAATCAGTGCAGGTCCTTTCCATTTACAATTCTGAATGATATTATATGCACTAGTTCTCAGAAATTTGATTTTTCTCTTTTCCCCAGCCGCCCCCACCCGCCACCCCCACAACCTTAAGTACTAATATACTGAATTTATCCATAGACCTTTTAAAGTTATAATGAGATAAATGTTATTATATTTGTTACTCTCAAATATCATTCATATGATTCTTAACAAAGCTGTTCACTGATCTTATCCTTACACGGAAACACAGTTTAGGAGTTTGTCTTTCCTTCCCTGGAGTTAAAGAACTTGAGGCTTAGAGAAGTTAAGTTTCTTGTAATGGTCACAGAGAGAGTGAAATTTGCTCTTCAAAGAGAATCTCAATCTCCCATCTTCTTCCAAGAACTCTCCACCATATTTGGCCTGAATATTAGAAAAGAAAATAAGCACATAGAAAGGAGATCACAGGGAGAGCTTACTCGGGATTGACACACAGAAGAATATGCCAGAAGTGAAAGAAAAGAGTATCAGTCAGCATTCACCCCCTGCCCTTCTGCCACTCAGTCATTCCTAAGTGTTCAACACTGTTTGGTTAATGAATGGAAGAACCTGTGGTCACACAAAGGTGCTGATGCTCTTCCTTGACTTTGTTAAGCAGGTCATGGTATGGGGAGACACTGTGAGGCTAAGGCAAGATTGGTGCTGGGACTGATCAGTGGAGAGTGGACAGGTCTGAGCTGGCTGCCACCAGAGCCACTCATTTGGATTCTGTGAATTCACTGTAGCCAGCCGACCTACACTGTTGACTTTGACTGGCAGTGAGATTACAAGTATCCCGGTGCCACCAGGCAGATGTTATTAATTTGCCTAACTACAGTCTGTGCAAGAAATGACAGGTACAACAACAAAATTCTGCATCAGTGACCTTGACAGGGGATGTCGGGAATTTTCAGGGAGACTCTGTTGCAAGTCTGGTGCTCTGCCAAACACACCACCTTGCCTAAGGGTCCATGTTAAGAGAAGCAGTGGGAAAGAAAAGAGATGAACTTTGGGTGCTAATCCTAACATCCCTGCGGATACGGTTTGGCTGTGTCCCCACCAAAATCTCATCTTGAAATGTTGCTCCCATAACCCCCACCTGTCATGAGAGGGACCCAGTGGGAGGTGATTGAATCACGGGGGTGGGTTTTTTTCCATGCTATTCTCGTGCTAGTGAATAAGTCTCACGAGACCTGATAGTTTTAGAAAGGGCAGTTCCCCTGCACATGCTTTCTTACCTGCTGCCATGTAAGACGTGCGTTTGGTCCTTCTTAGCCTTCTTCCATAATTGTGAGGCCTCCCTAGCCATGTGGAACTGTGAGTCAATTAAACCTCCTTCTTTTATAAATTACCCAGTCTCGGGTATGTCTTTATTAGCAGCATGAGACCGGACTAATACGATTTGCCCTGTCATCCCCAGCAAGGCACCCGGACTGTAATTCCTCTTTGAATCTGGATTGTATCTCGTTTTAAACTGCATTGTCTAGAACAGTGCATGGAGCACAGTATTTCTTAAAGGTATATTGAAATGGATTTCAGTAACCCAAGCCAAATATGTGTACTTTTTTCAAAATCAGTCAATTTACAAACAGCATCTTAATGCTGCACATACTGTTATTAAAGACTTGCTGAATAACTGGGTGAATGAATGAACAAAGAAACATAAAAAAAACTTTTCTTAATCTGTTTACTCATCAAGAAAATAGAGAAAATGAAGTCTCCAGGGAAGATGTGAATCTTACATCTAATACATATGCAGATGACACTTCATTTTGTAGGTTCTTCAATACATGCAATACTCTTCAAGAGAAAGAAAGACAGAGAGAAAAAAAAGAAAGGCGGGTTCCAATAGAAAATACTTGTAAAAATATCTTTGTATGACAGTGTATGCTGAAGCAACGACCTGCTAATACCTCGAGCTACATATAAGGAATGTGTCAATGACACTTACATTTTCTGAATGACTTTCAAAGGGATGTCCCCCCAGAAGAGTACAAACTAAAGTTAAGGAGGAACTAGCAGCACAGAGGTAATTAGAAATGATTGGTTTTCTTTTCTAATTTAAGAAGATACATTTAATAAGGCAAAGGGTAATTAACATGCAAACCACAGACTTAAAGCTAAAATTGACAAACCCATTCAGCCTTCAAAGTTCCAAACTGCTATTCAGAGCAGCGCAAAAATGGATTTCAGACAGGCGTTTATAGAAAAGAAAATGAGAGAAATAGGTTTTAGGCACTGGCCACTACTGGTAGCTAAGAGGAACTCTGAAATGATAGATTTGAGGAGACAAAAATGAGAGTTAAACAATAGAACTCTCCTTTTCCCCCACTCTTCCTTATTTGGAGCACAGGGTCTATTATATCATAAGTGCATATGTGTGTATCTACTTGTCGTTTAATAGCGACAGTTATTTGATTAGCTTAAAAGACCACTCAGAATTTGATTGCTGTCTAAGAATCCTGTTGTATCTTAACAGTTGGCAAGAGGGGAATGACTGATTGGCACCACTTGCCACCCTGCTTGCTTTGCCTGGTTATGACCTCCAGATTAGAGAAACAACACAAGGATTTCAGCCAACACTAGAGAAAAGCTGGCATTCCAGTCTGATCTCACCACCAGTTGTGTGGGTATAGGCTCTCAGAGCTGTGCTAGTGACAATCACGTGCTCATGTTCTCTCCCTTCTCTCAGGGAGTCGCTATCGACTCTGTGCTCTTACTCTGTTGGAGTTGTGTACCTGGGACACTGAAGGTGTATTTGTTTATGCCTCTGTCTCTGGCAGTAAAAATTCCCTTCAGTGGGTATTAGTGCTTCCTCATTCCCAGCCCAGCCTTGGCACATCTTCTGTGACACATGTGCTCCCGTGCCACCAGTGGTCAACTTGACATTTTCCTCCTAGTCTCCTTGTCCTGGCCTTCACTGTCATTCATTCTCCTGAAGCTTGATGTGGCCACTTCAGAAAATGAAATATGAAGGGATCCTAACATGGACCACTTTGTTATTCTTTTACCCCTGTGAAAGTTATTTCTGATGCAAATCTTATCAATATAGAGTCTCCTAATACACTCCTGGAACCCCTTCCTAAACCATCAGTTATATCCCTTTTTATTCTTAGTGAGGGGATATAATAGAACTTGTCAGCAGAAGTTACTCAGTAAACCCGTGAAGGTTGCAGGGGGTAATGTCTTCCATTAAGTGACTCTCCCACTGGAGACTCCAGTGTTGTCAGAGTGACCAGCACCTGGCCCCAGGCAGAAAAGCCCAGCTTCCCGTAGGGGCAGTGCCCCATGACCATGGAGCTACTGCATCGCTACCCTCACTGCCCCATGAAAGTTATTACTTCTATATTCCATTTTCTCATCCTTCTTCTACTTTGATGAACAAATGTCCTTGCCTGTGAATTATTTGCATTAAATCTCCTCCATCAATAACGTAAGTACAAATAGAATTTATTGAAAGTCAAGAGTTACAAGCACCAAGAAAGGGCATTGATAAAGTTATTTTAAGGTACATGTGGAAGAACCTAAATCACCATTGGGCCTCTGCCTATTTATGGCTTTAACAACCAAACACTAATTTAGAATGAAGTTTCTGAATAAAGTTCTCAAAATTCTTCCTAGAACACTATGAACTTTTGTATATAAGTAGTCTATCAGCATCCCTATGATAATGATAAGTGTCTGAGCCACTTAGTACTAGAAGATAAAATATGACAACTGATATTATGTACATCAACCCAGAAACAAAGAGAAACATGCCTTTGTTGCCCACTGGTTTGTATGATTCAGAAGAGAAATTGTTCTTGAAGGCGTTGTGCATGTAAAGATAAATGTTTGTTAAGTAATTGACGGCATGTATATGACACCAGACTC
The DNA here is from genome assembly GCF_000001405.40 of Homo sapiens. Taxonomy (NCBI): domain Eukaryota; kingdom Metazoa; phylum Chordata; class Mammalia; order Primates; family Hominidae; genus Homo; species Homo sapiens. The sequence goes on along the minus strand of NC_000002.12, from coordinate 124,401,243 downwards.
CTCTGTTGCTACTGCTGTGTTTGTTCTGAAATTCTGGATTTTGCGTGACTTCTGCTGTGTTAAGTGTAAGAGATAATTGGCTGGGCACGATGGCTCACACCTGTAATCCCAGCAATTTGGCAGGACGAGACAGGTGGATCACATGAAGTCAGGAGTGTGAGACAGCCTGGCCAACATAGTGAAACCCCGTTTCTACTAAAAATACAAAAATTAGCGTGGTGGCACGTGTCTGTAATCTCAGCTACTCAGGAGGCTGAGGCAGGAGAATCGCTTGAACCCGGGAGGCGGAGGTTGCAGTGAGCCAAGATCATGCAACTGCGCTCCAGCCTGGGCAACAGAGCGAGACTCGGTCTCAAAAAAAAAGTAATAAAAAAAAAGTGTAGGGGGTAATGAAGTGACTGTTGACAACAGTGTCATATATTTATATTTCTGTCTCTGCACTGAGAGATAACACCAACATGTATGGCAGCTCCAACATATGGCACATGCCTGGAAAAGACTGAAATACCCTCTTAGCAAAATCACACTTTTCACATTCCACTAAAGAAAAAAAACAAAAAAAAAAAAAAAAAAACAATGCCTTTATCCTTTCAAAAATTAAATAGAAATCTTTTTCAACTTTCTTGCCAATGAGGTAGGGAACTAGAGCATGGGAGTAGGCAGGGCAGCCCAACCTTCTATTAGAGCACCTGGAGTTAAGGAGTGATATTGCAGCAAGGGCCAGGCCCAGAGCTAGGGAGAGGCTAACTCAGGTATACAGGGTAAAGCCTTGGGGCAAAGAGAAAAATAGAAACAAAGATGAAAAGGCTGCCAGTCTTCATAATGCCTTTATGTTCTTATGTGCATGGCAGTAGCTTTAGTAAGTGATCTTGACAAATCTTTTTTGTCTTCCCAGCATGATTTCTCTTTCTCTCTGTCTTGCATTATTTTCCTTCCTACATTTATCACCACCTGACAAACTAAATATATGCATATATATTCATTTACTTGCCTATCTCCCTGCGATGACACTCTAAGCTTCATGAGAGCAGAGTCTTCTCCTAAAATCTCAAGCAGAACAGGTGGCCCATAAATCCTTGTTGAATGAAGAAATAAATGTAGCATTGGTTTCCCTATTTTTTTTTTTTCATTATAAGCCCTGTTATGTTTTCATGGTGCATCTTGAGGGAATAGTGCTCCTCGGGAATCTGAATATAATGTCTTAATGGGAGATCTTCCTGGTCATGGCTTTGGATGGAAAACAAAGGATAGGAGTTTTGAGGAATGTTCTCAATGAAATGTCATTAGTTTAAGAGGAAACTGGTATGACGTTATAGTTTAGAGCTCCTTCTACTACCACAGTGGATTTAGGAATCTTAAGTGTCAGGCTAGAGTGCTTCAGAGAGGCAAATAATAAAGTGTCAGTGTTCAAGGTTCACCAAGCCCTATGTTACCCAGACTATTCAAAATTATTTGAGGTGGAAGTATCAAAAGGAGTGAATGGGCAGCATATGAAGTCTGTGTTTCATCCCTGATGCCATTCCATACCGCAGAAAGTCAGCTTGTTAACCCCACAAACTACTCACAGACTGTGGGCTCTAGTTTCTGCCATCCTTTACATTTAATTGACCAGAGAATAAGCTAAGGCTGGTGCTGGTTTCATGAGAAACAAATGATGACTAAATAAATCTAGGATGCTCGCTCATCCTTATTTCCTCCCCAGAGCTTTCCAGGATCACTTCCAGGGATGAACGTCTACACCAGCAGAAAAGCCCCAACTTGCCTGTCCTATAGTCAATTTTCGCCAAAGATAATTTCACCTCCCTGAATGGGAATCTTTGAGGAGATAGCAGATTCTTGCAGGAAAGAGGAATATGAAGGCAGACATCATGTGTCTTTTTTAATCATTCATTTTATTGAGATTTTGATCTTAAACTAGCACTCTATGGAGAAGATGTAAGCTCACTGACAGCCTTTGGCAAAACCACATAATAACCCACATTTATCATGATCTCCTCCTCTCTTCTTCACTCCTCTGTTCCTTTTCTTTTCTTAGGTGACTTTCAACTTTTTCTGTTGAATTGTAAGTAGCCCAAGCAATGAAATTTTTCCCTTCCTAGGGAAAATGAGCAGTTGAGGAGGCAAATTTTAAAAGGAACACAAGAAGAATAATGGAATAAAGAAGAAAGAGAGAAAGGAGGAAAAATCTTTACAAGCTAAAGGAATTAATTTCTCTTGCCAAGTTGTCTGGTAAATTGAGACAGAATTACTGGATATTTACTGTAAACTCTGAGATCTGGCCTTGAGTAAACACAAACCCAAGGAAATACCTGGTATACAGCCCACCTCCCTCCATCATCACCATCATCTTCATCGTGTCCTTCCTGGATCACTGCAATAGCCTCCAGACAGTTGTTTGGCCTCCAGTGTTACTCCCATCTAATCAATCTGACAAGCGAGTTCATTACCTTTAAGATAAAGTAGGGCCAGATGCAGTGGCTTATGCCCGTAATCCCAGCATTTTGGGAAGCCAAGGCAGATGGATCACCCGAGGTCGGGAGTTCAAGACCAGCCTAACCAACATGGAGAAAAAATACAAAACTAGCCAGGCATGGTGGCACATGCCTGTAATCCTAGCTACTCCAAAGGCTGAGGCAGGAGAATCGCTTGAACCTGGGAGGCAGAGGTTGTGGTGAGCCAAGATCAGGCCATTGTACTCCAGTCCGGGCAAAAAGAGCAAAACTTCATCTCAAAAATAAATAAATAAATAAATAAATAAATAAAGTAAAAATTTCTTAATATTCCCTATAAAGCCCTCTGCTTTCCAAATTATCTCCTGCTTTTTCTCTCCTTTCCGTGTTCTCCTTCTGTTACATCAAACTGCGAGATGTTCCCCCAAAGGCAACAGGGAACTAATTCCTTAAAGCATATTCTCAGCTCTGTTTTTCCCCAACCTCTGTGTTTAAGCTGGTGGCACTCTCCTTGTTCATCCTAATGGTATTTGCTGTCATGGAAGGAAATCAGCAAAGGAGCTGGAATGTCTGTATTTAGGTTGGTCTCCTCTTCTAGGCAACAAGTACTTTGAGGGCCACTGCCCTGATTCATTTTGCATCCCTGGCACCTGCACAAACTATAGTATACAGAAGGTAGAGAATATATGGTTGTTCCCAGAAACTCAGTGGAATTTTGTGTAAATCACAGTGCAAAGAAAGGAGAGGACAGCACTAAAGGAAATTTCTGCTTGTCTATTATGAAGCACAAAAAATGTAAACATTTTGCCTAACTCAGGTATCAGTTATCATGAAATTATTTCCTTTGAGCTAAAGATAAATGTGAAGTCTGATGGCAATGTTTTGCTGGTGGCTCTACAAAGTTGCGATTTTTCATTCTTCATTTCACGTGCTATCCCTAGATCCCCTTGAGAAGTGTCACTGGATCGCTGGCTGCATGTGCAAGGTGAAACCACTGGGCTTTGAAGGAATGTTCCCTTGAAAGTCACCTCCAACCATTATTTCGTGTATCACCTTAGGCCATTCATATCATCTTTCAGAATCTTAGTCTATTCATCTATTAAATGGAGATAACAATACCGTGGGAAAAGAATCATATATATTAAACACTCATACATTTATTTGTATTTCAGAGTAACATAACATCATTGTAGTGACCTCCAAAGATGACTTTGCAGAAGATGATATAGACTGAACGCTCCTGCAAATTCATACATTGAAATTCTAATGCCACTGTCACATTATTAGGAGGTGGGGATTTTGAGAGGTAATTAGTTCATGAGAATGAATGCTCTGTGATGGAATTAGTGCCTTTCTAAGAATAGAAAAAGAACTAGCCCTCCCTATCTTGGCTTTCCCTAATATGAGGAGGCAATGAGAAAACAGCCACCTGCGCACCAGGAAAAGTGCTCTTACCAGACACTGGATCTTCCAGCACCTTAATCTTGGACTTCCCAACCTCCAGAACTGTGGGAAATAAATTTCTGTTGTTTAAGTCTATTGTACATTTGTTATAGCAGCTAGAACTTTCTAAGACAGAAAGGCTCTAGAATTGTCAACCTGCACCAAGTAATCACACAATCTAAATAGAAAAAAAACTTGCTCACTATGCAAATTCAGTGTCAAAGAAATTCTCTGGCCTCTCCTATCCACAAGAGTGTCACCTAATTTTTTCTTCCACACAGAAATGCCTGAAAGCTTTCATCATTGCAATATAGTGATGTGCTAAGACAGGAGACTGAGACTCAAGAAGATGCAGTGATGCTTAGTGTTAACTCCTGGTCAGTAGCCCTGTCTGCATTTGACTCTAAGACTGGCCTTTTTCTGCACAGATTGTCATAGTTCAAGACAAAAAGTCCTGGAGCAAAATACTGGGGGACCTGTATTCTAACACCAAATGTTTATTAAACAGTTGTTATCGTTATCGTTATTGCTATTATTATTGTTGTTGTTGACAGGTTAGCAGAGGTATTGAATTCATATATAGAAAGATCTATCTCAAGCCCTAGTTCACATTACCAGTGAATTTACTCAACTAAGAAATTCAGTGAGTTTTTCTTTATTTTCATGGCTTTCTGGAGCATCTAGATCCAACTATTCATTAGAAAAGGTATAATATTGAAAAGAAGACTCTGACACTGTATTTAAAGTACCAAGCTATTTTTGATTTGATAAATTGTTTACAAAGGAGAAAAGGGGGCAAAATAATGCTTGTTGTAGCCTGCATTTCACTTCAGTTCTTTACAACGTATTTATTAAAGCATTTCGTATCCAGAAAAAAGGGACCCCCTAGAACTGTGAATTGATTAGCCTTCTCCAATAGTTTGCAACAGTGCTTCCACTGCTGATATTAATCATGCTTCCAGCAGCTCCTCTGCACCAATACCAGGGAGGTCTGTATGCCCCATATCGAATGCAGGGAATTAACGCTGGATAAACGTATTTGTACCTTGCTGTGTTAAGGAACACTCAGGCCCTGTTTATACTTTGCTTCACTCCCAAGTTTAAATAGTGATTTTCAGACTATCCAGCTTGGTAATTCTATACTTGGTCTGATCTCATTGTTGACAATGTTTGAATCAAGCCAGACAGGCATATGGAGTTCCTTAGCTTGACTTGCAAGGTCTTATAAGCTGGCCCTGTTCTGCTTTGAGTCTTATTTCTCACAATCCCTGAATGTACTATAAACTCCAAAAAATTAGACTGCTCAATGTCATTGGCCAGACACATTACATGCAGTCTTGTTTTAGGGTCTTGGTGCTATTCCTGCATGGTACTGTAGCAAGGTGTTGATGATGGACTCTGGGGCACATTGCCTAAGTTTAGTCATTGCTCTCCCACTTACTGAATGTGAGAATTCAGGCACACACTTAGCTTTTCTGTTCTAGCATTTGCCCAACTTTAAAATAGGGACCAGAGTGCATTTCTCAAGAGGATGGTGAGTGTGTATGTGTATGTGCGTGCACGTGTGTGTGTAGACATATAAATATATGCATGCATATTAGTTAACATGTATGCTAATAATTTATGCCAGAATTATTCTAAGTAACATGCCATATACATGGACATAGTGTTTAGATATTGCTTAGAACAGTTCTAGCATGAAGTATGAAGTTTTGGCACAGTATGTGACCTATATAAGTGTTAACTACTGTTATTGCTAGTTCCACATGTTTAGTTAAATTGTAGTTATTCTTCAGGCTCATGTCAACTACTGACTCCTTTATTAAATAATCCTAATTTTCCAAGCAGGAGAGCAGAGAGAATATTTATTGGATGTAGAAAATGATCCAGCTGCATGTTTTCACATCAGTCTTTTGTCACATCCTATGCTGTTTCTGGGCATTTTGGAAATGAGGAAACTGAGAACTACAAGTCAGTAAGTTGCCCGCAGTGGACTCGGGATGTGAACCCAGGTCTGTTCCCCTGTGCAAACTAACTTTCTCTCTGCTCAACACTGTTGCTTCTTGGGAGGCATGCTTTCTGTTTCCTCTGAACTGCTATGGCACATTATTTCTCCATCTCTCATGGTACTTGATTCTTTCTATTTTGTATTATAACTATGTGTGTACATATTTGACCTTCATTATAAAAGAATGTGTATTTTTAGAGCAGAAATCTCATATATTTATATATAGATTCCCTTCCCCGATTCCAACTTTGTTTGTTCCTTTGCTTTATCAATGGGCATGTTTGCTTCCTCTATAAGATTCTGTGTTTCTTGGGTGAATTTAATTGTTGGAAGACTATTTTACCCCAGCATTTGTCATAGGATAAGATCAAGAGAATTTTATTATGTATTTTACTGAGTTATAAATATATATAGTTTGTAAAAGACTGCCACTACATGAAGCTCTGATACTTTAGTGGGATATTAAGCCTGAATTGGAGCTTCACAAGATTCCCTGGTGGGCAGCAGAATGTATGTGTCTCGGCAGAGGCGAAGCAGTGAGAAGGAAGGGTGAAGGAAAAGCAGATGGGCTGCAATATTGTCTCCACCACAATGAGACTTGGGCAAGCTACTCTACCTCTAAGCCTTAGTTTCTTCCTCTGTGAAATGGGAATGACAACACTGGGTTTATAAGAGAGCTGTTAAAAGAATGAAAGGCAAAGCATATGTCAATTACTTGTGGGTCCCTGAATATAGCAAATCCTCATTGAGTGTTCAATATATAACTTCTCCTTCTTGTTAATATGCCATTTGGGGTTGAATTGTCCATGGAAGTCTAAGCCATTCTCTGTCAGAAATTGTTTGTAGTGCTTGTCCAGGGATGTCCAGGGATGTCTCATTCATTCATTCCTGTCTCTCCTCTTTTCATGCTCTGCATTCACCTTTTTCTATTTATTTATTACCTTTTTTCTTTTCTTTTTTTTTTTTTTTTTGAGACAGAGTCTCACTCTGTCACCCAGGCTGGAGTGCAGTGGCACCATCTCAGCTATCTGAAAGTTCTGCTTCCTGGGTTCAAGCGATTCTCATGCCTCAGCCTCCTGAGTAGCTGGGATTACAGTTGTGAGCCACCACGCCCAGCTAATTTTTGTATTTTTAGTAGAGATGGGGTTTTACCATGCTGGCCAGGCTAGTCTTGAACTCCTGACCTCAGGTGTTCTGCCTGCCTTGGCCTCCCAAAGTGCTGGGATTACAACTGCGAGCCACCGTGCCCAGCTTATTCACCTTTTATTAATGGCTACAGAAAACATATAATAGCTATAACAGTTAAATATTAGAAATGTGTAAACGATGACTGATATTTTATATAAAATGTAACTGGGTTCTCTAACTTACCCAAAACATTTTAAAATATTGGTGACTAGAAGCCAGGATAAACCGCTAGCTTAAAGCTGACAGTGTTGTTCATTCGTATATAGAGAAGAATTGCAATTTACTTTGCAGAAAATAAATCACAAAACTTCAATGTGCCCCTTGGTTTACCAAAGTAAAACCATATCCCTGTTCAGGTGAGGTGCAGCCTGACACAATGAGATGTCCCAGAGAAAGCCTGAGCCTGGGCTGGGCAGAACTACATCCTGCCCCGCTTTACTTAGCCCCCTACAGTAAGTTTGTATGCACCCATGGTTTTGGGGTGCAGGAGATCTGGTCTAAAGCACCCTGTGAGGACAGCTGAGTGAATCCATACAACGAAGTGTCATACTATGGGTGAAGCAGAGAAGTCCAGCAGGGTTGCCTGGCATTAGGGGCTGAACCCCATGCATAGGTCTAGCATCTTTAACACATAATAATCAGTATAAAGCTTTCTGTGTGTAATTTGCTTTGACCTATCTGCAAACCTTCTGCTTGTCTCCAAGCCTTACAGTTAAGTCTTACCTAGCCTTTGGAGAATTATGAAAGCAGACTGGAGAAGTCTATTCTGATACTGCAAAAAGGGCAGGAGTCCCAGCTGAGATGAAGAGCAGCAACCAAGGTGAATTTGAAGAGCACATGAGCAATCACTGGGGACTCTCAAAAATATTTAGGAGTCAGAGAAGTCATGGGAAACGGTGGGTTGGCTAATTGTCACTTGGAAATTAAAGAGAAGTTTGACATCTGAGGATGCCGCATGCCACATTACACATAGCCTCCACATATGACTCTACAATCTACAGTGGTAAATTGGCAGGGATTCAAATCTAATAAAACTGTGCTCACTTAAAGAGGTTCTCCCATTCTTCTTTTTAGATTACATGATAAGGAAACTAACAGAAAATTTTGGGATTGCAAAGACAACAAAACAAAAAATAAAATAAAATAAGAGTTAAAAATTGTTTACACAGTAACCTAAAAAGCTAAACAACTTTGAGAATTGTCCTGGGATTGGTCCACATCAGACTTCATTGTCTGTACATGCCTGAATATATTTAAGGAAGAGTTTTGATGAGTGTTAAACCAAAGGTGCTTCTTTATAATTCCTTAATTAACCTGAGAACCATATAGCCAAAGCAAACTGACCAAAGCTTGTTTTTGTGTTTTTGGTTTTGGTTTTGTTCTCCTCTTTTTTTCATTCTCCTTCCCTTCCTTTCTTTTTTTTTTCCTCCCCTCCTTCTTTTCCTTTTTTTTTTTTTTTTTTTTTTTGGCAAAGAAAAACAAAATGCAAATCAAAAACCAGATTTATTCAAATGTCATACTTAAGAAGCATATCTGAACAAATTATTCAGAGCAGGAGCTAGGGTTTCTGAGAGAGATGACAGGGTGTATGAATAAATTTCAATATGGCTTTACTTCTTTGTGATATAATCTCAGTCTTAATTCCCAATGAAGCTGCCACAATACATTATAGCTCTGTCTCCATTCAAGAGATTTTGGTTTTGTCAACTTACTTTCGGAGTATTTAGAGATTTCATTTAACTGACCTACTCCTAGAGATTTGTAAAGACAACTGGTTTAAAAGATTAGTAATCTTTTAACAGTTTTCCTTTTAAAGGCAATCAAAGCTATTTCTTTCCATCATCATGGGCAGTTGTTGAGCATATACCAGAGTAATCCTGCTTAGATTATTTGACCTTTTCCTCATCAGCTTTTATAGTTCTTCATTCCTGCTAACATTTCTTCACAGTAAGCAATCTTGGTGTATAGTAAATGCTAATTGGTCCTTTAAAAGGGTCCCATGATAAATACCTTTATGCCTCAATTTAAATTTTCTGGGCACAGAACAGAGATGGGAGAAGTCACTTTGTGCTGTGTCCTTCATCCAGATTCATGCTTTTCTCTAACCTCCCTGACTTTTGATCACTTACTCCTTGCCTTATTTTCCTGTCATTCTCAGTGCCTGCTCTCACCTTTCCCTTTTTTGTTGTTTTTGTTTTTGGGACGGAGTCTCGCTCTGTCACCCAGGCTGGAGTGCAGTGGCGCGATCTCGGCTCACTGCAAGCTCCGCTTCCCGAGTTCACTCCATTCTCCTGCCTCAGCCTCCCGAGTAGCTGGGACTACAGGCGCCCGCCACCGCGCCCGGCTAATTTTTTGTATTTTTTAGTAGAGACGGGGTCTCACCGTGTTAGCCAGGATGGTCTCGATCTCCTGACCTCGTGATCCGCCCGCCTCGGCCTCCCAAAGTGCTGGGATTACAGGCGTGAGCCAGCACGCCCGGCCTCCCTTTCTTTTTTTGCGGTAAGAACAGCAAGTGCTCTGGATTCACAAGACTGTCACTGGTCCTTTTTGTTTTTTATTTCTTCCACAAGAGTTAAAACAAAAGACTCAGAGGCTGCAAAGAAAAGCAATGAGGTGGACTGACAAATAGCCATTTGCCCAATGCAAGTGGCAATTTAGAGAAGACGATGAGGAGAGGCGGCTGCTTTCTTCTTTTTATTACCTGAGTTACATCAGGTAAAAAGTGATATGAACAGGTCAAAACATCACAAAGACGACTTTATCATGTCCACCCATTTTTGTGATCACATTGTGTCTTCTTTCCATTTTAAATTTTCTAAATTTTATATTCTAATTAGCATATCTAAATACTTTAATATATTAAAATCTAAAATTTCTCAAAGATCTAAAATATCCTACTGTTTATACATTCTTCTTAACAAATGGTGTATCTGTTATGTAACAGGTATTTTTAAAATGGACACGAGAAATATATTATTTTAGTTAATTTCCTAGACAGTCTCTGTGAGGTATATTTTATTATACCCATCTCATAGATGAAGATATAGATCCATGGAGTTCAAACGACTTGTCCAAGGCCACATCTTAGTTAATATGCAGAAGCAGATTTAAACCGCCGCTGGTTTGGCTTCAGAATTTAACTTTTCTAACTGGACCATGCAGAATAATACTGGAACCAGCAGTTCTCTGAACCCATGTCTAACGCAAATACTTTTTATCTCCCTTACAGAAATACTTTCATAGAAATTTCTCAATTCCAGTCTTCTGCCTTTATGGAAAGTAGGTACCTCTTCCTGAATGTTGTACAAAAATATTGTTGAGCCTGGTTTTTATATATTGTATCACACAGTGTATGCACCACCTATAAAACCACTATTCAAAATATTGTACATTATAACACCCAGTGTTTTTGTATAAGGGTTTGGCCAAATAATTTTTCCTTGAGTGTAATTATAGAAAAAAATAATGAATTTACTGCACAGCTAAATGGGCATTTTCTGTTAGTACAAACTGACATGTTGCCATTTTTGCCTCAGCTACTAGAAAAAGAAGTATTTCCCAGGTGTTTTAGTCTACTTGATTAACTGCACCCTACTACACTCTGCTTTGTGTACTCTACACATGCTTCCAGTATGTTTCTATTTACTTTGTCCTCGTGGTGTTATTTCTCATAATAATATTTATCAGATTGGGGCTAGCCAGTGACGTCCCACTGAAAGAAGCAGGGACAGGTGGGCTGTCATGGCTTTTTAGTAGATAATTCTGTGCTGGAAGGTAACCCTTTCTGTATCATGGAAGAGATGTAACTAAATTTAGAGTCAGAAGCCACTCATCAGGATTAGCTGCTAAGCTATTTGGTTGACAGGTGAGAAGTTAATCGGAAGATGCAGATGAGAAATCAAAATCACAAAGAAAAATTTAAAAAGGAAGGCAGAGAAAGATCTAGGAGTTGACTGTCAGCTGTTGGATTATCTAGAGCCAGGGAGAGGGTCTAGCCCTTTGATCATCAATGGAAAGATTGATTCATGCTCATCTCCCTTTTGTTATCATTGATCGTGCTTTGGGGACACTCATACTTCAGATTTTTTAGCTGAAAGAGACTCTGAGCTGACAAACATCCCAAGTTTCTGTTGTTGTTGCTGTTTAAATTATTATTATTATTGTTATTACTATTATTACTATTATTATTTTGGAGATGTGGTCTCCTGTTGCCCAGGCTGGATTGCAGAGGTACAATCGTGGCTCGCTGCAGCCTTGACCTCTCAGGCTCAAGAGAACCTCCAGCTTCAGCCTCCCAAGTAGCTGGGACAAGAGGCAGGTACAACCACATCCAGCTAATTTTCATATTCTTTTGTAGAGACAGGGTCTTGCTATATTGCCAAGACTGTCTCAATCTTCTAGCCTAAAGCAATCCTCCCACTAAGCCTCCCTAAGTGCTAGGATTACAGGCATGAGCCACTGCACCCAGCCTAAATTATTATTATTATTTTTTAAAAAGGTGTGCAGATTCTTCTTTTATTTACTTGCATCTCTACTACTTGTGGAAGGCAGACATGCCTTGTTTATTGTGTCAAAGCAATTGAGACCAGAATCTCCACTATGTGAATAATTAACTCATTTGTTAAACATAGATGAATTTTTTTGTCTGACAAAAATAAAACTGGTCTAACTGTGAAAAACAAAAGGGAAAAACATATTTTAGAAGGCAAGGGACAAAACCTATGGGCTAACTAGCTATAGCAGGAACTACATGAAAAATGTCAAAAGAATGTCACAGACACTAAGCATTACATTCTTATTACTGACAATCATTTAAAAAAACTGAATATTTTATTTCGAGTAGAATTTGGAAAAAAGGACAGTGAATTATATTAATATTTGCAGCAGACAGTCTTTTCTCCAAGTTGTAGCAACACATATTTTTTTTCAAACAAAACACTTTATTAGCTTTTTAAACTCTCTATTTGCACTTCTTATCTGCGCCTAAACATTACAGGACAGAAAAGGTTTCTGTTTGCTTGTTTGTTTGGGTCAGCTCTTTTTCCTTTAATTCACCTTATTGAGTTTGACTCCATTGAAATAAGATTTTTAAAAAAAGAGATGTAGAAGAAAATATGGCGTTCCTGTAGCCTCTCTGGTCCTGTTGACATCGTTCAGCCGCTTTGGTTCAGGAATGAATGAACCCTGTTAAGTCTTTCTTTGTGTCCAGGATTCTGTGAGGCTGTAGGAATAACGGTGAGCACAAAAATGGACCCCGTGCAGCCTGGTCAACATGGTGAAACGTTGCCTCTCCTAAAAATACAAAAATTAGCCGGGCATGACAATGGGCACCCACAATCCCAGCTACTCGGGAGGCAGAGGCAGGAGAATCACTTGAATCCGGAAGGCGGAGATTGAAGCCAGTGGAGTCTCACTCCGGGCGACAGAGCAGGACTCCATCTCAAAAACAAAAGAAAAGAAAAGAAAAAAAAGGCCCCGTGCTTGGTGCTTGAAGTCAGACCAGGGATGGACATTAGCAAATATTCACACAAGTGAACGCACGATTATGAAAGACAAGGAGCGGGAACATATAAATGCTCTGAGAGTGTATAACCCTGGCACTGGGCCTAGAATGAAGGTTCAGAAAATGCCTTCCCAGGGAATTGATGCATAAGTTAAGGCTGGCTCCCTAAGCTTCTTAAAAGCCAAGGCTTTTGCTAAATATGGGAAGGCTAGAGCCCGCAGGAGGTGAGATGGGCTGCACTCAGAGATCCCTGCAGAACCGCATGCTTGCCTTTCTGGAGTGGCATCAGCAGTGCTTTGCAACACAGGGTTCTGGTGGTAGCTTCAATGACTGCTGCCACTGCAGACCAGGAGTCCCTCTGAAGCCACTGCTCCCCCAGGCTTCAGCTGGCCTAGCCACCATCTGACAGCACCTTGGCTCATGCCTAAGCCTCACATCTCTGGAGTCCTGCCCCTGAGACATGATGCCTTTAGGAGGTAGTCTGTGCTCACAAATGTTCATCTGAAAGCATGGGGAGTTAACGTATCAATGACAGAGTTGGAGGACAAATTCTTTTCTTTTCATCCTCTAGACACACTGTTATAAAGTGTAATCTCTTCCTAAGGCCACTCTGAAGCCTATGAGGAGAGGTGGCTAGTTTGAAATGTCACCCCTTTAGAATGACTTTCCCTGTTTTCCTGTCTCCATCCCATTTTCCCTCACTCCTGATTCTCTAGGATTGCATTCCCCAGCAAAAGCTTTGGACTCAGAGTGTATTTTTCAGGACACTGTGGCTAAGATAGGAGGGCTGTGGAAGGAGCTTGAAATTGGTCCTCATTCTACTTGCTTTGTGTCAGGCCTCTGAGCCCAAGCCAAGCCATCGCATCCCCTGTGACTTGCACGTATACATCCAGATGGCCTGAAGTAACTGAAGATCCACAAAAGAAGTAAAAATAGCCTTAACTGATGACATTCCACCATTGTGATTTGTTCCTGCCCCACCCTAACTGATCAATGTACTTTGTAATCTCCCCCACCCTTAAGAAGGTACTTTGTAATCTCCCCCACCCTTAAGAAGGTTCTTTGTAATTCTCCCCACCCTTGAGAATGTACTTTGTGAGATCCACCCTGCCCGCAAAACATTGCTCTTAACTTCACCGCCTAACCCAAAACCTATAAGAACTAATGATAATCCATCTCCCTTCGCTGACTCTCTTTTCGGATTCAGCCCACCTACACCCAGGTGAAATAAACAGCTTTATTGCTCACACAAAGCCTGTTTGGTAGTCTCTTCACATGGACGCGCATGAAACTTTGATCTCAGAGTATAAGCTCAGAGACAAAAAACAGAAATAGAAATAATAGATTTGAAGAAAATTATTGGTGGGGCATCTTAGCCAAAATAGCCTAAGCATGGCTTTGCTATCCCCAGCAGAAAAGATGACATTCTAGTCGGACTCTGTACTCATCTTTATCAGGCCACAACTAGGGTTTAGTGGGAGGCAGGGGTTCTTACCTCTGATTGCTATAACCAAATACCATAAATTAGGTTGCTTAAACATAACAATACACATTTATTTCCCATAGTTTTGGACATTGGCAATCTGAGATCAGGGTGCCAATATGGTGGGGTTCTTTGTAAGGGTCCTCTTCACCATTTAGAGATAACCATCTTCTTGCTCTATCCTCACATGGTAAGAAAAAAGCAAGTTAGCCCTCTGGCTTCTGATTATAAGAGCATTAATCCCATGATTAGGGCTCCACTCTTATGACTTAATGACCTTCCTTTCAAAGGTTCCACCTCTAAATACAATCACATTGGGATTAGGGTTTCAACATAAAAATTCTGGGGGGACACAAACATCCACTCCATTGCAGAGGAGTGGCAATTTTTGGGGAGAACCTACAGAGCATGATCAGAAAAGTGAACAAAACTGGGGAGACATTTGAAATAATCACAAGAGGAACACTGAAGGCACTGAGGTGTGCCATATGGAAATAGACTGTCAAAGTGTGTAGGGGGAAAAGGTGAAAGGGAAGGTCAGAATTACCATCAGATAGTTATTGAAGAAGGCTGCAACTTCTTTTGTACAGCTGTAAACTACAGCAAATTGGATGAAGTTATTGTAAGAAAGATTTAGCTCAAAACAATTAAAACATTTCTTGGCAGAAATGCCGTTCAACTATGGAAGAGACTGCTTGATGAGGTAGCAACATCACTATCCCTGCATATTTTCAAGTCTCTGCAGGTATGTTACAGGAAAGGGGATTCTGGCCAAGGGTGAGAACTAGATTAAACTATTGCCAAGGTTACTTATAATGTAGAGTCTGTGATTCTGAGTTTCAAACAAGGTTAGTACCTCATTTATAGGAAACCTGTATTGCAAGCTTCTTAAGGGCATGAATAGTATCTCTTTACTGGCCAATGACCTTCACACAATGGAAAAGAAATTTAAACAACATTGTTTCTTCAGCCTTAGGTGATTCTGCGCAGCTATCATACAAAGGCAGGCATTTGGTTCCAGTAGACCATGTGAAAGAGAAGGACAGTGAGGTACCCCCCATCACTCCACAGGAAATGCAGCTCAATGAACAAGGTTAACTGACTGTACATCTCTTGGTGCACTGAGCCTGGGCAGTTCACTTACTCACTCACTCATTAATTCATTCAACAAACATCGATGTTGTCTACGTGCTCAACATTATGGAGATACATAGTGAATGATGTACTCTGAAGGAATCCATAGCCAAACGGCCGAAAACAAACAAACAAACAAAAAAAGAATGAATGTATTATCTCAGAACACGATAAAAAAGGAAGTGGACATTGGTAGGATAATGTGAACCCCTCCAGGGATAGAGTACTCAGGGGGCACTTCTTGGGGATGGGACAGTTTTCTTGCCTCTAAGAATATATATGATTATTTTTGCCCAAGAAGGAAGTGAACATTTATTTATTGCAGCACTTAAGAGGCTCAGGCAAGTCTGGAATTATATACTGATTCTGCCACTTACTTACTACTTCAACATCTGTAAAAGCAGATTCATTTATCCAAAAAATATGTTTCTGTGCCTACTTATGCAGCAAGCATTGTGCAAGGCATTGAAGATAGAGTTATAAAAAAGGAAGATATGGATCTTGCCCCCAGAGAATATAGTCTTATGGGGGAGGTAGTTATTAATTGCAGATTAAACTACTTAAATTCTTATATTGCACAATTGTGATAAGTGGGAGGAGCAGGGGACTTAGTTTGGTCATGGGTGCCAGAGATAATAGGCATGTATATCTCATAAGATTGAAGTGGGGTAAAGAGAAATGATGCATGCAAAATTCTTAGCAGGGTGGATGGCACAGTGAATAATAGGCACATATTCACTATTAGATTATGTTCATAATAATGATACGTTTTCTCTCCCATTAATGCCTGCCGTAAAAACAAACACAACCATCATCCTTACCCACCAATGTCTTTTTTTCTTTCTGATTTTCATGCTAAACTTTCCTCATCCACATACAAACCAAATTCATACCTTTAATTCATGTTCAAATGAAATGTCTTTTATGACAAAAACTGAGGTATGGTAGAGGACCTCTTGCTCAAGGGTTGGGTGCCTGCCATTTGCAAAGTGACCTCCCATCACTTGCTAAGTGCCTGCTGCTGCTGTGGGAATACACAAGCCAGTGAGGCTCCTGTCTCACCTTTGAGTCCATATGGCATCTCTGTCTTCTTCTGGATTGTTCAACCTGTCTGCACTCTCACTTGTCAGGAGTGGAATTGTGGATGGGAAAGGTAGGCACAGCGTGGTGATCACAAAAGAAAGGGCTTGGCACCTGTCTCTGAGATCATCCCTGGCCCTTTTCACTTTGCGGGTTAGAACGCTGGGGAAATCAGATAACAGAGGAAGAACAAAGCGGAGGGACAAGAAATCCACAGTTTATTTCACGTTTGCCTACTTAGTTATTTTTCTTCTTCCTCAGAGGAAGGATACAGATTTTGAACTCTGATGAACTTGGATTGAAATTTCAGTGTTCTAATTAAATAGATTTATGGCTTCAAAAATCTAACTTACTTTTTCTAAGTCTCAGTTTCCTTATCTTTAAAATGAAGGTAATGTGCCTTTTCCAAATGGGAGTTAAAATGGAGCATATCTAAAGAACCATGTATACAATAGTTACTTGATAAGCATCTTCCCCTTTCTTTATGTCCAAAATACACCTCCTTTCTCTATGCTCTATCCTACATAGGAGCTTTTTTAAAAAACCTCTCTAAAGAAACTCAGGTGAAATTCCAAATTTCCTACTACAATAACATATAAATGTATATATTTTTCCATATGGGAAAGAGAAGAAAGGCAAAGTGATACATTTTATGCATAGGAAAAATGTTGTGCAATGTGACCGTGTGAACTGGACATAGCCAAGGATCCTCACGCTTCTGCAGCACACTTGGAGTATTTATAAAAATCTGACCTTCATTATGTCACAAGAGAGACCTCTTTAACTTTCAAAGAGATAACCACATAGGGACATACAGGTTTGACTACAATCTAATCCAATTAAAATATATAATATAATAATGTATGTTTAAAATTATACATCTGCAAACTCAATAACACACAGATATTAAACCACGGATTAATGGGGCAATAATAAGAGAAATAAAAGAAATGACAATACATTTAAAGATGAATGAAATGTGAAAAACTCCACAGCAAAACTAAAGAATTATTTAGAGAAAAATGTGTAACTTGGCTGCATTGATTAAAATTGCATGAAGAGAAGCAAAACCTAAGAATTCCATTCCATAATATGATATTGGTTGTTTCCTGCAGGACTTTATTATTATTAAAGAGTAAAAAGTATATTCATGTGAAACAATTAGTAAATGATAAAATACACTTTTGCTGTAACCCGAGAGTTATGATTCATGGAGTGCCAATCATGGTAGGAACTCTGCTAGTAAGGCACTTTGCATAAATCAGCCTTCTCCTTCATAATAGCCTTGCAATTTTTGCTAGTAAAGAAATAGAGGTTCAGAGATTTTAAATAACAGCTAGCATATGGCAGAGTTTACTTGTAGTTCAAGTTTTGTTCTGATGTGTCTTCTTTCCAAGCTACAGTACCACATTACCTCCCACTGGACTGCAGTACCAGAGTGTATGGGGCTGTCTGTAAGCACAATGATGTAAGTAGTTTGGGAGCAGAATCAATTATTACTGCGGTTAACAGGAAAGGTTTCATGGTGCAGACAGGCTGCAATGGGCCTCAAAAGACTACTAGAAGCTGGAAAGTTAGGAAGAAGGACATAAAAAGCAAATGATATAGCTGGGCCTGTAAACTTTCAAGACCTCGGTTTTCCCGTCTGCAAGTCTAATACTAATGTTTGCTCCAAGACGGTGATGGGAGACTAAATCAGGTAATATGCATGCAGATTGTAAGCTCCAGGGAAAGCTGGAGCTCTACAAACCTGAGGAACTATTATTACTCCAGCAATAATGTTCGCCAAATGTGTTAAACTTCTTGCAAGAAAGGTGATGTGGAAATGTACGGGTCATTGTGATTCTTGGCACAGGAATGTGGGGCTGGAGCTGGGACACCTGGAGGAAACTGAAGGTGTATATGCAGAAGGTAGCAAAGCAAAGGGAGCAACTTCGCAGCGGGTTTGTAGGAGTTTATTTGAAAACTTGACATTTCAAAACACATACCTAATTTTATTTCAAGAAAATGCCAGAATCCGAGGAATGTTAAGAACACTTTAAAAGAAAAAAAAATCTTTTTCTGTGTTAAACATCTTGTTTTTCCTTTAGAGAAACACAAGCTCAATTTCCAAACTTCAGATATAGGAATCAAACTAGAAGGGATTCTAAAAATCGATCAAGAACTAAATAGTTTGAGCTAGGATTTGTGGATAAGAATAACGGCAGGAAAATATTTTAAGTGCCTTGTTTTTTACTGTTTGCAAAGCCTTTCATATAGATATTTAGTTCTTGCAAATAATCTCTCTTCTAGTAGGTGTCATTATCCCAATTTTACAGAATAAATTGGAGAGTGTATATGAAGGTACCCAACATCTCATAGATGTTATGCAAAAACCCACAATGATTGTACTGATGGGAAAGCAAGTTTAAAGTATTTAAGCTGCTTTTTCCAACATCATGAAGCTGGAAAGAGGAGTACATTGAGACTCAAATGTATTGTTCAGATTTTTAAAACCACCCAGTGATGCTTCCCTAGGAAAATTCACTCTCCCACTCTCCAAGATGATTTCATGCAATCTTCTCTCTTCACATCTCCAATATTTCTTCCTCACCCCCACACTTAGCTGATGACTTCCTCATATTTTTAGAACATAACAGAAACAGACTAGAACTACCTCATCTACCCATCCACAAAGCCACCTCTCTCTGTGCCTGCATCTGAGCGCATAGACTACCTTCTTTCCAGTGCAGAGAGCCAAGCCAAGTGCTCATTCTAGCAGGAAGGGCCAGCCTAGCCACATTGATGGCTTATCTCAACCCTCCTGCCCATTCTTCCCTTCCTGAGTTACCCCTTCTATCATGAGTGTTCTTTTTCTACTAGGTTATTTATTTGGGCATGCAAGTATGCCTTAATACATCTCACAAATCAAATAACAAACACAAAGCAAGCAAACAATAAAAATGACCTAGATTTCACTTCCCCTTGTTGCTCCTGCTTACCTTCGTTGCTTCCCTGACACCACGCTTTTGTCATTTCCTTCCTCCTTCACTGTCTCTCTCAGTTTGCTTCACGCCTCTTCCCTTCTTGTTTTTAATTGCTAGAGGCTCCAGGGCTCTGTCGTGTGTCCCATTCTCTTCATCAACCACAGGAAGATCTTTCCCTAAGTGGCCTCATTAAAACCATGGCTGTAACTACCACTGATAGGCTCAACACCTCCCATATTCACATGTCTAACCCTGGAGCAAATACACTTGTAGGTCCCGCTCGACCTCTCCCAGGCTCATAGGTGACTCAAACTTTGTAGTAGTCAAGCAAAGCCTTTCATTTCCCCACTTTACCCCGACCCTGAAAAGTCAGCTCTTGCCCAGCACTTACACATCTCAGCAAATGGCACCTCTCTACGAGGATCTTCCCACAGTGTGCAGTCTTGGAGGGGGGGGTGATCCTATCACCATTTCCCCTAATGCCTCAGAAATCACCCATCAGTCTTTCCCACTGTCTCTATCCCAATGTGATTACTTTTAATTTCTTTACTGTTGCATGCTTGTCTAAGACCTATCATTTCTTTCTTGAGCCACAGCAATGACTTCTTAACTGGTGTCACTCCTGCACTTGTTCTGCCTGCTGTCCATCCTCCCAGAACTGGTGTACTGGTTCTAATAGGTAGAATAAAAAAGATCACATCACTCCCCCATGTAAAGTATTGTGTTGGTATCCTGTTCTGATTTGAATGAAGTTCAAACTCAGGTCCACATGACTTGTGGCTACTTTACTCCACTATTCTCTTTGCCATGTGCACTTGCCCCCAGCCACCCAGCTACATCAGACTTTCATCTGTCCTTAAACACACCCAGCTAGTTCCCACGTCAAGTTCCCTGCACTTCTTTTTCCTTCTGAGCAGAGCTCACTTCTCCCAGGTCCCCACCCATGGCGTCCTGTTCTGAAGGGACAAGTTTCAGCTCCAATGCCACCTTCTCAGAGATTCCAGCCCTCTCTTCCCCAGGGAAATATCAGGTCCTTCATATTCCAATCTATTCTCTATTATATTAACTAGTAGCTTACTTTTTTGCGTGACACATATCATTATCTAAAATTGTTTCTTTAGAGCATGCTTGTTTCCTTGTTTTCTTTCCAGTGGAACGTAAATTTTCTGAAGGCACAGGCTGTTTTGATTGCTGCTCTATCCCCAGAGTCTAAAACAGTGCCTTGCGCATAGCACACACCCAGAGAATATTCACTGACTGGCTGTCATCTTTAAACTGCTTCAAAAGAGAGTGGAGGTAGGGGAGGGAGATTTATTGGATACAGACTTTATTACAAATTTCGAAAGAGATGATATAAACCCATGGAAAGGAAAACAGTGAGCAGTACAAGAGTCTGTAATTTACTGCTAAAGTACATGATATGTGCTAAAGTACATGATATGTATGGCAAGTGCTGTAAGGAATATGCTTATTTGATGGAGACAGAATGGACTTAGGCTAGGCTCCTGTGATTTCCAGAGAATTACAGCAATTATCTGTCTCTCTCTTCACCAGAGTACAAATGCATTATGCTCCACAATTTCCCCAAGGACAAATTCAATAAAAACTGGTCGGTATTGTGAAAAACTACGAGCATTGCAGGAAGAGGAACCTGTCTTTGAATCTAGCCCAGTCATGTACCAGCTCTGGCAATTTTCCTTATCTCTCATGGAAATTCTCAGTTTTCTTATTCTATAAGATGGCTTTTAAAAATAAATGGGATGGTGTACAAAATGCGGTTCTTGCCACATGGTTAATCTTAATACACTATTAAGCTATTAATAAGCTTAATAAACTATTGATATCTGAAATAATGTCTTCAACTATTACAATTTATATAAAATCTGATTAATTATAACAGTAAATTAATAACTAGGAAAATAGTTTTAGATATGCAAATAAACTGTGTTTAGAATCACAGAGAATCATTTTTAAGAAAAATAATAAAACATAAACAAACATGGTAATCCAGATCTGAATTCTAATTCTGATTTCTGTGTAGTTGTAAGGCAAGGGGTTTCCACAACCAAAGTATCAGGAACAATGGGTCTAACTTGTAACCCTCTTCACCCTCTCCTCTCCTTGAATAAACTTACAGTATTCCAAAAGATAGGTTATGCTACCATCTACACCTCTGCGCAACAATTTCATCACTGACTCCTCTCAGGCAGCTGCAGTTACCACTGACAGGAGCAAAATCCCAGGGCTGGTTACAAAACTCCCTTGTGAGGGCGCTGCCAGACCTCACAAGGGAGGCCATGCCCAAGTTAATAAAATGTTAGCAGCAACCCAAGGAGTGGAAAACTCATGTCCACACAAAAAACTTGCACACAGTTATTTATAGAAGCTTTATTCCTAGTTGACCAAACTTGGAAACAACCAAGATGTCCTTCAGTGGGTAAATAGATAAACTGTGGTATGTCCAGACAATGGAATATCACTCAGCACTTAAAAGGAATAAGCTATCAGGCCATGAAAAGACATGGAGGAAATGTAAATGTATATTGACAAGTGAAAGGGGCCAGACTAAAATGGGATACATATTGTATGAAAAAGACAAAACTATGGAAACAGCAAAAAGGTCAGCAGCTGCTGGGGGTCAGGGGAGGGAGAGATGAATAGCCAGAGCATAGAGGCTGTTTAGGGTAGTGCAGATACACTGTCTGATACTGTCATGGTGGGCACATGCCATTATACATGTGTCCAAACCACTAGCATGTACAGCACCAAGAGTACACCCTTATATAAACTGTGAACTCTGCGTGATAATGATGTGTCAATGCAGGTTCATCAATTGCACAGTTGTAAAAAAAAAACAAAAAAAAAGGTACCTCAGTCTGGTAGAGAATAACAAAGGAGGTTATGCATGTGTGGGGCCAGGGGTATGTGGGAAATTTTTGTACTTTCTGCTCAATTTTGCTCTGAACTTAAAACTGCTCTAAAAAATAATTAGAAAAAAAATTAGAAAATATTAGAAAAAAAGATAGCAGTAGCCATATTTCATAGGGCATTGGAGAAAGCAATCCTCACATGTAAGGTAATTCATATGCAAAGTGAACTTGTTCCATGTTGTTCTCACATAGAAAGTTGTTTCCCTTTCTCAAGATGTAAACAGAGAGTAACGAGTATCCACCTATGTCACTAATAAATGAAGTCAGCAATACCTCGATACGAGCATCATCCAACAAGAATAGATATATAAATATACACACTCTGAACCTCAACAGTTTCATACCCAAGAAGACATCCCATAAATATTCTCATAAAAGTATGTCAAGATAAGTTTACGACCATGTCTGCACTATTTTTAAAACACGAAAGCCTAACTGACAGCAACATAATTGTACAGAAGTCAAGGACTTTTGTTGAAGAAGTACGGGTAAGACCATACAATGTAATTTTAAGCAGCTGTTGAAAAAAATCAGACATATGTACATGTGATAATAGGAAAGTTTTAAAAAATATGTACTGTTTTACATTGATAATATGTAATTATGCTTTTATATTTAAAGAAAAATCTGCAAAAATACATGCAAAAATACTAAAAATGGTCGCCTTCATAATCCTACCAGTGGGAGTTAGAGAGAGAGTGGGGTAGGTGGAGGAAGAAATAGAGAACTTTACTTTTATCCTTACATTTTTCTCTAATGTCTGCTTTTAAAAAAGCATGTTTTTTTTTTAATTGTGTAAATTACATACGGTTGATTCCATAGAGTAAATTCAGACTTTCTCCAGTCTTTTTGTTGTCCTCATGAAGTACTTAATTTAAAGGATGAAGAGGTTTTGTGATGGATATATATACCTGGACCAGTGCAATCCACTCAGATAATCTAATAAAGCTTTTAAGTAAGCATCAGTCCCTATTAACAAAATCCTGTGAGTATGTGGAGTGCAATGGTGCCAAAATGAGTACACAGTAAGTAGAAGTTCTTAAACAACATTCCCAGAAATTAGCATTGGCTCCTAGAAACACAAGTAGCAAAGAGCTTGAATTCAAAGGTAGGCTGTCTAGACTCAGCCAAGAGGCCCCCTTGAATCAAAATTGTTCTTAAGATTTACAGGGTGGATGTGAAAGTTTTTCCTTCATTGTTCACATATGTAGCTCAAAAGCTCTTGTATTTCCTAGAATTTTTTTGAAACTTAATTTTTAGGTACGACATTCTCTGGTAGCCATAACATTTCCTAAAATTTATTTTTTTTCCCCCAGGGATTTGCATTATTATCCATAAAAAAAAAAGGTGCATTTATTTTTTTTTCTTTTTTTTTTCCTTTTTGAGATGGAGTTTTGCTCTTGTTGCTTAGGCTGGAGTACAATGGCGAGACCTTGGCTCACTGCAACCTCCACCTTCCGGGTTCAAGAGATTCTCCTGTCTCAGCCTCCTGAGTAGCTAGGATTACAGGCGCATGCCACCACGACTGGCTAATTTTTATATTTTTAGTAGAGATAGGGTTTCATCATATTGGTCAGGTCTGGTCTCGAACTCCTGACCTCAGGTGATCTGCCCACCTCAGCCACCCACAGGCCCATTTTTGATTGCAGAAATTACTGGTAGCTCCTAATAAAACTTTTATCTACAATTTCTTTTGTTTTGTTTCTACACCTTTTACACTCCTTATTCTTTCTCTTAGGCAAAGAGTGACCCATTAGCTAACCTTTAAATACATGGGAAGAGACCTTTTTTGAAGAATAAATCCTTCTATTAAAGCAAAAATAATGTATTCAGTGGAAGACAGTGTTCCCAATGTAAATAACCACCATCTTAGTTAACTCCTTGGTGAGCCTGAGTTCTGTCTACTGCATTCTCATCCAAAACCTTAGTGGTAACTACGTGAGAGGAACCTTAAGGCTATTAAAGATTTTTTCCAACTTCTTTCTCCTTGGAGACTTTTATTTTGTCCCTCACACTTCTTATTTTAATACCACGAAATCTAAATCTTACTTTGATTCAAACACAAGACACAGGCTCACATCCCCAAAACCTCAGAAGAAGCCTATGCATAGGTATCAATATTTCCATTTAAACACAGGAAATGAGTTGAAGAAAATAGATCAATAGTGCATTCCCCAGTACTTCTCTGGTGCGTGAAACCTGACTCATGGAAGAACTCTAATTCATTTCTCATTACTTTCTTAAGCTTAAAAGAAAAAAAGGTAGGGCCATCCGAACTCTCTGTGGATGCTCACAGGACAGTAAATATCTTTTGAAAAATAAAAGAAATTGGATATTAGCATGGAATGACATGCTCACACAAAATTGGATATTAGCATGGAATGGCATGATCACACAGCTATTCAATCACAAATTTCCACCTCCCAAATGATAAACTTATGATAATAAAATAGCTAGCACATTCAACTTTGTTTTACACACACACTCACACACACACGGTACATATAGTAATGTCAAGCATCCTGGTATTTTAGTTTAGAGGCACTCATAAAGATCATGAAAAACTTTTATCTTAGCAGAGCAAATCTCAGTTCCGTGATCTCAGAGACCTTCTATTCTTCCTGAATACCTCCACTTACCCAAATGAAACTCTGTGCTTTGTAAATAACCACTGCAAGGGTTTTCTTGTTCTGAACCAGTAATTGCTTCCTAGTAATGTCTATGCTTGCTCCTGCTTCTGCCTTTGGGAATAATACAAAAAGTTCCATTTTCCTCATTATAGATTTTCAATAAAGAGAGCTTAATTATGTTAAATAAATGGCAGCTGTCACTCACATATTTTATTTCGCCTGAATTCATGATAAGCAGCATCTTTCATTTTCTATATTGGTATAGACGGTTGCTTTGAAACAAAAGGCAATTATTGCTTATTTCTCTTAGAATATGTTTTTCTTCCAGTTAACTTGGGTACTAGGTGCTTTCATCTACTATATTATTTCTTCTCCCCAGTTTCAGTTCTTATGAAAAATATACAAGTTTGGTACTCATCCAAACCTGATTCCAGTGCAGAACAGCAGGCCAAAGCCTGGAATGACCTTTGGTTCCATTTTGAGGACACTTTTCAAGGTGATGTTCTCATCAAAGCATTTGGAATATTCTGTGGTAAGTAGTTTTGAGTTTAACAGTGTTACTATGTAGTATATTTCTTCATTTTGTCTGCCTAGATATCCATTAACATATTAATCTGGAATGATGTAGTTTTTTAACTTTTTTTTGGAAATAATTTTAGACACACAAAAATACTGCAAAAACTGTACAGAGAGAATCTGTACGCCACTCGGTCAGTTTCGCCAATGTGAAAAACTTGCATCATCATAGCACAGTCCCCCAAACCAGGAAATTACACTGATGTCATACTATTAACTCAACTACAATCTTTATTTTCATTTTATCAGTTTCTCCATTGCTGTCCCTTTTCAATTTTAGCTTCCAATCCATAATCTCATATTGCATTAATTACCATGTGGCCTCCAATCTGTGACAGTCTTGTCAGTCTTTCTTTGTCTTTCAGGTTGTTTTATAGAATGCCCCTCAGTTTGAGTCTGTCTGTTTTTATTTTTACAAATTAGATTGAAGTTATACATTCTTGGCAAGAAGGCCACAGAAGTGACATTTTGCCTTTGTTTGAGCATCATTTAAGAGAATCATGATGCAAGTATGCTTTTTCATTGGTGATGTTAATCTTACCAGTTATGCTGGGGTCAGCAGGTTTCTTTAATTGTATAAAAGAAATTTACTGTTTTTTTTTCTTTGTAATTAATAAATATCTTTGGAGAGATACTTTCAGGCCATGCAAACATCTTGTCTCTCCTGAAATTTTCACCCACTAATTTTACCATGCATAGATGATCCATGTATTGCGACCATTATTACTGTGGTGTGCTCATGGTGATTTTCTATCTTGCCCATTCTACTTCTGTTCATTAGAATTCCTCTGTAAGAAAGAGCTGCTCCTTTTCCCTTTAATTATTTATTCAACTATTTATTTATATCAAGTTAGATTCATAGAATTTTAGTGTAATTTATGAGTTATAATTTGATATAGCCATGATTTATTTTCTCTCTCTCATTGTTCTAAGTTTGGGAGCTCTTATTAGCTTGACTTCTGTGTCCTTGAGATAGGCCTTCAACCTTTCTTCAGTATTGCCTTACTTTTGTGAGTCATAGGACGTTCCAGGCCCATCTTATATTCTCCCTGCCCCAGCTCCACTGTCAATCACTTCTCCAAGAATCCCTGGTTGTGTGCATTGGAGAATGCTGTTTAGAAACCAAGATTTTGCCACTAGGTGTGGTCATTCCTAATAGAGTTGGTCTGACTTATGTGACATGTCCTCTTACTAACTTGTAGTGATGAGCATGTCGCCTGCTAGGCACTCACAGATCATCGATTAAGTCATCTTAAACCTTTGCCTAGAATACTTTATCAACTCTGTTTTCTCTACTTTCCTAAAAGTGATAATTAGTTTGAACTATTTTCAGTATTTCAGAGCATCTGCTCAAATTTTGAACAGAGTATGATTGACTTCTTCTCTTAGTACTCACAGATGTAACAGTCTAGAGAGCAGGACCAGGAAATGTGAACTCATTTAGAGCAACTAGAATCTTTGATGTTCTCCCTACTATTGGGAGTTCATTTTCCTATTGATCAACTTGGTTCAACCCTTTCCAATTTGACAAAAATTATATTTGATAGAAAACTACAGAACTTTGACTTTCTATCTGGTTTTTGTCAGAACATGTTCTATTTATGTAACCCTATATTGTAACTAGTGAAAGAAATAATTAACCATAATATAATTGACATTTCTCTAATATAATTGTTTTTAATGTATTGAATTTAACTTAATTTGTACTTAAAATCTAAGAATTTATTTTTACTTAAATATAGTACCAGTCTCTTTATTACAAAGTAATATAGGATCACTGTAGAATTAAGTATCTCAAAATATCACCACCATAGATAAATATTATCTCTTCTATGCACACATGCACACATATATACATGTACACACAAAAGTGATATCACACTGCAAATATATTGTCTTGTGATCTTCACTTAACATATCATAAAATGAATGTTACATGTAAAATTATTCATAAATATAATTTTATTAATAGCTTAGTACATCATTCTATATGCCTATTAAAATTTTTAACTAAGTATTTGTTATCAGGTCTTTTCTTCAAATATTGTATCCTTTTAAGTAACACTGTAATAAATAACTTCATACAGAAATTTTTGTGTACATTTATAATCACCACCCAGCCCTCCTAATCACATTGCTCATAATATAACTGAAAATACATTTAATATAATTGAAAGTGGGTTTTTGTTTTATTTTTATTTTACTTTTTTGAAAACCTCAATTATTCTGAACCTTAGTCTTCTAGATAGTGTTTTTATAATTATATGCTGTCCGTTTGAATTTCTCTATTGTTACATGTCTTTTTTTTAATAAAACTGGAAAATATGTTGCTAAAAATCTCAATTTATCAGTGAACTCCTCGTGGCACCACTTTAGTTCCTTTTTATTCATTTGTCTTTGTCATTGCTGGTCATTTATTAAACCACAATTTCCTTGTGGGCTGTCTCTCCATTCCTTGATCTGTTTCTTTTATAATTCCCCTTTAGGGAAATCCTGATTGTGGTCAATTTTGAATGAGTATGCCAGGATCCTTTCAATGGATGAGAATCAGTGCTTTCCTGAGTCCTCTGTTGTTTCCAATTTATACAGCAACACCTACTTTTAGATTAGAAATAATAGTTCTCGTCATCATTTCTTATGTCTTCCAAGAGTTTGAAGTTGCCTGTAAGGCAAATAAAAAATTTATCGAATGTTCCTCTCCCTGCTGAGACTCCAAGCTAATGTCAAGAACGGCACTGCTCCTCTA
The DNA here is from genome assembly GCF_000001405.40 of Homo sapiens. NCBI lineage: Eukaryota > Metazoa > Chordata > Mammalia > Primates > Hominidae > Homo > Homo sapiens. The sequence continues at coordinate 124,373,106 of NC_000002.12, read as the reverse complement.
TCACAGTGGTATTTTTCATCTGTGGCTGTTCTGATATCTGTCTTTGGACTGCCAAATTCTCATCTTCAGTTTGAATGGTAGTCTATTCCCTCAAGGATATAATTTTTGTCATCTTTGTCTTTTATATCTATGTCAAGTTCCTCAAGTGTGCTTCAACCATCAGGTTGAAGGAATTCCAGGTCATAGCATATCTTCCTCACATGCATATTTGATACTATCTTCCTTTTTCTTCAAGATTCTCATTGCTTTGCACATAGTTAGTGCTTCGTCCTGTGTTAATGGGTGTTGCATTATTAATTCTTGGTACATGTACCAGTTAGCACAATTCTGTCTATAATAACAGGAACCCTGAGTCAATTTGGTTTAAATAAAAAGGAATTAAATACTCCACACATTCGTAAGCATAGAAGTAAAAAAAGCTTAAGGGCTGATTGATTGAGTAATTCTATGATAGCTTCAGGAACTTAACTTCTTTGCAACTCTGCTACCATCCATAGGTCCAGCTTCATCCTAAGGTTGATTCACTTCGTTGTCAGAAGTTGGCTACAAATCACTGCCTGGCAAGTTGGTTCCTAGGTCTTGTGAATTAGGAAACAATTATATACCTTCAACAGTAAGATATAAATCCTTCCGTATTAGTCAGGTTTCTCTAGAGATACAGAAGAAATACAATATATGTATATGTAAAAAGGAGTTTATTAGGGAGAATTGGCTCACATGATTACAAAAGCAAAGTCCCACCATAGGCGGTCTGCAAGCTGGAGAACAAAAAAAGCTGGTAGCATGCTCAGCCCAAGTCCAAATGCCTAAAAGCCAGGGGAGCCAATAGCACAGTCCCCAGTATGAGGCTGAAGGACTAAGAGCCCCTGATAGGCTGCTGGAATAAGTCACAGAGTCCAAAGATCAAAGAACCTGGAGTCTGATGTCCAAGGGCAGGAGATGAAAATTCATCTCACTGGGGAAGGAAGATAGAGAGGAAGCGCTGCAAAACTGAATATCCCCCTTCTTCTACTTGCTTTCTGTTAGCCAGGCTGGCAGCCAATTGGACGATGCCCATCCAGGTTTAGGGTGATTCCTCCTCTCCCTGTCTACTGACTCACACATGTCAATCTCCTCTGGAAACACCCTCACAGACACACCAGATATAATGCTTCACCAGCTGCCTAGCCATCCCTCAATCGAGTCAAGATGACATCTAATATTAACTATTACATCTTCTTTGCAGTTGATTTGAAAATTTAGAACACTTAGTTCTACCCAGTGCAGCAGAGTCTCTGTATTGTTGGATCCATCAATGAAAGTGGAAGTGGTGTAGACAAACATTCTCTTCCTTCCCTACCCATTGGCTAAGAATTTATGTATAGTATGTTAAGATTACATGTATGATTTCCTGTATCTTTCCATATCTCCCTCCACATTTACTGTTACCCAGCTTTATCTTACCAGCTACTACAACATTTCTCTAAGAGTGCTTCAGTTGCAAGAGTCCCCAAAATTTAGGAAGTGCCATGTATTAGATCTGTTTGGAGAAGACTCATAAAGCCTATTAGCACACTAAACTCTATAAGAAATCCTGCAGTTGAAAATGTTTCTTTTGAGATATTTAACTCCTCATTTTCCAAACCTAATGGATTATGGAACTCCCATGTTGCATGTTGTCTTTTTGAATCTTACAAGGTTTTCTAGGGGAATACTTTGAGAAAATCTACCATATCGTATATAATAATTATTTCAATCAGAATTTCCATCCCTTGTTACATACTTTGGTAGACTAAGAACCTATGATGAGACTGCAGATGTCAAAGCAAGTGTACTCTTCCCATACCTAATGAGGTTCGGGACACATTACCCCACGATATTTTAAGCTAAAGCAATTTTGAGAAAACAGCAAAAGCAAAAGGGTTACTCTCACTTTCCCTCACCCTTCTTCTCTGAAGCAGGTCGTAAAACCTAAGAAAGATTTTCTGACCTTCCCCTGAAGCAGGTCATAGACACTTATGTGAGAGGTACCCTCCTTATATCTGGAGGACAGTAGCATCCTTATCTCTGAAGATGCAGGAACACAGGGAAAATTCTGCACAAACAGTCTCCGCTAAGCTTTCCAGTTTATTACAATCAGATCATTTTTTTTGCTGTGTAATATTTCTGCATGACTATAAACTCTTCAAACTTACTCTAAAACAAAACAAAACTCAGGTTTAACTGTTATTTCAGGTCTTCATTCTGACAACTCTTGTGTCACATAAAAGTTTTATGAAATAAATGTGCATGTTTTTCTCTTGTTAATCTGTCTTTTGTTATAGAGGCTTCAACCATGAACCTAAGATCAGAAGAAGGAAAGATATTTTCCTCCCTTATGTCCCCCATGCAGCACACTCAATCTCCAGCCAAGAGTCAGTGCTATGGACATCTAAACAGTGGATCTGGTAAATCAAATTGTGATATCAAATCTCAAATCAATAACCAGCAGTTTGTACTTCGTATTCATTATTTCCCTAATTTACCGTTCCTTGATCTGGAGTGGAAGGTAGATTAAAACATCTTGCATCTGCAAGAGTTCAGTTTTCTCTCAAGGACATCATGGTCTCCAAAGTTGCTGTCCAGAGCTGTTTCTTCCATCAGTATTCTTTGTCTTCCATGTGACTCTGAGAAGAGGCTAGTAGTCACTTCATTTGAGAAGTCCTAAAAGCAGGGTTCCAGCAGAGTGACCTGGAATACCCAAGTATATGACCGGCTTTTCCTCAGAGCATCACACAACCTACCTGGAAGCCCTCATCTTCCCTCTAGCCATTGCAACCCTTTCTCTTCTTCCTGCTGCTTTGTCTTCGTTTTCCAAAAAGCACAACCTTTACTGCTGAGGGTCTAGATGTGGTCTCTGCAAAACAGTGTTCACGTACGTAGCTTTAGTTTTGCAGTTTTTCTTTGTGAAGTATTTTCTCACTTGATAATTGTTTGAATCCCTTTTCCTCTCAATTCTTGAGATGCTGTTTTCTCATCAGAGAATTTATTTTGCATCTCTAGAATAATCTACATATTTGTTATACATTGTCTTTAATTATAGTGGATACAGTAGTGATTATGTAAAAATATTGTGTGGTAATTGCATTGTCTGTTTTTTTCCAACAACCTTACCAAGTATTGTTATGACCACTTTGTACCAGAGGAAGCATGCTGAGTGAAACTGCTCCATGACCACACAGCAGGGTACTAGTGAAACTGACCCCAGATTGCTCTGATTATAAATTTCTGTGCTCTTTCTGATAAGCCTGAGGGAACTGCCTTTCCTGGGTTTTGATGTGCACAATAGATATAGTCAAGACCTCCTTGCATTTGTCCGATGAAGATTTTTGAACAGACATGTGACATATGCATACATACCATTTTTTGAGTGATTTTCATGTAGTGAACACCGTAGCAAGCTCTTACAAACCTTGTCTTTATTTTAAGAACACTTTATAAGGTTAAATTGTGTCATTTGATGCTTATAAATCACAATTTGACAGGTTATAACACTAAAATAAAACTACAAAAGGAAAGAAAAGGTTTTCAACCCTATCTCTGATTTAGAATCACCGCAGGAACTTCTAGAACATACCAATGCCTATGTCTCTTCCTTACAGATTCTGTTTTAATTGGTCTGAGTAAGATCCCACCCCCACCATCAAAACCAACTTTGACTATAGTTTTTTAACGCTTCTTTGTTAAATCTAACATGTAGCCAGAATCGAGAACCACGAGATTAGATGATTCAGCTAAAACCACATAATTGACTGTTTGTAATTAGATCTATAGTCTCCTGGTTGCTACCCAAGTTCTCTTTCCATTAGGCTCAGTGGCCTCCAAGGTTTCTTTCTATGAAAATATACAAAGGCATTCAAAGACTCTGCAATTATAAGCCCCTGGCTCTCCTGAAACAATTGGATGGGTAGAGATAGCTCTCTTGTTCCCTTGCCCCAAGAATCATCTCTGGTAACACTACCCAGAGCTGTAAGACAGCCAGGGGTCCACCAAGCTTTCCACAACCCCATTTCTCTTGTCTCTCTCTTCCCCTTTTCTAATTAAATTGGCTTGTCTTGATACTCTCAGCTATCCAACTATTTTTTAAAAAATTATTTGTTTTAAACAAGCCACAATTTTATATGGCTAAACATTGTAAAAGATAAAATGGGTATTCAGTAGATTTCTCTTCCAACCTTGAGTTCCCAGCCACTTAGCTTCTCTCGTCAGAGCTGCCTAAGTCCAGTGTCTTCTGTGTCTTTTCAGAGATATCTTATGCCTATATAAATAAATATTTTTTGTTCTTATTTTCTACAAATAATAACACAGTATATGCAGTAGGAATGCAAACCAGGCCTCCCACCCCCAGCACAAAGTTTACCACTCTCTGTGTTCACCAGTTCAGATCTGTTTTACATCTTGTTTTTTCATGGATTAATGAATTTTGAATAGTTTTCCATACCAGTATATAGGTGCCTCCTCATTCTTTCTTATGTCCTTGTTCAATGATATTCCACCCTTCTACTGATAGGTATTTGGTTTTTTCCCAATTATTTTATTATTATAGACTAACTTCTAAACTAATGTATTTCATGAGTTTGTCCATGTGAAGTATATTTCTAAGATAGATTTCTGTAAATGAACTTCCTGGGTCATATTTGTAATTTTGGTAGATATTGCCAAAATGGCTTCTGTAGCAGTTGTACTGATTTTTATTCCGAGCAGCACATCTGAATATCTGACTCTCCTCATAGCCTCAAAAACGCTGCGTATTACAGAAGTTTTGATCTGTATGTCAATCAGATGAATGGAAATGGCATTTCAGCATAGTTTCATTTTTGTGTATCTCCTTACAGAATCAAGCTTTACAAACTAATTTCTAAAACCATTTTCTCCTGTGTTTTTCTTATACTATATTTTATTACATAATATCAGGATTGCACTAATCAAACTTGCTATTTATTATTGCAATTGTTTGTTTCAACCTAAGCTTACGAGGCTAACGCATGGGCTAGTGTGGGAATCTAACCAGCATTTGCAACCTTACTTATATGGGAAAAAAATCACCTATAGTTCCATATAACTGAATTATAGACACATTTGAAAGGCATGCGATGTCCAGCGTGACACTCTCTGTGCTCCACATCACACATGTGCAACATATTTGATGGGAAGTAAATATCTGTTCAGATTCACAGCATAGTACTGAACAGCAAGTACATTCAGAAATTACCTGCTAGTCCTCTTCCAAGAACTGATTTCTTTCTATAAGTAATTGTACCTTGAACAAAGGTCATTAAGCAGCCATAATAAAAGAGTTAGCATTTTAGAAGGTTTTGTGAATTTTGTAATTTTCCTTCACGTCAGGGAGCCAGGTCCTTTCTAAGGTTCAGATGGAGTACACTTTAAACCTCAAGGCCCTCAAAGATTAATTTATGCCAACAGACTGCATTCAGATGTGAAATGGAAGCCAGAGGGGCTAGTAACTTACATGGTGTCACACTGGAGGTAGCCCAATAGGAGCAAAAACCAGGTGATATGGTTTGGCTGTGTCCCCACCCAAATCTCATCTTGAATTGTATTTCCCATAATCCCATGTGTCATGGGAGGGACCCAGTGGGAGGTAATTGAATCATGGGGGTGGTTACCTACATGTTGCTCTCGTGATAGTGAGTGAGTTCTCATGAGATCTGACAGTTTGCACTTCTCCTTACTGCTTCCATGTGAAGAAGGAAATGTTTGCTTCCCCTTCCACCATAATTGTAAGTTTCCTGAGGCCTCCCCAGCCCTGCAGAACTTTGAGTCAATTAAACGTCTTTCCTTTATTAATTACCCAGACTCAAGTATTCTTCACAGCACCATGAGAATGGACTAATAGGCCTCCTGCCACCAGTCCAATGGTTACTGTTCTCTCTGTTTTTACCATTTCAAATGCTTGTCTCTGTTCGTCAAGCAACAGTCCCAAACTGAAACTAATAATTATCCTTCAGCATTAACTGCAGACTAAGGGTCACTCTGAACTTATAGTTACCTTTTTTCTTTTCTCTGACTTTGCATCAAACATGTACATAGACATGACATAAACCCAGTTACAATGTCCCCTGGGGTGGTGCCATATTGTGTGGCCCAGATTCCCCTCCAGACTGAGGCTCAGCTGAGGGGTGTCTTATCAGCTACCAGCCTTCTGCTGAGCCTCTCTCTGGACATTGCTCTCTCAGCAGAAGAGAACCTCTTTGGCCAATGTTATGCCTCCTTCCTGGGGCCTACCTAAGACTGGCCCATGTGTAGGAGCGAGGCTGGGATAAGACTCAGCCCTCTTTTCTCAATTTGGACAAATTTGAAGGGCTCTCCCAGCCCCAAAGCTTCCCATGAGATGATTGAGGTCTTAGGTATGACTCCAATTACAAGTCAATCAGAGGAAGAAATGGTTGGAAATATGTTGCTGTGGTTTGTCATTAAAATAACACCTGGAGGGGTAGAATTGGGCAAAAGTCACGCTACTGCTTCTCTTTAAAGAAAGTTCCCTTCAGATCCAGGGCTTCAGCCTGAGGTTGATTTTCTTTTCCTGAGGACACAGACTTGGTAGTTTAAAGGACACTGCACTTGGAATGCCATTCTTTCTCTTATGGAAGCCCCTTGGTGGCCACTGCTAGTCTTGGGCTAGGAATTTCAATGTCAATTGGAATTGGGTATAATTATTTTTCATTGTATTTTTTAATGTGTTATATTTTGACTACAGAAAATGAAGATTAAAAACAAGAAGGAAGAAGAGAAAGACTATCAATATCAGTAAAAAAGAAAGTACGTACCGTTATTTTGTGCTTCATAAGGTGCTGGGTACCCTGGTATGTGCTTTATATGCAGTGCTGCATTTGAGTCTTGCAGTAACCTCCTGGAATGAGCCCTGTGATTCTGGTTTTACATTAAGAGACTGAGATGACTAATGCTAATTAATTGGACTGAAATCAAGTACTTAGTAAAGAGAAGAACCAGGATTTGAATGTGTGGTCTCACCCTACCTGTGCTAGTCCCCACTGTATAGACTATCTCTCCAAAGAAAAACCAATGTTAAAAATACCTGTAATGTAACAGGGGTTATAGGATAAACAAGCAATTGAATAAGAAAAAAGTTACATGACCTTAAAAATGCATCCCAGGCACCACTTGTAAATTAAGAATATAAGAAATATAATCACTTAGCTCCAGTACTTACTCATAATTGACTATTTGATGCAAGAGCTCCTGGTAAAGATGAAAGATCTAAGATTTAAGAATGGGATCTTCAGATTCAGCATACACTTATTAACATACTGTTATGAAACGGGTGTCTTTTAGATCTTTCATGTGCATTGACCTATATAATCTTTAAGTTAATTGTCAGTCTCATATTAGGAATGCATAAAGGGGAGTTTCACAAAGTAGGAAGAACTTTCCCAGGAAACTTTTATAAGAGGTAGTAAAGCTGGATCTCAAATTCAGGTCTAAGGAATTACAGCAAATCTTTTGCTCTGCTTCCCAATGGTGTTACTATTGGAAAGGGACATGCAGGGCCAACTGTTTCAGTGTTTCCAATGCCATGTTCTCTGTAGCACCAATAGTTTGTGAAGTATTTGGAAATTCTAAGCTGAACTTTGTTAAATTTGTTTCCTTATTTCAAGAAAGAAATATCTCCCCAAATCCTAACATGTTAATGTGAATTGTGCATTTCTGAGAAATGGCAAAGTATATGCAAAGATTCCCGCAAGTATTCTTCCCCATTGACATCCATCCTTTTTTTTTTTTTTTCCTTTTTTTGGGACAGAGTCTTGCTCTCTTGCAAAGGCTGAGGTGCAGTGGCATAATCATGGTTCACTGCAGCCTTAACCTGCTAGGCTCAAGCGGACCTCCCATCTCAGTCCCATGAGTAGCTGCGACCACAATTGCACATCACCATGCTCGGCTAATTTATTTCATTTTATTTTTGTAGAGATGAGGTCTTACTACCCTTTCCAGGTTGGTCTCAAATGCCTCATCCCTCCTTTTCTTATCGGCTATTAGGATTTCTAATATTTCTTGGAAAAATTCATTCAAGAACCATGAAGAAGAGTTCTATCAACTCTATGGCCAATAGTTTTTTAGTGATTAACTTATGTCTCTTAGAATTTCAGTTTAGTTCAGCACACATTGATGGTGTGCCAGCTATGTGCTATGTGCCAAGCAAGAAGTTAGGGCATAATGAGGAATGCCCTAGGAAGATAAGCACACTGCTCTGCTCTGTCTCACAACTCTTAGAAGTAAAGCTCTACTGTATTATCCTCCATTAATTTCCTTTTTCTCCTCTGGTACTTTTTATTTTCTTTCTGGTATTATACTTAATGCAGTTAATGTCTGAATCCAATGTATTGTAAGGAATTCTATCTCAGGAAATTAACTGGCATCATGATATCTCTTTCTTGCTTTAGAAATAAAGAATCACTAAATGTGTTCATTCTTTCATCTATTTATTTATTTA